>NC_000023.11:98712542-99337542 GCF_000001405.40 Homo sapiens | reverse complement strand
CCTAACTCATTCTATAAAGCCAGCATCATCTTCATACCAAAATCAGAAAAAGACACAATGAAAAAACAAAACTTCAGGCCAGTATCCCTGATAAGTATAAATGCAAAGATCCTCAACAAAATACTAGCAAACCATTTACAGCAGAACATCAAAAAGTTAATTCACCATGATCAAATAGGCTTTATGTCTGAGATGCAAGATTGGTTCAATATATGTGAATCAATAAAGGTAATTCACTGTATAAAGAGAATCAACAATAAAAAACACATGATTATTTCAATAGATACAGAAAAAATACATTCAATAAAATCCAACATCCCTTCATGACAGAAAGCCTCGAAAGATTAGGCATTGAAGGAACATACCACAAAATAACAACAGCCATCTATGAAAAACCTGCAGCCATCATCATATTGAATGGGAAAAAGCTGGAACCATTTCCCTTGAAAACTGGATCAAGACAAGGATGCCCATTATCACTATTCCTATACATTATAGTACTGGAAGTCCTCGCAAGAGAAATCAGGCAAGAGAAATAAATAAAAGGCATCCAAATAGAAAAAGAAGACTAGCTATCCCTCTCTGCTGATGATATGATTTTATACATACAAAACCCTAAAGATTCTGAGAAAAGTCTCCTGATACTGATAAATGAATCCAGGAAAGTTTCATGATACAAAATCAATGTACTAAAATTAGTAGCTTTATTATACACCAAAGACTTTATAACTGAGAACCAAATTAAGAGCACAATCCTATTTACAATAGCTACAAAGAAAGCGAAATACCTGGGAATTTATCATACCAGCGAGATCAAAGTTGTCTACAAGGAGAATTACAAAACACTGCTGAAAGAAATCTGAAATGAAACAAATAAATAGAGAAATATTTCATGCTTGTTGATTGGTAGAATCACTATAATTATAATGGCCATACTGCCCAAAGCAAGTTACGTATTGAAAGCTAATCCTATCAAAATACCAACATCACTTTTCATAGACATAGGAAAAACGATTATTAAATTCATTTGGAACCACAAAAGAACTCAAATAGCCAAAAGAATCCTGAGCAAACAGAACAAATCCAGAAGCATCACATTGTCTGACTTCAAACAATACTGTAGGGCTACAGTAATCAAAATAGCATGGTACTGGTATAATAATAAACACACAGACCAGTGGAATAGATTAGAGAACCCAGAATTAAAATGGCATGCCTACAACGATCTGATCTTCAACAGAATCAACAAAAAAAGCAATGGGGAAGGGACTCTTTATTCAATAACTGGCAAATCATATGCAGAAGAATGAAACTGGACACCCTGTCTCTCATCATATATGAAAATCAACTCAAGATTTATTAAATACTTAAATGTAAGATCCCAAACTATAAAAATCCTAGATAAAAACCTAGCAGATACCCTTCTCAACATAGGCTTTGGCACAGAATTTATGGTTAAATCCTTAAAAGTAATTGCAACAAAAATAAACATTAACAATGGGACCTGATTAAACTAAAGAGTTTCTGCACAGCAAAAGAAACTATCAACAGAGTAAACAGACAAACCACAGACTGGGAGAAAATATTTGCACAATATGCATCTGACAAAGGTCTAACATCCAGCATCTATATGGAACTTAAACAGATTTTTAAAAACCATTAAAACGTAGACAAAAAACATGAACAAACATTTTTCAAAAGAAGACTTACCTGTGGCCAGCATGTGTATGAAAAGAAGCTTAATATCACAGATCATTAGAGAAATGCAAATCCACAAGGAGACAACATCTAACACCAGTCAGAATGGCTATTACAAAAATATTTAAAAATAACAGATGCTGGCGAGGTTGTGGAGTAAAAGGAACTCTTATACACTGTTGGTGGGACTGTAAATTAGTTCAACCATTCTAGAAAACAGTGTTGCAGTTTCTCAAAGAACTATAAACAGAACTACCATTTGACTCAGCAATCCCATTACTTGATATACACCCAGAGGAATATAAATTGTTCTGTCATAAAGATACACATATGCATACGTTAATTGCAGCACTATTCACAATAGCAAAGACATGGAATCAACCTAAATGCTCATCAATGGTAGACTGGATAAAGAAAATATGGGACATATACACCATGGAATACTGTGCAGCTATGAAAAAGAACAAGATCATGTCCTTTGCAGGGACATCAATGGAGTTGGAAGCCATTATTCTTAGCTAACTGAAGCAAGAACAGAAAACCAAATACTGCATGTTCTCACTTTTAAGTGGGAGCTAAATGGTAAGAGCACATGGACACAACAGACATTGTGACCTAATTGAGGGTGGAGAGTGGGAGGAGAGAGAAGATCAGAAAAAAGAACTGTTAGCTACTAAACTTAGTACCTGAGTGATGAAATAATCTGTACAACAAACCCCTGTGACATGAACTTACCTATATAACAAACCTGCATATATGCCCATAAACCTAAAATAGAAGATTTTTTTTTTTAATCCTGCAAGGTCATCAGGATTGTATTACACCACACTAACATGCCATCCTATTCAATGAAATATAAAACTACATTTCTAAAATTTTCGAATGGGTAAAATGATGACAGGATTTTAGAAACCACTTCCCATTTGTTTGAGGTGATCAACATGCTGAGGATGCTGTCACCAGTGGCATGGTGAACTCAACAGGGTTATTCCATTGCATTAAGAAGGAGAGAGCAAGTTGATTAATTAGCGTAGCACTCAGGAGGGGGTGTGAAACAACTACCACACCTGTTGAAAAGGAAGCTTTACTACTGTGACCAAGGTTACCTTCAAATACAGAACTTTCTCCTACAGAAAGTGTGATATACAAATATAGCAGCTCGGATGAGTAACGAAGACTGAGGATTAAAGTGACCTGTGTTGGGAACAAAAGTCGACATAAACCATAGATCCACTTAGTACTTCTTAATGACAGTATGATTCTGAATGATGCCTGCATAAAGAGAGGGAATCTAGCCCATGATGACTGCAAAATAACATACTGGAGTCTGCTAATTCCCTTCCTTAAACTATAGCTGAATCAGCTGCTTAAAAAGGGGGAGAAAAAGGTAAAAGGAAAATTTTCCATATGCTTGGTTGATAATCTTATTATCATAGCAATTTTTAATAAATAATAAAAATGAAAATATATAAAAAGTCAAAAAAATTGGCAAGGATGTAGTGAAAAGGTAACATTTATACACGTAGGTAGGAATGTAAATTAGATCAACCTCTATTCAAAACAATATAAAGAGTTCTCAAATAATTAAAAATAGAACTACCATTTGACCCAGCAATCTCATTACTAGATATCTATCCAAAGGGGAAAAAAAGTCATTTGATCAAAAAGCCACATGCACTCAAATGTTCATCAAAGCACTATTCTCAAAAGCAATGACATGAAATCAACCTAAATATACAACAATGGTGGATTGGATAAAGAAAACGTGGTACATATACACCAATGAGTACTATTCAGCTATAAAAAATAATGAAATAATGTTCTTTGCAACAACATATATGGAGCTGGAGGTCATTATTCTAAGTGAAATAACTCAGAAGTTGAAAATCAAGTACTGCATGTTTTCACTTATAAGTGGGAGCTTAACAATAGGTACATGTGGTCATTAAATTAAAAATAATAGACACTCGGGGCCGGGCACGGTGGCTCACGCCTGTAATCCCAGCACTTTGGGAGGCCGAGGTGGGTGGATCACGAGGTCAGGAGATCGAGACCATCCTGGCTAACACGGTGAAACCCCGTCTCTACTAAAAATACAAAAAAAAAAAAAGTTAGCTGGGCATGGTGGCGGGTGCCTGTAGTCCCAGCTACTCGGGAGGCTGAGGCAGGAGAATGGTGTGAACCCGGGAGGCGGAGCTTGCAGTGAGCCGAGATCGCGCCACTGCACTCCAGCCTGGGCGACAAAGTGAGACTGTCTCAAAAAAAAAAAAAAAAAAAAAAAAAAAAAAAAAAAAAATAGACATTTGGAACTTCAAAAGTGGGGAAGGTGGGAGAAAATCAAGAGTTGAAAACATACCTGTTGGGTATCACTTTCACTATTTGGGGGATGGGTTTACTAGAAGCCCAAACTTCAGCATTACTCAATATATCCATGTAACAAACCTGCACCTCCTGAATGTATAATAATTTTTAAAAATCCACTAGCTCAACTTTTTTTTTATTCTCAATATAAATTCATTAAATATCTATCTTATCCAGGGAAAAAGTAACTCATGGGTCAAAGCAGAGTCCCAAGGAAAGTTTAAAAATATTAATAGTTCAATGTAAATTAAAACACAATTCAAAATATCTGGAATGCAAAGTAAGGCAGTGCTTTAAGATCAATTTATAGTATTAAATGCTCATGCTAAAAAAAATAAATAAATGCCTCAAATCGATGACCTAAAGTTTCACATTAAAAAATTAGAAAAATAAGAGCAAAATAAATCCAAAGCAATCAGACAGAATGAAACAATATAGATAATATCACCAATCAATGAAAATGAAAGCAGAAAATCAATAAAGTAACTCAAAGACTTTTTGAAAAGATTAGTAAATTCGTACATTTCTATCACGATTAAAAAAGAAAAAATATATAAATCAACTATATGAGAAACACAAGGCAGAACATTACAATAGAGCCTACAGATATTTAAAGAATAAAAGTAGAATATTAAGAACAACTTTATGCCCATTAATTTTACATTTCAGAACAAATAGACTAATTTACTCAAAGAAACAAACTACCAAAACTTACTCCAGAAAGAAATAGATACCCTGAATAGTTTCATATCCATTTTAAAAATTTTACACAAAAATCTCCAACTAAAGAAAAAATTCTGGGTCTATATTCTTTCACAGGCAACCAACTGGCTAGGGCTGGTTTAAATTATCCTTTAGGCAGGCATCAGCTGAATTTGGTCTGACTTTCCTTACTGCTCTAACAGGATAGCACCGCATTCAGTGCCTTACAATTTCTGTGTTCTCCCTCCCTCAGTGCCCAAAGATGCTCTAGACACCACAACACCACTGCAGGGCATGGGGGAAGGGTAGCATCAGAGATTCAGGACTGTTTATCTCTTCAGTGCCTCTTTCAGCAATATGAAGCTAAAACCAGGTGCTATAAGTACTCATTTGATTTTTGGTTCTTATGAAAGTGTTTCATCTGTGTAGATAGTTGTTACATTGATGTCTTTCTGGGGAGGATGATCGGTGGAGCTTTCTATTCCACCACCTTGCTCCAACATCCTGAAACAAGATTTAAAAAGCAAGTCAAGTCAGATCATATCATTTTTTTTTCTCAAAATGTGTGATGGCTAGCCAGTTCACTAGGAAGAAAAGCCAAGTTATCATAATGGCCCACAGGGTCCTATACAAACTGCCCCCTCTCTGACCATCTCACCTATTACTGTCACCCTCACTCATGCTTCTCCAACCACACTGACCCCTTGCTCTTTCTTACATATATCAAAAAATATTTTGCCCAAGAGGTTTTGAACTTGCAGTTTCCTGTTCCTGGAATGCACTTCATCTACATAGCTGTACTTCTTTTAAGTCTTTTGTTAAATGTCACCTCTTTAGTCATGCTTTACTTTTAATTGTAACCCTTTTATATTGATGCTTTCAATGCCTCTTCCATGCTTTTTCTACACAGAATTTATCACCATCTGGGAACTTAAATGCTTTAGGTACTTATTTTTGTGTATGTTCTTCCACTGTTTACTTGAATGTAATGTTAGTGAGTATAGAATATTTTTTAAATGTTTTTATATCTGTTGTATCTTCAGCATGTAAAACAGTGCTTTGTAAACAGCATGTAAAACAGACACATAGTAGGTGTTAAATAAATATTTGTTAAGTAGATATAAAAAATGGGAAAAATAAGACATAAGGAAGAATAAATAGGCTTTTTATGATCATACCATAAAAGAATTTTTTTGAGGTTTTGTGGGAGGCAGATGATAAGGAGCTGGAATTTTATCCTGGAAGAAATGAGAAGCTCTATAAGGGTTTAAGAAAGGGAGTGACAAGTGTATAAAATTTATATTGTAGAAAATCTAGTTTGACTACCATGTGGGGAATCAATAGGGATGCAGAACAAGGGAAATTAACACAAGTTAGGCATCTCTTTCAGTAGCCTATGTGAAACAATGGCCAACTGGACTAGTGTCCTGGTGGTAGGTTTGGATAGAAGGTAAGAAATTCAACAGTTATTTCAAAAGCCTTCCATGATTGATCCCCCTTCTGTTCACTAAGAACTCCATTTACATTCATTTCCCAGTGCCAAATATGAATCTGTACTTATTGATTAGTTTATCTTTAAATGTTCCTCCTTCTCTCTCAAATCTCATTATTTTCTTCTGCAGGGACAGAAACTAATTTTTATATTGTTTAGGTGTGCCTCCATAACACACAGGACTATGTTTATTAACAGTTAAAATATATCACTAAATTTTAACCAGTCATTGATATTGTTACCCAGTGTAATGCCTATTATATGACATAGCTAAATTTCTACCCTGCCCTAACTCTGCTTATTTTTAAGAAACATGACACCTGCGACAAAAAGTCCTCATGGCAACCAGACCAGCTGAGACGGGTTAGAACTAAGATAGCAAACCAAATGACTACAAAAAGACCTCAGGCTTCATTATAATCTAATTTGCATGCTAAATGTCACTCCCACCAGTGCCATGACAATTGACAATTGCCATGACAGTGACCAGAAGAAGTTATGAAAAGACAAAAGGAAGGTAACACTCAGGTTCTGGGAAGTTCACCGTCCATTTCTAGAAAAGACATAAATATTCCCCACTTGCTTTTAATGTCCAGCCCCTTCATTAGAGAAGTCCTATATTTTAACTCTCTCACCCCTCACTAGTGGAGAAGTTGATTTGTGAACCATATTCTCACTTCTCAATTCCATGGCCATTAAATAAACCCTGTATTTCTTGGCACTCACTTTCAGTTTTATTTATTGACTTTGCAACACCAAACAGGGAAAGACTCTATATTTTGGGGGACTGGCTTTGTCAGTAACAATTCAAAAGAAAGGAATTGAAACATTCCACAAGATTTAGCTTTGTCATAATTGTTCACAAAGAGCTCAAATCCTTCACCCATTTTTCTTCATGCTGTATTGCGTCTTTGGAAGCCAAGTTAAAAATTTGTTTCCTCTTCTTCACTCAAGTCTATCTTTATTAAGAGGAAAATATTAAGCTTTGGAAAGAAAGACTGCAAAAAACATCTAGAAATGCATATATAGAGAAAATAAAGTTGCCTTCTCTCCTCGTCCTAAATGAGTTTTCAAATACCTTTTCTAATTGCATTGCAGAGACTGTTTTGGTGGGTATAGAAATTTGAAATACATACCAATTTAGAAAAAAATTCGGAATCTATAATTTTGTTTCTAATTGATAGTGAATGGGAGACAGATGCTCTCTGATCCAGTTACATTTGTCATTTTTTAACTCCTTTATTGGCATGACCTATAAATGCCAGCCAGTCATGATTAGAATCTTGTGAACTGGATGACATTCAGCTTGCCATTTACTCTAAGGCACTGAGATCCAGCCAGTAACAGAATACCTTACAGTGTCCTATGAAGAGAAAATAGGGGGAGAGAGGGAGAAGAACAACAACAAACCAAAGGACAATCCTGGAAAATTTATATAGGCCACTTTACTCTGAAGTCTATACATCAGTAGGCAGTTATGAAAGTGGCTTGTATAAATAAATAGGTTGCTGTTATTTTCTTCTGAAGTTTAAGTTTTCTAGTTTCAATTCACAGGGCTTTACAAAAACACAGCTTAGTTTTCAGTGACTCCAAATTAGAAAAAAATGGGAAAAAAGCAAAAAAAAAAAAAAAAAAGAAAACATTATTTCAAAGACTCATAGCCAAGAAAAATTAGAATTCTGTCTAAACTGTAGAAAATAATAAAATGTGAAAAACATTGGACAAGACTAGAATCTAACAACAAGGGTACTATAATTTTTGAAACATAACTTCTCTCTCTCCAGTTTCCCATTTTTGCTAAAGATAAATCATGGTAGGACTGGTTAGTTTTATTATACTTGGCCTAATTATTTGTATACAGTGCAGCAAGAATACTTTTTACATAGGTTTTTAAATAGGCTTTGCTGGAAGTTTGTTCCATAGAAAGGACCTCAGATAAAACTTTTTAAAAGCCCAGTCCAGCCATGTTTTTGTGCCATCAAATATCTATGAGGTTGGGTGATCCTCTCCTCTTGAGATTTCAATATAAACCTGGGGCTCCTGGGCCTGTCAGAAAGTAACATTCTTTACTTACCATAGGTCAGAAACCCTCTACAGGGACTGTGTACATGAAATATGTTCATGTACAGGGACTGTGTACATGAAATATGTTCAGTTTTCCCAGTGGCTTTTCTTGGCTCCATATGTCAAGTTTGATTTCTTAAAGAAAAGCACACCATTCCAGTCAAAGCCATAGTAAAACAACCAGTTTCTCCAACTGTGCCCTGTTACAAATGAGAACAGATTCTTATTGCACTTATGCAAATAACAGTATTGCCATAAGTTAAAAACACAAATAGTCTCCAAATTCTGGAGAAATCAGGCTGAGAGAAACAAATATGCTCCAAATTTTATTCATAGGAGTATACTAAATTGTTAAAAGCTGTCAATAGCTCAAAAGTTCCAAGACTCTGAAAAACAAAACAAAGGATCAGCAATATTTTAAGCAAAAAGTAGAAAAATATTAGTTTACTCCATGCGGTTAATTCCTGTTCTGCTTGATATTCATGAACATTTTAGCTCTAAATGAGTCCTGGAAGTTTTTTCTCTACTCTGATGTCACAATCTCCAAAGTTATCAGAAACCTGCATTCAAGAGCACCTGTTAAGAGTTTTATAGCCGATTGTAAAACCACCTTCTAGAGAAGGACCAAAGCAAGACAATTTTCTATGGATGACAAAAGTTTTAGGGGAGCCGTAGTCAAAGAAACAATTGAAAAGGTAATTTGTTACCTCTGTGGCACACAATAATTTACCATAACAATTATAATTTTTACTGATAATATACACTAAATTATATCAGAATTATAGGAGTTTCCCATAATTTTGGAACACATACTAATAACATATTTAAACAAATATAGCCTAAAGAAAACCAAACATCATTTCACATTTGACAATGCTTCCTGTATAATTTCTACACTAAATAAGCCTAATTATGTCATTTTTAGACTTCAGGGAACCTAATATCTTAAAGGATTCATTAGGTCAGAAAAAGGCATAATGTATAATTTGATTTTGGAAAGTTTGTCAAATATCAAAGGTTTAAAACACTTGATATCACAAAATGGGATCACAGGCCATTGTAAAATAAGTCATTCATTTAAGCAAAGTGATAATTCAAGGATTTCAAATAATGGCATAAACCTTCATTCTTTGAGAGAGAAGGCTTAATATTCCAAATGATAAGCCCTAATAGAAACAGCAGGAAGCCAATTAGATTTGTTTTTCAAAATTTTATATACAATCTATAAAATTTTAATCTTGACCATAAGATATAACTTCCATAAGCCTTTTACAACCTTTATAACCTTTATTAAAGAATTGGTTAATGCTTCAAGAAAATCTTGTTAATTTGACGCAGGGGCCAATATGCTGGTCTTGCATCAGTGTGCCTTTAACATTAATGATTAATTTATAGAGAAACTGAATTTATTTTATCTTTCAAAATATGCTCACACAATCTCACACTCCCACCTCTTCCACAACAGTACCTGGGCCTTGAGTTGAAATAGCTTTAATTTCTGGCCCTGTGTCTCAGGAATACAGTTTATTTTGATGGGCATTTTCTATGGGGTGTGAAGATGGGGCTTTAATTGCTGTCAGCATTTAAAATTTAGCAGGACTTGGTGTCCTTTTTAGACCCAGAGTCAAAGCTCAGTAACTCAATGTCCCAAGTACTTTAAAAACACATGCAGAGAGATACACGGATGTAATAACCTTAATTTTAAAAAGTTTAATCTGTTTTTGTCATAAGCAAAAAAAAAAAAATACTTAGTAATAATGGCATAAGAATTGTTTTGATAAAAGGTAAACCTGTTAGGCCAGCTACCAAAAGGCAAAAGACGTTCCGCACTGCAAAGAATGTTATATTGGAGAAAACATTTCCTTTAAACCTTTAAGAAAACATTGTTAATATCAGGCCACTGCAACAGAGCTCCAGGAAAAAAATATTTGTATAAGCTGAAAATGTGTTAAAGGAGAGCATTACTATTTTACTCTCTTTAAAAGGGGAGAGAAAACTGAAAATGGAGAGATGCAATAAAAGTTGAACTTTGGGTTGAAAAATTAAAATACGTTATAATTTATTAAGAATAATCAATCCCTTAAGAAAATATTATTGTTCTAACTAATTATTCAGTGTTTTTTTTAACATCAAACTTAAACTTTAGAAAGACCATTATAATTTCCCTTTAATTATAGACAACTTGATCATATAAAAGTATTTGTTTTTTTATAAGTCCTCTTATTGTGATTTATGCAGATCATTCATGACATGTTTGGACTTTCTGGTTTGTCCTAAACATCTCTCTTTCTTAAACAACCAGTCATTTCATTCTAGCTCTAAATTTACCATAAAAGGTTCTTTCTCATATAAAATTATTTATCTTTAAGCTTTCTACAAGAAAAAAATACCTCTTTATTTCTTTAACTTTCTTTACATCTCTCTTATTTCCTGGTTTTACCTTGTTTTATATATAACCTTTAAATAAGCTTTGAATTAAACAAAAATTGTTCACCCTTTTAAACAAAGGATACGTTTGTTTAGAAAGTTTTCCTACCATATATTTTTATTGCAAGATACCCAAATAATGAAATATTTGTTATTTAATTTAATATAACTCTATATGCTGTATTATAACTAGTTCCTCTGCAAGTAGTATCCCATCACATTTACCTAATTATTTTATTTTAATTGTTTACTTAGATTATTTATGAAAACCGTGATAGTCATGATTTAAAGTTATAAAACCACCATTGGAAAATTATAACTGAGATACTGAAACAGATTTGACCTGACTCCATCTTGCTTTTCACTTCCAAGTTGTCCTTGTTCATTCCTGGGCATAGGCCAAACTAACTTTGGGAGGAAATTAGTTCATATTTTAGCTTTGAAACAAAGACAATAACAGTCCTTTCACAAAACAAATCTCCCTACTCTCTGTGTAATAGACTGCCCAAAGCCACAGGATTAGAAGTTACAGTAATCTTACTAATGCAAGATGTAGCTATTTTCATTAAACCAACATCAATGTCTTATTTATTAAAAATTACACAAGCAAAAATCATTCTGTTTTGGGCTGAGTTTATAGTTTTCAAACCTTTATGCCAAATTTTGACACCTTATGATATTTGGCAGGGATAAATATAAAATTGCTTGATTAATAAATGCAAACAAAAATGTATGCTGGCAATTCTTAAGACATTTCTAATATTACTTTACCAATAATTTTAAAGCTAGATTATTTATTAAAGATTCTATTTAAGTTATGTAAACTTGAAAAAGTATTCGACCAGTCTTTTCTTTTTTTCCTGATAAAGTATTTAAATGCTTTTATTTTTCTTTGGGCCAATTAATTAGAGTTATTTCATATATTTTCAGTAGTAAAACATTGTATATACAACACATAAATACATAGATGTATTAGGCATGCCAATAGAACTATATCTTATAGATTCATAAAAACTTTTTCTTCCTGTCTTAGACTTTCAGATTATTGATAACCTGTTTCACAAACCTAGACAGTTGTCAGCTAAATAGCCTTAAATTTGCATAGCAAAGGAAACAACTCAGGTGAAAGTTAAATAGCAAAATGTACATGTTAAGGTACAGAGAGAAAAAGTCTGATGGTGCTAGAGGGAGATTAAAGATGGACACCAAATCAAACACAAATTATAGAAATGTATCATGGGATTGTATAAGGAGACCAATTTTATTTAGATAGGGACTACCTATTTTTTTAACTGGAACTGTGAGCTCTGGGCAGAGCCCACACTGAATCCTGGGCCCCCAAAAGGGAGAATTATTATGAGACTAGACCATGTGATGCTTTTACAGGGCACTTAGAAGTTTTTTTAAACAAAGACATTTCTAAGTGTCTAAACTACACTCTTCCTTAAAAACTCAAGAGTAGCCTCTGTTACAGTAATTATTTTAGTCAAAAAATCAGGTGAAAACACAATTCAGTTGACTGAGAAGAAAAAAACAAATTTGCTCAAAAAAAGACGAGATCCTAGGAGAGACAAATGAACAAAAAACAAAAAATATGAAGGCCTTTTAAATACAAACATACACATATGCGCAAATACACACACACATCTTGAACGTTAGCTTTTTAATTAAGCTGACATTTAACCGTTGAGCTCCTTTAAAAAAAATCCTTTCAAATCTCATTACATATTTTAGCTAGGACAAATTGCTGCTATTTCAGAAGTACTAAGTATCAAAACAGAAAGGGCTTGATTTAGGAACCAGGCTGTCATGGTGAAAAAAAAAAAAAAAAGAAGAAGAACCTTAGCTATCAGACTGCAGTGTGGGGTGACATCAATTGGTCTTTCAGTTTGGCTTGGCTAGCAAAAACGTGGCCTTGTAATGTAAATAAAGCCCGTTAAGTAGTTAATATCAAATGTCATTTTTTTTCTTTTGATGGCTGTTTTCCTCCCCACATCATACCACAATTTTCGTGGGAATTTAACCACTTTAGAGGCCTTATTCCCCATCATTTGGAGCTTTCCTTTGGGTTTGATAAATTCAGATAGAGTTGGTCAAACCCCATTGGAGAAAGAACAAAACAACAAAATAAGAACAAACAAACGACAAAAAAAGTTAAGCAAAATAAATGATTGCACAACTTATATGATTACTGAGTGCTCTAATGGTAAGTAGAAATTAAGACCAGCTGGGTTTTTTTTTTTTTTTTTTCCACTTGAAGTTCTGGGATACATGTACAGAATGTGCAGGTTTGTTACATAAGCATACATGTGCCATGGTGGTTTGCTGCCCCTATCAATCCATCATCTAGGTTTTAAGCCCCACATGCATTAAGTATTTGTCATAATGCTCTGGCTCCCCTTGCCCTCCACCCCCCAACAGTCTTGGTGTGTGATGTTCCCCTCCCTGTGTCCATGTGTTCTCATTGTTCAACTCCCATTTATGAGTGAGAATACGCAGGGTTTGGATTCCTGTTCCTTTGTTAGTTTGCTGAGAATGATGGCTTCCAACTTCATCCATGTTCCTGCAAAGGACATGAATTCAATTGTTTTATGGCTGCATAGTATTCCATGGTGTATATGTGCCACATTTTCTTTATCCAGTCTATCACTGTTGGGCATTTGGGTTGGTTCCAAGTCTTTGCTATTGTAAATAGTGCTGCAATAAACATATGCCTGCATGTGTCTTTATAGTGGAAACATTTATAATCTTTTGGGTATATACCCAGTAATGGGATTGCTGGGTCAAATGGTATTTCTGGTTCTACATCCTTGAGGAATCACCACACTGTCTTCCACAATGGTTGAACTAATTTACACTCCCAACAGTGTAAAAACATTCCTATTTCTCCACAGTCTCATCAGCATCTGTTGTTTTCTGACTTTTTAATGATTTCCATTCTAACTGGCATGAGATGGTATCTCATTGTAGTTTTGATTTGCATTTCTGTAATGACAAGTGATGATGAGCTTTTTTCCATATGTTTGTTGGTCGCATAAATATCTTTTTTTGGGAAGTGTCTGTTCATATCATTTGCCCATTTTTTGATTTTTTTTTGTCTTGTAAATTTGTTTAAGTTCCTTGTAGATTCTGGATGTTAGGCCTTTGTCAGATGAATAGATTGCAAAAATTTTCTCCCATTCTGTAGGTTGCCAGTTTACTATGATGATAGTTTCTTTTGCTGTGCAGAAGCTCTTTAGCTTAGTTAGATACCATTTGTCAATTTTGGCTTTTGTTGCACTTGCTTTTGGTCTTTTAGTCGTGAAGCCTATGCCCATGCCTATGTCATGAGCGGTATTGCCTAGGTTTTCTTCTAGGGTTTTTTATGGTTTTAGGTTTTACATTTAAGTCTCCAATCCATCTTCAGTTAATTTTTGTATAAAGTGTAAGGAAAGGATCCAGTTTATGTTTTCTGCATATAGCTAGCCAGTTTTCACAGCACCATTTATTAAATAAAGAATCTTTTCCCCATTGCTTGTTTTTGTTAGGTTTGTCAAAGATCAGATGGTTGTAAATGTGTGGTGTTATTTCTGAGATCTCTATTCTGTTCCATTGGTTTATATATCTGTTTGGTACCAATACCATGCTGTTTTGGTTACTGTAGCCTTGTATTATAGTTTGAAGTCAGGTAGCATGATGCCTCCAGCTTTTTGCTTAGGATTGTCTTGGCTATATGGACTCTTTTTTGGTTCCATATGAAATTTAAAGTAGTTTTTTCTAATTTTATGAAGAAAGTCAATGGTAGCTTCATGGGGATAGCATTGTATCTATAAATTACTTTGGGCAGTATGGCCATTTTCATGATATTGATTCTTCCTATCCATGAGCATGGATTTTTTTTTCCGTTTGTTTGTGTCTTCTCTTATTTCCTTGAGCAGTGGTTTGTAGATCCCCTTGAAGACGTTCTTCCTGTCCCTTGTAAGTTGTGTTCCTGGGTATTTTATTCTATTTGTAGCAATTGTGAATGGGAGTTCACTCATGATTTGGCTCTCTGCTTGTCTATTTTGGGTGTATAGGAATACTTGTGATTTTTGCACATTGATTTTGTGTCCTAAGACTTTGCTGAAGTTGCTTCTCGGCTTAAGGAGTTTTGGGGCTAAGATAATGGAATTTTCTAAATATACTATCATGTCATCTGCAAACAGAGACCAGCTGTCTCTGTTTAAACTTAACTTTAGCCAAGACAAATCCCAATTCAGTTACTTACCTGGGGATGTGTCTCAGACTGTAGGCTGCTCTCTAACATCCTAGAAGCAGAAAAAAACAAAAAAAAAAAACAAAAAAAACTCATCTTATCTGTTAGAAGTGAGCTCAAACTCCATAAAGGAGTTGCCTGCCTTCCATCATCATTGAAATAGGAAATCTTGCCTTCTTTGTCAGAAGAAATTAAAACTTAAAAAAAAGAGAAGTTGTACAGCAAAATAAACTTTAGAACTTGACCAAATTTTAGGAGATAAGGGATTCTCTGGAGGGGATGCTCTCAGACCTCAGCAAATTGTCCTATTGGTTTGAGCTATAAAGTTAGTTAATGATGGTACCAAGCACCAATTTGTCAAAGGTCAGGGGCATCTCCACTCTGAATCCCTCTGTGGTTACCAAATGTCAACCCCCAAAATTTGAGATAGTTCTCAATTAATTTAGAAGGTTTGTTTTGCCAATGTTGAGGATGCATACCTGTGAAACAGACTCTGGAGGTCCTGATGACATGTGCCCAAGGTGGTCAGAGTACAGCTTTATTTTATACATTTTAGGGAGACATGAGACATCAATCCACGTGTGTAAAATGAACATTGGTTCAGTCCAGAAAGGCGGGAAAGCTCAAAGCAAAAGTGGGACAACTTGAAGCGGGGAAGCGCTTCCAGGTCACACATAGGTGAGAGATAAATGGTTGCATTTTTTTAAGCTTCTGATTAGCCTTTCCAAAGGAGGAAATCATATATGCATTTGTCTCAGTGAACACAGGGGTGACTTTGCATAGAATGGGAGGTAGGTTTTCCCTAAGCAGGTACCAGCTTGAATTTTCTTTTTAGCTTAGTGACGTTGGGGGCCCAAGATATTTTTCCTTCACACTACCGTGTGTCAAAGAATGTGCTCAGCACCACTGCAACAAGGGTACACAGGAAGCACAAAATGTTCCCTCTCAAAAGCTGCCCATGCTCTAGAGAAAAAATAAAAACAGTTCATGAAATAATTAAGGAACAAAAAAAAGTAGTAAAGTAACCCTTGGGTCATAAAGCTGAGACTTAATTAGAGTTAGACAAAGTATATTTTTATGGGTATTTGAGTTGTCAGGGGAGGGTTTGTGGAAGAAATGCTCTAAAGGTGTAAAATTAATTTTTAGCAGCCCCCATCTGAAAGCCCCACACTGTTTTTCACTGGGCCAGCCAAACCTTGAAATAGCCATTTCTGGCACTTTAGGGCTACTTCCCAGTTCCCATTCTGGTGCCTAAAACAAGAATTATTCCCTTCCAGAAAAACAACAGAAATGTACACTTAAATTCCTTTCATGTTTATAACTGGATGCTTTCCTCATGAGAATGAGACTACCATGACATTTTCTAAGTTAAAGGAGGGCTCCATTATTGAAGTGCTTGTAATTAACTTTAACATCCCTGTTCAATATTGTGTACTGTAACAGTGGGTAGTGAAGTTATTCTTCTAAATGTAGGACTCACTAATGAGTTTATAAATCAAATGATATATCTAGTAAGTTCAGAGTAATGAGTGATGAATCTTATCAGAGCTAAATAATATGTCTGGATGTCTCTTTTCTATTAAAAACTATTCAGAATTGAAGATATTCCTTTTGACTTTAGAGTTACTCTTTTTGTATAGTTCCCACCATTAAAGCTACTTGGAGTGCTAGCAATATGCTTTTAGAGTGGGGAAGCAAAGAAAAGCACTTTTACACATTTGTGGCACTGAAAGATTTGCCAGCAGTGCTGGGCTGTAGGCTGTCACCAGGCCCTGAGACATGAATCTCTTGTGGTCATTTTAGTGCTTGTGTAACTCAAAAAGGCTGTGGACTTAAACTGGAATTTCAAAATGATTAGTCCATATTTGCTGCTAAAGTAATTGCTCCAACTATTCTAAGAGGACAACCGAGAGCCTCAGTCCCCAAATGACTTACCCCATACACTGTGGAAGACCCAGCCAAGCTTCAGCAGGGCAGCCAGCAATATTTAACTTCCTCATTCAAGTTGCCTACCACATGGAGGCTCAGACAGAAATACTGTTCTGGGGGGATTAGCACATAATGAGCTCCCATGAATACAGCTTCAGTAGCACTCAATAAGACCTGGTTTTAATTCCATGAGGGAAGCATCAAGGGGACTACACATCTTTAGCAATCCACGAATAAAATATAAGAATGGCTTTATTAGTCTCCTCCAATATGTGAAACTTGTTGGAGACTTATTAAACTAGCCCTGTTACCTAGGCACTGGTCAAATCTTGGAGCATAATCAGAGCCTGAAATGGCTGCCAAAAGAGGTTTCCCGAATACATTTTGTGTGTACCCTTTTGACTACCAAAATTGATGGAACTCAAGAACTCAAGTAAAAATTTACTTTTACTGCTGGCTTTAGAAACACCCCAGGTGATACTAACCCCTCTCTATTATTTGAAAATATATCAG
The DNA here is from genome assembly GCF_000001405.40 of Homo sapiens. Lineage (NCBI taxonomy): Eukaryota > Metazoa > Chordata > Mammalia > Primates > Hominidae > Homo > Homo sapiens. Next base: position 99,320,122 of record NC_000023.11, on the reverse strand, counting down.
AGGTTATCACAGGGATTAATTAATATTCTAGAATGTCAGAACTGGAAAGTACCTTAGAGATTAACTAACTCCAAGTATTCATTTTGCATGAGGAAACTGAGGCATAGAGAAGGTACATGACTTTTCCCAAGTCACACAATTAATTCGTGGCAGTAAAAGGAAGAAAATCTTGATCAACTGTCACTTTGGTGATTTTTTTTACCCCACGAGGGAGGATAAAGTCATTCCAAACTGAAGGTGCAATCACAGGAATGCATATGTTGTACTTCATTGAATGGCTCAATGTTTCTTTGAGTAATTGAAGTTAAGTTCATTTTGATAACACCTATAATTTGTATAGAGCTTTACAGTACACAGAGTGTTTTCATAGATATTATTTTACTTGGATCTCCCAAGTCTTTATGACAGATAGGATAAATTACATTTTTCATTTGAGAAAGAAAAAACTAAAACTCAATGGTTATATAAATTCCAGCAAATTAGTTATCATTCAACCACCGTGTTCTCCTGAATCTAAGTTCAATACTCTTGCACTTGGGAAAAGATGGTAAGAAAATTCCTCAAATATGTCACCAAATTTCAAGTTCTATCCATTCAACATAATTTTAGTTTATTTATGAAAATTTGTCTTATGTCCAGGCACCACTTTATGTACCATTTATAATGATGAAGATAACTAATATTTACTGAGTCCCTTGCTTTGTGTCAGTCACTGTCCTAAATTTTTCAAATTTATTAACTTATTGAATATTTACTGTATTAGTCCATTTTCACACTATGATGAAGAAATATCTAAGACTGAGTAGTTTATAAAGAAAAAGAGATTTAATAGATTCAGAGTTCCACATAGTTTTGGAGGCCTCACAATCATGGTGGAAGGTGCAGGAGGAGCAAAGGCACATCTTACATGGTGGCAGGTAAAAGAGCTTATGCAGGGAACTGCCCTTTATAAAACCATCAGATCTCATGAGACTTATTCACTACCTTGAGAACAGCATGGGGAAAACCCTCCACTATAATTCAATTACCTCCCATCAAGTCTATCCCATGACATGTGGGGATTAAGGGAGCTACAATTCAAGATAAGATTTGGGTAGGGACACAGCCAAACTGTATTATTGTGTCCCTGGCCCCTCCCAAATCTCACGTCCTCACATTTTGAAACCAATCATGCCTTCCCAACTGTCCCCAAAAGTCTTAACTCATTTCAGCATTAATTCAAAAGTCTGCAGTCCAAAGTCTCATCTGACACAAGGCAAGTCCCTTCTGCCTATGAGCCTGTAAAATCAAAAGCAAGTTAGTTCCTCTCTAGATACAATGGGGATACAGGCATTGGGTAAATACACCCATTCCAAATGGAAGAAATTGGCCAAAATGACGAGGTTATAGGACCCATTCAGGTCTGAAATTGAGCAGGGCAATAAAATCTTGAAGATCCAAAATGATCTCCTGTGACTCCATGTCTCACTTCCAGGGCATACTTATGCAAGATGTGGGTTCCCATGGTCTTGGTCAGCTCTGCCCCTGTGGCTTTGCAGGGTACAACCCCCTCCTGGCTTTTTTCATGGGTTAACATTGAGTGTCTGTGGATTTTCCAGGCTCACAGGGCAAGCTGTCTGTGAATTTATCATTCTGGGGTCTGGAAGATGGTGGTTCTCTTCTCACAGCTCCACTAGGCAGTGACCCAGTAGGGACATTGTGTGTGGGCTCCAACCCCACATTTCCCATCCATACTGCCCTTGCTAAGGTTCTCCATGATGGCTCTGCTCCTGCAGCACACCTTTGCCTGGACATCCAGTCATTTCCTTTCATCCTCTGAAATCCAGATGAAGGTTTCCAAACCTCAATTTTTGACTTCTTTGAAACCACAGGCCCAACACCACATGTAAGCCACCAAGGCTTGGGACTTGCAACCTTTGAAACAACAGCCTGAGCTGTACATTGGCCCCTTTTAGCCATGGCTGGGATGCAGAACCCCATGTCCCAAGACTGCATGAAGCAGTAAGGCCCTGGACCCAGCCCACTAAACCATTTTTTCCTCCTAGGCCTCCTGGTTTGTGATAGAAGGAACTGCTATGAAGACTTCTGACATGTCCTGGAGACATATTCCCCATTGTCTTGGCAATTAACATTTGGCTCCTCGTTACTTACGCAAATTTCTGCAGCTCCAAACTTTCCCACATCTCCCTGTCTTCTTTTGATCCCTCCAAACTGTTTCAACCTCTGCCTGTTACCCAGTTCCAAAGTCACTTCCACATTTTCAGGTATCTTAATAGCAATGCCCTACTCCCAGTACCAATTTACTGTATTAATCAATTTTCATACTTCTATGAAGAAATACCCAAGACTGGATAATTTATAAAGAAAAAGTAGTTTAGTAGACTCACAGTTCCACATGGCTGGGAGGCTTCAAAATCATGGAAGAAGGTAAATGAGGAGCAAAGGCACATCTTACGTGGTGGCAGGCAAGAGAGCATGTGCAGGAGAACTGCCCTTTATTAAACCATCACATCTCCTGAGACTTATTCACTATCACGATAATAGCACAGGAAAAACCCACCCCCATGATTCAATTACCTTCCACCAGATCCCTCCCACAACATGTGGGGATTATGGGAGCTGTAATTGAAGATGAGATTTGGGTGGGGACACAGCCAAATTATATCATTTGCTAAATCAACCTTGGAGATTAATGCTATTACTATACTTATCTTATAGATGAACAAATTACAGAGTGGTTAAGCAACTTTCCCAAGATTATTATGCTAATAAATGATAGAGCCAAGATTTTGGCCTAGACAACCTAGTCTCTAGAACATCCATACAGCCACTACTATCTTCATTGTCACTGTGGGTGACTAGAATTAAAAGTGTTGTTAGTCTTTTCACACTGAAAATATCACTCTGTAATTTGTGTTAGTACAATAATACAGAAAAAAAAAAACTTCATTGCTTTGAAGTCATCTTCTATAGCATGGGGCAGTAGGAGATCAGGTAATTGAAAACAAAGTTGCTTTATTATGTAGGAAACATTAGACTTGAAGGCTTGTGATGACTCTAAACAAGTCATTAGAGTCTCTTTTATGAAAAATATTGTTTTATAAAATGTCCCTAAATGGGTTTGTATTGAAAGAAAAAAGATGGCTCTAAAAAAAACATATTGTGTTTTTCCAAAACTAGTGCTTCACCAAATGTTGTGTACAAATAGTAAATAATATGAGACTAAGGAGAATGCAGTCTAAATGTGTAACAGCTTCACATATCAATGGCTCAGTTGTCATGACAAGACTCATTGCTGTCAATGCACCTAAATATAATTTAATGATTATTAAATGGTGATTTCCACAAAAACAGTATCAAAGTTTGTGAATTAAGTGATAAAGATAAAGTTTGAGTAAATGGGCATTTTAGTTGTCTGAAAGTGCTATGGCAGAAGCAAGATGCTCCTTAATTATTGCCTTCCGGTACCACAGACTATGCTACAATAAACCGAGTAAATGAGTGAGAGGAGCATCTTTTCCCTCGTTGGCTCCCAATCCTTTCTCTGTAATGACATAGTTGTAGTTGATATATTCTATAATGTATCTGTCTGCTGTCTGTTCCTGTCTTAGCTTTCTTGCACCTCCCTTTTTCCTTCCTTTCTTCTTTCAACAAATACATTTTGAGTCCTAGGAATGCAATGGTGAACAAACACATAGACAACATCTCTCTTGTCATTTAGCTTAGAATCTACTGAGAAATATTAACATTTTTAAAGTCACACGAATTAATGTACATTTACAAATGGAGATAAATGTTTTGGGAGAATGAAACAAGGTTTCTGACCTAGAAGAGGGTGGGGGTGGCTGTAACAGAAGTTCTAATTTGAGGGAACGCTTTCTTGTGCTATGATTTGAAGAATGAGTAGCAGTTCACTGGTTGAAAGAGGAGAATCACATCCAGGGCAGGATCAAGACTACTTCAAGTCTTTAAGGCAGGAGGGAACATGGCATATTCCAGAAAAATAGAAAAATGGAAAAAGGCCAATGTGACTAGAATATAGGAAACAAGGTAAAAGTAGTCTGAGATGGCCCTGGGAAATATTAATTAAGTGGGCAGCATCAACTTGTATAGATCAGCAGTTCTGCCAACTTCTTATCTTCTTTTCCACTTCTTAGATGCCTAACACCAATCTCTAACTCCTCTTCCCACTTTTGACCACCATGTGCTCTATGCGAAGACCTACTGTGGAGGTTTGCATAAGTACCATGTCTGATCTACAAATCAAATAGTTAGATTCAAAGTGTGAAAAGATAATGCCTAGGGCTGGACAGCCTGGTGCCCAAATGAGAGATGACAGAGATTTTAAATAATAAGCTTCTGGATAAACTAGCTCAATAGAGAATATTGATGTCCTTTATAAGAGAACATAAAGAGTCTGGTTCTTCATCATAAGCTAGAGAACATAATTTCTCTAAGCATAGAAATAAGAAAAAAAATATTTTTCATGTACTCACCCTTACTGCCTCCCCAATATTCTGAGAGCCAGGATTGCATTTGAACCCACAGGAGATCATTTAATGACCTGGAGTCAACAGGTCATGTACACGTTCTACCTCAATCTTCCCTAGGTAGAAATCTATCAGTACTTCATGGCTAGAAGTCATCACTGATCATTCTGAAAGACATCTGATTTGTTTGACTCTTTTGGTTGTGGGAAACATAGATATTCTTACTTTTCCCTTGACCAAATTGGTTCTGCTGACTCTATACATATTTTTTTTCACTAATGTATAGTTGTTGTTTGTAGTTTCAATTTGATATCTTTCTTCAATAATGACTCCTCATGGCCCTTACCTAACCTCGTGTTCTCTTTGTATGCTTTCTTTCACCTTGAGTTTATGCCTGCTTCCTTAATTAGTTCTCAATTCTCACTCTTGAAAATGAGAGTCAGGTTGGCTCAGTTCATCCTTAGTCAGGCAGAGGTTCTCTTTCATGATCACTTTATAATCCTTTTGATGCTACCTTTGCAACCCCAGAGCCTAATCCACACTTGGTCCAACCAGCTTCTATTAATGGTGAAAATATCTAGTGCACAGCTACAGAGTGTGTACAACAATTAAGCACATGAAAGGTGTGGGAAAGTGTACCAAAACGCAAAGACATTACCCTCTAATGCAGAACAGAGGAAGAGTCTATTGCCTTGGAAATCTTAGACATAATGCAATGTACAAAGCATCTTTTTAGGAATTCTGATTCTTTGCCATTGGTCAGAGCAATGTTTTTAAAATTTTTCTAAGGATCCTTGAGGTTTCTTCAGAGAAATTTCAGGGCATTAAATGTCTACCTCCCATTTTGACAAAATCATTAATGTGAATCTTCACATTAATCAATTTTAGATATTTGATTTCTTTTAAAATTCACAACACTGAGGCTCTGAGCATAAGCTTAGGGAGAGGTCAGCCATGTGCACCCTGGGGTGTCTCTAAGCTGGGAAAGGCATCAGCCATCCCTGCCCTGGGTTGGTAGAAGAAGCTATGCCTAGGAGGGGTGAATCTCTCACTCACCCCCAATTCAGGTACCCAGTGACCCCCAGCACAGCAAATTTCAAAACTCTTGAAAGTCACCCATTCATTGTGGATTGTAATGGTGACCTGTAAGAAGTGGAGATGCCTGTCAGGCTTTCCCCAGAGCCTAATGTAGTACCTAAGTTTGGCAGCTGATGAAAGGGGAGACACAGCAGCTATCAGGCCTGAATGAGTATGCACGCCACAAATCAGGGAACAAGGTCACCAAATTCTGTTAGGGTGTGTATTCTGTGCCTAAAGGAAAATTCCTGTCCCCAAGGGTGTATTGTGCCTAAGGAAGAGTTCCCTTGGGCTGACTCCATTCCTGGTAGGATCCTCTTTTTTCCCAATGTTTCTGAATTTGGCTTGCATTTGTCTGCTTTGACTGGCTTGAGGAAGAATTGGGTAACTTTGATGATTCTGCCTATGAGTCAAATGTTCTTATATTTATATTTAAAACTGTCATTGCACAATATAAATATGAATGGTAAAATCTCAGCTACTAATTTAAAATTATATTTTTTCTTTACTTAGAAAGACATTAAATGGCAAACAAACCACACCATAATAGAAGATTGAAAGAAAGAAAAAACAAGCTTTATACTTTATTGCCAGTAATGACACTTTTCCCTTCTCTTTTTTTTTTTAATTATACTTTAAGTTTTAAGGTACATGTGCACAACGTGCAGGTTACATATGTAACGTTCACATTACATATGTATACATGTGCCATGTTGGTGTGCTGCACCCATCAACTCGTCATTTAACATTAGGTATATCTTCTAATGCTATCCCTCCCCCCTTCCCTCACCCCACAACAGGCCCCGGTGTGTGATGTTCCCCTTCCTTTTAACTAGGGGCTCCACTTTTTGTTTTCTGCTGAATTCTGTAAATTACATAGCTAGGTTTGGGTATTATATATTTTAGTATTCCAAAAATAGTCTTGAGTTTTGTTCTGAGATCAGTTAAAATTACTTAGAAACAGTCTGATGCTATCTGGTTTGACTTTTAAGATTTCTTATGTGGACTAGAGCAGTTCTCAGTCTACTTAACTATTTTTCACTATTGAAGCAAGATTCTACTATTTACTCTACCTAATTCCTTGTGAATCATGAGGTTTTCCTGTCTGGTCCGTGGGAATAGACCCTTTTTCTGGCCTTGAGTGTGTATAGGCACCATTACCTTCTTATCCTTTTGAGAGGATTTGGAGTTTCTTCACTGTACAAGCACTGGACAGTGCTCTGCTGAATACTTGAGGGAGGCCCTCCACAAATTTTAGAAGTTCCTTGTGCAGCTCACTCCTCTCTCATACTCTGTCCTGTGACTTCTATCTACTTTGACTTTTATGGACTCTTAGCTCAGTCTTCTCAATTCAGGGGCCCATAGGGCTCCATCTAGCACTGAAGCCTTTCCTGCACTGCAGCCTGGAAATTCATCAAGGGAAGTCATAGAGCAGACCTTCTGTATTTTCTATACATTAGGAATTACTGTCCTTTGTTACCTGATTTTCAGTATCTTGAAAATCATTGCTTTATTTTTGTCATCCAGTTATTTTGATTATTTCAGGTAGAAAGGTACATCTGGTACCTTTTTGTCTAAGTGGTCCACAATTATAAGTCACATGACATTTTTAGCAGTCAAGTCATGCCATCATAAAAAAGTTTTTCTGGTAAACAATAAAATATTGTTTTGTTGGGGAAGGCCCTTAGTAATTTTGATAGTAGAGACAAATATGGAATGTTGTAACAGATATATAATGGCATTAATTTCTGAGTCTGCAGACAGAAGCATGAAGTCAAAAGTGTAAGGACTGAATATGCTTGGTTTTCTTGATTAGATCCAAAGAAATTGGAAGTAAACATAAAGGATGTAAGTGCCTTCCAGTTTATGTTCACTCTCAAACTCTCCCCTCTGGCTAGATTTATATCTTTTCTACCTGTGGCCTTAGCCTTCTCTTTCCCAGGGATACCTTAGAAAAATCGGGCTCACTAGGATTCACTTATCCATTTAAAAAGAACATTAGAACATTTTTTACCTGCATTTTATCTTAATGAATTGGCAGTTGGAAAAAGTTAGTTGAGATTTTCTGAATAATAACTCTGCAAATAAGAATTTTAATTTGCCAGAGAATGGGAAGAAAGCCAAAATAAGTATTAGTATATAACGCTAAGATTTTTTTCAAGCAATTCCCTTTAATTTTGTTGTTGTTTAAGTGAATAATATTTAACTATCATGGCTATATAAGTAAAAGGTAACATGTCATATCCACTTGAAAACTCACTAACAATTAAAAGCTAAAAAGAATCACTTATTAATACACTTGTATTTGCTCTAAATTTTTATTTTTATGTGCACATGACTACAGATGTTAGTGGGTGAGTGAGTGGGGAGCATTATCTGGAAAAAATATGAGGCAATAGCTCAGGCTTAAAAAATTGCCACTGGAAATGCTATATATTTGAGTTTCTAAGTAGGCACTAATAGGGTTATATCTTGCTGTCCTTGGTTACGTGCTAGCCATCAATGAAAACATAGACTCAAAGATCAAGAACAGGAGGTATATTTTAGAAAATGATTGGCTCTAGAATAAGTTTCCTTTATCTCGTTAGCTATATCATTTTTAGGTACAATAAATCAATTCTGAGAATGAATCAGAACATACAGTGGAAGCAACTTGGTTTAGATATTGGGGTATAGGCTTTGCTGTCTACATGCTTGTTGGTAACAGTTTCTGTTTACTGCAAAAAGAAAATCAATCTATACTGCTGTCTGAGATCTAGTTTTACTTAATTCCAAATACATTAACTTCTGGTACATATCTCATCAAACACAGTAAAATTGATTTAAAAAACACATTTCTGTTTATTTGACTTTGAATTGAACATTTACTGACATCACCAGCACCAACACCACCATCATCATTATTATCAATATCAGCAGCAGCAGGATCCCTGGCTATTTTTAAACATACATTAGAGATATAAAATATACAGGCCTTCACAGTAACTTGGTCCAGTAAAACAGTCACCTCAGAACACACGGAATGGGGCTGTCGGGGAAATATATAACTGTACTTGAGTCACTGTTATTGTGATCTTTACACAATAGCTTACTCTCTAAGCTGTGACCTCCATTTTGGACCTGGCTTATAATGCCATTATACAATAAGCTCATGTTCTAAAGTTATGTGATTATTTCATTGCTCTCCAAGAAGATGATACAAATCAATCAATGTTAGATGTTTTTCTTTTTAAAGAAATACAAAGCCTTGAAGTCACACACAGTAGTATCCTTTAGATTAACATTTTTTATACCTTGAATATTAATTTGTGGAATTTTATAAGAAAGCACTAAATTGAGCATAATAAAAATTGTATATCAGCATATATGTTATATATGTTATAATTTAGAAAGTTGGCCATTATCTTCCTCTATATAAGTTTTCATTTCTTTGTGTTTATTATTTTCTTGCGCTAGCATACTATTGAGCCTCATCTTTAACTATATGGCCATTTTCTGGTTAAACAACAATCCAATCATATTCATGAGTCTGGATCTCATCTTATTTAATGCTACAGTGGCCAATACTACTAAAAAGATTAATTTTGTTTCATTTCTTTCCTTATAGCCTGTGATGGTTAATATTAAGTGTCAACTTGATTGGATTAAAGGATGCAAAGTATTGTGCCTGCTTGTGTCTGTGAGGATGTTGCCGAAGGAGACACATTTGAGTCAGTGGATTGGGAGAGGCACACCCACCCTCAATCTGGGTGGGCACTATCCAATCAGCTGCCAGTGCTGCTAGGATAAAAGCAGGCAGAGGAATGTGGAAGGATTAGACTGGCTTAGTCTCCTAGCCTACATCTTTCTCCCATGCTGAGTGCTTCCTGCCGTCAAACATCAGACTTCAAGTTCTTCAGCTTTTGGACTCTTGGACCTTCAAGCACAGACTGAAGGCTGCACTGTCAGCTCCTCTACTTTTGAGGTTTTTGGACTCATACTGGCTTCCTCGCTCCTCAGCTTGCAGACGGCCTATTGTGGGACTTCACTTTGTGATCGTGTGTGTCAATAGTCCTTAATAAACTCCCCTTTATATGTATATCTATCCTATTAGTTCTGTCCCTCTAGAGAACCCTGACTAATACACGGCCATAGCTTAAGAATAACTTTTAGAATATATTTCTATATGTATAGAAATGGTGCTACTAAATTGATTAAATATTGACAGGAAATAGTCAATTCAGTCTATCAACTATTACAAAACATTATTCCTCTGAGATGAGTGGTATTGAAAGAACTGATATATTAGTTTGATATCAGATTGGCATCAGCCAAAACAGGTGACATAAGCAAATCCCAGAATGGCTATACAGTTTCAAAATAAAAGATTATATTGTTTTCATTTTGTTGATAATCTTGCTTTGTCATGAAGACAATAAATATGTGACTGCATTGAATTATCCATATTCCTTTTTAGAAACTGAATAGATTTTTTTAAAAAAATTAAAAAGATCTTCATAGGAATACTGCCAGTGGAATATTTGTGACAAATTATCATTTACAAAACTTTTAATGTCTAAACTGATGTCATCTGGTGTCTCATATAAAGCTGAGGCAATGTCCCCTTTGATTCTTCTAATGGTTTGATTGACTACTATCAAAAATATCTACACTTTGGGAGGCCGAGGCGGGTGGATCACGAGGTCAGGAGATGGAGACCATCCTGGCTAACACGGTGAAACCCCATCTCTACTAAACACACACACACACACACACGCACGCACACACACACACACACACACACACACACACACAAAATTAGCCAGGCATGGTGGCGGGCACCTGTAGTCCCAGCTACTCGGGAGGCTGAGGCAGGAGAATGGCGTGAACCTGGGAGGTGGAGCTTGCAGTGAGCCGAGATCGCGCCACTGCACTCTAGCCTGGGAAGCAGAGAAAGACTACGTCTCAAAAAAACAACAACAACAACAACAACAACAACAACAAAAAACTACATATGTTGCTAACAACAGTATTAGATACTCACAACACAATTTACCACATATCCAGCTACTCATGACTTGAAAGAAACTTGCAAAATGAAAAGACAGAGAGCTGGACAAAGATAATTCGATCTTCACTGAGACTATGGCTAGTAGGGCAAAATATGTTTTTGTTTTTAATGGATCCAGCTAATTTGACCATTGAAATGAATGGTCAGTCTAAACAGAAAATCAGAGAAGTAGGATACGAAAATTGGATCTTCACTGAGACTGGGTCGTAGGAAAAAATGTGGTGTTATTGTATGAATATTATTGATTTGATCAATATTTATGTAAGGTACATAAAGAAGGCCCTTGGTCGCAAGTCCAAATTAACTTGCTTGCCTTTCTTGAATGACTGATATTTAACTATTCATTTCATTTCTTGTTTTTGTTGACTCAGGCTGCATCTTCATCACCTAAATATCAACATATCCATAGTTGAACACAATTGCAAATAGCAGATTGATATAATTATTTTAGCAGTTTTATCAGCTGCAATAGCTCATCACAGGAATGATATAGATTGCTGCATGATCAATTAAAATAATAATTCACTAGTATGACCGAACAGGTCATATTTTGCTTCTTCCTCTCTTACTCCATGTATCCTTTTTGGAAAACAAAAACAAAACCTGTGTTTCATCTAGAGAAACCTTATAGTGGTTCCTAAAAGAGAAAGGGAGTGGGAGAGAGAGAGGAAGAGGAAGAAAGAAGAAGAAAAGTTTGGAAATGCATAGATTTAAGGACTTAAGGCATCAAAGGACTTATATAGCAATCTTAGAATTATTAATCTAAGTACCTCAATTAGCTTTAATGTGATAATCTGAAAGTCTTCTCAAATTAGTTCTATATGATGAAAAAACTTTTGGTTTTTACTTCTTCCTCCCTCTCTCCCTTTCTCTCTCTTTATCCTTTTCCTCTCACCAATTCAGACCACAAAATAAGCAGTGTGATTGGTTGGCTATTTAAGATGGCTCTGAATTTTTTCCACTATATGACTATATATAGCTGTCCATCAATCATCTTAATGCTGATGTGGCATAATGTATAAAATCAGAATAATTTTAAATATTGGCTTCCATTCTTTGTTTCTATGATACTCTAATAGCTTTGTGGGAGGTAATTGTATTAAATAGAAAAGAGAGTAAACAAGTTTTCAGATCTACATTTATTTTCTCACTAGGTAACTAACTTTAAAAAGAAGACAGAAACCATAAGAGTAAACATTTAGACTTAATGTTGAGCTATGATACTAGTATGACTTGAAACAGAAAGGATTTATTGAAGTAGAGAAAAAAAACTCTTCTACAACACAACACTTTAATTAACTTCTTTAATTGTGCCCAAAGGGTGTGAAATGATGTGTACCTTTATACATTCGAAAATATGTATATATATATAAACCAACATAATTGATGATTATAATTACTGCTGATCAACTCATTTTAATCTATTAATATTATGTTTTCTTCTGTCCTAGCTGATTAAAGCAGAGGATTAGAAACTGCCTCCCTGACAGTCACATGATTTTCCCTAACAATTATAAAGCATTTTAGCCTCATCCCTGACCCCTCCATCTAGTACTTTCTACCTCATAAAGTGTAACAACTTTCAAAAGGTGACAAAGTAGATATTTTGTTAATAGTCACAGTTCATAGTGTGACACTGTAGAGACAGGCTTGACACACAGCTGCTGTACAGGGACACTCAGAGCCCTATAGTACAGTGAATGCAGGTAAAACTCTAGCTAGTACAGTCAAAAACATATTAACACTGGGTAAGAAATTGTTTCTCCATTGACTAAGTAAGCTCCAGCACTTAAAAGGACTAAATATGTAATGCCGCATCAATAGCATGGGGAAAAAAACTATAATATGTAAATGTCCTCAGAAGTTTGGATACTGCCTCTTAGCTGTAGTGCACAGTTTTAATGACAACCCTCTCATTAGCTCAGCCTTCCTAGACTATTTTAAACATTCATCATCTTATGTGGCTAACAGCACAGTTCGTGCAAAATTAGTGGAGGAATGAGGAGAATTAAAAAGGTCTTGCTGCTTAAGGGAGTAAAAAGCAGGTTGTCCTGAGCTCTTCATCTAGTTCTCTACATTTATTAAGGGCAAAACCATTTATCTTTCTACTCATAAATGGAACAGATACAGTGTCTCTCCCTCAGGCACCAGGAGCCACAGGGGAAAGCTAGATTAGGCCTTGAGAACTGATGCAACCTAGTTTGGAATGTTACTTCATGGAGCAAGAAGTTAGCAACAGTCTTTGATTCTAAATATTTTTAATCTGGTTTGTCACACACACACGGAGGGAAACAAAAGGCAAAAAGATTGCCATTGACAATTCTGCATTGTCTAAGCTGTAAGCACTGTGTCAGGATTTTCACAAATGGACACTCCTAAAGCAAGTTACATAGCTGAAAGTTTGCTTTTGGGAGGGTACTTGTGAAAGGAATAGTAAACCACAGGGCTAGAAAGAAACAACATTTGATATATAGAAATGCATAATTTTTATTCAGATGCCAATTAGGCTCTAGCTTCTTGCCACTTTAGTGGTCACTATTATTTTTGATCTGTGGGATAGTTCTGTCCTGAGTTCCAAGCAGAGAGTATATTGTTCAGCTTGGCCTGTGGTGGCTGGAACATAATAATTTGTCCTAGTATATTTTTAATTTCAGGATTGAAATGTTGGCTTTGCAACTGACTGTCAGAATAATTTATATACATAGTATTAAAAATAAGTATGTGGTGGTTTTATTAATGTACTCTTAAAGAATAATGAAACCTTCAAATCTGCTCTAATGAATTCTGATGAAGTGAAATGCTTAAGAATGATGTTCTTTGTACGTGCTTATTCCCCACTTAAGAGAACAAAAAAATCAGCCCAAAGAGGCAAAATCTCTGACAAGAATCTAGAGGCCCTCTGCAAATTAATACTCTTAGCCTCGTATACTGAGACGCTATACATGAAATGAAAATTTCAGGTTTCTCCTTGCTTTTGGATCTCAGGAAAATAAGGACAGGATTTTTTTTTTGGCTTTTACTATTATTTTTAATTGACACATAATAATGATAGATATTTATGGGGTACAATGTGATATTTCTACACATGTATAAAATGTGCAATGATTAAATCAGAGTAATTAGCACAAAGAAATGATAAATGTTTGAGGATAGTTTTTCTGTTGCTTTTTAAAACTCTTCATCTTCGGCTTTCTTGCTATCCCACTCATTGGCAACATGCATATATTTAGAAGGTATTTTTGAATGTAGCTTGCTAATGTTGAGAACACACAGCCACTGTGTTTTAGTATCGCTATGATACTGTAGATGTGACACACTATTTGTTCAAAAAAGCCTTGTTTATAATTATTGCACTTAATATAAAAAATGATGAGCTACATTAAAAAGCCTATTTTTATTCTTTATTGCATTGGTCACTTTTTTCAGGGCAATCACATGCACACATCTGAAATCCATGTGTGTCTGCATGTATATGCGTGTGTGTGTGTGTAAGCATGGTTTTTAAAGAGAAAAATGCTTTTGTGGTGGATAAGTTGATATGCTGAGAAGTTCTACTTCACCATCCCTCTATAAATGAAGGCATGCTAGGCATTGTGCCATTGTTACGTCTCTATCGTATCTTAATCTGCACATTTTGATCTTAATTTTGTATGCATTACATAACCATAATACCCTCTGAAGCTAAACTCCCATTTGAATAACAGCCAAACCAAATATCACCTACTCCCTGCTATACTGCCACCAAAAACAAGAGAGATCAAAGTTTAGTAATGGTCAGTAAGAAAGTAGCTTTTATTTTTCTCTTCAAAAACAGTTATTTTTTTTTGGTTGCTAGGAGTGAGTATTAGCTAGCTTTAGAATCAGCTCTATCTGGGTCAAAACCTACCTCATTCATCTACTAGTTGTATAAACTAACACGAGTTACACTATGAATTCCTCACTGTGAATGAAGATAACAACACTTACTTTAGAGGACTGTTATACAGGGTGGCAAAATATAATTGCCTGGCACAAGGTAGATGTTCCTTTTCTGTCTGACCATTTTATTCAGAGACATACATTTTCCAAACATTTTTACAAACATTTCCTGGTTGATCTTTACAACAACCCAATGAGGCAACTAAGCCAAAAATTACTATGATCAGATAGGAAACTAAGGCCCATATAGCCAGTCATCAGGAAAAGTTTGGTAAGAATCCATATGACCTCCTCCAAGACTTGTAAATACTATCAACATACCATCAAGTATTGGGAGAGAAATCTCTTTGGCCTGAAAATACTTTTTTTCAAATACATGTGGAAATGCATACATACTTATAGATGAAGATCTATGCATATTATTTAGATACATGTTTTTCTCAGCAATTTCTTAAGTTTAAAAAAAAAAAGTTTAAGTTTCTTGTATAATGGTCCAACAGCGTCAAATTTATGTGAAGTGTTACATGCAAAACATTTTTATTATAAAAGTAAATTCCTGGTGAGGGCAGGCAGAAACCCAAACCAAAATAAAACAAAATTTCTAAGCACTCTCCCTTCCGTTTAAACTCAAAGCAGTGGACTAGTAATACATAAAGGTATGAAAAAATACTAAAAGCACCTAAATTTAGCTACGTTTTTTTCAGTGTAGCATGAAAAAAGTTGTGAATGCTAAAAAGAAGCTGCACTCTCTGGAACTCTTAAAATCCAGGCCAGTTCTGGAAGCTGCCAGTGTAGTATAAGTAGCTGACAGCCTAAACACCCTCAGTGCCACCTACTGCTGTTCCCTGGATTACTGCTCAGATTTGATTACTGTCTCCCTCATCCCTAAGGCTATCGCTAGCTTTACACATTAAGAATTGTCCCTTTCAGCTAATGGTGACTGTGGGAACAGATAGGAATATGCTACATTGCCTACTCACTGCAACAGAGGCATCTGCTGAGAAGAAGGCAGTGTGTTTTCAGACACTCAGGGGAATATGGTCGAGAGACTACATTGTCTTAAAATTAATGGAAGAGTGTATCACACTACAAGAATATTATGCTTTATAGGTAATTTTACTAAAATGTAAAGCACTAATTATAGAAAGGTGCTGAAGCAACCTTATGTTTGTCTAACTCCTAATAGTAATTTCTGTGTCTCTAATTGAAAAGAAAGCCTGATTTCTGGCTCTCCACAGATTTACACCACTGAAAATTAAAAATGGATGAAGATACATACTCTTAAAACACTTTATTTGCACTCATATGACAATGCTTAACTCCAGTATATCTTGAACCAGTCACAATGCAGATGTCAACTTTCCTTAGTAGATCAAGACCTCCTGCAATGGCAGGGGAAAATGTTTCTTTTTGTCCTGAGCCTGGCATGGTGGTTTTTTTTGTACATTACAGATATTTAATAAAGTCTGTACAATTAAGCAAAATAAGTACAAAAAAATGAAGAGGAGTGGATTTTCTGTCTTGCAGTCATTTATTTTTTGTTGACAGCCAATAACATGTTTTTGTTGTTTGTTTGTTTGTTTTGAAGAAGAAGAAAAAAGATATGAGGCAATTTTAAATTTTGCCTAAGGTTTTATGGGACAGTGAATGTGGGGATAGAAAAGGACTGACAGGCAAACAAAACCTTTGTTGAGATAGTTGCACATGTGGGTTTAGCAAAGGGAAAGAATTCACCATTTATTATCTGTTGTATGTTTTTAAACCCTGTGATATACCAAACATACATATATATGCAATGGTGTTATAATCCTCATTTTAAAATGAGGGACAAGATGCTCAGAAAGGCTAGGCACTTTCCCAAGTTCACTCAGTTAGTAAAGCATAGTGCTGAGTAAATTCGTGGGTCTGATCGTAAAGCCAGTGATTATTTTGGTATTACACAAACACCTATTCCTCCCTCTTTGTAAACTTTATGTTAAGCTGGGAGCTTAAATCTATTTAGAAAGCAGTCACTGTGTAGAAGCAATAGTGGAAGTGTCAAAAAATAATATATTCATTTACCTTAGAAATAAAATTAGAAGGCTTACCTTAGATTTAAAATTAGAAACATTGAGTAAATGGGGAATGGGTGCATAGTAGATGTTTTAGCACACACCTATAATTCTAAATATTAGATAAGCTAAGTCCAGAGAAAAGCTGGAGCTTACAGATTCATATTGCACCAGTGGAAACTAGGAAACTAGGTTTCTGCATTAAATCTAGCAGCCATTCCCCAAGAAAGGAGTCCTAAGATACCTAGGAAAGTGTAAACAGGCTCAGGATGAAGGAACACTGTCACTAAGTCAAAAAATCATAAAGAACTTGTCTCACAAAGCAATTTCCATAGATTCTACCACCATAATCTTACAAAATATTTTGAGAATTATGATTACTTTTTATTTTTAAGTATATTTAATATACTTTAAACACACACACTTAAAAGATTTGCTAAATTCCTAAGAGATATTTGCTATATCACGGTGCATAGTATTTGTGGAAGAACACATCTACTATTTCATAATAAGTCAATGATTAAAAAAAAATCTTATGTGCACATATGATTTCATAGCCAACACTGAAGAAAGATACCTCCTTGGCATTCCTACAAACCTCAAAATATTTTGTGACTTTTGTGAATTTCATAAAGCCTATGAGTGAGATGGAAAAATATTATTGTATCCATTTACAGAAGAGGAATTAGTGACCCACAACCTATTTGGGACTTTACCCCTACAATGAATCAGTAGAAGAGTCACAAATTTACTGAAGTCTCCAGAAAAACTGTCCACAGGGTCAACCATGTTTGATGTGATTACTGCCTGTAATAACAACAAGATCATGTGTACTTTCCTGATTACTAGTTCTTTCAGTATTTTATCAATCATGAAAGCATTAAAATTAATGTCTCTAAACTATTTTTGTATTCATGATGTCAATCTTAGCAAAAGCTAGTGAGATGTTATCATAGAAAGTCATCTGAAGAGAAAACGTCTAATCGCCAAGATAGGTTGCCCAGCATTTTTTCTGTATATGTATTACCATTGCCTCCTCTCAGAAGCGGCAGACACATGAACTGTATGACAAACTCAAATGCTGCTTTAGAGGGAAATCTCATTTCCCTCAGGTGGTAGGCTTATTTACTTGTGAGTTTTCTTAAGTGTCTGGAAGAAACTTAGTTGTAACACCAAAAGGAAGAGTCTAGTTTTTTTTCCAGGCCCACTATCAATGAAGGGAGTCCAAAAGAGACTACAATGCTATTTTTGATGAGAAGAGTTCCATGCATATTTCCCTCTTCTTTGTGTCTACCTAATCCTCTTAAAGTTACTAGGTTCCAGGTCAGGGTGGGGGTAAGTGTCAGTGCCTAATGTATTGATTGCCCTCTAGTGGATGGAGCGTAAAGATTTCTTGTTAGTATGTGACGAACCTAAATATGAATCTTGGAATATTCAAAATATTGCCTCCATATTTTCAAAGGACAAACTTGGCAGCTATTTTTTTTTTTTCATTGTGCTCTTAGACCACATCTTTAAGTCAATCTATTTCTATATCATACTTCTTGGGTTGCTATCCAAAAACAACAGGTATTTTTGCAAGTCTACTATGTATAAGTGACTGTGACACAATCTGTGAAGGGTAAAAATAAGTACTGTATAATACATGGTCTCTGTCTGTATAGAGCTCAGTTTTATCTCAAATGTGATATGTACAACTGAAAAAACAGCACAAAGTATCTTTTACTGGTATTAAATGAAAACTGCATTCTTTAGATGAGTAAGGCTATTGAGTTTCAAAAGCAAATATCGTCTCACACCCATCCTCCATCACATAACCCTGCCAGATCTTAATACAAGCTTCACAATAGGAGAGAGTAGAACATTAATGGGGTCATGAGTTGAGGAAGCCATAAAACTGAAGTCTTTAATAGCACTGTACTCCATTGATATATTTAAACTCTAAAGACTTCTTTAAATGTAAGATTGTTGATTTCCACCTTTGGGGTAATCTTAACTGCATGTTTCTCTAGGTAACATGTAACTTAGAACTTTTAATATGAAGAAAATATTTGGGTAATAGTTTTTAATATATTTAGCACTAATTAAATGAGGTCAGGGTAAGGTTGAGTGAGGAACTATAGGTATGTCACTTAAGTCAGCAAAGTATATGAATAAAGTTATCCAAATATTTTCCTGTGAAAAGCCCCACAACCTCCTTTTTTCCACCACCCATCCATGACCTGAAAAACCCTTCCTTATTCCTATATCATAGTAATTACACTGTTGAATCGTTATTACTTGTTTACCTCTCTCTCTCTGCCTTACTAGACTCTGAGCTTTCTTTGTATTTTCTCCAAAATTTATAATCACTAAAGGCACAGAGTAAGTGCCAAATTTAATAAAAATATCATTGATTGAAAGAATGAAATGTAGTGGAAATTTCAGGCACTTGTGGAGATACTACTGGTTATGGGCACCTAGTAACATGTCTCAAACTTGAATATGTAGAAGACTATCTCGTCTTCCTGGCTGTTTATTTTATTTGTTTGCTGCGACTGTGAACATACAAGTGGGCCTTATGAAATTTAAATCAAAATTGCATTATTTATATTAGCAATTGAAAAAGGACCATATTCTTACTGTTTTTCAAAGCAAGCCAAATAGGAAAAAGAGCCAAATTAAGTCACGCAGTAAATTATCTAATGATTGAGCCACAGAAAATAATGACATTTTTATAGAAATTTTTAATTCCCCATAAAACAGTTTCACATTTTTAGCCTGATGAGAAAAGTAATATGTTCAAAATTAGGAAACTTAAAGGAATGAAACTTATGTGTTTTGAAAACTAAGATTTCTTGCTTAAAATATAAAAATAGTTGATGCAGGAGTAAGGAGAGTATCACTGAAGTCCTCATATTTGTGACCAAAAAGAATAAAGGGCCTGTGCTAATATTACAACTATTTCATATGAACAAGTTCTAGAAAAAACAATCTTTACTTAGGTGCCTCTGATATCTAAGTGCAAAGAAACATAAAATAACAAAACAATACAAGCAAGAAGGTAGAATTTAAAGAAATGAAAAAGAGGGCAATAAAACATGAGAATGATGCTCTAAAAAAATTAAAGATACATCTGACCCTTGTTTAGTTCCTAAAATCTGCTTTTTATAGAAAAAATTAAAAGAAGCAACAGAAAGAATGAAACTAAACAAAATACGTCTATAAAATCCCATTCTCTCTTGTAATAAAAAAAAGTTGTCCTAAAGTGTTAAACAATTTTTTAAACATTTGTTTTTCATATTACCTTGATTGGGAGCACCATGTGGGCCAGAGGTAGGACAAGCAGAAGCCCCTAGAAGCATAAAAATGAGATGCCTCTGTTCAACCACTGCTCTTCTGTACATCCTCATGAGAAGGAAAGGAGGTGCCCATTTACTCTTTTTAATCTCAGCAGGTGCAGAGCCATCACTCATAGTCACAATATTCTTCAGAAAAAGAGCCAAGATCCAAACTGCCCAAATTTTTGACCACTGTCCTAGAGTTACTGGAGATAGCTAGTTTTCCCCTTACAACAATAAAGTACTAAGAAATAAATATAGGCAAATAAATACTTAATACCAGTTGAAAATTTTTTGAACTCCAACTAGCTTAAGACTAAATGTGAGCATTGACATCCTTTTTTTTTTTATTTTTTATTTTTCTCTCTAGCTTCAGGACTAGAGTAGAAGCATTTGGCTTGCCCATCTTCCTAAGTATTCTTTAAGCTTCAGAAAAGCGAAGGCCCTGGTGATCTTGTTCACTGCTATATCTCAGTGCCTAGATAAGTTTTTGGCACATAGTTGGTACACAATAAATATTGGTTGAAACCAATGGAAAAAAGAAAAAAAAAGACAGTAGCCTCCTACTCTACTTTTTCCTTGGGCCTTCCTTGGTTCTTGCTTAGTCTAACGCTGGGGTGGGAAGTAAAGAAGACATTTTCTCTCATAGGCTCACCTTACATCAGCTCCTCATATGAGAAAAGAAAGAAGAAGGCAATTAAAAGAAATTCAATAGCAAGAGTCAAGAGAATGCTGATCCCAGTTAAATTCTACTTAAAAAATCCCTTTATTCCATCCATTAGAAGCCACACTTTCTGGTTCTGTTGCCCAGTTTTATTCTCAAAGGGACAAAGGGCTAGTGAAAACCTAGAAAGCCTTGAGTTTTGTAGAAGTTAATTTATAACAGACCATATTTAATAAGCAGATTTGTTGAGTACAGGGATAACTACTGTAAAGCCTTCTACTTAAGACAAATCAAACCCACTGATTATTTTTAATATTTTGCCCAATGCTTTCCTTTTCATGGTGTGTAAAACAAACCCCAACACAAAAATCAATATTGCAAAAATTAAGTGTATGTTTTCTGAGGTAAGTACTCAGGGAAAGAACACCAATACTCATAGTTAGACACCAGTGGAAATGTAGCCAAAATGTTCCTCTTGAAGTCTCCTCTGATTAGTTAGCATAAGTACAACATTTTTATAATCTTAAGACCTTTTGTTTATTACAGAAATACTTGAGCTAAATGCAAGGTTAGCTTTCAGCCAAAAAATGCTGGATACATATGCACAGGATATTATTTTGTAGAAGCCCTTATGGATTTCTACCACATATTCAAAAGTAATTTGACACAGAGCAGCATAAAATGATATATGGACTTCTTAGTGTGAATTTATTTGAACCTCAGAGTAACCTTAATTTTCTTAGAGATCCTAACTTTCTGGTTCAGTTGAATGAACCCTGTGGATCATATTTTCCTAGGTGTTCTAGTTACTAAGAAGATTTTTCATGAAAAAACGAAACAAACAAAAACCTACCAGTGTTTAATGTTTTTAGCATCAAGATTACTAATTGTTAAATTTAATATTTAATTTAAAATAAACATCAAGACGTTTGGGAAAGGTTTCTACTTATTTAAATGAGAGTTTGATAAGAAATAAAGCAATGTTTTAAGTCTGAGGACTTAAGAAAATTTCCTTGTATATTGTCTAGACTTGCCATCTCACCTCTGACACGATGAAGCCTATGATGAGAAAATAGAACGGCAATAGAGCAAATGTGTGAATGGGGAAGAGAAAAGCAGGCTGTGCATACAAGTCTTCAGTAATTTCACTAATGAAGAACTGTAAAGGGGCCTGTCCAATGGATGAGGAGAGCAACTGTACGTAACAGACTAGTAAGTCTATAAATAGCCTTTACTTTTTTTCTCCAAGAGCCTCTAATAAAAATGTTATATTTTGGAGAATAAAATGAAAACCTAAAAAACAGCAGCAGTAACAAAAACAACTACTACCATTTACTGCATGCTTATCATGTGCTAGGAATTGTGCTAACAGATTTCCATGAATTATCTTATTGGCAACATTTAACTGAATGCCGATAGACTTATAATAGGCTTTGTCCCCTAAATCAGTTCTCATCATCTACCCTCACAAACAGACATATAGTTGGTGTACCTCAGGAGTTATAATAACAGAGACTTGGTAATATGAATAGAAAACAGAAGAAAATTGAAAATTTTGTTAGAACAATGACTATGAGCAATCTATTTTGTGTATTCTGTTCATTCCCTTAATGTTGTTTTGCTTACCTGTATCTGTGAACTCCAGTTAATGAACTAGTTTCAAGGTCATTGAGAAGATAGTGAGTTGAATAAGTATGTACATGCAACAGTAAGAAAGGGAAAGAAAGAAGAAAGTGAGAGAGGGTGAAGGGGAACACAGGAGAGAGGGGAGAAAGCAAAGCTGAATGTAGACTGAATAAGAAACACACCCTGCAGGTCCCAAATTTGACCACTGTTGTTATGGAGTTAAGGGTTTGATTTTATATCTTCTTTCTTGGACACAGTTAGTGGGCACTAGAACATGTCCATACATTCATGGTAATGTCATATAAATAAATTCGTTTAAAAAATAATGAATAGTTCTTATTTGTGCTTCCAAACATCAAGAAAAGAAAACATGAAACCTCTTGTACTGTACCATGACTACTTTTTCAACAGATGCTTCCTTCCAGATTAGGAAGGACATTTTACAGCTCTATCTGAGATCCTTGTAGAGCTTTACATTCCAAAATATGAATCAACCCAGAGCTGCTTTTTCTCTTTGTTCAATGACAAGAATTCCGGGTGAAAATTGGTCCCTGATTTCATTTTATGAACTACAGTGGATGCTTGAGTAGTATTCAGACACATGGTATGTAACCTCTCATTTCTTTCATGTACATTATTTTCCAGGAAGATCACTTCTTTCTGTTTACATTTTAAATAAAAAACATACAAGCCAATGGCTTGATGCTCAAATTGAGTTAAATGCAGCAAAGAAATTACATGCACAATATAACAGTGCTTTGCTGATGTTTTATGTACAGCACCAAGCAGCAAAGGTACAACTCCATCAAGACTTTGATCTGCACGTTAAAAGCACAGGGCACCTTTATAGATCCAAACTTTAATAGCCACAGAAGCAAAACAAAACCAAACCTAAACACCCTCTAGAATTTACCTGTTAGGATATATATGCATCTCTTCCTTTTTAGTTAGCTAGTTTTCTGTCTTCTGATTCTTTTGTGCCTTTTCATAAATATGTCCCTCGGCTTTATAAATCTGAAGAGAAAAATCAGCACCTTTGCAAATTAACTAGTGCAAAGGAAAATGAAAGAAACAGCTTCTTTCTTGATATTTGACTCATTGAAAATTCAGTCATTTATCAGGTTCCCTAAGCCCCATGCTCTGAAAAAGAGACAAGTTCCACTCTGCTATTCCATATACATCACAGCTGACTGAAATCTTTCCTCAAAGCAGGATAGAAACCTAAAGCATTGAGAGGTAACACTATGGATATCTCCCCAGCCTCTGCAGCAGAGACAGAATGTAGGCAATAACAAAAGTGGTTTAACTATGTATCATTGAGAGTAAAATACTCTTAATCCCGAAAAACATGCATAACTATGTTGTCTTCCCACTGAAACATAAATGAATGTTGAACATTAGAAACATTTCAAAAAAGAATATGAAAGAGATTATACACTATCAGAGGAATTGGTGCATAAAGTAGAAAGTGTCAAAGGCTCCTGGGGAAAATTGCAGCTCCATGGCAAAGGAGGGAGAAAACTGATTTTTGTGTTTTTGTAGCTGTATTCACAGCATCAGGCAGAACTGTTTTAATGTTAAAACACTCCCTAATACCCCAAGAGCCAATGCTTTTCAGCTTGTAAAACTTAGTAAACATGCAGGTCTAGAAGGAGTCAGGTGTTCTTATTCACACAGCTGATTTACAGCGACTGGCTATAATGGAGAAAGTATCATCCTGTAAGCCTTAAGGTATCTCAGAGTGGGGGAAAACCAAGAGGGAGTCTTTTATTTCTGCTTTACTTACTCTTACAAGGATGGTAGGACTAAGTAAAGGAAAGAATGCAAGAACCCTGCACAGAGGGGAAAAAACAAACAAACATGAAACACAGTTCTGTGACTTCCTTATTTTCTTAATGCTGGTTTTTCTTTCATTATTCAGAAAAAATATATTTTTTTCCAAATTTGTGAATATTTATGGTCTTTTCCCCTGGTTAGCAAAACAGGCTTTATTATGGAAGTGAGAAGTGTCTGTAGAAATTGCAAACAAAACTAAGTGCATTCTAAGCCCCTCACAGCTAATACCATTATGAATGCACACTTTTCTTTAATGGTGGTGGGCAAGAATATATTGAAAATATAATAATTTAATATGTTAATAAATAAATGTCCCATCAGTGAAGCTCTATGTGCCTCAACAGGAGCCTTTTGAGAGGCATTATTGATAGTGGCCAGTAGAGGACAGAAAAGGTTGAACTCAGAGCAGATGAGAGGTAATGTGGTCAATAAGGGGATCAACTAAGCAGATAGTGAACCCCAAGTCAAATAGAATAGGCCCTGCAGAACTGTCACAGTGTTAAATAGTGTAAGCCAAGTGAGGTCTTTAGAAAGGTCTCATATTCTGAGTGTTTGTCTCTTCTGTGCTACAAACCTTACAATGCTACTTGGAGGTGGCATATCACATTTGCCCCATTTGGCTTGCTGTACCTTCTCTCACTGTTGTGATAACAGAAACCCTTTAATGCATCTTAGCTGCAGATGTCTTCTTGCTTTTGTATCTCAAAAGGAACAGCAAAAACCTGCCAGAGGCACTACTTGCCCTGCAGGTTTGTCCTCTTATCATCCATTTTAGCTGATGTATTTGTACGTCTTATATTTCTGTACCATAGTCATTTCATCCAGAGAGGATTTTGAGGGAATACATGTTGTTTCAAGGGAACCAAGGACAAAATGGGCAAAATGAGACTAATTTTATCATGCAGGGGATGCGGCAGCTGCAGCAAAGGAGCCACTACTGAACAGTAAGTTATAAAATCCCAAACTGCTCCTTTTGGAGACTGAGTTTACACCTTACATTGAGAATGTACTGATAGTGCCCTCTGCCCTTTAATAGCAGCACTGTGACTTCCTGATATGTTGCTTTGGCCCTGAAGAATCAGGTCACATAAAACGGGAATGCTCTATACTTAAGCAGCACCTTTTATCCGGCAGGCTAAATCCCCCTTACAACTTCTGGCTCATTAACTCTCATAATACCTTCCTGAGGTGACATGTATAAACCCTGTGGTTTATAGATGGGGTAACAGAAAAGTCACAACACAGTTAGCAGACTGGCTCCGACAGTTACAATATATCTTTCCACAATGGCGATTGATTGTAGAGCTCTGGGCTCCAAAGATGTAGACATAACAATTCCCAGGAAACTGTCCTGTGAACTGAAATGCCACTGAAATGGCATGCATGCAACTACAGGAGGAAAAAGCAATGTTGTTCTTTATCAACAACATTATACAAGGTGAACCTTTGACCATATGCGTGAGGTTGACATTATTGGATCTTGAAAACACTTTCCCAAGCAGAGACTGACATTAATACAAGCAATATTAGCATTCTCAGTCTGATGAGCACAAATGGATAGAGGAAGAATCTAGTAGCATCCCAGGTCATGGGATGGGTGTGAATTTAGGGCACACTACCAGAGGCAGCATCTGGGACAGGTAGCAGAGATTCAGGAAAGGGAAAGTAAGAGCCACGATCTTAAATCTGAAGTCCAAGGAAGAAGCCAATTTAAAAAAACAATAGAAGCAGATCTGTATAAGAGGCAGACGAAGCGATTCGGTCATTAATTAGACCAATTGCACTTTTGCCAACAGCCTCTGTGGTTTAATAAGAATACTGAACATTTAGTGGCTTGGACACTTTTTGTCTTTGATGTCTTCATTGTCATCAAGATAATAATCTCATCATCAACATTATTACCACCAACTTCAAGCTCCTCATCATTACAGTAAGGCAGAATCTCCAATTCTCCTCCCTATGGTCTAGATAATAGGCTGTGCATTTGTGGACCAAAGTGAAAAATTCAGCTCCTTCTATATGGTAATAAAACAAAAAGAGCATCTGCCTCTTGATGATCACTTAGTAGGCCTTCTCCTTCTCTGGAAGGTGCAGCAACTCTCCTAGCACCAACTCTCATTCTTTTAATTTATGTTCTGCACAGCAGAGAGATAAAGTCTAAACCGTTCTGAGGATAGGTTTTCTGGAAAGAATAATTGTCCTACGACATCTAAGAAAAAATAAGGGAAAGTTAGTAAAGCTGCCTTGATCCTTAGGAAAAACATATTCTCTCTTGTGTGTGTGTGTGTGTGTGTGTGTGTGCACGTGCGTGTACGTGTGTGTTGGGAATATAGAGAAAAGAACAAAGGAAAAGAGGAAAATTAAGTTTATCATTAAAACACCAATGATGGCAGTACAGACACGGCTGCTGAAGATACCATGTAGATGAGTGGACAAGACTGTTTATCACATATTTGTTATACTGGTGTAACATGTATCACTTCACATGTAATGAGCTCTTTATTCTCACCCCAGACTGATTCCACATTGAGTGAAAAATCTATGAATATTCAGAGACAAAACCTGTCTTTGGGCCTAGAGTTTTGTCCAACATGGGGATAGCTACAAAATTATTTCACCAACTTCCTAAATTTAGTTTTGTATTTGATGCATAAAACTTTTTCAAAAGGATTGAGGTTGATGCTCCTAGGGGACTGAGGCAGTTGATGCTGTTCCCTTTTTGTTGTATCATTGGATTTACATGCACCAAGGAGTCATTTGAGAGTGCTTTTTAAAAGTTATGTCTCCAGTGTCAGAGTGTTGCCTCTAGTAGCATTTGACATCTTGGTAACATTCTGAAATAAGCTCAGACTCAAGCTCTGCATCACACCAGAGCAAAGTCCTTAGGTTTAGAGTTCTCACTACACAGAACAAAACATTCCAACCAGTCTTATCAGTGGCACATGTATTTACTACATATCATCTTGATTACTTTTTCCTTCATGCTCTATAGAATATAACATATTTGAGGAACAAAGTAATTAAAGTATTTGCCCACCCTTACATTTTGATTGAAAGAGGAATGAACTGGCATGTAATTAAAAAAAATCTTTAACTGTGGACACTTACTGAAATATTGATGCTTACTGGGTTTATATTATCACTCTCCCAAGACCTTGCTTTCCTTCTGCCTTTTTATGAAAGCTTCAAGTGATTCTCTGAAAGGGGCAGCAAAATTGAGTAACAACAGGGCAGAAATTCATCACTTACTCTCATGTATATTGTCCAATGTTGGCAAATGTCTTGTAACTTTTAAATTTAGAGTACAGTTGCCTGCATTTTTCATCACTTTGACTAAAAGATGATCTGTTAACAATGTATTGTCTCTGAAATTTATAAATAATTTTATCTTAGTTTTTCATGAACTTTAGCATTTGGTTCCAAGTACATAAAATATTTGAAATAAAAATTACTTAACTGGCTGGGCGTGGTGGCTCAAGCCTGTAATCCCAGCACTTTGGGAGGCTAAGGCAGGTGGATCAACTGAGGTCAGGAGTTCGAGACCAGCCCGGCCAACATGGTGAAACCCTGTCTCTACTAAAAATACAAAAAATTAGCCGGGCGTTGTGGCGGGCGCCTGTAGTCCCAGCTACTTGGGAGGCTGAGGCAGGAGAATCGCTTGAACCTGCGAGGCGGAGGTTGCAGTGAGCCAAGATTGCGCCATTGCTCTCCAGCCTGGGCAACAAGAGTGAAACTCCGTCTCAAAAAAAAAAAATAAATTACTTTACCCCTTAACCCCTTCAGTGATGCAAAATGCACAAGCAGAAATAAAACACATAAGTTTTATAAAAGTCAAACCTCTTTTCTATATCCTATTTCCCTGCCATTCCTGTGTCCCATTCCTACCATTAGACTTTGTCTAACGTCTTCCTTGAGTGGTTGAACTTCAGCAGATGGGTACTACCATTTCTTTACCAAAGGAGCTTGCTAATGATTTGCATTTTTTCGCAGCTAACTCTTAATGATCCATTTTCACATAATTAGTTGCTAACACCCACACAGCAGGGCCTAAAATATCTTGTGCTCACTACTGCACACTGGGTGTACTTCATTAAAGAGCTAAGGGTCCCTCCAATTGCATCGTGGGACTGCAGAGTCTACAGAACAAAGGAACCCACAGGAGCATGTATAGCTGCTTGTTACTGAAAAAGTTATGAAGGCAGATCTCTCTGAAGCCTATTTCTTTCTCAGTATTCATGTCCACATCAACACCAGCCCTGAGATGACTGTTGGTGAGTTGAAAAGCTCTGTGAGTTGTCTATCGTGAGCAGCAACCTGGAGAAACTGCAATGTTGCTCTTTATAAATAATCACAGCTGCTCCATCCTAAGGAGAAGAGCAAATAAGAATTCACTTTGAACAATTGAAATCTCTCGAAACCACAAGTCACATTTACTTAGATCTCTGTACATGTATTTACTACATATCATCTTGATTACTTTTTCCTTCATGCTCTGTAGAATATAACATATTTGAGGAACAAAGTAATTAAAGTATTTGCCCACCCTTACATTTTGATTGAAAGAGGAATGAACTGGCATGTAATTAAAAAAAACCTTTAACTGTGGACACTTACTGAAATACTGATGCTTACTGGGTTTATATTATCACTCTCCCAAGACCTTGCTTTCCTTCTGCCTTTTTATGAAAGCTTCAAGTGATTCTCTGAAAGGGGCAGCAAAGAAGTTGAAACATTTTTATTTTACTCTACCTAGTTTACTTTTTTACTTAGTTTTTTAGTTAGTTACTTGCTGTAAACTGAAGGACTATCTCTTGACAACGCTCTCTTTTGCCACCAGATGATGCATGCATTTTGGCAACCACAGTAATTGGGTGTCTATTCCAATTCAGGAAGAATTCTTATGGGAAGCAGATTTCCTAGGCATTCCAGGTATTGTACTTTGAAGAGACTGCCAAGAACTACAACATGTTCTGCAGTAATACACTAGCTGTGTAGGTTCTTGAGCAGCCAGATGAGCCTTGGATGTTGTCAATTTGTGGTTGATTTAAATAAGTGTTCTAGAAAAACTGTTGCATAAAGCACTTAGGGCCAAATATGCATAACTAATGCATGCATATTTGCTTAACCTCACCAATACTTTTCATCTAAACCAAAAGTATGATTTCTGTCATTTTATTTGTGTGTGCATGTGCAGTAATACGTGAAATGATTTCTTAGTTATCGCAAAAAGTACAAAAAAGCATGAGTCTCAAGACTATAACAAACACAAAAATAAGAACTAAATTCTGAATGATTGCCTTTATTTTAGGAAGAAGTATTTTTGCTTTACTCAAAATGAGATTCTTGAAGCATCTATTTATTTATTCACTCATTCATATGCTCAATAAATATATGTCTATGTTAATCACTAGATTAGATGACACACTATGATTGTGAACATAACTCCTAAGTGCCCTGTCCTCCTAAAACTTACATTTTACTTGAGGAAACAGATCACAAACAAGTAAAAAGGATACAAGATAATCAAAGATTGTGCTCTGAAGAGAACAAAAGAAGGCAAGTAGTTAAAGAGTGATAGGGCTTGGGTGGGAGCAATAGGTTGTTAATACACTGAGATGTGAAGAATGAGGAGCCAGCTACACAGAAGTGAAGAAAAGGGCATGCCAAGCAGAGGTAACTGCCCTAAGCACAAGAAGTTTTGTATTTTGAGGGAAGATAAAGGAAGTCCATGTATAGCAAGAATCGCGACCATGGTCCATATAGTCCAGAACTGCATCTGAGACAGATATACCAATGGACAGCATAAGGAAGGATAGGGTTATTGTCCACAAGTTCACACTCAGGCCTTATCTCTCAATTCTCATATTCTAAATTTCTTACCCAAAAATTTATTTAAATTACCTTGAATCAATTTATGACAGCCTATACTGCTTTTTTAGATGTAATAAGTTTTGGTGGTTAGCTACTTTGAGTTTAGAGTAATGCTTTCATTCTATTTGTCCCAATTAACCTCTTGAATCTTAAAAAATTTCCCCTTTATTTCTTATGCCCTGAGACATAAGGGATACGTCTGCTCTCATTTTCCCACACAATCTTGCTTCTTACTTACTTTAGAATAATTCACTTTTGATTTTCATTTCATCCAGACTGAAGACTTTTGATCTTTTTTTTAGTTTTTCTTATTGATTATGCCCTGCACTCCCTTAATTATTCTATGGCCTGTGAAGTTGACCTCTGCATAAGAAGAATTGGCACAGAATGCTTGGTGGCATCTCAGGAATTCAAAAGGCCTCCATACTCCCAAAACATTTTTCTCTAGTAGCCCATCAGTTGGAAAACAATGTTTATCTTTGTGATTTCTTTAAATGAAGTTATTTAAGTTATCGAAGATCCCTATTTGCTGGTTAAGAGTGGTAATATATTAAATCACCATCAACCATTAATTAACTTCTAAAATAAAGCCCTCTCTCAAGGTATGGGACACTGGACAAGTTATAGGAGAGGGACTGAAAATCTGGAGATAGGAAATCAGAGTTAAATTCCTGAATTGGCCTTTTATTTCTTCTGTGAGTCTAGACCATTTCTGCAGAGGTGTATAACATATTGGTTGAGAGTAAAATGTTGGGTTCATACAGACTTCATTAGAATCCTGGTTCCACCACTGACCAGGATAATTTTTTAACGTCTATGGCTTTCATTTACCTCACCTGTAAAATGAAGGAACCACCTGTGCTTAACTCATAAGTCTATTGAAATAATGAAATGAAATAATGCAGGTAGTATGCCTGGCCCAAAGTTAGACTACAATGCAGTGTTACTATAACTATTCACCTTTCTGAGCTTTTTTTTTTCCTTATCTGTAAAATGGAAACAAGATTTCACCAAATCGCAAGGATGCTGAGATTTACAACCTTGTATTTGCAAAATTAGTAGCATAGTTTAGGGACAGATAAATATAGAAGCCAGAAAAAAAATACTGATAGAGGCAGGAAATAATCACTGTAGTTGATGCAGTGCTCTACCACTCAGATGCCTCAGCTTCTGTGACTGTTGTGAGCAGACATCTCTCGTCTTTCAGCCCACTTCAGGATTGTTTTGGCTGTGTCCAATCTATGCAGTCCTCCCTAAAGCAGCTTGTCCTCCATTAAGGAGAAACACAAAACCCTGATCCCTTTGTCTACTGTAGTATAACATTGAATGGCTATCGCAAATTCTAAAATTCCCATGAAGACACCTGAGGACTTCCCTGATACTACACTACAGCCCAACTTATTCTTCTCAGTTTTGCTTCCTTTCTTTCCTTTTGTCAGGTGGAGACCCAAAGAGCACTCTCCAATAAACCTCCTGCAGTCTCTATCTCAGAGTCTTCTTCTAGGGAACCCAATCATGTGTCCTGTTCCATCAAAATCTCTTCTTTTGGCCCTAGAGGTTGCTACTTAACTTTTAGTTTGAGATTTGCTGCTACGTCGAATTAATTTCTAAAGATCTCAATCTGATAATATTTTGGAGTTGCATTCACATAGAATGCCATCATTTTTTAAGTAACCATTTCAATGTAAAATAAAACAGAGATAGAAAACAAATTTACACACAAATGTAACTTAATAAAATATTATAAAGCAAACACCCTTATAAACCACCACTCAAATCAAAAACTAAAATTTAGACATCAACTCAGTAGCCCCTCCATGTTCCTCATCCTAACCACATTGTCCCCTTCTCCCCAAAGTAACCACAAAAGTAAAACAATTACTCACACTTCTTTCCATTTTTATCATCCAAAGGTGCATCGCTAGACATCATTGTTCAGTCATTACCATTTTTTATACTTGATATGTCCTTTAAGCCTATTTTATTCTACAAGTTTCTCCTTCATTTAAAAAAAAAAGTCCTTATTGTATATCCAGAAAACCCCATTGTCTCAGCCCAAAATCTCCTTAAGCTGATAAGCAACTTCAGCAAAGTCTCAGGATACAAAATCAATGTACAAAAATCACAAGCATTCTTATACACCAATAACAGACAAACAGAGAGCCAAATCATGAGTGAACTCCCATTCACAGTTGCTTCAAAGAGAATAAAATACCTAGGAATCCAACTTACAAGGGATGTGAAGGACCTCTTCAAGGAGAACTACAAACCACTGCTCAAGGAAATAAAAGAGGATACAAACAAATGGAAGAACATTCCATGCTCATGGGTAGGAAGAATCAACATCGTGAAAATGGCCATACTACCCAAGGTAATTTATAGATTCAATGCCATCCCCATCAAGCTACCAATGATTTTCTTCACAGAATTGGAAGAAATATTTTAAAGTATTTAAATACTTTAAAGTTCATATGGAACCAAAAAAGAGCCCGCATCGCCAAGTCAATCCTAAGCCAAAAGAACAAAGCTGGAGGCATCACACTACCTGACTTCAAACTTTACTACAAGGCTACAGTAACCAAAGCAGCATGTTACTGGTACCAAAACAGAGATATAGATCAATGGAACAGAACAGAGTCCTCAGAAATAACGCCGCATATCTACAACTATCTGGTCTTTGACAAACCTGAGAAAAACAAGCAATGGGGAAAGGATTCCCTATTTAATAAATGGTGCTGGGAAAACTGGCTAGCCATATGTAGAAAGCTGAAACTGGATCCCTTCCTTACACCTTATACAAAAATTAATTCAAGATGGATTAAAGACTTAAATGTTAGACCTAAAACCATAAAAACCCTAGAAGAAAACCTAAGCATTACCATTCAGGACATAGGCATGGGCAAGGACTTCATGTCTAAAACACCAAAAGCAATGGCAACAAAAGCCAAAATTGACAAATGGGATCTAATTAAACTAAAGAGCTTCTGCACAGCAAAAGAAACTACCATCAGAGTGAACAGGCAACCTACAAAATGGGAGAAAATTTTTGCAACCTACTTATCTGACAAAGGGCTAATATCCAGAATCTACAATGAACTCAAACAAATTTACAAGAAAAAAACAAACAACCCCATCAAAAAGTAGGCAAAGGATATGAACAGACACTTCTCAAAAGAAGATATTTATGCAGCCAAAAAACACATGAAAAAATGCTCACCATCACTGGCCATCAGAGAAATGCAAATCAAAACCACAATGAGATACCATCTCACACCAGTTAGAATGGCAATCATTAAAAAGTCAGGAAACAACAGGTGCTGGAGAGGATGTGGAGAAATAGGAACACTTTTACACTGTTGGTGGGACTGTAAACTAGTTCAACCATTGTGGAAGTCAGTGTGGCGATTCCTCAGGGATCTAGAACTAGAAATACCATGTGACCCAGCCATCCCATTATTGAAGGTATATACCCAAAGGACTATAAATCATGCTGCTATAAAGACATATGCACACGTATGTTTATTGTGGCACTATTCACAATAGCAAAGACTTGGAACCAACCCAAATGTCCAACAATGATAGACTGGATTAAGAAAATGTGGCACATATACACCATGGAATACTATGCAGCCATAAAAAATGATGAGTTCATGTCCTTTGTAGGGACATGGATGAAATTGGAAATCATCCTTCTCAGTAAACTATTGCAAGGACAAAAAACCAAACACCGCATGTTCTCACTCATAGGTGGGAATTGAACAATGAGAACACATGGACACAGGAAGGGGAACATCACACTCTGGGGACTGTTGTGGGGTGGGGGGAGGGGGGAGGGATAGCATTAGGAGATATACCTAATGCTAAATGACGAGTTAGTGGGTGCAGCACACCAGCATGGCACATGTACACGTATGTAACTAACCTGCACATTGTGCACATGTACCCTAAAACTTAAAGTATAATAATAATAAAATAAAAAAATAATAAAGTTTGCTATAGCTGTACATAAAAAAATAAAAAATAAATAAATAAATAAATAAAATGTCCTTTAAAATTTATCTGTTGCACAACTTGGGTAATTTGACATGTAGTTTACCACAGTCCAGATTTTGTTCAATGCATTCTCATGGTGCTGTTTAATATATTCCTTTCTCTTTAATATTTCTTGAAAATTGTCAACTGGATCCAAATGCATGATAAGACTCAAATTTTACCTCTTTGGCAAAATCCAGTCATATTGTAGTTTTTCCTCAGGAGACACAAAAGGTCTTACTATCTCTCTTTTTGTTGTTAGGCACTCTTAATGCTCAATGTCTATGCTTGTGAATTCATTGCCTTTGCAATACGGTGATATTCTAACTCTATCATTTCTTTTTAAATTAGTTGCAATGTTTTTATAACAAGACACTGCTCCAAATATACTAATTGGTTACCCAGTGGTAATATAGAAAAGGAAAGATAAATCCTTGTGTCTTTTCCTTTATTCACCAGAAAATGAGGTGTTTAACTGTTATTTAGGTTACTAATTGTTATGTATTAATATCATTATGAAATTATGAATGTAAATATATTTGATGGGTTTCATACCATTTTAACTACTAGTTCTATTAAAGCTCAAATTGTCCCATCTCTGCCCAGTAGGAGCCTCTTTAATTTTGCTCCTGAGTTCAATTTGACAGAACAAAAGTAGATTCCTATGGCGTTCTTGTTATCTGATATAATTACATATTATAAGCTTATCATGTACCCTTCCTATCCAAGACCTTTTATGTGTAGAGAAATGGAATCACCTATTTCTCCAAAAAGCCCTGTTTTATTTTAGTGGAAAATTGTATTAAAGATCATCACTACAGTGTTGACCATTGTTTCTAGACCTTTTCTATGGATAGAGATAGGAAATAATATATGTGTGTATATATATATATAATTATATATTTATAATATATAATTATACTCATATATAGTTTATATGTTATATGGATCAACATATGTAAGTTATATGTAAGAGTATAATTACCTATTATAAATATTTATATAGACAATGTACCTTATATATAAATTACATATTCACAATATGTGAAATATGCATGTATCAGAATTTTACATATGACTTGTACATATAATTTTCCATCTCTGTACATAATTATTTGTGACTTCATTTTAGTACTTCCAATTCTAATGCAGTAATATGAGGCTTCTATTTATTATTTACTATTTTATATCTCCTTCTTTCTACATGAAAAGCCCTGCTTCTCAAAACCACAGCAGATGATAGAATTGAACTATCACACAATTGCTCATTTGCTTGATCCAATAACATAAAAACAGTCTCAGAATAACAAGACTAAAACTATCATTCCAATACAGTGATTGAAAATGTTTAAATTTTTGTATATGTCATCTCCCCATATCCTCTTCATTTTATTTTGTAATTGTGTTATATCTACATTGATATAATATATAACCATCTACATACATACTTTTTTTCATTTAGTCACACTTTCACAGGTCCTTATGTATTAAATGATTACCACTGGTAAATTTGTTGCTCTCTCTCCCAGTAATTTTTGTTGTTTGAAACTTATTCTTCAGATTTCTCAGAAAGTGATCTGAAAAAGATATTCTTCAAGTTCTTACATGTTGATGACAGTTTTTGCTTTTTACTCTTTAAGTCAGTTCTTCTGGAGGCAAAATCTTTGCCCACATTTCCTTTTCGTGAGCACCTTAAATATGTCATCCCATTTACTTATGGCCATAAAGCATTGTAAAAGTATCTAATGACAATATAATTTTCATTTCATTATAAGTTACGTGTTCTTTTTAAAATCTATATGCCCAGAAGACTTTTATTCATTTATTCTTCTTTTTTGCTTAAAGCCCAATAATTTTACTTGAATATATGACCAGGGCTGTGTAATGTGCTCTTTTCCCAACACCAAAGGGTGAGTATAATGCAAGCCTGACTTTAGTCCTCACTGTTTTGAGCAGTTTGCTCAAAAGGTCAAGAGACTATAACTATCCATCTACCTGTAGAATGAGTCTATAAACTGGTGAAATGCCAGTGATTTCTACTCCTTTACCTACTCACTGGCCTATGGGCACTGACTTTCTGACCATGGAAATTCATTTTTTCCCATTGTGTGGATATCTTGATAAGCAAATACAAGTTTTTATGTCCTATGAGACAACCACAACAGCGAGCATATTCATTAATTTAATTAGAACTTGTTTACACTCTTGCTGTCAACCATAATCATTTGTTTATTTGAACTAAAGTCACCTGACTTCATTAGAAGCATCAGTAGCTGTCAGTAAATGAAAGTGTGCTTGACTTTCATAATCAAGTGTAAATTTAAGAGGCTTATACAGCAGGTGATGTTTTCACAAGATGACAATAAAAATCAAGGACAGGGTCCTAGTTAAACTTAACCTTTGTGATAAAGTTAAGGATGGGGCACTAATTAACGTAGATGCTGCTTTCTGACAATATTCCTCATTTGTTCTTTAGTTCCAAAGTTCATTGCTTAGCCTTTTCTTTTTCAAAACAGAGTATGTTCAAGTTAGTTAATGAAGGCCCTGCATGTAGGTTTTATAGAATGTCATCTCACTTTGAAAATGGCATTATCTCTCTGGTCCAACCTAGGAAAATTGATATTGATCAAAAAGAAAAAAACCCTGAAGTTTCTTCTTCCGATCATCTTTTACCATTAACAGAAAATGCAATGTGTGGTGAAAAGAGGATAAATTTGGAGTCAAAGATTTGAAGTTTGAACTCTGGTTCTATTAATTACCAGCCAAGTAAACTTGAATGAGTTACTAAGTCTCTCTGTGTTGCAGTATCATCATCTGAAAAGTGGAAGATGTTAACATATTTGTTCTATTTCAAATAAAATACTGAATGGGAAAAATGGTGTAAACTACACAGTGATAGATCATTTCTTTGTACGATGTTTTGTCAAGGGCTTATTTATGATGGAATTTCAAAGTGAACATGGTAACTTGGTGTTGAGTAGGATTTATTAAACTATTTTCTGCAGAAACATACCGAGCAATTAATATTAAAACACATTTTATGCATTATGTGGTGGCAGAAGGGAAGAAAAAAATTTTAGAGATCATATACCCGTCCCCCAATGCAATAGCAATATTAATGTAGATTCATTTCAAATTATATTGTCTCTTTTGGATTGGCTTGAGGATTATGGGTCTTTTTTTTTTTTTTTTTTTTGAGACAGGGTCTTGCTCTGTCACCCAGGCTGGAGTGCAATGGCATGATCTTGGCTCACTGCAAACTCTGCCTCCTGGGTTCAAGCAATTCTCCTGCCTCAGCCTCCCGAGTAGCTGGGACTACAGGCGCGCCACCACACCCGCCTTATTTTTGTATTTTTAGTAGAGACGGGGTTTCACCATGTTGGCCAGGCTGGTCTCGAACTCCTGACCTTGTGATCCGCCCGCCTCGGTCTCCCAAAGTGCTAGGATTATAGGCGTGAGCACTGCGCCCGGCTGAGAATCATGTTCTGAAAGTAATGTATACATCCTTTTACCTTAATAAATACTGTCTAGCCAACAAAACTGAATTTTTTAATTAATGGATTGGAATTGATCAGTTGCCTTAGGATCATCCTTTTTATTATTATTATTGTTTGTTTGTTTTTGAGGCAGTGTCTCACTCTGCCCCCCAGGCTGGAATGCAGTGGAATGATTACAACTCTGCAGCCTCAACCTCCCAGGCTGAAGTGATCCCCCCACTTCAGCCTTCTGAGCAGCTGGAACTACAGATGTGTATCACTACACCTGGCTAGTTTTTTAAATATTATTTGTAGAGATGGAGCTTCGCCATGTTGCCCAGACTGGTCTCAAACAAACTCCTGGGCTTAAATGATCCACCCACCTTGGCCTCTCAAAGTGCTGACATTACAGATATGAGCCAACATGCTCAGAAGACTCGACATTGCTTATACTAGCTCTTGCTGATATAAACAGGGCCTGGATGCCAACAAAACTATGAAGAAAACCAAGTTTCTCGTTGGCTATTTTCCTATACCCATGACCCCCACTGGCATCTTCTTTTTGGCATGCTCCCATCCCTACCCAGCTGCCTATTTTCTAACCAGCTTCTGTCCTAACCTGGATGTTAACTCAGTAGATACCTCATAATTGGGATGTTAGAAAATAACCAGTTTAAGGCACATATCCTCTCGGTGTTATTGGTGTTTTATGAGGGGGAAAGAGAAGGCACTAAAAAGATGAAATGTAAAGGTGAACGATTGGTAGGTGGTATATTATGTGGGAAATTAAATATTTTGCTCAAAGAGTTTTTAAGTACAAAAAGTGCAGAGTTTTGAATCAGATCTCTCCAAAGCAAGAAGGCTATAGAAGAAACAAATAAACAAAACTTATAAAATCCTGATGTTGACTTATTTTCCTGTGGTTTGTTTCTTTCTCACAAACATAGACCATAGAATAAGAACTGAATTAAATTCAGGCACTAATTATTTAGGTTCTTATTAGTCCTGGTTTTACCCCAAATGGCAATACAGAATATATTAATAATGGTCAAAGGCTACTGAAAAGAATGAGTGGGTCCTGTTTTGTGTCAAAGTTCATAACAAGGGAGGGGATTTGTACATAAAGAAAAAGGAATTCACACCTAGCCACCTGAATATCATTTAGTACATGTTCACAGCTAATATCACCAAAGTCTACAATTCTTTGAGCTCATAACTAGGAATTAAGACAAAAACGCAGTTCTGAACAAAGTAGGCAGCCTTGGACTCTGCCTTATACATTGGTCCCCAGCTCTTTTCATGACACAAAGCTGCCATTATAGGGGTGATAGTCCTGGGGCCAGTTTCACTGACTCATAAGACAAAGTATTTTATTCTTGACTGTGGGAAGCTTCAAAAAGCACAAAAAGGTGCATCACTGTGAGTGTCACTGTCTTCGTTAAATTAAGTTTATTTGAGGAAGTTACTGAATATGGAGGACTAGATTTGGTAATCCAAAGTCAACTCTTCCCCAAGCCCCACCAAGAGTCACCTTCACCTAGTATAACTGGAAAAAAAATTCTGCCTCTACTCTTTCCTTAATTATCCACTTAATAGCTGCTTCTCAATCCGATATATTCTTCCTTGTTGCTCTTACCTTCACTGAATAACCATTGTTTGTTTTGGTGCATAGTGCTGCCTGGAAATTTGGGACAATTTACTCCTTGATGTCACCCTGCTACCAATACTTTTGCTTATGTGGAGGAGATGATGTAGAAACATTTACTTAATCTTTATTACATCTACACAATAAAGTAGTTCTAAGTATTTAAAACATACATTAGTAGACTTTAATAAAAATTGCAGGTAATAAAAGGAAATTACAATATATGAAAGAAAAATGTAAAAGTGTATACTAAGTATGACCATATACAAATAGTTCAAATGAAAAGTATCTTAAGCCCTTTGTGTGTTATTTATTTATTTACTTATTTTAATTTTTAATTTTGGGGGTACATAATAGATGTATATACTTACGGGGTACATGAGATACCCTTACACAGTCATACAACACACAATAATCATATCATGATAAATGGTTATCCATGCCCTCAAGTGTTTCTCTTTTGTATTACAAAAAATACAATTAACTCTTGTAGTTATTTTTAAATGTATAATAAAATTATTATTGACTATATTCACCCCACTTGTACTATCAAGTACATAGTCTTATTCATTCTTTCTAATCACTTTTGGTATCCATTGGCCATCCCGCCTCCCCCCCAACTACTTTCCCCAGCCTCTGGTAACCATCCTTCTATTCTCTACCTCCATGAGTTCAATTGTTTTAAATTTTAGCACCTATAAATAAGTGAAAACAGGTGAAATTTGTCTCTTTTTGCCTGGCTTATTTCACTAAACATAATCATCTCCAGTTCCATCCATGCTGTTGAAAATGACGGAATCTCATTCTTTCACATGACTGAATAGTACTCCATTGTGTATATGTATCACGTTTTCTTTATCCGTTTTTCTATTGATGACACTTAGGTTGCTTCCAAATCTTGGCTATTGTGAACAGTGCTGCGACAACCATGGAAGTGCAGATATCCCTTTGATATATTGATTTCATTTCGGGTGTATAATTAACAGTGGTATTGCTGGATCATATGCTCATAAGATTATAGCTCTTGGTTTTTGTTTTTTTGAGGAACCCCCAAACTCTTCTCCATAGTGATCGTACTAATTTACATTCCCATCAGCAGTGTACAAGCATTCCCTTTTTTTTCCACATCTTTGCCAGCATATTTTCTTATGTGTCTTTTGGATATAAGCGACTTTAACTGGGGTGAGACGATATCTCATTTCAGCTGTGATTTACATTTCTCTGACAATCGATGTTGAGCACCATTTTATATACTAGTTTGCTATTTGAATGTCTTCTTCTGAAACATGTCTATTCAAATCTTTTGCTCATTTTTTAATCAGACTATTAGATTTTTTCCTAAAGAGTTAGTTACTTGAGCTCCTTGTATATTCTGGTTATTAATCCCTTGTAAGATGGGTGGTTTGCATACATTTTCTCCCATTCTGTGGGTTGTCCCTTTGCCTTGTTGATTGTTTCCTTTGCTGTGCAGAAGCTTTTTAACTTGATGTGATCCCATTTGTGTATTTTTGCTTCGGTTGCCTGTGCTTGTGGGGTATTGCTCAAAATGTTTTGCCCAGACTAATGTCCTGGAGACTTTCCCCAATGTTTTCACAAAATAGTTTTATAGTTTGGGGTATTAGATTTAAGTCTTTAATCAATTTTTATTTGATTTTTGTATATAGCAACAGATAGGTGTTTAGTTTCATTCTGCTGTATATGGATATCCAGTTTCCCCAGCAACCAATGTATGTTTTTGGAAACTTTGTCAAAAATGCATTCACTGTAGGTGTATGGATTTGTTTCTGGGTTCTCTATCCTGTTCTGTTCATTTATGTTTGTTTTGCTATCCCTCTGTAGCATAATTTGGTGTCAGGTAATGTAATTCATCTAGTTTTCTTCTTTTTGCCCAAATTAGCTTTGGCTATTCTGGGTCTTTTGTGGTTCCATAAACATTTTAAGATTGTTTTCTCTATTTCTGTGAAGATTGTCATTGGTATTTTGATAGGGATTGTGCACTGAATATGTAGATTGCTTTGAGTAGTATGAACATTTTAACAATGTTGTTTCTTCCAATTTGTTAACATGGAATATTTTTCTATTCCATGTGTCTTCTTCAATTTCATTCATCAGTTTTTTAAAATTTATTTTCATTGTAGAGATCTTTCACTTCTTTGGATATGCTAGTTCCTATTTATTTAATTTTATTCATGGCTATGGTAAATGGAATTACTTGTTTTATTTTTTTTTCAAATTGCTCACTGTTGGCATGTAGAAATGCTGCTATTTGAATAATGATTTTTCATCCTGCAACTAAATTTGGTGATCAGTTTTAGCAGCTTTTTGCTGGACTTGTTTTTTTTTTTTCAAATATAAGATCATATCATCTGTAAACAAAGATAATTTGACTTCTTCCTTTCCAATTTGGATGACCTTTATTTCTTTTTCTTGTCTGATTGCTGTAGCTAAGATTTCCAGTACTATGTTTAATAACAGTGATGAAAGTGGGCATACCTGTCATGATCCAGATC
Source organism: Homo sapiens (assembly GCF_000001405.40). Taxonomy (NCBI): domain Eukaryota; kingdom Metazoa; phylum Chordata; class Mammalia; order Primates; family Hominidae; genus Homo; species Homo sapiens. Next base: position 99,278,556 of record NC_000023.11, on the reverse strand, counting down.
TTAGAGAAAAGACTTTCAGTTTTTTCCCATTTAGTATGAAATTAGCTGTGGATCTGTCATATATGGTTGTTATTATGTTGAGGTATTTTTCTCCTATACCCAGTATATTGAGGATTTTTATCGTGATGGAATGTTGAATTTTATCAATTTTTTTTTCAGAATCAATTGAAATGATCATGTGGATTTGGTTCTTAATTCTGTTGATATGATGTATTACATTAGTCAATTCACATATGTTGAACCATTATTGCATCTCTGGAATAAATCACATGTGGTCATGATGAATAATCTTTTTAATGTATTATTGTATATATGACGTATCAATATTCATCAGAGATACTTGCTTGTGGTTTTCTTTGATGTATCTTTTTCTGGTTGTGGAATCAGGGTAATATAGGCCTCATAGAATAAGTTTGGAAGTATTCCCTCCAATACTTTTTGGAATAGTTTGAGTAGGACTGGTACTCGCTCTAATGGTTTGGTAGAATTCAGCAGTGAAGCCATTGGGTCCTGCACATTCCTTTGCTGGGAGACTTTTTATCACAACTTTGATCTCATTACTTGTTATTTGTCTGTTCAGGTTTTGGATTTTTTTTTTCAATTTTGATAGGTTGTATGTGTCTAGGAATTTATCCATTTCCTCCAGATTTTCCAATTTACTGGCATATAGTTGCTCACAGTAGCTGCTAATGATCCTTTAAATTTCTGAGGCCTCAGTTTAAATGTCTCCTTTTTCAACTCTGATTATATTTATTTAGATTGTCCCTCTTTTTTTCTTAGTCTGGATAGGGTTTGCCAATTTTATTTATCTGTTCAAGAAACCAATTTTTTACTCCATTGAGCTTTTGTATTGTTTTCTTTGTTTCAGTGTCATGTATTTCTGCTCTGATGTTTATTATTTTCTTTCTTCTACTAATTTTGGGTTTGGTTTGCTCTTACTTCTCTAGTGCTTGAAGATGCATTGTTAGGTTATTCATTTGAAGTTTTTCCAATTTTTTGATGTAGGCACTAATAGCTATTAAGTTCTCACTTACTACAGTTTTCACTGAATCTTACAGGTTTTGGTATGCTGTGTTTCCATTACCATTGTTTCAAAAATTTTTTAAATTTCATTCTTAATTTTTTCATTGATCCATTGGTTATTCAGGAGCAGATTGTTTAATTTCCATGTATTTGTATATTTTCTAAAATTCCTCTTGTTGTTGATATGTAGTTTTATTTCATTGAGGTCAGAGAAGATGCTTGATATTATTTTTGTTTTTGAATATTTTAAGACTTGTTTTGTGACCTACATATGGCCTATCTTTGAGAGTGATTCATGTGCTGAGGAGAAAAATGTGAATGATTCAGCCATTAGATGAAATGTTCTGTAAATATTATTAGATCTATTTGTTCTCATGCAGACTATGTCCAATGTTTCTTTGTTGATTTTATGTCTGGAAGACCTGCCCAATGCTGACAGTAAGGTCTTGTAGTCTCCAGATATTATTGTATCATGGTCTATCTCTCTATCTCTAATAATATTTAATATATATATTTGGGTGCTCCAGTTTGGCTGCATATATATGTTCAACTATTATGCCCTTTTGCTGAATTGACTCCTTTTATCATTATATAATGACCTTGTCACTTTTTATAGTTCTTGTCTTAAAATGCAATTTCTCTGAAATACATATGTTACTTCTGCTCTTTTTTGCTTTCTGTTGATGCGGAACAGCTTTTTCCATCTCTTTGTGTGTCTTCATAGGTAAAGTGTGTTTTCTGTAGGCAACAGATCAATGGGTCTTGTTTTTTTATTCATTCAGCCACTCTATGGCTTTTGATGGGAGAGTTTAGTTCATTTACAATCAATGTTATTATTGATAAATAAGGACTTACTTCTGACATTTTGATATGTGTTTTCTGGCTGTTTTGTGATCTTCTCTTCCTTCTTTCCTTCCTTCCTATCTTCCTTTTAGTAAAGGTGATTTCCCCTACTGGTATAATTTAATTTCATGCTTTTTAATTTTTATCCTTGTAGGTTTTACAATTTAAGATTACCATGAGGCTTGCAAATACTATCTTATAACCCATTATTTTAAACTAATGACTACTTAACAGTGATTGCACAAACAACAAACAAACTAATAAACAAGTCAAAAGAAAACTAGTAAAAATTCTACTTTTAACTTCATTCCCCTGCATTTTAACTTTTTGTTGTTTCTATTTATAACTTACTGTACTATCTATGTCTTGTAAAGTTGTAGTAACTATAATTTTTGATGGGTTCTTTTTTTTAGTTTTTCTACTTAAGAGTAATTTACACACTACAATTACAGTGTAATATTCTTTTGTGTTTTTGTGTGTGTGTGCTTACTATTACCAGTGGGTTTTATACCTTTAGATGATTTCTTATTTCTCATTAATGTCCATTTCTTTCAGATTGGAGAGCTTCCTTTGGCATTTCTTGTAGAACATAACTGGTGTTAATGAAATGCTTCAGCTTTTGTTTTTCTGGAAATGACTTTTATTCTCCTTCATACTTGAAGGATATTTTCACCAGCTATACTATTTTAGGGTTATAGTTTTTTTCTTCAACACATTAAATATATCATACTACTCTCCCCTGGCCTGTAATGTTTCCACCAAAAAATCTGCTGCTAGATGTGTTGAAGCTCCCTTGTATGTTATCTGTTTGTTTTTTTCTGCTGCTTTTAAGATCCTTTCTTTATCCTTGACTTTTGTGAGTTTGATTATTAAATGTATAGAGGTAGTCATCTTTGGATTAAATCTGCTTGGTGTTCTATAAACTTTCTGTACTTGAATTTTGGTGCCTTACTTTATGTTTGGTAAATTTTCTGATATTATCCTATTAAATAAACTTTCTACCCCATCTCTTTCTCTGCCTCCTCTTTAAGACCAATAACTCTTAGATTTGCCATTTTGAAGATATCTTTTCAATCTTTTAGGGGTGCTTCTTTTTTTTATTCTTTTGTCTCTACTGACTGTGTTTTCAAAAAGCCTGTGGTCAAGCTCACTAATGCTTTCTTCTCCTTGATCAATTTTTCTATTAAGAGAAGAATTAATTTCTCACTATGTCAATTGTACTTTTCAACTCTAGAATTTCTGCTTGATTCTTATTAAGTATTTAAATCTCTTTGTTTAATTTATCTGATAGAATTCTGAATTCCTTCTCTGCATGTTCTTGAATTTCTTTGAGTTTCCTTGAAGCAGCTATTTTGAACTCTCTGTCTGAAATGCTATATATCACTGTTTCTCCAGGATTTGTCCCTGGTGCCTGATTTAGTTAGTTTGATGAAGTCAGGTTTTGCTTGATGATATTCATGCTTGTGATGTTTGTTGGTTTCTGAGCATTAAAGAGTTAGGTATTATTTCAGTGTTCACAGTCTGGGCTTGTTTGTGCCCCTGTTTCTTGGGAAGACTTTGTAGGTATTCAAAGAGACTTGGGCCCCAAGCTGAATGATGCTGTGGTTCTGACAGACTCTTAGAAACACTGCCTTGGTAGTCTTGGGTAAGATCCAGAATAATTATCTGTATTAACAAGCAGAGACTCTTATTCTCTTCTCTTACTTTCTCCCAAAATAATGGAGTTTCTCTCTCTGTGTTGAGTCACCTGGAGCTGAAGTTGGGGTGATGCAAGCACCCCTGTGGCCACCACTACAGGGACTATTCTGAGTCAGACCTGAAGCCAACATGGCAATGGGTCTCACCCAAGGCCTACTGCAATCACTATCTGGCTATAGCCTATGATCACTCAAGGCTCTAGGGTTCAACAGTGAGCAGGCAGGGAAGCCAGCCAGGTCTTTCACTTCATGGTGGCAAGGTTACCCTAGCCCTGAGTAGGTCTAGAGATCCTTCTTAGAGCCAGGCATTTGTGTCAAGAACCTTAGATATCTACAAAATATTCTATTCTACTGCACCTAAACTGGCTCTCAAACCATAAGACAAACCCCATCCCACTCTTCTCTCCCCTTTCTATGGGAATAAGAACCTCTCCCATTAGCCACCACCACCACCAACTTATGGGGGTTTCTGCTAGGTCACCATCAATATTCACTTAAAGGCCAGTGGCTCTTGAGTCAGCTTGTAGTGCATGCTGCCAGGTCTGGTACTCACCCTTTAGGTAAGTGGGCTTCCCTCTGGCCCAGGTCAGGTCCAGGAATCCTGTCCAAGAGCATAGTTGTATTTGCGGACCCCAGAAGCCTGCTTGGCTTAGCCCCTCACTGTGGCTTAGCTAATACCTAAGGTGCAAGACAAATTCTGTTTTACTTTTATCTCCGCTCTTCTCAAGCAGGAGTCTCTCACTGTAGCCACCAAAGCTGAGAATGTGCTTTGTGTCACCTTTAAGCCAGCACATTTAAGAGTCTCACCCAAGTTTCATGGCATACTACCTGTGTATTGCTGTTGGTTACTCAGGATCTAAGGGCTCTTTAGTCAAAAGATGATAAATCTTGCCAGGACTGGGTCCTTCCTATCAAGGCACTTGGTTCCCTTGTGGCCCAGAGTGTGTCTAGAAACGTTATTTGAGAGCTAGCCCCTGGTGTCTCATGACTCTGCTCATTGCCCTATCCTATTAAGTCTGAGCTGGTTTCCAAGATACAAGGCAAAATTCCTCTTTACTTTCCTTTCCTCAAGTGGAATGAAAGATTCACTTTCATTGCTGCAAGCTGTACTGCCTGGGGTCAAGGGAGGGGTGGTCATGTGCTGTCCTAGTTCTCTGGCTCTAAACACATCCCAGGACTAGGACTTCCCTAGGAATTACAACTGTAATTACAACTGTAATTCCTATGGAATTACAACTGTAATTACAACTGTAATTCCTATGGAATTACAACTGTAATTACAACTGTAATTCCTATGGAATTACAGACTTCCATGCAAGTTTATCTAGGACCCCAGAGCGCTTTAGCCTGTGGTGGTGAGTCTTGCTGAAACTCAAGTTCTGACCACTGAGATGGTCAATTCCCCTCTGGCTAAGGATGCTGCAAATCCTCCCTTCGTGGTTGGATGCCAACTGAGCCCAGCGCTGCTTTGCTGTCTGCTGTGACAGGTCAGCACTGAGCTCAATGCCAAGCCCTCCAGTTGCTGTATTCTCCCTCTCCTAAGTGCGCAGTTTTTCTCTCTATGCCATGTGGCCACCGCTAGGGGATGAGTGTTGTTGGTGATTCCAGACTGTCTTTTCTACCCTCTTCAGTGCTTCTTTCAGTGATATGAAGTTAGAACCAGGTACTATGATTGCTCATCTGATTTTCAGTTCTTATGGCAGTGCTTGTTGTGTGTGTAGTTTGCTGTTATAATTTGGTGTTCCCACAGTGGTGATGCTAGGTAGAAGCTTCTATTCAGCCATCTTGCTCCCCCTTCCCTCCATGTGTTTATTATTCATGGGCTCCAATAGTTCCTAGCCTTATTATTATGCTTCAAGGTTTAGTCTTTCTACTCTCTATTAAGAGAATTCTCCTTTTAAAGAGTATACAGTACCAGTTTTCAACTATTGGGAAACCTCAGTCTAGCTAAGAATTGGGCTTTCTCTCCAGGCTCCATTACCCCGACCACTACTGCCAAGTGTAATTCAAAGGACACAATATCATGAAAACATATATTTCCCAACAATCTGAGTTATGAATAAAAACTTACAGCCATGGATGAAGTGGAAAAAATGTTTGGGTGAGGAGCATAAAATCTCTAGCAAAAAAGTCAAAGATGGGCTTCCTCTCACCAAGCTCCATTTACTTGAAGTAAACATATGGTTTTCTCTAATCTAATTTCTCATGATCATCAAAGGTTTAACTGTTATCTCTTCTCTGTCTCACACACAGGTGCACACACACTCGCAAGCATACTTATCAAAGAAAAATTATAATTCTCAAAGGCAATAGAGTCTAGGTACAGGTTAAAAAGTATTGATATATACTATACGTAGGGCAGAACAAAATTATAAATTTGGTAATTTTATATTTATATTACTATAAATAAACTATTATATATGCTAATATTTTGTATTTATGTTATTATAAATTAAAATGGTCACATTTCTCCCTATACTCATTTTATCTTATCACTTCTTTTGTGTATATATTTGCCAAAAGTCTACCAATAGGAAATAGGCCTCATTACTACACTCATTTCAAATGACAAAACCTATCACTGTAGTCTACCTTCTGGCTACTCAAGTATTTAGAAAATCTTCTTAATTATAATATCTATTTTCTTTGGTTGGCATCAAATTCTTATGAAGGGTTTTAGGGGAGCTAAAGAGTAATGTGGTCAGCTCATTTCAAGCAACAGAAGGATGTATTAATTACTGGTTCATACAGTTATCAAAAGTCAGGGATTGACGAGCTATTTTGATTATGGCAGATGGCAGGCAGGACTAGATAGCGGCTCTGACTCAGATGGACAGAGCAGCATGTGGAGTCTTGCATCATAAATATTTGCTCCAGAATGACTGCAGGAATCAATCAGGAAACCTGAGAGAACTCACAGACCCACTAAAGGAAGCAGATTGGTCCTGCAGGACCTGGGAGACACCCCAAATACTCAGCTGCAGCAAGACCCACCCAAGGAGAGTCTGAGCTCATACACGTCTAGCTCGGCCCCCAATAATGGTCCTACCCACCCCGTAACTAAAGACAAAAGGCATACGTTCTTGGGAGTTCTAGGGTCCTGCCCACCGCCTGTTCCTCCCTATACAACCATAGCTGATACTTTCTGGAAAGCGCCACCTCCTGGCAGGAGGCCAACCAGCACAAAAATAGTGCCTTAACCAACAAAGCTAAGAACTTAAGTCCATTTTAGCCCCCTGCCACCTCCACTGGAACAGGTGCTGTTATCCACAGCTGAGAGACCCACATGTGGTTCGTATCACAAGACTCTGTGCAGACAACGCCCAGTACCAGCCTGGAGCCTAGTAGACTTGCTAGGTGGCTAGATTTAGAATGGAGATAACAATCACTGCAGCTTGGCTCTCAAGAAGCCACATCTATAGGTAAAAGGGGAGAGTACTGCATCAAGGGAACACCCTGTGGGACAAAAGAATCAGAACAACAGCCTTCAGCCCTAGACCTTCCCTCTGACAGAGCCTACCCAAATAAGAAGAAACCAGAAAACCAAACCTGGTAATAGGACAAAACAAGGTTCTTTAACACCTCCAAAAATTCACACTAGCTCACCAGCAATGGACCCACACCAAGAAGAAATCCCTGATTTATCTGAAAAAGAATTCAGGAGGTTAGTTATTAAGCTAATCAGGGAGGCACCAGAGAAAGGTAAAGCTCAATGTAAGAAAATCCAAAAAATGATAAGAAGTGAAGGGAGAAACATTCAAGAAAATATATAGCATAAATAAAAAACAATCAAAATTTCAGGAAACAATGGACACGCTTATGGAAATGGAAATATGTTCTGGAAAGTCTCAGCAATAGAATTGAACAAGTAGAAGAAAAAATTCAGAGGTCAAAGACAATGTATTTGAATTAACCCAATTCAACAAAAGCAAAGAAATAAGAACAAGAAAATATGAACACAGCCTCTGAGTAGTCTGGGATTATGTTAAATAACCAAACCTAAGAATAATCGGTGTTCCTGAGAAAGAAGAAAAATCTAAAATTGTAGAAAACATATTTGAGAGAATAATAGAGGAAAACTTACCTGGCCTCACTAGAGACCTAGACATCCAAATACAAGAAGCACAAAGAACACCTGGGAAATTCATCCCCAAAAGATCATCACCTAGAGACACCTATTCCAGGTGCTAGCTCTCACTATTTTCACATTATCTAAAGTTAAGACAAAGGAAAGAATCTTAAGAGCTGTGAGACAAAAGTACGAGGAAACCTATAAAAGAAAACTTATCAGATTAACAGCAGATTTCTCAGCAGAAAACTTACAAGCTAAAAGGAATTGGGTCCCTATCTTAAGCCTCCCCAAACAAAACGATTATCAACCAAGAATTTTGTATCCAGCAAAACTAAGATTCATATATGAAGGGAAAATACAGTCTTTTTCAGACAAACAAATGCTGAGAGAATTCACCACTACCAAGCAACCACTAAAAAGGAGATCTAAATCTTGAAACAAATTCTGGAAACACATGAAAACAGAAACTCTTTAAAGCATAAATCTCAGAGGACCTATAAAACATAAAATACAACTTAAAAAACAACCAAAAAATGTATGCAGGCAACAAATAGTAAGATAAATGGAATGGTACCTCACATCTCAACACTAACATTGAATGTAAATGGCCTAAATGCTACACTTAAAAGACAGAATTGCAGAATGGATAAGAAGTCACCAACCACTGTCCGCTGCCTTCAAGAGACCCAGCTAACACAAAAGGACTCACAGAAACTTAAAGTAAAGGGGTAGAAAAAGGCATTTCACACAAATGAACACCAAAAGCAAGCAGGGGTAGCTATTCTTATATCAGGCAAGACAAACTTTAAAGCAACAGCAGTTAAGAGAGACAAAGAGGGACATTATACAATGGTAAAAGGCCTTGTCCAATGTGAAAATATCACAATCCTACACATATATATCTACCTAACACTGGAGTGCTAAAATTTATAAAACTATTACTAATAGACCTAAGAAATGAGATAGATAGCAACACAATAATAGTAGGGGACTTCAATATTCCACTGATAGAACTAGACAGGTTATCAATACAGAAAGTCAACAAAGAACCAATGGATTTAAACTATACCCTGGAACAAATGGACTTAAAAATATATACAGAACATCACATCCAAGAACTGCAGAATATACACTCTATTCAACAGTGCATGGAACTTTCTTCAAGATAAACCATATGATAGGTCACAAAACTAGTCTCAATAAATTGAAGAAAATTGCAATTTTATCAAGCACTCTCTCTGACCACAGTGGAATAAAACTGGAAATCAGCTCCAAAAGGAACCTTCAAAACCATGCCAATACATGGAAATTAAATAACCTGCTTTTGAATGATCAGTGGGTCAAAAATGCACTCAAGATGGAAATTAAAAAATCTTTCAAACTAAATGACAATAGTGACATGACCTATCAAAACATCTGGGACACAGCAAAGGTGGTGCTAAGAGGAAAGTTCATACCCTTAAACACCTACATCAAAAAGTCAGAAAGAGCACAGACAATCTAAGGTCTAGATTGTTTAGAGAAACCTCAAGGAACTAGAGAAATAAGAAGAAACCAAACCCAAACCCAGCAGAATAAAGGAAATAACCAAGATCAGAGCAGAACTGAATAAAATTGAAACAAACAGACAAAAAAAATACAAAAGATAAATAAAACAAAAGGTGATTATTTGAAAAGATAAATAAAGTTGATAGGCCATTAGCAAGATTAACCAAGAAAGAAGAGAGAAAATCCAAATAAGCTCAATATGAAACAAAACGGGAGATATTACAACTGACACCACAGAAATACAAAAGATTATTCAAGGCTACTATGAACACCTTTATGCACATAAACTAGAAAACCTTGAAGAGATGGATAAATTCCTGAAAACATACAACCCTCCTAGCTTAAATCAGGAAGAATTAGATACCCTGAACAGGTCAATAACAAGCAATGAGGTTGAAATGGTAATTTAAAAATTACCAGCAAAAAAGTAAGTCTACCAGACATTCAAAGAGTAATTGGTACCAATCCTGTTGACATTATTCCACAAGATGGAGAAATAGGGAACCCTCCCTAAATCATGCTATGAAGCCAGTTTCACCCTAATACCAAAACCAGGAAAGGACATAACCAAAAAAGAAAACTACAGACCAATATCCCTGATGAACATAGATTCTAAAATCCTTAACAAAATACTAGCTAACCAAATTCAACAACATATCAAAAAGATAATCCACTATGATCAAGTGGTGATGCAGGGATGATTTAACATATGCAAGTCAATAAATGCAATAAACCACATAAACAGAATTAAAAACAAAAATCACACGATCATCTCAATAGGTGCAGAAAAAGCATTCAACAAAATCCAGCATCGCTTTATGATTAAAATTCTCAGCAAAATCGGCATACAATGAACATACCTTAATATAATAAAAGCCATCTATGACAAACCCACAGCAAACATTATACTGAATGGGGAAATGTTGAAAGCATTCCCTCTGAGAACTGGAACAAGACAATAATATCCACTCTCACCACTCCTCTTCAACATAGTACTGGAAGGCCTAACCGGAGCAATCAGACAAGAGTAAGAAATAAAGGGCATCCAAATCAGTAAAGAGGAAGTCAAACTGTCACTGTTTGCTGACGATATGATCGATTACTTCGAAAACCCTAAAGACTCCACCAGAAAGCTCCTAGGACTGATAAATGAATTCAGCAAAGTTTCTGGATACAAAATTAATGTACACAAATCAGTAGCTCTTGTATACACCAACAGCAATCAAGTTGAGAGTCCAAATCAAGAAGTGAACCCCTTTTACAATAGCTGGAAAAAATTAAAATCCTTAGGAATATACCTAATCAAGGAGATGAAAGACCTCTACAAGGAAAACTACAAAATACTGCTGAAAGAAATAATAAATGATACAAACAAATGGGAACGCATCCCATGCTCATGGATGGGTAGAATTAATATTGTGAAAATGATCATTCTGCCAAAAGCAATCAACAAACTTATTGCAATTCCCATCAAAATACCACCATCATTCTTCACAGAAATAGAAAAAACAATTCTCAACTTCATATGGAACCAAAAAGGAGCCTGCGTAGCCAAAACAAGACTAAGCAAAAAGAACAAATTCTGGAGGCATCACATTACTTTATTTCAAACTATACTATAAGGCCATAGTCACCAAAACAACATGGTACAGGTATAAAAATAAGCACATAGACCAATGAAACAGAATAGAGAACCCAGAAATAAACTGAAATACTTACAGTCAACTGATCTTCAACAAAGGAAACAAAAACATAAAGTAGGGAAAGGACACCCTATTCAGCAAATGGTGCTGGGATGATTCGCTAGCCACATGTAGGAGTGTGAACGTGGATCCTCATCTCTTACCTTATAGAAAAATCAACACAAGATTGATTAAGGACTTAAATCTGAGACCTGAAATTGTAAACATTCTAGAAAATGACATTGGAAAACCCTTCTAGACATTGGCTTAGGCAATAATTTCATAACCAAGAGCCCAAAAGCAAATGCAATAAAAACAATGATAAATTGATGGTAATTAATTAAACCAAAAAACTTTTGCAAAGCAAAAGGAACAGTCAGCAGTGTAAACAGACAACCCACAGAACGGGAGAAAATATTTGCAACCTATACATCTGACAAAGGACTAATATCCAGAATTTACAATGAACACAAACAAATCAACAAGAAAAAAAACAAACAATTCCATCAAAAAGTGGGCTAAGGGCATGAATAGACAATTCTCAAAAGAAGATATACAAATGGCCAACAGACATATGAAAAAATGCTCAGCATCACTAATAATCAGGGAAATGGAAATCAAAACGACGATGTGATACCACCTTACTCCTGCAAGATGACCATAATCAAAAAAATAAAAAAATAGTAGGTATTGATGTAGCTGTGGTGAACAGGAAACACTTCTTCACTCCTGGCAGGAATGTAATCTAGTACAACCACTATGGAAAACAGTGTGGAGATTCTTTAAAGAACTAAAAGTGGAAATACCATTTGACCCAGCAATCTCACTACTGGGTATCTACCCAGAGGAAAGGAAGTCATTATATGAAAAAGATACTTGCACACACATGTTTACAGCGGCACAATTTGCAATTGCAAAAGCGTAGAACCAACCCAAATGCCCATCAATCAATGAATGGATACAGAAACTGTGGTATATATATATATATATATATACAATGAAACACTACACAGCTATAAAAAGGAATGAATTAATGGCATTCACAGTGACCTGGATGAGATTGGAGACTGTTATTCTAAGTGAAGTAACTCAGAAATGGAAAACAAAATATCATATGCTCTCACTCATAAATAGAAGCTAAGCTATGAGGATGCAAAGGGATAAGAATGACACAATGGACTCTGGGGACTCAGGAAGAAAGGGTGGGAAGGGGGTGAAGGATCAAAGACTACCAATAGGGTGCAGTGTATACTGCCCGGGTGCTGGATGCACCAAAATTTCACAAGTCACCACTGAAGAGCTTACTCATGTAATCAAGCACCACCTGTTCCTCAATAACTACGGAGATTTTTTAAAAAGATCAGATATTATGGTTTCATTATTCTCCCAGTCACACCCTCTGTATGTGAGTTAATGAATTGGTGAGGGAGTCAGTGAACACACAAGTATCTAAGTTGTAATCTTAGCCATATTTGCTGACACAGACCATGGTTTACTAAAACAGGGTAGGTTGTTCACTGTGATTATTTAGTCAATAAGCCAATATCCCTTTATTCATTTTAGTCTAAGCATAAATAATGATATTCTTGGTAATTCTTGGAAGCACACAAACTATTGAGCAAGCACTAATAAAATTTAGGTATTTTTTAACATCTGTCCCTATTATGTTCCAATTGAAATAATTTTCCCTTACACATCCTTGTTTGGGTTTAAGAAAAAAAAGAGTTATTCCAAAAACTAGGTCAAAATGTATGTATTTTAAAAATTAGAGAAGGTTATGCCAGAATGATGCTTGTAAACGTTCTCTTTTTCTTTGTGTCTACACACACACACACACACACACACACACACACACACACACACACAGAGAGAGAGAGAGAGAGAGAGAGAGAGCACTAAGTGGAAAAGCTGCAGGCTGGACAACCAAATCTTACTAACTTATTTTCTTTTCAAAACTCTTAATAATTAGGAAATATAATATGCAACTCTTGCATTCCTAACCATGCCAGCTAATGTAATTAAAATTTGCCAGAGAATGATGATAAGACAAAAGTAGGATAGACAGCTAAGGTGTACATTTGTATATATGTACTCTCAGCAATAAAAATATGTTTTACAAAAAGAAACCCAAGCAGTATAATGTGATTTTGTAAGTTATTATCATTCGAGGAAATGAAGCTTGATGTACCAGTTTTGCAACTTCGTTACTCAACCTATTTCAAAATAAAAGATAGAAAAGGAAAAAATAACTAGTGCAAAATATATAGTGTGTATATATTTTTTTAAAAAGCCTCTAAATAACACATGATTTGCAGAGAAAAAAAAATGCTCGAGGATTGAGTCAACTGAATTTTCTAGTAAACCCAAGTGGTTTTTCCCCTATAGACTTTACAAAATGGTTACAGAGGTTACATTGTGCCACGTAATATGCATGTCCAGTTTATTCACATTATCAGTTACTTATCTTTATAAAATTCCTTATGTTATAGAACTCTGAGCTTCTGAATAAGATTATGAGTTTTATGACAATAGAAGTGGCACTTTACTTTTTTTAAGCATAGAGCATCATCCTTGGTGAATAGTAGTAGCTTAACAAATTTTTTATGGTTAATAACTTTATCTGTTCTTATATTAGATATATCCTGGTATTAATTGTTTAGTATTCATTTATTATTTCTAAGAGCCCTCCAATTTCATTTTGATCAATTTCCTCTTCCCCACTAGATGCAATCTGGTGGAAAAGAAATCAGCATCCACCTACACCCACACCCCTAGCAAAAGAATGAGTACATACTGTGCAATTAGCTGTTCCCTCTCTGGAATTCTACTTGAGCTAAAAGACAAAAGTAGTAAAAACAGTTGGCATTCATTCATCACAGCAGTTAACTCCTGACCAAAATGACTGCAACAGAGACTGCTAGTTGCTACTTAAATTCTAGATTCTCATCTCTCTTAGTGTTACTACCACTAATGTGAGCTCCACACATGCTTATCGAGAATAAAGTCTAACTTTCTCAGTCTCATTTACATCTATGTGTGGTCATGTAACAAAGTCTGGGCTAAAGACATGAGAAGAAGTAAGGCGTGAAATTTCTGAGATGCATCCTTAAAGTTAGTAAACACCCCGTGTCTTTCTCCTTTCCTTTATTCTACTACTTGCAATATTATCAAAGTGATGAGTTTGGACCATGCATATGGGAAATATCCTACTGCTCACAGAGAAACAGGATAAAACAATTATTGATCCATGGATAACCTGACACACAGACACACACAGACACACACAGACACACACAGACACACAAATAGTAGGTAATGTTATCACAGTTTCATAAGAAACCGATAGCTCAGATAAACAAAAATTAGTAAATAAAATACTAGAAATGTAAATATAATAAGCTTTATCAAATGCTCAACAAATAGAGCATTTCTTCAGTTACACAAGGAAGATTTACAAATCTGAGTATATACCAGAATACCTTAACAAAATTCTAAGAATAGGTAACATGCACATCAAAGTTACTAAACATGATGTAAATGAATTAGAAGCTAACATTTAAGAATTTTTAAAATCCCAAAATGCACTGCTAAGTAACTTATAGGTTAAATAAAAAATTACAATGAAAATTACAGAATATTTATAATTTACTATCAATAAAACACTATGTGGAGAAACATTTTTAAGAAAATCTTTAAAATCCAGAAATACACAGAGAATAATATAAAATATTCTTGCATAATAAAGAAGTTAACTTTTTAAATTTTTGTTTCAATTTTTTATTTGGAAACAAATATCATAAAAGTAAAGTTGGAGTTTTGCTGTTCTCCTAACCAATGTCATAATCCTCCCTCCCTAATTCCCCTGAATCATCTTCTTTCATGATCATGTCATATGTCCTACTGTATTAGTCAGGATTCTCTAGAGAAACAAAACCAATAGGAGAGATTATACCTATCTATTTCTCTCTCTCTCTCTCTCTCTCTATATATATATAGAGAGAGAGAGCGTGATGATTAATACTGAGTGTCAACTTGATTGGAATGAAGGATGCAAAGTATTGATCCTAGGTGTGTCTGTGAAGGTGTTGCCAAAGGAGATTAACATTTGAGTCAGTGGGTTGGAAAAGGCAAATCCACCCTTAATCTGGGTGGGCACCATCTAATTAGCTGCCAGCATAGCTAGAATATGAAGCAGGCAGAAAAATGTGAAGACTAGACTGGCCTAGTCTCCCAGCCTATAACTTTCTCCCATGTGGATGCTTCCTGTCCTTGAACATCGGACTTCAAGTTCTTCAGTTTTGGGACTCAGACTGGCTCTCCTTGCTCCTCAGCTTGCAGACAGCCTATTGTGGGACCTTGTGATTATGTAAGTTAATGTGTGTGTGTGTGTGTGTGTGTGTGTGTGTGTGTCTATCTCCCATATGTATCTCCCATATATATATATACACATATATATATACACACATATATATACACACATATATACACACACATATATATACACATATATATACACACATATATATACACATATATATACACACACATATATATACACATATATATACACACAAATATATACACATATATATACACATATATATATATAAAATTCATTCTGTCCCCCTAGAGAACCCTGACTAATACATACATAGAGAGAGAGAGAGAGAGAGAGAGATTAAATATAGTTAGCTACCTGTATCTATTTATAGCTTTTACTTTCTCTCTGATTTTACACATACTGTCTCTCAGATATCATTGTAAATTCTGAGAGAGAGGGAGAGGGAGAGAGAGAAAGAGTGAAATCTTGATTTTTTAAGAAATTGCTCATGCCATTAAAAAGGTTGACAAATCCCAAGACGTGTGTAGGGTGAGTTGAAAAGCTTGAGACCCAGGAGAGCTCCTGGGTTCAAACAATCCTCTTGTCTCAGCCTTTTGATTAGCTAGGACTAAAGTCATGCACAACAATGTCTGGCTATTTATTTATTTCAGTTTTTTTAACAGATCATGTCTTGCTATGTTCCCACGGCTGGACACAAATTACTGACCTTAAGCAATCTCCTCCCACGGCAGCCTCCAAACATGCTGGGATTGCATGCATGAGCCAACACACTTGACCTGCTATATATATTTTTAAAAACTATACACATGTTATCACAATCTATATTTGTTTCTGCAACTTGGTTTTTACTCAAAATTATGTTTTGATTACTACCTTTATTGATATGTTTAGATTAAGCTCATTCATTATAAGTGAGTCAGGTAGTTCATCAATTAAGTAAACCGTAATTTATTTGTTCTCCAATTTTCCACTTTTACAATTTGTGTCCTTGGATAGATCTCCAGGTACACACGTACAAAAAGTTAATCAAGGACATGTATCAATAACCAAAATATCTAGTTTATAGGCTACACATATTTTCAAATTAATCTGATAATATCAAATTACTAATCAAAGTGATTGCATCAAGTTGCACTCCCTCCTGCTTTCAGTATTGAACAGATCTTCTAGAAAGAAAATAAAAAAAAAGAAACATCAGACTTAATCTGCACTATAGGCCACATGGATCTAACAGATATTTACAGAACATTTCATCCAAAAGCTGCAGAATGCACATTCTTTTCCTCTGCACATGAATCCTTCTCAAGGATAGACCATATGTAAGGTGATGAAACAAGTCTTAAACATTCACAAAAAAAATGAAATACTCTCAAGCATCTTCTCTGAACACAGTGGAATAAAACTAGAAATTAATGAAAGTAGGGATTTTTGAAACTATAGAAATACATGAAAATTAAACAATATGCCTCTGAATGGCCAGTGGATCAAAGAAGAAATTAAGAAGAAAATTGACAAATTTGTTGAAACAAATGATAATGGAAACATAACATACCAAAACCTATGGGATACAGCAAAAGCAATACTAAAAATGAAGTTTATGAGTGCCTACATCAAAAAAGAGGAAAAACTTCAAACAATCTAACAATGCATCTTAAAGAACTAGAAATGCAAAATCAAACCAAACCCAAAACTAGTAAAAGAAAAAAAAAATAAAGATCAGAGCATAAATTTGAAATGAAGAAAACATTATAAAAGATCAATAAAATAAAAAGTTGATTTTTTTTGAAAAGTTAAAGAAAATTGACAAACCTTTAGCTAGACTAAGAAAAAAAAAAGAAGATTCACTTCTGGGAAAATGGTTGATAGGAGGCAAGACTAACTTGCAACTCCCACTTGGATGGACAGAGCAGCATTTGGAGACCCACATTACGAACTTTTGCTCCAAGAACTACCACAGGAACATACCAAGACAGCCTAGAGAATACACAGAGCCTTTGAAGGAAGTGGACTGCCACTGCAGACTCTGTGGGACAGCCAAGGAACTCTGAAGACAAATAACATAATCTCTTGGGAGCCCTATAGTTCTGCCCACTGCCTGATCATCCCTATACTACCACAACTGATTCACTCTTGAAAGCACCACCTGCTGGCTGGAGGCCAACTAACACAAAACCAGTGCGTTTAACAAAAATACAACAAAAGACCCTCACAGAGTCCACTTCAATTCCCTGCTACCTCCACCAGAGCAGGTGCTGGTATCCATGGCTGAGAGACCTGAAAACTGATCACATCAAAGGACTCCGTAGACACTCCCCAGTATCAGCCTAGAGCCCAATAGCTTCACTGGGTGGTTGGAATCAGAAGAGAAGTAACCATCACTGAAGTTTGACTCTCAGGAAGCTCTATCCCTAAGGGAAAGGGGAGAGAATCACATTAAGAGAACTCCCCATGGGACAAAAGAATATGAACAGCACCCCTTGAGTACAAGATCTTCCCTCTGACATAGTCTACCCAAATGAAAAGAAACCAAAAAAACAATCTTTGGTAATATGACATAACAACGTTCGTTAACATCCCCAAAAGATCACACTGGCTCACTAGCAATGGATCCAAACCAAGACCAAATCTCTGAATTGCAAGAAAAATAATTCAGAAGGTCAACTATTAAGCCAATCAAGGAAGCACCAGAGAAAGGTGAAGTCCAGCTTAAAAAAATGAAAAAATGGATACAGGCTATAAATGGAAACATCTCCAGAGAAAAAGATAGAATAAATAAGAAACAATCACAGCTTCTGGAAATGAATTGCAAAATGCACTGAAAAGTCTCAGCAATAGAATCAAACAAGTAGAAGAAAGAACTTCAGAGCTCAAAGAGAAGCCTTTTGAATTAACGCAATCAGACAAAGACAAAGAAAAAAGAATTTAATAAATGACCAAAGCCTCCAAGAGGTTTGGGATAATGTTAAATTATCAAACATTAGAATAATTGGTGTTCCTGAGAAAGAAGAAAAATCTACAAGTAAGGAAAACATATTCAAGGGAATAATTGAGGAAAACTTCCCCAGCTTTGCTAGAGAGCTAGACATCCAAATACAAGAAACTCAAAGAACACCTGGGAAATTTATTGCAAAAATAGTCATCATGGTTATATAAAGTCAAGATGAAGGAAAGAATCTTAAGAACTGTGAAGTAAAATAATTAAGTAACGTATAAAAAATAATAACCTGTCAGATTAACAGCAGATTTCTCAGCAGAAATCCTGCCACCTAGAAGGGGTTGGGATCTTATCTTTAGCCTCCGTAAATAAAACAATTATCAGCCAAGAATTTTATATCCAGAAAAACTAAGCTTCATAAATGAAGGAAAAATATAGTCTTTTTCAGACAGACAAATGCTGAGAGAATTTGCCACTACCAAGCCAGCACCACAAGAACTGATACAAGTAGCTCTAAATATTGAAACAAATTTTGGAAACACACCAAAATAGAATCTCCTTAAAGAGGAAATCTCAGAGGACCTATAAAACAATTACACAATGAAAAAAAAAAAAGGTATTCAGGCAACAAATAGCATAATGAATAGAATAATACCTGACATCTCAATGCTAACCACAAATGTAAATGGCCTAAATGCTCCACTTAAAAGATACAGAATGGCAGAATGGATAAGAAATCACCAACCAAGTATCTGCTGTCTTCAAGAGACTCCTTTCACATTAAGACTCACACAAATTTAAGGTAAAGGTGTGGAAAAAGATATTCCATGCAAATGGACACCAAAAGTGAGCAAGAGTAGCTATTTTTATATCAGAAAAAAAATTTTTTAAGTAACAGCAGTTAAAAATGACAAAAAGGGTCATTATATGATGATAAAATGACTAGTCCAACAAGAAAATATCACAATGCTAAACATAGATGCACCTAACACTGGAACTCCCAAATTTATAAAACAATTACTACTAGAACTAAAAAATAAAATAGATAACAACATAATAATAGTGGGAGGTTTCAATACTTCACTGACAGCACTAGACAGGTCATCAAGAAAAAAAGTCAACAAAGAAACAATGGATTTAAACTATAACCTAGAACAAATGGACTTAACAGATATTTACAGAACATTCTACCCAACAACTGCAGAATATACATTCTGCTCATCAGCACATGGAACATTCTCCAAGATAGACCATATGATGGGCCACAAACAAGTCTCACCAAATTTAAGATAATTGAAATTATAGCAAGTACTCTTTCAGACCACAGTAAAATAAATTTGTTAATCAACTCCAAAAGGAACTCTCAATACCATAAAAATACATGGACATTAAATAACCTGGTTCTGAATGATCATTGGATCAACAATGAAATCAAGATAAAAATTAAAAAATTCTTTAAACTGAATAATAGTAACACAACCTATCAAAACCTCTGAGATACAGCAAAAGTGGTGCTAAGAGGAAACGTCATAGCATTAAGTGCCTACATAAAAAATTCTGAAAGGGCATAAATAGACAATTTAATGTCACACTTCAAGGAACTAGAGAAAAAAGAATGAAACAAACCCAAACACAGCAGAAGAAAAGAAATAACCAAGATCAGAACAGAACTACATGAAATCTAAACAAAAAAATAGAAAATACAAATGTAACTACAAGCTGGTTCTTCAAAAAGATATATGAAATTGATAGAAAATTAGCAAGATCAACCAAGAAAAGAAGATCTAAATAAGCTCAATTAGAAATAAAGCATGGGATATTACAAATGATAGTACAGAATTCAGTGAAGACAGTATCACTCAAATACCACAAAGAGTAAAGGACATAACAAAAACATTAAACTACAGACCAATATCCCTGATGAACACAGATGCAAATATCCTCTACAAAATACTAGCTAACTGAACGTGACAGCATATTAAAAAGATTATACGCCATGATCAAGTGGGTTTCATACCAGGGATGCAGTGATAGTTTAACATATCCAAGTCAATAAATGTGATACACCACATAAATAGAATTAAAAACAATAACCATATGATCATCTGAATAGATGCAGATAAAGCATAGGCAAAATTGAGCAGCCCTTTGTGATTAAAACCCCCAGCAAAATCAGAATAGAAGGGACATGCCTTAAGATAATAAAAGCCATCTATGACAAACCCAGA
This sequence comes from Homo sapiens, assembly GCF_000001405.40. Taxonomy (NCBI): domain Eukaryota; kingdom Metazoa; phylum Chordata; class Mammalia; order Primates; family Hominidae; genus Homo; species Homo sapiens. The sequence continues at coordinate 99,258,186 of NC_000023.11, read as the reverse complement.
GCCAACATTATACTGAATAGGGAAATGTTGAAAGCATTCCCTCTGAGAACTGGAACAAGACAAGGATGCCCACTTTCACCACTTCTATTCAACATAGTACTGGAACTCCTAGCCAGAGCAATCAGAAAAGAGAAGTAACCAAAGGCATCCAAATTGGTGAAGAGGAAGTCAAACTGTCTCTGTTTGGTGATGATTTGATTGTATACCTGGAAAACCCTAAATATTCATCCAAAAAGCTCCTAGAACTGGTCAATGAATTCAACAAAGTTTCAGGATACAAAATTTATGTACACAAATCAGTAGCTCTGCTATACACCAACAGTGACCAAGCTGAGAATCAAATCAAGAACTCAACCCCTTTTACAACTGCAAAGAAGTTAAAATACTTAGGAATATGTTTATGCAAAAAGGTGAAAGACTTATACAAGGAAAACTACAAAACACTGCTAAAAGAAATCATAGATGACACAAACCAATGGAAACACACCCCATGCTCATGGATGAGTAGAATCAACATTGTGAAAATGACCATACTGCCAAAAGCAACCTACAAATTTAATTTCCATCAAAATACCACCATCATTCTTCACAGAACTAGATAAAATAAGGAGCCCACATAGACAAACAAGAGTAAGAAAAAAGAACAAATCTGGAGGCATGGCATTACTCAACTTCAAATTATACTATAAGGCCATAGTCACCAAAATGGCATGGTACTGTTATAAAAATAGGCATATAGACCAATGGAACAGAATAGAGAACCAAGAAATAAAGCCAGGTACTTACAGTCAACTGATTTTTTAGAAAGCAAACAAAAACAAAACATGGGGAAAGGATACCCTATTCAACAAAATGGTGCAGAAATAACTGGCAAGCCACATGTAGAAGAATGGAACTGGATCATTATCTCTTGATTTATATGAAAATTAACTCAAGTTGGATCAAAAATTTATATCTAAACCTAAAACCATAAAATTCTAGAAAATAACATTAGACAAACTCTTCTAGACATTGGTGTATTTGAAGACTTCATGACCAAGAACCCCAAAGCAAATACAACAAAAACAAAATAAATAGATGGGACCTAATTAAAGTAAAAAATCTTCTGCATAGCAGAAGAAATAACAGAGTAAACAGACAGACCACAGAATGGGAGAAAATATTTGCAATCTATACATCTGACAAAGGACTAATATCCAGAATCTACAGGGAACTCAAATGAAAAAGCAAGAGAAAAACAAACAATCCTATCAAAAAGTGGGCTAAGGACATGAATTGACAATTCTCAAAAGAAGATATACAAATGGCTAACAAACATATGAAAAAAATGCTCAACATAACTAATTATCAGGAAAATGCCAATCAAAACCACAATGTGATACCACCTTACTCCTACAAGAATGGCCATAATAAAAAAAAAAACAAAAAATAATATATGTTCACATGAATGTGGTAAAAAGAGAACACTTTTACACTGTTGCTGGGAAAGAAAACTAGTACAACCACTATGGAAAACAGTGTGGAGATTCCTTAAAGAACTAAAGATAAATCTACCATTTGATCAAACAATCCCGCTACTGGGTATCTACTCAGAGAAAAAGAAGTCATTATATTAAAAAAGATAGTTGCACATACATGTTTATAGCAGCACAATTTGCAATTGCAAAAACATGGAACCAGCCCAAATGTCCATCAATGAATGAGTGGATAAAGAAAACGTGGTATGTATATACAATGGAATCATACTCAGCCATAAAAAGAAATGAAATCATGGCATTCACAGCAACCTGGATGAAACTGGAGACCATTATTCTAAGTGATGCAACTCAGGAGTGGAAAACCAAACATTGTATGTTCTCACTCATGAGGTGAAGCTAAGTTACGAGGATGCAAAGGCATAATAATGATATGATAGATTTTAGGGACTTGGGGGAAAGAGTGGTGGGGTATGAGGGATAAAAGACTGCACATTGGGTACAGTGTTCACTGTTTGGGTGATAGGTACACCAAAATCTCATAAATCACCACTAAATAACTTAATATACCCAAACACCACCTGTTCCCCAAAAACCTATTGAAATAAAAAAAGAGAGAAGATCTGAATACATAAAATCAGAAAGAAAAAAGTAGACATTGCAAATGATACTGTAGAAAGTCAAAGGATCATTAGTGGCTATGAGCAACTACATGCAAATAAATTAGAAAAATCTAGAAGTAATGGAGAAATTCCTAGACACATACAAACTACCAAGATTGAACTAGAAAGAAGCCCAAAATCTGAACAGACCAATAACAAGTAACAGAATTGAATACATAATAAAATGTGTCCCATTATAGGAAAGCCCAAGACCCAATGGATTTACTGCTGAATTCTAACAAACATTTAATAATAACTAATATCAATTCTACACAAACTATTCTGAAAGATAGAAGAGGAGGGAATACTTCCAAACTCATTCTTGCAAGCCAGGATTACCCTGATACAAAAATCAGAAAAAGACACATCAAACAAAGGGAACCACAAGCAAGTATCTCTGATGAACATTTATGCAAGAAAAATCTGAACAAAATCCTAGAAAACTGAATACAAAAATACATTAAAATGATTGTTCATTATAACCAGGTAGGATTAATCCCTGGGATGCAAGGATGGTTCAACATATTTAAATTAATCAATGTGATATCTCATGTCAATAGAGTGAAGGATAAAAACCATATAATCATTTCAATTGATGCTGAAAAAGCAGTTGATAAAATTCAATATTCCCTCATGATAAAAACCCTAAAATACTTGGCATAGAAGAAACATATCTCATTATAATAAAAGCCATATATGACAGAACCACAGCTAATTTCATACTTAACACGAAAAAACTGAAAGCCTTTCCCTTAATATCTGAACATGACAAAGATGCCCACTTTCACCATGGTTATTCCACATAGTATTGGAAATCTCGGCTAGAGAAATCACACAAGAGAATAAAATAAAGATCATCCAAATTAGAATGAAGAAGTCAAATTGTCCTTGTTTGCAAATAATATGATCTTATATTTGGAAAAACCTAAAGACTCGACCAAGAAACTATTAGAACTGATAAGCAAATTCAGTAAAGTTGCAGGATACAAAATCAACAAAAAATTAGTAGCATTTCTGTATGCCAACTGATCTGATTTGGCTCTGTTGTCCCTACCCCAATTTCATGTTGAATTGTAATTCAAGTGTTGGAGATGGGGCCTGGTGGGAGGTGATTAGATCATGCAGGTGGTTTCTAATGGTTTAGTCCCATCCCCCTACTTCTGTCTCATGAGAGAGTTCTCAGGAGATCTGGTTGCTTAAAATTGTGTAGCACCTACCCCTTCACTCTCTTCCTCCTGTTCCAGTCATGTAGGCAGTGCCTGTTCCTCATTCACCTTCCACCATAATTGTAAGTTTCCAGAGGCCTCAGCCATGCTTCCTGTACAGCCTGTGGAACCATGAACCAATTAAACCTATTTTCTTTATAAATCACTCAGGCTTGGGTAGTTCTTTATAGCAATGTGAGAATAGCATAATACAGAAAATTAGGACCTGAAAGTGGGGCATTGCTGTAATGATATCTGGAAATGTGGAAGCAGCTTTGGAAGTGGTTAATGGACAGAGATTGGAACACAGTTTGGAAGGTTTGGAAGGCTCAGAAGAAGACAGAAAGATGAGGGAAAGTTTGGAACTTCTTAGACACTTGATAAATTGTGACAAAATGCTGATAGTGATTTGGACAATGAAGTCCAGGTTGAGGTGGTCTCATATGGAAATGAGAAACTTATTAGGAACTGGGGCAAATGTTACTTTTTTATGTGTTAGTAAAGAGGTTGGAGACATTATGCCCCTGTCCTAGAGATCTGTGGAACTTTGAACTTGAAGTTGATGACTTAGGGTATATGGAGAAAGAAATTTTTAAGCAGCAAAGCATTCAAGAGGTGGACTAGCTGCCTCTAACAGCATATTCTTAAATGTGTGAGCAAAGAGATGATCTGAAACTGGAACTTATATTGAAAAGGTAAGCAGAGTGTGAAAGATTTAAAAATGTAAAGCCTGGCCATGTTGTAAAAAAGAAAAACCCATTTTCTTGGGAGAAATTCAATCTGGCTGCAGAAATTTGCATAAGCAAATAGGAGTGGAATGTTAATAGCCAAGGCAATAGGAAAAATGCCTGAAAGCCATTTCAGAGACCTTTGCAGAAGCCCCTCCAATCACAGGCATAGATACCTAGGAGGGAAGAATGGGTTTATGGGCCAGGCCTCAGGCCCAGGGCCCCACTGACCTGCACAACCTTGGGACACTACTCCCTGCATCCTAGCCATTCTAGCTCCAGCCTTGGCTGAAAGGGCCCCAGATACGTCTCAGTCCACTGCTACAGAGGGTGTAAGCCATAATCTTTGGTGGCTTTCACATGGTGTTAAGCCTGTGGGTGTGCATAGGGTAAGAGTTGAGGCTTGGTTGCTCCCACCTAGATTTCAGAGAATGTATGGAGATACCTGGGTGTCCAGGCAGAAGTCTGCTTCAGGGGCAGAACCCTCATGCAGAACCTCTACTAGGGCATTGCAGAGGGAAAATGTGGGGTTGGAGCCCCCACATTGCATCCCCACTGGGGCACTGCCTAATGGATCTGTGAGAAGAGGGCCACTGTCCTCCAGACCCCAGAATGGTAGAACCACAGAAAGCTTGCACCATGCACCTGGAAAAGTTGCAGGCACCCAATGCCAGTCTGTGAAACCAGCCAATGGGTCTGTATCCTGCAGAGCCACAGTGGGGAAGCTGCCCAAGACCTTGGAAGCCCACCTTTTGCATCATCGTGGCCTGGATGTGAGACATGAAGTCAAAGGAGATTGTTTTAAATCTTTTAGATTTAATAACTGCCCTGCTGGATTTTGTACTTGCATATGGCCTGTAGCCCCATTTGCTTTGGCCAGTTTCTCCCTTTTGGAACAGAAGCATTTATCCAATGCCTGTACCTCATTTTATCTGGAAAGTAACTAACTTGTTTTTTTATTTTACAGGCTCATATAGGTGGAAGGAATTTACCTTATCTCAGATGAGACTTTAGACTTGGATTTTTTAGTTAATGCTGGAATAAGTTAAGACTTTGGGAGACTGTTGGGAAGGCATGACTGTATTTTAAAATGTGAGAAGGATATGAGAGCCAGGGGTGGAATGATATGGTCTAGCTCCCTGTCTCCACTCAAATCTCATGCTGAATTGTAATCCCCAGTGTTGGAGGTGGGATCTGGTGGGAAGTGATCGGATCCTGGGGGTGGTTTCTAATGGTTTAGCATCATCCCCCTACTGTTGTTATGTGATAGAGTTCTCACAAGATCTGGTTGTTTAAAACTGTGTATCACATCCCCCTTTGCTCTCTTCCTCTGTTTCAGCCATGTAGGACCTGCCTGCTTCCCTTTTAGCCTCTGCCATGATTCTAAGTTTTCTGATATGTCGCCAGCCATGCTTAGCATACAGCCTGTGGCACTGTGAGTCAATTAAATCTCATTTCTTTATAAATTACGCAGGCTCAGGTAGTTCTTTATAGCAATGTGAGAACAGACTAATGCACCAACAGTGAGCAATCTGAAAAACAAATCAAGAAAGTAAATCCATTTGCAATAGCCACAAATAAAATTAAATACCTAGGAATTAGCTTAACTAAGGAAGTGAAAGTTCTCTGTAATGAAAACTACAAAACACTGTTGAAAGAAATTGAAGAAGACACCAAAAATGGAAAAATATTCCATGCTCACTAATTGGAAGAATCAATATTGTTAAAATGTCCATACAGCCTAAGGCAATCTACAGATTCAGTATATCAAAGAAATGTTTGCATTTCTATGTTTGCTGCAGCACTGTTTACAATAGCCAAGATTTGGAAACAACCTAAACATTCATCAACAGATTAATGGATAAAGAAAACATGATACATATACACAATGGAATACTATTCAGGCATAAAAAAGAATTAGATCCAGTCATTTGCAGCAATATACATGGAACTGGAGATCATTGTGTTAAATGAAATAAGCTGGCTGGGCATGGTGGCTGACACCTGTAATCCCAGCACTTTGGGAGGCTGAGGCAGGCAGATCATTTGAGGTCAGGATTTGGAGACCAGCCTGGCCAATATGGTGAAACCTCATCTCTACTAAAAATACACACACACACGCACACACACACACACACACAGACAAAAAAGAAAAAGAAAAAAAAACAAATAGCTGGGCGTGGTGTCATGCTCCTGTAGTCTCAGCTACTTGGGAGCTTGAGGCAGGAGAATTGCTTCAACCTGGGAGGCGGAGGTTGCAGGGAGTGGAGATTGTGCCACTGCACTCTAGCCTGGGTGACAGAGCAAGACTCTATCTCAAAAAAAGAAAGAAAGAAAGAAAGAATCCAGGCACAGAAAGACAAATATCACATGTTCTCACTTATCTGTGGAATCTGTAAGTCAGAACAATTGATCTCATAAACATAGAGAGTAGAAGGATGGTTATTAGAAGCTTGGAAGGGTAGTAGGTTGCAGGAGGGGGTGGAAATGAGGATGGTTAATGTAGAAAGAATGAATAAGACCTATTATTTGACTGCACAGCAGGGAGACTATATTCAATAATAACTTAATTGTACATTTAAAAATAACTAAAAGTGTGTTATTGGAGGCGCATAACACAAAAGATAAATGATTGTGGGAATTGATATTCCATTCTCCATGATGTGATTATTTCATGTTGCATGCCTATATCAAAACATCTTGTGTAGCTTGCAAATATGTACACCTACTATGTACCCACAAAAATTAAAAATAAAAAATTTAGTAAAAAATTTGCATTCCCACCAAAAGATGTATTAGAGTCCTTATTTCTCTGCATTTCAACTAGCTCCTGGTGTTGTAAGACTTTTAATTTTTGCTACTACAGTAGATGAGATCTAATTGTTGTTTTAACATCAACTTCCATGATTATCCATGAAACAGATATTTTTCATTTTGGGGAATGAGAATTTTTAGTATCTAAACCCATTTCAAATTTGGAGGAAACCAAGATAGGTTAAAGACAGGATCTCCCTCCTACTACAAAATTTGAGAGTGGGAAGCAGAAACAGATGTTTCTTTTCTCAGTTCTCTGGCATCTAAGGAATAATAATTTTATTTAAGCCCAACAGTTGGATGTTCTCATATCTTTCCACAGCTGCTACATTAAATTTAAGAGTGCATAACGGTGATGCTAGCAGTGATAATAACATGTGTTTCTTTCATTAGCAGGGCCTTATTAAGACTTTCCTATGGTGGGGTCTTGGCAGAGGGTATGCTCCCTTTGTTTCTGATTATTTTTTAATCCTTAGTCTTCCAGGGATTGATTCTATGAGCTGTACATTCAGCTATTTGTTTTTGCTTATAGTCACTAGAATTTTTAATCTGTTGCTTAAAATAATAGACTCCAGCCAGTACAATAGTCAGGAGGAGGTCATAATTACATGTAGACTGAATATATCAGTTTCTACTTTTGTGAATTGCCTATTCATGTATTTTGCTCATTCCTTTTTCCTTTTGAATTGTCTTTTTTCTTAAATTTTTTTGAGTAATTTATATATATTTTTGATATTAACCCATTGTATGTCCTGTGTGCTGCAATTATCTTCTTCTAGTCTGTGAGTTGTCTCTTAAGCTTGTTAATAGTCACTTGGCACATGTCATTCTTTCTAAAATTTTAATGTAATTTTTTCCAATTATTACCTTTTGATATATGCTTTTTATATTTTATAACTTTTGTAGAAATTATTTTAACCTAATTAATAAAAGATATTCTTCTAGGATTGACATCATCAGAAGTGGCAAAATAAGTACATCCGAGAATCCGTTTTTCCATAAAAGCTGAAAACACCAGCAAAAAAAACAAAAAAAAGGCAAAATCAACAATTTCAAATCTCTGAAAGTTAATAAAAGGCTTACAACAATCTAAAGAGCACTTATTCAAGATAAACTGTTGAATCTTTCTAAGAATGGTAAGCTTAGTTGTGATTTAAATTGTCCTATTTGCATCCCCCTCTGATTAGCTCCTTGAAAACCAACAGTCCCATGGCAAAAATCGGATGTTTAGCACTACTGAACAAAGCAAAATGGGCTTGGATCTCCCCCCAAAAACCTCATTCTGAAAGAATTATCATTATTTGAACTAACTGGCATCTCCTTATCGACCCTCACTCACAGGGCATGTCTTCACCTAATCTGACTCAGAGCTGATTCAGCACAAACAACTTTTGCTTTGGGGGAATTTGTTTAAAACAATGAGCAACTATCTACAACATTGCAGGTGGCTTAGGTGACTATAAGAGCTGGGGAAAACAAGAAGCTGACAAAAAAATCCTTAAAAGAGAAACAGAATGAGATGTCAATAGGGGGCATTAAAAATTTCTGACAGATTCCTGGAAATCTAGGTAGAAAGGCACATATGCAGGGCTGTGTGCATGCCCAACACTGTGCATATAAATCCTGAGAAATCCCTAAACTCTCAATTCTGGCTTACCTTGCATCTCTGCACAAGTAGGAAGTGAAGGCTAGACAGAATTGTAAAGTGCCTGCCTGAGCATTGAAGGCATACCACAACACATGCACACACAAAGCTCCTCTACAAAATCTGGAAGACACACAGGCCAAGATGTTTACAGAAATCCCTGTAAAATATTACTAGACCACTAAGCTAACCAAGTAGACACTTAAGTGTTCACATATCATAAGCATGCAGATGTTACAAAATAGCTCAGAAAAGTCAATAAACAATCAACGAGAACAATAACAACAAAAAGCAATAACAAAATAACCTGGAGCTGAAAAGGGGAAAGAGATTCCCAGGGTTGCCACATTATATTATTAAAATTGTTAAACTTTCTTCAAAAATTATGAGATATACAAATAAATGGTATTGTATAGTCCATACACAGGGATAAACCCTGTCAAGGAAAACTGACACTGAAGAAACAAACTTTATACTTTCTAGAAAAGACATATAATTAGCTATTTTATTATTTATGTATTTTTATTTGTATATATTTGAGGGGTACAAGTGCAAATTGTCACATGGATATATTTGTTGCATAGTGGTGAAATCTGGGCTTTTAGTGTATCTATCCTTGGAAAAATGTACATTGTACCCATTAAGTAATTTTTCATCATTCACTCCCCTCGAACCTCTCTCACTCTTCTGATTCTTCAATGTCTATCATTACATACTCTATGTTCATATGTACACATTGTTTAGTTACAACTTATAAGTACAAATATGTGGCATTTGACTTTGTGTTTCTAGGTTATGTCACTTACGATATTGTTCTTTAATTCTATCCATGTTCCTGCAAAGTACCTAATTTCATACTTTTTATGGCTGAAGTATTCCATTGTGTATATATACCATATTTTCTTTATCCAATTATTCATTGGTGGACACTTAGGTTGATTCTATATATTTGCTATTGTGAATAATGGTGCAATATACATATGAGCACAGATATCTTTTTATGAAAATGATTTTTATTACTTTGGATAGATACCCAGTAATGGGATTCCTGGATCAGATGGCAGTTCTCTTTTTAGTTATTTTTTAGAAATCTCCATAGTGTTTTCCCTAGAAGTTGTACTAATTTACATTTCCACCAACAGTGTATAAGTGTTCCCTTTTCTCTACATCCTCACCAACCTATGTTATTTTTGTCTTTTTAATAATAACAATTCTGACTGGGATAAGATGGTATTTCATTGTGGTTTTATTTTGCATTTCTCTGATGATTAGTAATGTTGGTATGTCTTCTTTAGAAAAATGTTTATTCATGTCTTTTCCATTTTTTAATGGGAGTTGTTGAGTTTTTTAGTTCTTTGCATATTCTGAATATCAGTTTCCTGTTGGATGCATAGCTTACAAGTATTTTCTCTCATTCTCAGGTTGTCTGTTCATTCTGTTGATTATTTCTTTTGGTGTTCAAAAGCTTTTTGTATGTTTAAGTCTTATTTGCCTATTTTTATTTTCATTTCTTAGGCTTTTGGGGTCATAGTCATAAATTCTTTGCCTACCCCAATGTCCACAAGGATTTTCCCTAGGTTTTGTTCAGTATTTTTATAGCTTCAGTTCTTACATTTAAGTCTTTAATCCAGCTTTAGTTGATTTTTGTATTTGGTGAGAGATATGGGTCTAGTTACATTCTTCTGCACATGGCATCTAACTTTCCCAGCACTATATTTTAAAAGAGTGACTTTATCCCAGTGTATATTTTTGTTGACTTTGTAAACAATCAGTTGGCTGTGGATACATGGTTTTATGTCTGGGTTCTTTGTTCTGTTCTATTGGTCTATGTGTCTATGTTTATACCAGTAACATGTTGTTTTGGTTACTAAAGCATTGTAGTATAATTTGAATTCAGGTAATGAGATGCCTCCAGCTTTTTTCTTCTTCCTTAGGATTGTGTTGGTTATTCTGGCTCTTTTTTGGTTCCATATGAATTTTAGGATTGTTTTTCCTATTTCTGTGAAAAATTACACGGGAATTTTGATAGAGATTACATTGAATCTGTAGATTGCTTTGACAGCATGGTAATTTTAATGATATTCTCTGATTCATGAACATGGGATGTTTTCCATTTGTTTGTGTCATCTACATTTTCTTTCATCAGTGCTTTGTAGTTTTCCTTGTAGAAATCTTTCCTCTCCTTGGTTAAATAAATTCCTAGGGTTTTTGGTAGCTATTGTAAAATGGATTGCCTTCTTGATTTATTTCTCCAGTAGATTTTCATTGGTGTATGGAAACACTATGGATATTTGTACATTGATGCTGTACCCTGAAACTTTACTGAATTCATTTATGAAATCTAAGAGTTAATTATGGAATCTATAGGGTGTTCCAAATATAAGATTATATTATCAGTGAACAGAAATCATTTGACATTCTTTTTTTTAAAATTTGGATGCCTTTTTTTTTCTTTCTCTTGCCTAATTGCTCTGACTAGGACTTCCAGTGCTATGTTGAATAGGAGTAGTGTAAAAGTTGGAATCCTTCTCTTGTTCTAATTCTTAGAAGGAATGCTTTCAACTTGCCCCAGTTCAGTATGATGTTGGCTGGGTAGTTGTAGTATATGGTCTTTATTATTTTGAGGTATGTTCCTGCTATGCCTAGTTTGTTGAGAATTTTTATTGTGAAGGAATGTTGGATTTTATCTAAAAGTTTTTCTGCATCAATTGAGATGATCATTTGGATTTTGTCCTTAATTTTACTGATGTGACATATCACATTTATTGATTTAGTATGTAGAACCATCCTTGCATCCTTAGTACAAAACCAATTTGATAATGGTGTTTTACCTTTTTAATGTGTTGTTGGATTTGGTTTGTTAGCATTTTGTTGAGGATTTTTGCATCTACATTAATCAGGGATATTGATCTTTAGTTTTCTTTTTCTGTTATGTCTTTGGGTTTGGAATTACGGTAATAATAACCTCGAAGTCTCCCAGTATTATTGTACTACTGTCAATTTCTTTCTTTAGGTCTAGTAATGTCTGTCTTATGGACCTGGGTATTTTTGTGTTAGGTGCATATATTTTAGGGTTGCTGGATCCTCCTGCTAAATGATTTCTTTATCATTATATAATGACCTTCTTTGTCTCTTTTTCCTGTTCTTGATTTAATGTTTGTTATCTGATGTAACTGTAGCTACTCCTGCTCACTTTTCTTCTCCGTTTGCATGGAGTATTTTTGTAATCCCTTTACTTTCAGTCTCCCAGTGCCTGTCCTGACAAGGTGAATTTCTTATAAGCAGTGTATAGTTAGATCATGTTTGTTTGTTTTTTTTTTTACTCATTAAGCCAAACTATATGTTTTGATTGGAGCATTTAATCTATTTATATTCAAAATTAATATTGATATGTGAAGTTTTATTTCTTTCATAAAGTTAATTGTTATCCAGTTGTTACATGGATTATTTGTTCCTTTATATATCTCTGTCTGTCTTTGTGTTTAGGTGGAATTCAGTCAATTTGCCAATTGAATTATTTATCTTCCTCTTTGTGTGATTGTTTCATGAGACCTATGAGCTTTCTACTTTCATGTGTTTTTCTGATGGCAAATATCAACCTTCTGTTTTTTTGTTTAGGAGTCCTTTGAGCATTTCTTCTTGGATGGTTCCAATGGTGACAAATTCACTCAGTGTTTGCTTGTCTGGTAAAGACGTTCTTTTGCCTTTATTTATGAAGTTTATTCTAGCTGGATATAAAATTATTGGCTGATTTTTGTTCTTTCAGCACTTTGAAAATATCAAGCTATTTTCTTCTGGCTAGTAAGGTTTCTGTTGAGAAGATCTCGTTTGTCTGATGGATTTCTGTTCGTCTGACTAGATACTTTTCTTTTGGTGATTTTAGAATTTTTCCATCATGTGGATTTTAGACAGTATAATGTCTATATGGCATGGTGAAGTCCATCTTCTCATTTATGTGTCTGAGGATCACTAGGCCTCATGTATCTGAATGTGTATATCTCATGTCAGACTTGGGAAGTTTTCATCAATTATTACTTTAAATAGATTTTGTAAACTTAAAAAGTTTTCTTCCTCCTTGGGAACACCAATAATTCTTAAATTTACTTGATATAGTCTCATATGTCTCTAACCCCCTGTTTATTATTTTATATTCTTTTTACTTTATTTTTGTCTGACTGAATTAATTCAAAAGGCCTGTTTTCAAATACTCAGATTCTGTCTTTTGCTTTGTCTAGTCGGTTGTCCAAGCTTTCAAGTGTATTTTGTAATTTCTTTCATAATTACTATTTTTCAGATTTTTTTTGTTTTTTGTTTTTGTTTTTGCTTTTGTTTTTTGTTTGGAATTTATCTGTTTGGTAAATTTCTTATTCGTATCCCAAGTTGATTTTATGATTTCTCTATATTGGCTTTCAGATTTCTCTTGTACCATTGAACCTCTTTAAAGTCAATATTTTGTATTAGCTAACCAAACCCAACAACACATCAGAAAGATAATACACCGTGATCAAGTGGGTTTTATCCCAGGGATGCCAGGATGGTTTAGCATATGCAAGCCAATAAATTTGATACACTACATAAACAGAATTAAAAACAAAAACCATGTAATCATCTCAATAGGTGCAGAAAAAACACAAAATAAAATCCAGTACCCCTTTATGATAAGAAACCTTAAACAAACTAGGTATAGAAGGGATGTACTTTAAAATAATAAAAGCCATATAGGAAAACCTACGGCCAACATCATGCTGAATGGGGAAAAACTGAAAGCATTCTCCCTGAGAAACAGATTAAGACAAAGATGCCTACTTCAACCATTTTTATTCAACATGGTAGTGGAAGTCCTAGCCAGAGCAGTCATCCAAGATAAAGAAATAAAGGGCATTCAAATTGGAAAAGAGATAGTCAGACTATTGTTGTTTGCTTATTGTATGATAATATATGTAGAAAAAACCTAAACACTCCTCCAAAAGCCTCCTAGATTTGAAAAAATGAATTAACTAAAGTCTCAGGTTACAAAGTCAATGTACACAAATAAGTAGCACTGCTGTACACCAACAATGGCCAAGCTGAGAATCAAATGAAGAACTGGATTCCTTTTACAATTGCTGCAAAAAAATGCCTTGAAATATACTTAATCAAGGACATAAAAAAATTCTAAAAGGATAATTACAAAACACTCCTGAGAGAAATCATAGATAACACAAACAAATGGAAACACATCTCATGCTCATGGATTGGAAGACTCAATATTATGAAAATGACCATACTGCCCAAAGCAACCTATGGATTCAATGCAATTCCTATAAAAATACCAACATAATTTTTCACAGGATTGGATAAAATAATCCTAAAATTCATATGGAACCAAAAGAGAACCCCAATAACCAAAGTAATCCTAAACAAAAAGAACAAATTTGGAAGCATCATGTTACCTGACTTCAAATTATAATACAAGGTTATAGTTGCCAAAACGACATGGCACTGGTATAAAAGTACGCACATAGACAGACCAATGGAACAGAATAGAGAACCCTGAATTAAAGCCAAATAATTAAAACCAACTGATCTTTGAGAAACCATACACAAACATGAATTGGGTAAAGGATAACCTATTTAATAAATGGTGCTGGGAAAACTGGATAGTTATATCCAGAAGAATGAAACTGGATCCCTATCTCTCACCTTATACAAATATCAACTCAAAATGGTTCAAAGACCTATATCTAAGGCCTGAAACCATAAAAATTCTGGAACATAACCTATGAAAAACTCTCCTGGACATTTGCCTAGGCGAGGAATTTATGACTAAGATCCAAAAAGCAAATGCAACAAAACCAAAAATGAATACATGGGACCTAATTAAACTAAGAAGCTTCTACCTAGCAAAAGAAATAATCAGCAGACTAAACAGACAACCCACAGAGTGAGAGAAAATATTCACAAACTATACATCTGACAAAGGACTAATATCCAGAATCTATAGGGAACTCAAATAAATCAGCAAGAAAAAAACAAATAATCCCTTCAAAAAGTGGGCAAAGGACGTGAAGAGACAATTCTCAAAAGAAGATGTACAAACGGCCAATAAATATATATGAAAAAATGCTCAACATCACTAATTTTCATGGAAATGCAAATTAAAACCACAAGGAGATAGTACCTTACCCCTGCAAGAATTGCCATTATTAAAAAGTTAAAAATCAATAGATGTTGGCATGGATGTGGTGAAAAGCAGTGCATCCGCTATGAAAAATAGTAGAGGAGAGTTATTAAAGGACTAAAGTAGATCTACTATGTGATCCAGCAATCACACTACTGCGTATCTACCCAAAGAAAAATAAGTCATTATATCAAAAATACAGCTGCACTAGTATGTTAATCACAGTACAATTCACAATTGTGAAGATATGGAACCAACCTAAGTGTCCACTGATGAATGAGTGGATAAAGAGAATGTGCTATATATACACCATGGAATACTACTCAGCTACAGCCACAAAAAAAGAATGAAATAATGTTTTTCAAACCTACTCAGATGGAGCTGGGTGTCATTATTCTAACTGAAGTAACTTAGGATGGAAAATCAAATGCCATATGTTCTCACTTATAGGTTGGAGCTGAAGCTATGGGTATGCAAAGGCATAGCTAGTGCTATAATGGACTTTGGAAACTCAGAAGGGGGAGATTGGGAGGGAGGGTAAGAGATAAAAAACTACATATTCAGTACAATGTATGCTACTTGGGTGATGGGTACACTGAAATCCTAGAGTTCACCACTACACCATTCATCCCTGTAACCAAAAACCACTTGTGCCCCAAAAGCTATTAAAATAAAAAAAATCAATATTTTGCATTTTTATTTAGCATTTTGAGGGTTTTTTTTTTTTGATTAGGCTCCATTGCTAGAGAGTTATAGTGTTCATTTGGCAGTGTCATAATACGTGACTTTTTCACGCTTTCTGTATTATTACACTGATTTCTACACACATTGAGTAACAATTGCTTCTTGTTATTTTTTAACTTACTTTCATTATGGCAGGTCTTATTTTTCTCGAGGATGTATCTGTAATGCATGTTGAGTAGGGCTCTTTGTCTTCACTTCCGTGTGTGTGCAGTGGCAAAGACTCTATAATTTTTTTGGCTATAATTACCCATCATATGGTGGCTTTTTCAAATGCTGATTACAGTAGCAGTGTACAGGGTGGGTGAGCAGATTCATGACCTCCTGAGCAGCTGGGGTACCAGTGGTTGCAAGTAACTTGTCTCCTTCCACAGCACTGTAATCTTGTGTCAGCAGTCATTGTAATGGGCTGTATAGGCCAACCTCCAGACCAGTAGGTGGTGCCTGTAGGTAAAAACCAGCTGTGGTGGTCACAATAGGTTTTATGCTTGATCTTTGTTAAGCAGGAGAAGTGCTCTGGTGTCCCAGGTGGTGAGTCAGACCAAGGAATGCTCAGGGGCCTGGGTGGCATCCTCTGTCTCAGAGAAGGTTGACTAAGCCGGGTAGAGCTGGACCTTGGAAACCTGCACTCATGCCCCCCGATGGCAGATGCAGGCATCTACCTTGATGGGGGCGGGGGGCAGGATCGTCTTCAGGCTTGTGGCAAAATACCAGACTGAGGATCAGTGCTGCTCTGCTGAGTTCTCAGCATAGGGAGAGGGGGCAGTTCCAGTGCAACAGCCTTGGCCAGTGGAAGTGAAATTCACTTGCCTCTCATCTCCAGACTTGATAGTCTCACTGCCCCATCCTGACTGTGTATATTCAATATATTAGCACTTAATACAATTTTGAATGCAAAGATTACACATATTGTTTAATCAAATATATATGTATTTAATTTGTGGGATCTTAAGATAACTCTATAAGCAACGATCTGAAAATAAAATTAAGAAACTACTTCATTTATGAAATCATCAAAATATCCTCAGGCACATACATCAATGGTGTTAAACTGAGAGTCCAGAAAGAAACTATGGTTAATTATTTTTACTAGGATGCCAAGATAACACTTTGGGGAAACTACAGTCTTTTCAATAAATAATGAAGTAACTATTGGACCCTTGCCTCACACCCTATACAAAAATTAGCAAAAAAAAAAAAAAAAAAAATTGATCAAATGCCTAAATGTAAGAGCTAAAGTTATAACATTCTTAGAAGAAAACACAGGCAAAAGTCATTGTTACCTTGAATGTGGCAATTATGTTTTAGACGTGATCTTTAAAGATGAAGAAACAAAAGAAAAATAGATAAATGGAAATCTATCAAAATTTGAAATATTTGTGCTTCAAAAAACACCACGAATAAAGTGAAAATACAATTTACAGAATGGGAGAAAAATACTTGCAAATTATATATCTGACAAGAACAAGTCTTGGTGAGAATGTGGAGAAATTGGAACGCTACATTGCTAGGAGTAATGTCAAATGGCTCAGCCACTTCGGAAAACAGTCTGGCAGTTCTTCAAAAAGTTAAATACAGATTTACCAAATGACCTAGGAATTCCACTCCTTGGCATATAACCAGGAGAGGTGAAAATGTATGTTCACAAAAACACTTATATACAAATGTTCATAGCAGCATTAATTATAACAGTCAAATTGCCATCAACTGATGAATGGATAAATAAAATGTGATATATTCATATAATGAAATATTATTCAGCCATAAAAAATGAAGTATTGATACATGCTACAACTTGGAAGAATCTTGAAAACATTATGGTAAGTGGAAGAAATCAGACCCCAAAAAAAGGCTACATATGAATGATTCAATTTTATGAAATGTCAAACACAGGCACATCCACAGACAAAAAGTTGATGAATTGTTACCAGCGCTCAGAGAGAGAATGAAATAAGATTAAGTGCCAATGGTTATTGGGTTTCTTTATTTTATTTTATTTTATTATTATTATACTTTAAGTTTTAGGGCACATGTGCACAATGTGCAGGTTTCTTACATGTGTATACATGTGCCATGTTGGTGTGCTGCACCCATTAACTCGTCATTTAGCATTAGGTATATCTCCTAATGCTATCCCTCCCCGCTCCCCCCACCCCACAACAGGCCCCAGTGTGTGATGTTCCCCTTCCTGTGTCCATGTGTTCTCATTGTTCAATTCCCACCTACGAGTGAGAACATGTGGTGTTTGGTTTTTTCCTTGCGATAGTTGGCTCAGAATGATGGTTTCCAGCTTCATCCATGTCCCTACAAAGGACATGAACTCATCCTTTTTTATGGCTGCATAGTATTCCATGGTGTATATGTGCCACATTTTCTTAATCCAGTCTATCATTCTTGGACATTTGGGTTGGTTCCAAGTCTTTGCTATTGTGAATAGTGCCGTAATAAACATACGTGTGTATGTGTCTTTATAGCAGCATGATTTATAGTCCTTTGGGCATATACCCAGTAATGGGATGGCTGGGTCAAATGGTATTTCTAGTTCTAGATCCCTGAGGAATTGCCACACTGACTTCCACCATGGTTGAACTAGTTTACAGTCCCATCAACAGTGTAAAAGTGTTCCTATTTCTCCACATCCTCTCCAGCACCTGTTGTTTCCTGACTTTTTAATGATTGCCATTCTAACTGGTGTGAGATGGTATCTCACTGTGGTTTTGATTTGCATTTCTCTGATGGCCAGTGATGATGAGCATTTTTTCATGTGTGTTTTGGATGCATAAATGTCTTCTTTTGAGAAGTGTCTGTTCATATCCTTCACCCACTTTTTGATGGGGTCGTTTTTTTCTTGTAAATTTGTTTGAGTTCATTGTAGATTCTGGATATTAGCCCTTTGTCAGATGAGTAGGTTGCAAAAATTTTCTCCCATTCTGTAGGTCGCTTGTTCACTCTGATGGTAGTTTCTTTTGCTGTGCAGAAGCTCTTTAGTTTAATTTGATCCCATTTGTCAATTTTGGCTTTTGTTGCCATTGCTTTTGGTGTTTGAGACATGAAGTCCTTACCCATGCCTATGTCCTGAATGGTTTGCCTAGGTTTTCTTCTAGGGTTTTTATGTTTTTAGGTCTAACATGTAAGTCTTTAATCCATCTTGAATTAATTTTTGTATAAGGTGTAAGGAAGGGATCCAGTTTCAGCTTTCTACATATGGCTAGCCAGTTTTCCCAGCACCATTTATTAAATAGGGAATCCTTTCCCCATTGCTTGTTTTTGTCAGGTTTGTCAAAGATCAGATATTTGTAGATACGCGGCATTATTTCTGAGACCTCTGTACTGTTCCATTGGTCTATATCTCTGTTTTGGTACCAGTACCATGCTGTTTTGGTTACCGTAGCCTTGTAGTATAGTTTGAAGTCAGGTAGCATGATGACTCCAGCTTTGTTCTTTTGGCTTAGGATTGACTTGGCAATGTGGGCTCTTTTTTTGGTTCCATATGAACTTTAAAGTAGTTTTTTCCAATTCTGTGAAGAAAGTCATTGGTAGCTTGATGGGGATGGCATTGAATCTATAAATTACCTTGGGCAGTATGGCCATTTTCACGATATTGATTCTTCCTACCCATGAGCGTGGAATGTTCTTCCATTTGTTTGTATCCTCTTTTATTTCCTTGAGCAGTGGTTTGTAGTTCTCCTTGAAGAGGTCCTTCACATCCCTTGTAAGTTGGATTCCTAGGTATTTTATTCTCTTTGAAGCAATTGTGAATGGGAGTTCACTCATGATTTGGCTCTCTGTTTGTCTGTTGTTGATGTATAAGAATGCTTGTGATTTTTGCACATTGATTTTGTATCCTGAGACTTTGCTGAAGTTGCTTATCAGCTTAAGGAGATTTTGGGCTGAGACGATGGGGTTTTCTAGATATACAATCATGTCATCTGCAAACAAGGACAATTTGACTTCCTCTTTTCCTAATTGAATGCCCTTTATTTCCTTCTCCTGCCTGATTGCCCTGGCCAGAACTTCCAACACTATGTTGAATAGGAGTGGTGAGAGAGGGCATCCCTGTCTTGTGCCAGTTTTCAAAGGGAATGCTTCCAGTTTTTGTCCATTCAGTATGATATTGGCTGTGGGTTTGTCATAGATAGCTCTTATTATTTTGAGATATGTCCCATCAATACCTAAATTATTGAGAGTTTTTAGCATGAAGGGTTGTTGAATTTTGTCAAAGGCCTTTTCTGCATCTATTGAGATAATAATGTGGTTTTTGTCTTTGGTTCTGTTTATATGCTGGTTTATGTTTATTGATTTTCATATGTTGAACCAGCCTTGCATCGCAGAGATGAAGCCCACTTGATCATGGTGGATAAGCTTTTTGATGTGTTGCTGAATTCGATTTGCCAGTATTTTATAGAGGATTTTTGCATCGATGTTCATCAAGGATATTGGCCTAAAATTCTCTTTTTTTTGTTGTGTCTCTGCCAGGCTTTAGTATCAGGATGATGCTGTCCTCATAAAATGAGTTAGGGAGAATTCCCTCTTTTTCTATTGATTGGAATAGTTTCAGAAGGAATGGTACCAGCTCCTTCTTGTACCTCTGGTAGAATTCGGCTGTGAATCCATCTGGTCCTGGACTTTTTTTGGTTGGTAAGCTATTAATTATTGCTTCAATTTCAGAGCCTGTTATTGGTCTATTCAGAGATTCAATTTCTTCCTGGTTTAGTCTTGGGAGGGTGTATGTGTTGAGGAATTTATCCATTTCTTCTAGATTTTCTAGTTTATTTGTGTAGAGATGTTTATAGTATTCTCTGATAGTAGTCTGGATTTCTGTGGGATCAGTGATGATATCTCCTTTGTCATTTTTTATTGCATCTATTTGATTCTTCTCTCTTTTCTTCTTTATTAGTTTTGCTAGTGGTCTATCAATTTTGTTGACCTTTTCAAAAAACCAGCCCCTGGATTCATTGATTTTTTGAAGGGTTTTTTGTGTCTCTATTTCCTTCAGTTCTGCTCTGATTTTAGTTATTTCTTGCCTTCTGCTAGCTTTTGAATGTGTTTGCTCTTGCTTCTCTAGCTCCTTTAATTGTGATGTTAGGGTGTCAATTTTAGATTTTTCCTGCTTTCTCTTGTGGGCATTTAGTGCTATAAATTTGCCTCTACACACTGCTTTGAATGTGTCCCAGAGATTCTGGTATGTTGTGTCTTTGTTCTCATTGGTTTCAAAGAACATCTTTATTTCTGCCTTCATTTCGTTATGTACCCAGTAGTCATTCAGGAGCAGATTGTTCAGTTTCCATGTAGTTGAGTGGTTTTGAGTGAGTTTCTTAATCCTGAGTTCTAGTTTGATTGCACTGTGGTCTGAGAGACAGTTTGTTATAATTTCTGTTCTTTTACATTTGCTGAGGAGTGCTTTACTTCCAAGTATGTGGTCAATTTTGGAATAGGTGTGGTGTGGTGCTGAAAAGAATGTATATTCTGTTGATTTGTGGTGGAAAGTTCTGTAGATGTCTATTAGGTCCACTTGGTGCAGAGCTGAGTTCAATTCCTGGATATCCTTGTTAACTTTCTGTCTCATTGATCTGTCTAATGTTGACAGTGGGGTGTTAAAGTCTCCCATTATTATTGTGTGGGAATCTAAGTCTCTTTGTAGGTCACTAAGGACTTGCTTTATGAATCTGGGTGCTCCTGTATTGGGTGCATATATATTTAGGATAGTTAGTTCTTCTTGTTGAATTGATCCCTTTACCATTATGTAATGGCTTTCTTTGTCTCTTTTGATCTTTGTTGGTTTAAAGTCTGTTTTATCAGAGACTAGGATTGCAACCCCTGCCTTTTTTTTGTTGTCCATTTGCTTGGTAGATCTTCCTCCATCCCTTTATTTTGAGCCTATGTGTGTCTCTGCCCATGAGATGGGTTTCCTGAATACAGCACACTGATTGGTCTTGACTCTTTATCCAATTTGCCAGTCTGTGTCTTTTAATTCGAGCATTTAGCCCATTTACATTTAAGGTTAGTATTGTTATGTGTGAATTTGATCCTGTCATTATGATGTTAGCTGGTTATTTTGCTCGTTAGTTGATGCAGTTTCTTTGTAGCCTTGATGGTCTTTACAGTTTGGCATGTTTTTGCAGTGGCTGGTACCGGTTGTTCCTTTCCATGTTTAGTGCTTCCTTCAGGAGCTCTTTTAGGGCAGGCCTGGTGGTGAAACAATCTCTCAGCATTTGCTTGTCTGTAAAGTATTTTATTTCTCCTTCACTTATGAAGCTTAGTTTGGCTGGATATGAAATTCTGGGTTGAAAATCCTTTTCTTTAAGAATGTTGAATATTGGTGCCTACTCTCTTCTGGCTTGTAGAGTTTCTGCCAAGAGATCCGCTGTTAGTCTGATGGGCTTCCTTTTGTGAGTAACCCGACCTTTCTCTCTGGCTGCCCTTAATATTTTTTCCTTCATTTCAACTTTGGTGAATCTGACAATTGTGTGTCTTGGAGTTGCTCTTCTCGAGGAGTATCTTTGTGGCATTCTCTGTATTTCCTGAATTTGAATGTTGGCCTGCCTTGCTAGATTGGGGAAGTTCTCCTGGATGATATCCTGCAGAGTGTTTTCCAACTTGGTTCCATTCTCCCCGTCACTTTCAGGTACACCAATCAGACATAGATTTGGTCTTTTCACATAGTCCCATATTTCTTGGAGGCTTTGTTTCTTTTCTTTTTATTCTTTTTTCTCTAAACTTCTCTTCTCGCTTCATTTCATTCATTTTGTCTTCCATCGCTGATATCCTTTCTTCTAATTGGTTGCATTGGCTACTGGGGCTTGTGCATTCGTCACGTAGTTCTCGTGCTGTGGTTTTCAGCTCCATCAGGTCCTTTAAGGACTTCTCTGCATTGGTTATTCTAGTTATCCATTCGTCTAATTTTTTTTCAAAGTTTTTAACTTCTTTGGCATTGGTTCGAACTTCCTCCTTTAGCTCGGAGTAGTTTGATCTTCTGAAGCCTTCTTCTCTCAACTCGTCAAAGTCATTCTCCATCCAGCTTTGTTCCATTGCTGGTGAGGAGCTGTGTTCCTTTGGAGGAGGAGAGGTGCTCTGATTTTTAGTTTCCGGTTTTTCTGCTCTGTTTTTTCCCCCATCTTTGTGGTTTTATCTACCTTTGGTCTTTGATGATGGTGACGTACAGATGGGTTTTTGGTATTGATGTCCTTTCTGTTTGTTCGTTTTCCTTCTAACAGTCAGGACCCTCAGCAGCAGGTCTGTTGGAGTTTGCTGGAGGTCCACTCCAGACCCTGTTTGCCTGGGTATCAGCAGCGGTGGCTGAAGAACAGTGGATATTGGTGAACCGCAAATGCTGCTGCCTGATTGTTCCTCTGGAAGTTTTGTCTCAGAGGAGTACCCGGCCGTGTGAGGTGTCAGTCCATCCCTACTGGGGGGTGCCTCCCAGTTAGGCTACTCAGGGGCCAGGGACCCACTTGAGGAGGCAGTCTGCCCATTCTCAGATCTCAGGCTGTGTGCTGGGAGAAACACTACTCTCTTCAAAGCTGTCAGACAGGGACATTTAAGTCTGCAGAGGATATTGCTGCCTTTTGTTCATCTGTGCCCTGCCCCCAGAAGTGGAGCCTACAGAGGCAGGCAGGTCTCCTTGAGCTGTGGTGGGCTCCACCCAGTTTGAGCTTCCTGGCCACTTTGTTTACCTGCTGAAGCCTCAGCAATGGTGGGCACCCCTCCCCCAGCCTCACTGCCACCTTGCAGTTTGATCTCAGACTGCTGTGCTAGCAATGAGCGAGGCTCTGTGGGCATAGGACCCTCCGAGCCAGGTGCGGGATATAATCTCCTGGTGTGCTGTTTGTTAAGCCCATTGGAAAAGCACAGTATTAGGGTGGGAGTGACCCAATTTTCCAGGTGCCGTCTGTCACCCCTTTCTTTGACTAGGAAAGGGAATTCCCTGCCCCCTTGCACTTCCCGGGTGAGGTGATGCCTCGCCCTGCTTTGGCTCACGCAGGGTGTGCTGCACCCACTGTCCTGCACCCACTGTCCAGCACTCCCCAGTGAGATGAACCCGGTACCTCAGTTGGAAATGCAGAAATCACCCGTCTTCTGCGTCACTCACGCTGGGAGCTATAGACTGGAGCTGTTCCTATTCGCTGGGTTTCTTTTTGAGGTGATGAAAATGTTGTGTAATTAGGTAGGAATGATGGTTGCACAACTCTGTAAATACACTAAAAAACTGAAGTGTACACTTTGAAAGGGTGACTTTTATAGTATGCAACTGAGGAGAATTATATCTCAAAACAAAGAATACTCATTTATATATTTTCTAATACTTTTAACTCCTTGTCTCCAAAAAATTCTACCTTTGACTTATGTCTTTTATTTATTGGCACTTGTTGGGATGCATGGTGTGGGAAAATCTTCTAAGTTATATTTTTTCTATATGGAAAGTTAATTTCCCCAGTCTCATTTATACAACAGCTCTTTATTTTCCAGTGTGGTTTATACCTGTTGCATATATCAATTGTAACACAAATCCTGCTTGAGTTCTTTACTGTGTTTAAGTGATACTTCATTGCTATACTGTCTTTAATTATTATAACTTGATGTCTAGTAGGAAATCACACCTTACTTTTTTCCGTATTAAGCTGCCACATAGCTTTTACAGTTTGTCAAGATAAAAAATCAATCTCATTAGAATTTTGACTGAAATTGCATTTGAACCATGTATTAATTTGGGAGAAATAATTTCCTTATGACATTGAGTTTTCTTACTCCTGAAAATAGTACCTATTATGTACTGGAATAATTCTGGTTACAAAACAGAAAATATATTTCATAAATTACAGCTAATATAACAAAAATTGTTAGATGGGAAAGGAATGTGAAGCATCCCAATTATCTTATTTTTCATATTAGAAAGTAATCCATTGGTAAAATTATAGTATAAGTCTTTAAATGGCATCCCTATCTTAACGGTTTCTTTAAACTTTTATATTTTAATAATGAATAATTTATGCACTGCAGAAACAGTTGTATTTTAAAA
This sequence comes from Homo sapiens, assembly GCF_000001405.40. NCBI lineage: Eukaryota > Metazoa > Chordata > Mammalia > Primates > Hominidae > Homo > Homo sapiens. Next base: position 99,233,740 of record NC_000023.11, on the reverse strand, counting down.
ATTGTTTTCATTTTATTTATTGTTTCTGTTTTTAATCAAGTGAATGTATCTTAATGTTTTTGTTCAAAAACATCAGGTATGATAGAAGCTCATTTTCATTAAACTCTATACATGTATCTATCTTTTTGCCATTCTGAATTTGTGTGGAGAGATGTAAGTATTGAATAATATTCACCACATATTACTATTGTTTCTGGATGATGGTATATATGGTAACTTGTTTATATATTTGTCAAATTACTTGTTATTCTTTGAATTTTTTGTAATGTTTATTGTCAATAAAAATGATGTCACATATGGCACCACAAAAAATGTTAAAAAAAATGGGTTAAAGAAAAGTATTAGCAATACGTATGACTGAAAGAGTGTTGATATTTTTAAAGAAATCCTACAGACTGGTGAGAGAAAGATGATGAAAACAATAGAAAATAGAAAGAAAATGGGAAAATGCGTATAATCCATGTGAAAAATTATCAGTGACTCTGGTTGTAGGGGAAATTCTAATTATGAGGTATTATTTTTATTTAGATGGTTAAAATATATTTGTTTGTTTTTTATTTCAGTAGGCTTCTGGGGAACAAGTTGTGTTTGGTTAATTTAAGTTTAAAGATTGCAATACCTGATGCTGAGGAGCATTGAGAAAAATAAGAAGTTTCATGCATTACTGGTGCTTATGAATTGCTGAGTCTATTTTGTAAAGCCATGTGATAAAAGTAAGATAAGTAGCATGCTTCACATTTCTTCCCCATCTCCTGTTTTTTGTTATATTAGCTTTAATTTATGAAGTATACTTTCTATTTGGTAACCATAATTCTTTCAGTATGTAATAGGTACGATATTCAGGAGTAAGAGAACTCAATGTCATAGAGACATTGTTAATTATCAAATTTTAAAATATACCTACGAAGCATTGCAAGCCACGCAAAACTTGTCTAATTTTAAAAGATGAGAATTTATTGAAAAAGTATTGGGAATACACAGAAAATATGGAAAGACTTTCAAACTAGGTTTGAAAATAGGAAACAATATAGTTCCTACATTACTGATAAGCAATAAACTTAACACAGCCTAAAGTAGTGACAGATCAGGGGACCACTGCTGAGAATATTTTTTAAATGCAACAATTTCTTCTGTGCTTGTATCAATTGCCAAGGATTCATGGTTCCTGAAGTGTGAGTACCATTTGCTGAATTTAATTTCCTTCCCTTGACTGTACAAGGACAACGAGAGGAAGAATGAAAGAACTCACGTATATTGAGCAGTTACTAAATACCATGAACTGTTTTAAGGTCTTTAACACATCATCACATTTCATCTTTAAACAACGTTATGACAATTTATTTTGTTGGAGAGATTTAATAACATTTCTACTATGATCTCAAAGCTAGTAAGTGGTGGAGCTTAGATTTGAATGTACTCTGATATCTGAGTCTTTGATGTTCTTTAAACATTTATAATAGAAATATAGGCATCACTTGGAATTTTCTTGCTATAAATTATCATTCCGCAAAAGCGGCATAGAATTTAGTAAAAAAAAAAAAGTACTCCACATCTCATCTCCAGTATATTCTGATTCTGAGAAAATGAGAAAGTATTGAAAATAGAGCCCAAATGATAAATGTTTAAAACAGACTCAGCAATTGCATGTTTGGGAATCTTTATGTAGTAGATAGAATTCTAAACTTGTCACCCATGAGCTTTACTCTGTATAGTCTCCTCCTATTGTTTGTTTCTAGAACCTATGGATATGATGAGATATCACTTCCAAGATTGTGTTACACATATGGCAAAAAGCATTTTCCAAATGTGATTAAAATTACCATTGAAATGACCTTTAGTCAGTCAGAAGGGAAGTATTCTGGGCGGACCAGCCCAAATAGAATGAGCCTTTTAAATCTGGGCAGAGACAGAGGAACTCAGCGTTTTAAAGCATAATAGGGAATCGACATTCTCAATTTGAAGATAGTGGGAGCCACATGATGAGGAATATGAATGACCTCTAGGAGAAAAGGGATGCCCTCTTCTCCAGTAAGAAAATAGGAATCTCAGTTTTAAATCTGCAAGAAACTGGATTCTCCAAACAACATAAACTAACATTGAAGCAGATACTTCCATATTCTAGCCTCCAGAAAAGAACCCAACATGGACTTTAGTTTTGAAGGGTCTTGTGCAGATAACCAAGCAACAGCATGCTGGACTTCTTACTTGTAGAGTTGTGAATTAACAAACAAATGTTGTTTTAAGCTTCTAAGTTCGTGGTAATTTGTTATGCAGTAGTCAAAATCTAATAAATATATTTTATAATAAAAATAAAAGTACCTGTACCATGGGCATATGTTCAATTATACTTATTGTATTGGAAAAACCTGAAAATAATCTGTGTGTCTCCATAGGGAAATCATTAGGAATGTTGTCATAAATCATGTCCTTTATGGAGTTTGTTAGTATTAAAATAACTAGGATAATATTTGTTTACATGGAAATATGTCTATTGTATATGGAGTAAGAAAACTTAGTTGCAGAACTATGCATACAATGCATACGATTCTCTTTTATTATTAAAAACTATAGACACCTACGAATTTTCATATATAATTAAATGATCATACAGAAAATATACAAGAATAGCTGTCAAATGTTTACATAGGTTGCCTTGGAAAGGTAGGACCAGATTATTATTATTATTATGGGAGAATAGGAGCAAATTACTACATTTTTCTTACAACTCTGAATTGCTTGGCATGTATCTTAGTCTGTTTGAGCTGCTATAATAAAATACCATATACTGGGTGGCTTATAAATAACAGAAATATATTTCTTACAGTTCTGTAAGCTGAGAAGTTCAAGGTGTTAGCAGAATCAGTGACTAATAAGGGCCTGCTTCCTCATAAACAGCCTTCTGCTTAATCTAACTTCACATGGTAGAAAGCAGGAGAGTTTTTTCTCGGGCTACTTTTAGAAAGACACTATTTCCTATCATGAAGGTTCTGCCACCATGATCTGATCACCTCCAAATGATCCTCTTAATACCATCACCTTGTGGGTGAAAATTTCAACCCATAATTTTGAGGAAGACATAAACATGCAGACCATAGCAATACGTTATATTACGTGCTATCCCTATCAAAAAAACTAATTAAAAAATTAAAATATAATACACTAAAAATGACATCTATAATTTAAGAGGCTATATTAAAAATAGGATGAATTAATAATGCAAAAATTAACAAAAAATAAAGTTAATACAAGCTGATATTAAAATTTTACATTTCAGATTCACGAGGAAGAAAACTAAAACTTTGTGTAAGCCCATCCTTATATATATTCTACAGTAAAAGCTTAGGGTTTATACATTCTTTGCACACACATACACACAGACCCCCATACACAGCTCAAGCTATCTTGGAAAGTGTTTGGAAATGTTTGGTTATTTACTTGTGATTGATGCTAATTTCTTAATTTTTTACATTATGGTTACATGGTGTGTCCTTTAAAATTTTCTCCTGTTTATAATCAATGGAAGTGTTTTCAGCCTTTGTGTTTGTTTGTTTTCCGTAAGATTATATACGTCAATGCCAAATTGCACATTGGTGCATGAAATTTCAAGGCCATTGTTCATTATGATTACATGTGCTTCTTTCAACTGTTTATTGTATTTTGGCTTAAATACTATTATGTTTAAAAAGTATTATGACCTGTTGGTTATTTTATTTGCATTTTCCTAATACAACTTGGGCCATATACATTTTTGTTTCCTAAGGCATATTTTTGTAGCTGCATATCTTATAAAGATCTATAATTGAATATTGTGTTTTATTAAATTTGAGACTCTGTCTTCCAGTAGGCCAGTTCGACCCACTTGCATTTATTTTTACAATTTCTATGCTGGAGAGCTTTAGTTGTGTAATTTTGTTTTACACATTTTTATTTTTACCTCTGTTTTCTATTTTTTGATATAAGAACAGTGGTTTCTTTATTGCTTTTACATGTCTTATTTGTGATTTGGGCAATACACATCCTTTTATTTGAAATATGAACACATACTTTCTAGTTATCTGGAATTACAGGCTGTTTAACTTATGTATATGAAAACGAGACATTAGCATGGAACCATTTTGTTCACTTGGTCTCTTACAATTTCTTTGTTTCCTCGTTGGTATCACTGGAAATTTGTATAATAATATTTGCATTAAATTATTCTTCATATTCTTTTAAAATTTATTTTATTTTTTGTGGATATATTAGTAGGTATATATATTTATGGGGTACATGAGGTGTTTTGATACAGGCATGCAATGTATTATAATCACATCATGTAAAATGGGGTATTCATCTCCTCAAGTATTTAATCCTTTGTGTTACACACAATCCAATAATACTCTTCTAGTTATTTTAAAATGTACAATTAAATATTATTGACTATAGTCATGCTTTCTGAAGTCTATATTCTTTCTGTTTAAAATCAGAACTATTTTTTGGCATTTGATTTGTCTTGTCATAACTCTTAATATGATCTAAGACACAACTGTTTTTTGGTAGGATTCAATGCTCACTAACACAATTTCCCCTTTCTTTAGCTTTTTCATTTCTATATTGGATAGTTGAAATAGATTTTTGAGTGCTTTATTTTTTCTAGATCTCTATGCTTTAAAAAACAGCTTTATTGAGATTTAATCCAAATGCCGTGCAATACACCTGGCTGTGTATGGTATTTCTAAGACCTTGCTTATTTTTGATTAAAATTTTTATTTTAAAGTTATCATATATTCACATGTGATAAGAATTAACACAGAGGGATTCTATGTACTTTTTACCATTTCACTCAATAGTAAAGTCTTAAAAATTATGGCATATCCAGGATATTGACATTTATACAATCTACCAATATTATACAGATTTTCTTAGTTTCATTTTTATTTGTGTGTGTGCTTGTGTGGGAGAGAGGAAGGTGTTTAGTTCAATATAAATTTTATTACATGGGTAAACTGGTTTGCCACCACAGTCAAGTTCCAGAGAGTTCCATCACCATAGGGGTTTCTCATACTACCCATCTATAACCACATGCACCTCCTTCCTGCATCAGCCCACTCTCATTTCTAATCCCTGGAAACCACTAATCTGTTTCTCATTTCTAAAACATTGTCTTTTCAAAAACATTATACAACTGAAATGATAGAGTATACAATGTTTTTGGATTTGGCATTTTTTCACTCAGAATAATTCCGGGTATTCACCAAAGCTTATGCATTCATCAATAGTTCATTTTTTTGTTGTTGCTGAATAGTACTCCATGGTATGTATATACTTAAATTTGTTTAATAACACACTTGTTGAAGGATATCTGGTTGTTTCCATTTTTTTGGTTTATTATGGATGAAATTGCTCTGACATTTGAGTACGAATTTTTGCGCGAACAAAGTTCTCATTTATCTGGGATTAATACCCAGGAGTGCAATTGCTGGGGAATTTGGTAACTATATATTTAATATTATTAGGAAATGCTGAATTGTGTTCTAGGGTAGCAGTAACATTTTATCTTGCCATCAGCAATGTAAAAGTGATCTAATTTCTGTAAATCCTGGCCAACATTTTGTGTGTGTTTTTTTAAGCCATTCTGATATGTATGCACTGATATGACATTGTAGTATTAATTTACATTTCAATGTCATGGTTAATTTTATGTGTTAGAATGACTGGGCCACTGTTCCAAGATATATAGTCAAACACTATTCTGGATGTTTCTGTGAGAGTGTTTTATTTTTTTCTTTTCGATAAAATTAACATTTAAATCAGTGGACTTTTAATAGTACAGATTTACTTCCATAATGTGGGAAGGTCTCATCCAATCAGTTGAAGGCCTTAATAGAACAAAGACTGACCTCCTCCAAACAAGAAGGAATTATTCCAGCAGATGGCTTTTAAAATAAAACTGCAGCATTGTCTTTTCCCTGGGTTTCCAGCCTGAGTGCCCACTCTGCCAATTTTGGACTTTGGACTTGCCAAACTCCATAATCATGAGGCTTAAAACTCCCTCTCTCTCACTTCCTTGTCCCTTCTTCTCCCTTTTCTCTCTGTGTCCCTCTCTCTCTCTCTACACACACACACACACACACACACACACACACATCCCTAATTTGCCCTGTTTCTCTAAAGAACCCTAACCATTAATAATACAGGTAACAGTGTTGAACATCTTCCTATGTGCTTATTTGACGTCTGTATATCCTCTTTAGTGAAATTGTGTCTTATGCCCACTTTCTAACTGGATTTCTTTCTTATTCTTGAGTTTGGAGAGTCTTTTCTATATTCTATATACTACTCTTTGGTTCGCTACGTAGTGTGCAAATATTTTCTCCCAGTTTCTAGTTTATATTTTGAACCTCCTCACAAGTTCTTTACAGAGCAAGTTTTTCATTTCGATTAGCTTGAATTTACCATTTTTTCCTCCTATGGATCATGCTTTTGGTGTCAAATCTAAGAACTTTTCTCATAGCTCTAGTTCCAAAGAATGTTTACAATGTCTTGTTTCTGAAAGTTTTATAGTCTTCTATTTTACATTTGTCTATTATTCACTTAAGTAAATTTTTATATTAGATCTGAGATTTAGGTTAAAGTTTGCTTTTTGCCTATGGATTTCCAATTGCTTCAGCACTTTTCATTCAAAAGGCTATCTTTCCTTCATTAAATTACTTTTGCTTTTTTGTAAAAAATTCATTGACCTTATTTATGTAGGTCAATTTCTAGGTTCCCAATATTGTTCTTTTGATCTATGTCTCTATCTCTACACAAATATCATACTGTCTTGATTACACTATCTATTTAGTAAATTTTAATATGTGCTTTTTTAGTAATTCCACATCCCGTGTTTTCCTTATAAATTGTAAATAAGCTGGTTGCTAGGTACAAAAAAACTTGCTGGAATTTTGAAAGAACTTATCTTAAATCTATAGATCAATTTGTGGACAGTAGGGATCTTTACTATGTTGAATCATCCTATATACAAAAGTAGAATGTCTTCATTTACTTAACCTTTTTTTGATTTTCTTCATTATCATTTTATAATTTTCAGCACACAGATCCTATACAGGTTTTGCTAGTTTTATACCTAACAATTTTCTTTGTTTGTAGTGATTATAAATGGTATTGTATTTTAAAATTTTAGTTTCCAGAAGTTCATTGATATATAGAAATGCAAGTTTTTAAAAATGTGTATGTTCAATAGCAAAGACAAATGGAATTGAAGCAGGAAATTTCCCCTGACTCCTGTGCAGGGGGGAACTTGAGTGTGGGCACTGGAGCTACCCAGCCACTTTGGCACCAGCAAGGGCAAACTCCATTTACTTAAACCCTCTGTTCTCAATCTGTAGCAGGAAGGAGCATGCAGGTGAATGGGTGCAGGACCTGGGGCTAGTGCTTTTGGGTGCCAGCAGGAATGAACTCCATACCAGGCCCGCAGCAGCATCTCGGGGAGTGCCCACAACCCCTGAAGTCCCAGAAGGCGTGTGTTACAGGGATCTTTTAGCTCTACTGTCCACAGACGGCTTAAGTGTTAACAGCTCAGTGGGCCTTCTGCCTTTTTACATGTGGCAGCTGCTTTCTGCCAGTGAGGGCAGAGGGTCATTATGACAGCCTCTTGCATCCACACCCATGGTACCCAAGCTCTTGTTTGGCATCCCGGAAAAATCATGTCACACAAATGAATTGAAGGGTGGTGAATGCAGAGGATTTTATTACTGATGAAAGTGGCTTTCAGCAGGAAGGGGAGCTGAAAAGGGGATGGAGTGTGAATGTAATATTTTCCCAGAGTCTGGCTGTCCCTGGCCGGACACCTCTCTGAAGCTATGCCATCAAGCTGTTCCTCTGAAGTCAAGTGGCTTCTCTCTGACCATAGTCTCTGATATCCAGCTGCTTCTACTCTCTGTCGGCTGAACCTGGGTTTTTTATGGACACAGGATGGGGGCAGGGCAGGCTATTGGTGGTTTTGGAAAAGGCAACATTTGAGCGGGAAAACAGGGATGTCAGTTCTCACTTTGGGCCATGGTTCCAGGCTTTTTGGTTTGAGAGTGAGGCTTTCACTGGGGACCTGCCCTCTTCTGCCAGGAATTTCTCTGTCTCTTGTCCCTATCAGAATCAACATAAATGCACCTCAACAGTAGACTGGCTAAAGAAAATGTGATACATACACACCATGGAATACTACACAGCGATAAAGATGAATGAGATCATGTCCTTTGCAGCAACATGAATGGAGTTAGAGGTCATTATCCTAAGGGAACCAATGCAGAAACAGGAAACCAAATACCATATATTCTCACTTACAAGTAGGAGCTAAACATTGAGTACATATAGTCACAAGTAAGAGAACAACAGACAGTGGGCCTCCTTGAGGGTGGAGGGAGAAAGGAGGGTGAAGACTGAAAAACTACCTATCAGGTACTATGTGTTCTACCTGGGTGATGGAATAATCTGTACATCAAACCCCCATGACACACAATTTACCTATATAGCAAACCTGTACATGTACCCCTGAATGTAAAATAAAAGCTTAAACATTAGTTTTTTAAAATTAAAATAAATAATAAAAATGTGTGTGTTGATCATGTATCCTGTAATCTAGCTATATTCACTTATTAATTATAGGAGGTTTTTGTGTGTTCATTTTTTTATGTAGAAAATTATGTTATCTGCAAACAGGATAGTTTTGTTTGATCCTTTTCAATGTGTATGTTTACTTTTTTTTCATATCATATTGCAGTGGGTAAACTTCCACTATTCTACCAAATAAGAATGGTAAGAAAGACATCCTCACATTGCTCCTAATCTTAAGAAAAAAATCCTGTTTTTTACTATTAATTGTGTTAGATGTAGGGTGTTTTTCTTTTACAGATAATCTTTAGCAAATTGAGGGAGCTCCACTCCACTCACAGTTTGCTGAGATACTATCAGAAGTAGGTGTTAGGTTTGCCAAATGCATTTTTGCATGTGCTTATTTGCCATCTGCATTTCCTTTTTGGGGAAATACATATCTTAATTGACAGAATATATAGTCTTTCTTCTTTAACCTTTTGATATAAAGGATTGATTGAATTTTGAATATCAAACAGGACTTGCATATCTGTAATAAATCTGACTTGATGAGGCTGCATGATTCTTTTTGTACATTGGTGGATTAAATTTCCAAATATTGTGTTAAGGACTTTTTCATTTATGTTCAGCAGAAATGTTGGCCTGTAGATTATCTTTTTAGTTACTCTCTTTGTCTAGTTTTAGTAACAATCTAATCACGGTCTCATAAAATGTATTAGGGAGTGCTATTTCCTCTTTTATTTTCTTGAATTAATTATATAAAGTTGATGTTAAATTTTCTAAATTTTTGTAGAAGTTTTCACTGAAATCATCTGTGTTCAGGGACTTTCTTTAGGGGTGGTTATAAATTATGAATCTAATTTTTATAGTGGTTATAGAGCTATTCAGATTGTCTATTTTTCTTTTTTGCTTGATATTTGGTGCTTTGTGTGTTTTAAGCAATTGGTTCTTTCTAAATTGCTATATTACTTGTTTAAAATTATGAATACGTATAAGTATCCCTTTATTTTTATCTTAATGACACAAGATTTTAATGATATTCTCTATCTAATTTTTTGTTATTATATCTATTTGTGTTTTACAAGATAATTTTTCTTTCATATAATGAGCTTTTTGTTTTTTTTTCAACTTTTATTTTAGAATCAGAGGTACGTGTGCAGGTTTATTACATAGGTATATTTTATGATGCTGAAGTTTGAAGTACAAATAAATCTGTAACCTTGATAGTGAGCATAATACCCAATAGGTAGTATTTTTCAGTCCTTATTGCCTCCCTCCCTCCCATTCTTGTATTCCCCTGTGTCAATTACTTCCATTTTTATGACCACATGTACCCAATGTTTAGCCCCCACTTATAAGTGAAAACATGTAGTATTTGGTTTTCTCTTTCTGCATTAATTCACTCAGGATAATGGTTTTCAGCTGCATCCAAAATATAATGTTCTGATATACATATAAGTAATGCAGTGATTACAACTGTCAGTTAAATTAACATATCTATCAACTCACATAGTTACCTTTGTGTGGATATGTGATAAGAACTCCGAAAATGTGTTCTTTTAGCAAATTTTAAGTATATAGTATTATTAACTATGGTTTTCATGCTTTACATTAGCTCTCTAGACTTATTTATCTTGCGTAACTGCACTATTGATATTGATAATTTGTGCCTTTTTTGTCTTTGCCAGGCTTGTTAGATGTTTATCAAATTTATTACATTTTTGAAGAACCAGTTACTTATGTTCTTGATTGTAAAAATTATTTTTCTATATTAATTTTATTGGTTACTTCTCTTATCTTTATTATTTTATTCTTTTTCTTGCTTTGAATTTATTTTACTCTGCTTTTTCTTGTTTCTTGATGTAGAAACTTTGATTATTCATTGGGAACTTTTCCTATTTTCTAATGTGAGAATTTAGAACTGAGTTTCCCTCTCAGAACTGCCTTAACAGCACACATTGGGGCCTATTGGCGGATGGAGAGTGGAAGGAGAGAGAGGATAAAAAAAAAAAACTAATGGGCAGGAGGTTAGGTGGTAAAATAATCTGTACAACAAACTCCCATGACACAAGTTTACCTATGTAACAAACCTGCACTTGTACCCCTGAACTTAAAAGTTGAAAAAAGAAATAATTTCGATGTATAATAATCACAAAATTAAATCCTCACATGGAAGTTTTCACAGATGATACGTGGTTGTGTGTTGCTGCAATAAATGATGGGTTTCATAAAACAAACAAAAAATAATTTAGCATTAATAGAATAAATTTGAATGGCATACAGGAGAAAAATCTTAGAATATCAAAGTCATTCATAAGTAAGACAGAAAATCTATAAGCTATAAAAAAGGTTGACTAATTTGACTATAAAATTTTTAAATTTCTATCTGACTTAAACCCTGTTAGCATACCGCAATGGCAAGTGATATAACTGGCAAGTATATTTTCATAATATACAACAAAGAGAAACAGAGTTCATATATATATATTATATATAGCTCATATATATATAGAGTTCATATATATATAGTTTTTATAATTCAATAGAAATAAATTACCTGAAAGAAAATGCATCATATACAAGAAAAAAAAAAAACATTTGCAGAAGAAATACGGTCAATAAGTACGACAAGGTAATCAGTGTCACTAGTAATCTAGAGATTATTATTAAAACAAGATAATATTTTTCAACTATAGGCAAGGGTTATTCTCATAACATTGACAGACGTGTAAATGATTACACCTTTTTTGGCACATAAATGAGTGTATCTAATAAGAAGCATTTCTATTACAAAAAAAATCTCTGTCCTACAAAAACACTCTCATATATGCACAAAGATGTATGGATATGGATACTTATTGGAGAATTTTTGCAGTAGCAAAATATTCTAAACATCCTAATTTTCTAAGAACAAGAGGTTGATTAAATAACTTGTATATGTAAAAGTATGCAGCCATGAAAAAGAATGAGATAAAACTACTGTCATGAACTGTCAAGAGTCTGAAATTTTACTCTAAAGTTAATGAGCTAGCCTTCCACAGTTTCACGGATGCTGGCAGAAGACATGAGACTCCTGGGTCAGAGAGAAAAAAAAGTATTATTTATGGCATAGCAAATATTATAAACTTAATATTCAGATAGGTTTCCCTCAGCCATGGAGGTGATGCAGAGATACCTACTTGGATGCTGCACACATTGTAAGCTTGTATCACAGCTGAGAAACCTGGAGTTTAAAGAACTTTATATATATATATATATATATATATATATATACACATATACATAAATATAAAATTTACTTTTTATATTTTTGAGACGGAGTCTTGCTGTCACCAGGCTTGAGTGCAGCGGCGCGATCTTGGATCACTGCAACCTCCGCCTCCTGGGTTCCAGCGATTCTCCTGCCTCAGCCTCCCGAGTAGCTGGGATTACAGGCACGCGCCACCATGCCCAGCAAATTTTTGTATTTTAGTAGAGACGGGGTTTCACCATGTTATCCAGGATGGTCTCAGTCTCCTGACCTTGTGATTCAACCACCTTGGCCTCCCAAAGTGCTGGGATTGCAGACGTGAGCCACCGCTCCAGGCCAAACCAGAATATTTATTTTATGATGGCTTTTAAGCAAGCCGTCTTGAATTTTGTTGGGAAGGGAGATATTACCTATACGCTACTGGATGGTGAACAAGCCTACCTTTTTTCTCTAAACGGTTGACATCTGTATACTCCAAGTCTGTTTTCTTTTTATTGTTTATTTATTTATTTTTATTTCAATTGTTTTGAAAGAACAGGTGGTATTTGGTTGCATGGAAAAGTTCTTCAGTGGTGATGTCTGAGATTTTGATGCACTCATCATCTGAGCAGCGTATGCTGTAGCCAATGTGTAGTGTTTTGTCCCTCACCTTCCTCCCACCCTTTTCCCCAAGTCCCCAAAGTCTATTATATCATTATTATCCCTTTGCATGCTCATAGCTTAGCTTCTGCTTATAAGTGAGAACATACGATGTTTGGTTTTCCATTCCCGAGTTACTTCTCTTAGAATAATGGCCTCCAACTCCATCCAGGTTGCCGCAAATGCCATTATTTCATTCCTTTTTATGGCTGAGTAGTATCCATGGTGTGTGTGTGTGTATACATATATGTATGTGTGTGTGTGTGTGTGTATATACGTTTTCTTTATCCACTCATTGGTTGGTGGGCATTTAGGCTGGTTTCATATTTTTGGAATTGCAAATTGTGCTGCTGTGAACATGCATGCACACGTGTCTTTTCCATATAATGGCTTCATTTTCTCTGGGTAGACACCCAGTAGTGGGATTGCTGGATCAAACAGTAGTTTTACTTTTAGTTCTTTAAGGAATCTCTATACCATTTTCCATAGTGGTTGTACTAGTTTACATTCCCATCAGCAATGTAAAAGTGTTCCTTTCTCTTCACCACATCCATGCCAACATCTGTTATTTTTTGATTTTTTAATTATGGCCATTCTTGTAGGAGTAAGGTGGTATCTCGTTATGGTTTTTATTTGTATTTCCTTGATAATTAGTTATATTGAACATTTTTCATATGTTTGTTGACTTTGTATATTTTCTTTGGAGAATTGTCTATTCATATCATTTGCCCACTTTTTGATAGGATTATTGTTATTATTTTTTTGCTAATTTGTTTGTTTCTTTCCTTTTCTGGTGGAGTGCCCCCAGAAGGTCATACACTCCCATTTTGTCTCTTAATGCCCATGCCAGGAAGTTGCTTCTCCCTGCTGCCTACGTTAAATTAACGCTTTACGGTGGCAGCCGTGGAACATTAGGAGGTTGTCTCTCCCTGGTGCCAGCTGCCAAATTATCATTTTACAGAGGCAGCATGATAATTGTTGAACTATCACTCCATCACCTGACATTCCTGGGGGTTGTGGGGGGAACCCTTTCCTGCCCCGCTCATGCCTGTCTAGCTACCTGTAACATTTTGAAGTAAATGATTTTGTTAGTAGCCTATATTCACATGAACTAGGTATTAAAGGTGTTTGGGTGAAGTCTCAGAAAAAGAGAATAGCTATAGGAAAAGTCTGAATCTTATAGATTACTTAAGTGATTGGGAAAAGAATGCTGGTAGGAATATGGACAATGAAGGCCATTCTGCTGAGGTATCAGGCAAATATGAGAAATAAGGTATTGAAAACTGGAGGAAGGTATACCCATGTTATAAAGTGGCAAAGAGCTTGGCTGAATTTTGTATGTACCCAGGATTTTGTGGGAGGCAGGACTTAAAAGTAATAAACTAGAATATTAGGCAGAAGAAACCTATAAACAAAAAAGCATTCAGACTACTGCATGGCTTTCTTAGCTGATTATAGTAAAATGCAAGAGGAGATAAGTTATTTAAAGGCAAAATTTGTAATTAAGTGGGAGGCGGATTGTAAAGATTTGCAAAACACTCAGCCTGGCTATTTAAAAAATGAGAGAGAAATCCAAGGCTATGACCAACCAGCTATTTGATAAGGAGATTAGTATAGATAAAAAGAAGCCAGGTGCTATTTATCAAGACAGTGGGAGAATGATCCCAAAAGTATTTCAGACATCTTTGAGGCTGTTCCTCCCTTCACAAGCCTGATATGCTAAAGCAAAATGGTTTTAGTTGATGGGTTTGCGATGCCTATGGGACATCAGGGCCCACTGCCCAGGATACCCAGGGTCTCCTCCCCCTACATTCTGCAAAGAGCTCCTCAGCCACCCCAGCCATGGCTCAAGTGAGTCCAGGTGTGACTTGACTCAGAGCGCTGGAGGGTGCAAGTCATGAGCTTTGGTGATGTCCTTATGGTACTCATTCTGTTGGTGTGCAGAGTGCAAGAGCTGTGGAGGCATGGCTTCCTCCATCTAAACTTCAAACAATGTTGTGAACAGCCTGGGTTTCAACCAGTCCTCTCTCTGAGGTAGTGCTACCACAGAGTTCCCAGTAGGGCAATGCCTAGTGGAGCTGTGAAAGAAGAGCCCCCAGGACTCTAGAACTGTAGAGCCACCAGCATACAATGCCAAGCTTGGAAAGCTGTAGGCAAGAGACTAATATGTGAGAGCTGCTGTGTATGCTGAGCCTAGCAAAGCCACGGGGCAGGACTGCCTGAGGCCTTGTATGCTGCACCTATGCACCAGTGTGCACAAAGGAGGGACATGGAGTCAAATGAGATAATTCTGGAGCCTTAAGACTTAATGTAATTAACCCTGTTTTATTTTGTATTTTTTTTAAACTTACTTGGGACTTGTTTTCCCTTTCTTTTTTCCTGTTGCTTCCTTTAACAATGGGAATGCCTATCCTATATGCCTGACCCACCGTTGTATTTTGGAAGCATGTAACTTATTTTGATTTCACAGGCTCACAGCTAAAGGTGAGGGGAATTTCCCTCAGGATGAACTGTGTCTTGAGTTTCACGCACATGTGATTTAGATGAGACTATGTACTCTGGACTTTTGAGTTGATGCTGGAATGAGTTAAGATTTTCAGGGATATTGAGATGGAGTTAATGCATTTTGTATGTGAGAATTACATGAGTATTGTGGAGACAGGGTTAAAATGCTAAGGTTTGATTGTATGTCATCTCCAAAACTCATGGTAAAATTTGATTGCCATTGTAAAAGTATTAAGAGGTGAGACCTCTAAGAGGTGAGTAGGCCATGAGGGGTCTTCCATCATTGTTAGGAGTAATGCTATTACAAAAGACTGAATTCAGCCCCCTCTTGCTCTCTCACCCTCTCTTTGTCCTGTTCTTCTGTCATGTAGTGATGCATTAAGAAGACCCTCACTATATGCCAGCACCTTAATATTGAGCTTCCCAGACTTTAGAATTGTGAACCAACAAATTTCTATTTCTTATAAATTACTCCAGCCAGGTATTCTGTTGTAGCAGCAAAAACGAATACATATACCCACTACCATTTTAAATTAATGTTTGCATCATGATATATATTTCTTAATCAATTTACTTTAACCTTATTTATATCGTAGTGTTTAAAGTGAATTTTTTATGAAGAGTTGTTTTTATTTTTCCACTCCACTAATTTCTTTCTCTTAACTGGTGCATTTAAACCATTTAGACATAATGTGATTATTGATATATTAGGGCTCAAAACTGCCATTTTATAGTTTGATTTTTGTGTTTCCCTTATTTTTTTCCCTCTGCTTTTGTTTTCTTGCCTTCTTGGGGATTGTATAAACATTTTCTTCTGATTTCACTTTGATTTATTTATAGTGCTTTAGTTTATACACACATAATGCACCACAATCTGCCAGTACTAACATTTTAATAACAACAAAAAATGCACATACCTTGGCCCTACACATTTTAAAATCTAACCTTGGCCCTACACATTCTAAAAATTAAATTGTCTTCAATATTTTCTCTAATTAGATTCAGTACCATATCAGAAGGCATTATAATTTCTGTTTTAATTATTAACTATGATTTTTAAAAATTGTGTGGAGAATAGTTTATTATATTTACTATATTTACTCATATTTTCACCTAGTCCAATATTCTTTTTGTTTCTGAAATTCCTGGACTTTTCCTGTTATCATACCTTTTCAGTTTAGATACTTTCTTTTATCATTCTTTAAGGATAGGTTTGCCGGCAACAAATTCTCTTAGTTTGTCTTTATCTGAGAATGTCTTTATTTCAAACTCTTTCTTCCTTAAGGATAATTTTTGCTTGATATAGAGTTTATAGTTGACAGTTCTTTTCTTTCAGTTCTTGTAAACCAGTGTGCCACTTCCTTCATGTCTTCATGGTTTCTAATGAAAAATACATTGCCATTTGAATTAGTGTTTCCCTGTAAGTGATGTGTTATTTCTCTCTGGTTACTTTTAATTTTGTTCTTTGTCTTTAGATTTCGGAAGTTCAAATATGATGTATCTTGTCATAAATTTCTTTAACTTTATCCTATTTAGGTTCACGTAGCTTCTTGAATCTGTAGATTTATATATTTTGCCAAATTTAGGACCTTTTCTGTTATTATTCTTTCAAATTTTTTTTTAGATATGTTTTCTCTTTTCTTTGCTTTAGGTACTTCAATGCTAAGAATATTAGCTCTTTTTGTTATTGACCTACAGATCCTGAAGACTCTGTTAATCATTTCTTCAGTTTATTTTCTTTCTATTGTTCAAATTGGATAAATTCAATTAATCTCTATTCAAGCTCATCAGTTCTATCTTCTACTACCTCCGCTCTACCATTGTGACCATACTTTGAGGTTTCTGTTTTGTTTTGGTTTGGTTATTATATTTCAAGTTGTATAATTTTCTTTTTGTTCTGTCTTACAACTTTTATTTCTGTGCTAGTATTTTCTATTTTTTCCTATGGGTTTTTAATTGTTTGTTTAAGTATTTATATGATGGCTGCTTGAAAAATTTGTCAGATAATTCCAACATCAAATTAATCTACTGTTTACATTTCCATATGGGATATTTTGCCAAATGACAATGAGTACGGTAAGTTAGACGTAAAAGGTAGTAAAGAAGTCAATAGGGGTCTTCTTGAAATTTTTGACATAATGGTCTATGAGATGTAGCACAACCTTTGTATACAAGTAGTGGGGGCTTAATCACTTTCTTACTCTCACAATAATAGCAATAAACACTTCCAAGCTCTTAAGGAGTAGCTTTCTCTTCTCTTGGAAAGAAATTGCATAGTAGAGAAAACATGATAAGAGGTGAACAGGACTTATAGAGGGAGGTGATAAATAGCAAGAGGCGACAGATACTACCTGAACCTTTCTTTTATCATGTAATAGAAAAATTTCTTGTATTTATGTTTGTATTCTTTTATGTGGCTTTGACTCTTGTTTCCTTTTTTGATTTTATTAGAAGAGGTGGACTGAAAAACCAATGGATGCTGTCACAGGCATTAGTTAAAAACACAATTGTAAAATATGGCAACTTGATATATACTTTTTCCATTGCTAGGGTCAATATTCTCATGAAAATTAAAATGAAGTATTTAAAAATAAATTATTTTAAACTTTTTAAAGTTTAGTTTACACTTAAATAAATATAAAAACAAAGATCCAATCATATTTTAAATTATTTGTTGGGTTTTCTTTATTTCATTGCCAATCAGTTGGGTTATGCAAAATAGCCTAGAATGGGCAGTGTGGTATTTTTATTCATGTCTATAACTGTCAAGGTTGTAAAAATAGGCGATTTTTAGTAAAATCACAAGCTGGAGATGGCAAGTTGATCCAATAGAATGGAAACACACTGTATATCTGTGAAGATACTTTGATTTATTGCTCTTAGTCAAGTTTGAAAGCATGACCTCAAGGGAAGTACGTCCTTAGGTGTAAGTACTTCTTGCAAAAGATTGATTTAGCATTTACAATTAAATATAGTTTTAAAATGAATTATAAGAAAGGAATGTATCCCATAATTAAAAATTAGTTTTCCTGATTATCCAAATGAGAAGTTGGGTATATTATTTTTTGCTTAAGGTATACACACTTAAGCAAAAAAAAAAAGAACCTCCCATAGTAAAAAACAGACTCATTTTTAAACTCAACAACATATACCGAATGTCCACAAGTTTGAACTAATAAGTACTAAAGAAGATAATTCCTTCACAAATTCATTCAGCTGACATGTATTAAGTATCAACTATGTTCAAGATTTTATGGTAGCCTCCATAATAAATAAAAAGTGGTACGAAACAAATCCCTTTCCCACAAATAGTGTAAAATACAGTAGTGTTATATGAAAAACACAAGTCTATATCTTTATTTTGCAAGCATATCTCCAATATTTGTGGAGCTCAAGACAGTACAAAATGGATACCTAAATAACACATGTATTGTTTAAATGACTAACAAAAATTTAAATAAATGTTTTATTAAGTTTCATTAAAAAGGATACTTTTAAAATGACCTGAAACATCAGGTACAAATTTAAAATTTTTGACTTCTCAGAATTCTACACCAGAAGATGGAAATGCAGCCAGTACTATTGCCCAGTGCCCTGACCTGTGGTACACTCCCATTTTCTTCCCACATACGACTTTGTTCCACTCTAAAGAATCCTGGTGCGCACATGTAGACAATTACATGTGTTCACTTACAGTCCAATCACAACCTTTGCAAGCAGATGCCCCTTGAATATCCTTTGGTATAGTGGTGTATGTGATGGGAAAACAGATCTTGGGGTAGAGATTTGGAGAGGCCTGGAAGAGAGCTTAGGAAAGTTGCCAAGGAAATTCTGGGATCCTGAAGAACAAAGTGTCATCTCAAAGGAAGTTGCAGGATTTTAGTGGGAACTTCCCCTTGGTCCTACAATTCTTCACTCTGTGGGAGTGAAGCAACTGAAGTAGTGCTAAAGTGAGGCCCTCTAAAGCACAGGACTCTTTGCAGAAGCCACTGTTTCTATGCTTTAAGGGCAAAACATGAGCAATGAAGAAATATAGATTGTGTGGTTAGATATAATAGAATGCGTCCATATATTTCAGTTATTAGAAATAAAGCTGTACATGTATTGACATAGATGTCAATATCACATGGTTATGTAAAATAATGCATATAATATGGTCTCATTTTTGTAAAAACAAACATAAAAATATTACATGTGCACAAAACTGTAGATCTTTGTGTGAGCACAAAAAAATGCTGAGAACTATTCACATTGCTTATCTGAAAAGAGGTGAGATGGGAAAAATATTTTAGTTATACACCTCGTTTTTTTATTTATTAGAGTAAGCATGTATTATTCTTGTAATGAAAGTACAATATATTTTTATAATGTCAATAATGCCTATTGTCTTAGTTTTTTTAGTGTTACTATAAAGGAATACCTGAGGTCAGATAATTTATATAAAAAAAGTTTATTTGGCTCACATTTCTTCACGATGTACAAGAAACATAGTTCCAGCAACTGCTTGGTTTCTGGTGAGGGCCTGCAGCTACTTCTGTTCATGAGAGAAGGCGAAGTGGAGCTAGCATGTGTAGAGATCACATGGAAAGGGAGAAGGCAAGAGAAAGAAGGAAGGTGCTAAGCTTATTTTGACAACCAGCTCTTGAGAGAACATTTGCAAGCACTAATAGAGAAACTCATTACCATGAAAACAGCACCAAGACATTCATGAGGGAACCACCCCCATGATCTAAACACCTCTCATTAAGCCCCCTCCTTCAATAACATGAGGTTTGGAGAGTCAGATATCCAAAATTACCTATAATTGTTGCTTTCCTTACATTGCCTTGAAAAAGGATTGCAATGTACTTTATTTGGTAATATTAGAATCTGACTGCATGCTTAATACTCATCCTTAAAGTTATTTTTTGGTCAAATCTGACCTGAAAATAAAAGTAAAATCCTACATAGGAAGGCTCAATCAACAAGGAATGATTTGAGTATCTGTAGTAAAAATAGTTGTGATTAGTACTAAAAAATAATGCTTTTATACAGATATCTTGAGATAAATATATTATGTCAAGGTGAAACCATTTATTTAGATTATCATCATAATTAACCATATCAATTACTTCATAATCTGACCTATTGTGCACTTGGCAGCAGATACCAAGGAATCACATGCAGAATTCTGTGTTGGCCATGGTCTAAAATAAGATTTATATAGTATAAATTGAAGAACTAACTGAGCTGGATCTTCTGATTAAACATTGAAGATGGTCTTCATTATTTGCTGCCTCCAGAATCTCCAATAAAATGGTAAAAATACCAGTTTTTAAGAGGATACATATATAACCACAACAGTAATACAAATATATTACAGTAACAGGTGTCCGCATAATTGAAGAAGATATACAGTGGACAGATGAATGGTAATGACTTAGGAGATTGGAGAAATCTGGGGTCTAAAGGCTTGCAGAGGAAAATACCAAACAAACACAGTTAATTTGGGATACAGAATGCCAGAAAACATAAAAAACTGGAGGCATCAGTTACTTCAGAAGCCAGGGATGAAACAGAAGGTCAAACAGGAGTGGCTGAAAAGTAGCCTATTGAGCAACTTACTTTTCAGGGTTCCTTCCCCGCACTTGCAGCAATAGAATCACAGAGCCTCTGAAGTCAGGAACATCAGACTAGACACATTAAAAGAGAGGTTAGAGGTGCTATTCTGAAACAGGGCAATTTAATGAAAGCCAATGTACTGATTAGTGAAATGCCAAGTCCTCTTTTTCCTCTTTGGCTTCCAGAACACTGAAAACCAGGTTTACAGTTTAACAGGTAAGCAAATATAGATTCCATCTGAAGAAACTGGACCCCCAAAAAGACTGATGATTGGAAGTCTCTGGTGAAATGGCCAGGTTTGTACTCAATTGTGTTATGGTGGAGCCTGTCAAAACACACAGATCTTGACCAAGCACATGAAGCTTTTGATTGGGTTTTAGTGTATCACTCTTAACTATAAACGAATACCCAAGTTTCATAAAATATTTGAAGAGAGGTTTTATTATGGAATATTAAGACCCAAAAAAGAGAAAAGAGGAAAATTGGAGAAAGAGAAAAGTCAGTAATCTCACGCTACAAAAATGTCCAAAAAACTGTAACTTTCTAGAACTAAAAGAAGACATTATAAAAGCCATCAAGATATAAAAATAATAAAAAATTAAAAGACTATAATATTTACATATACCTAAAAGAATATCTCTTAATAATCAACGTTGCCGAAGATGTGGATCAAGTATGTCACACATATTGCTGGTAGGATTGTTAAATAGTTTGGTCACTTTGGAAAAATGTTTGCTATTATCTTATAAATTGAATACTCATATACCATATGAGTATTTTCACTCCTTGTTTTAGACTGAAGAGAAACACTTACATATATTCACCAGAGGACATGTACAATACTATTCATAACATAAGATTACTTAATAATTGCATAACTCCTGAAATAATATAAATGCCAATGAAGAGGAGTGTAGTGGTTTGTTGAAACAATGGAATATTAGACATTAGTCAAAGAGAGAAATAGAGCTGCATGCATCAATGTGGATAAATCTTGGCAGTATAATATCAAAAACACAAGTAAGCTTAAAAAGATTACATAAAAACATCATATTACTTTTTAAAGTTAAAAACAATAGGCCAGGCATGGTGGCTCACGCCTGTAATCCCAGCACTTTGGGAGGCCGAAGCCAGCGGTTCACGAGGTCAGGAGATCGAGACCATCTTGGCTAACACGGTGAAACACTGTATCTACTAAAAAATACAAAAAATTAGCCAGGCATGGTGGCAGGTGCCTGTAGTCCCAGCTACTCGGGAGGCTGAGGCAGGAGAATGGCATGAACCGGGAGATGGAGCTTGCAGTGAGTCGAGATTGCACCACTGCGCTCCAGCCTGGGCGACAGAGTGAGACTCCATCTGAAAAATAAAATAAAATAAAATAAAATAAAATAAAATAAAATAAAATAAAAATAAAAACTAAATAATAATTGCTTATTATATAACACATATTGTGTGTCTGTGTGTTTGTCTTGAAAGGCTATTGAGAGGACATAATTAATATAACTAACACGCTTAAACTAGAATTTGGTGAGACAGTCAGCCTTCCATATCCCTGGGTTTCACATCCACATTCAATCAATGATGGGTCAAAATAGTTGAAACTAATAATGAACATAGCAATATAGCAATAAAAAATAATACAAATAAAAATATAATATAACAACTATTTACCTATTGTTTATATTATATTATGTATTATAAGTAATCTAGAGAAAATTTAAAGTATATGAGAGGGTTTATGTAGGTTATTTGTTAATGCTATGGCATTCAATATAAGGGACTTGAACATCTATAGATTTTGGTATCCACATGGGTTTCTGGAGCCCGTTCTCCTTTTACACTGAAAAATAATTTTATATAAATAAGAGTTTTCCATTGTTAATGTTCTTCAGAAATTTAGATATGACTACATAGAAAACTAAACAAAAAAAGTTAATTTTTAACTGAGAATGAGAATATGGAAGGGATATTTTATAAGAAAGGAAATGTAATCATTGGATACTATTTGGCTCAGTGTAAAAGTATTCACATAGTCACAATTAGAAGAATATTTTGAGTATTGATTTAACCTTAAATTTTGATACATCTACATGAGGAAAATGAGGGGAGAGTAAGAACAACAGTACTGCATATAGCCAGAAGAGGAAACAAAATTGTAGGAGCTCCTGAAAAGGAAAACAGAAAGCCTCAATAATTGAGAAACTGCATACACAATCTCAAAGAATTACAATAGCACCCCGCAAAAGTTTTGGAGGCAACAAGAATGTCTACACAGGCTGACTGGTGAGAATCTGTCCCTGTACAAAGTCAGTTTATAAAGACTAGGAGAGACAGTCTTTTTTTTTTTTTTTTTCCAAATGTATTCTAAAAAACTTATTTTTATTTTTTTTTCAAATCTATGGATTCTAAAAAAATATATGAGACAGAAGCAGAAACAAAGAAACATAGCCCAAACAATTGAACAAAGTAAATCTAAAGTAAGGGACCATAAAGAAAATGGAGATGCATTAATTAAAAACAAAGAGTCAAAATAATGTTTATAAAAATGCTGAAGAAGGTGAAGAATATAATGCATTCCTCAGAAACCACCAAAATGATGGAGTGGGAGATATCACCCTTTATTGCCCCATAAGAAAAGATGATAGACAGATAGAGAGATAGAGAGAGAGAGTTAGAGAGATAGATAGATAGACATCCGCAAGCAAATTTGCCCTGGGAGAGCTCAAGAGCCTATTTAAAAATCTGTAGCAACACAATGAAGCAAATGAAACAGATTATCCACATAAAAAGGATCACTAGTGAGATCAGCATACCTGAGATGCCAGGAGATGGCTAGGGACAAAAAAAGAAGTTGATGATTATTGGCATTAATAGCAGGAACCACCATGGTCCTCAGTGACCCGCTCTGCAGAAGATGCCAGCATCTTAGGTCACTGAGATAATGAACAATCATTTTCTCTGAGGAACACCAGAGTGTGAGATGCAGCTATACCCCTAAGTCCCTTCAAGAAGCAGCCAAAATTGTGCTGCTTCAGGACCAGAGCTGCCACTTGTCCCATTCCCATGTGAGATCTAACTCTCAAGCTGCAGCTGCTTTGTTATTGCTCACACTATGGACCCCAGCTCTGTGGCTGCACTGTGCCTGCCAATGTCTCAGACACCAGAGCCATTGCCATAGAAAATTGTTCACACTTTGGCCCCAGAGCCAGCATCTCTTTGAGTGTACCTGTGCTCCAGGAACCAGATCATATTCCATAAAGAACTAGATCATGCCCTGACCCTGAAACCACTGTAAATCTGTGCACATCTGGGCTCACATTCTCAGCTTTCTGTTTACTTCATAAGTATCCACACCTTGCATCTGTTACTATTATGGTAACAGTAGGGATGCTGCATTCTGAGTATCAGTGCAATTTATTCAAAATTTACACAGAAGAAAAAACACTGGAAAGGAATAAAGAATGCTTACAGAATGTATGGGGCAGCATCAAGAGAACAAATATTCAAATTATATGGGTTAAGAAGAAGAGATAAACAAAGGGAAAAAATAACAGCTGAAATCTTTCTAAATCTGAGAAAACATATAAATATCCAGGTACAGAAAAGTCAAATGTCTGAAGTCAGATTTAATCCTAACAAGACTAAACCAAGTCTTATAATTAAATGGTCAAAAATTAAAGATGAAGAAAGGATTCAGAAAACCTCAAGTGAAAAGAAGTATATCGCACATAGAAGGAATTTCAGTAAGGTTAGGAGCAAACTTCTCAGCAGGAAATTGACAATCCAGGAGAGATTGGGAAAATATTGAAAGTGCTGAGGTGGGGGGGGATTGCCAACCAATCAAGAATGCATTATCTGGGAAAGCTGTCCTTCAGAAATGAAGGAAGAGTGGCAGAGAAAGATGGATGAGTTGAAGCTTCCAGTGATTTTCTCCCATGCAAGAACACAAAATTGTGCACAAAAAAGAACCTTCATAGGAACCAAAAATCAGGTGAGCAATCACAGTACCTTGTTTTAACATTAAGTAAAGAGGTGCTTAATAGGGTAGGAAAGACAGTCTTGAATTGCCTATTCCACCCCTCCTCCATCCCCCAACAGTGGCTGTGTGGTGTGGAGAGAACTTGCGTGTTTGGGGGAGGGAGAGTACCGCAATTGTGGAACTTTGCATTGGAACTCAGTAACTCAGTGCTGCCCTGTCACAGTGGAAAGCAATTTAAGGCAGAACTCAGCTGGTGTCCACAGAGGAAGCATTTAGACCAGACCTAGCCAGAGGCAAGTCACCCATCCTAATGGTGGGAACCTGAGTTCTGGCAAACAGTGCTACCATGAACTAAAGTGCTCTGGGGTTCTAAATGAACTTAAAAGGCACTCTAAGCTACAAAACTTCAATTCCTAGGTAATTCTTGGTGCTGTGCTGGGCTTAGAGCCAGTGGACATGGGGTGCATGTGACCTAGTGCGACATTAGCCAGAATGGCCAAAGGAGTGCTTGTGTCACCAGTCCCCAAACCCCAGGCAGGACGGCTTACACCTCTTGGGGAGAATCCTTTCCACTTGAAGAGAGAAGACAGGAGAGACTTTGTCTTGCAACTTGGATATCACCTTAAGTGCAGTAGAATAGGGCACCAGGCAGAGTCCTGAAGCTCAAATTCTAGGACCTAGCTACCAGATGATATTTCTGAACACACTCTGGGCAAGAAGGGAACCAGCTGCCTTGAAGGAAAGGACCCACTTCTGGCAGGATTTATCACCTGCTGACTAAAGAGCACTTGGACCCTGAATAATCAGCAATGGTAACCAAGCAGTACTCACCATAGTCCTTTGGTGAGACTTACAGCCATGCTGTCTTTAGGTGTGACCCAGCACATTCTTAGTTGTGATGGTTACAGAGAGGGACACCTTTTGCTTCAGAAAAGGAAAGGGAAGAATAAAACTTGTCAATAGTAGGGTAGAGCACCAAGCAGGCTCCTGGGGTCCCTGGTTTCAGTCCTTGGTTGCTGGACAATATTTCTGGACCTGCTCTGGGCCAGATGGGAGCCCACTTCCCTGAAAGGAGAGACCCAAGCCTGGCATCATTCATCACAAGCTGACTGAAGAGCTCGTAGGCCTTGAGTGAACATCGGTGGCAGCCAGGCAGTACTTGCCACAGGCCAGGGGCAGTGGGAGTGACAGGAAAAGACTCCTCTGCTCAAGGAAAGGGAAGGAAAGAGTGGGAAGGACTTTGTCTAATGGATTGGGTACCAGATCAGCTGCAGTAAAATAGAGCATGAAGTAGATTCCTAAGGTTCCCAATTCTAGGCAATGGCTCCTGGAAGGTATCTCTGGACACTCCCAAGGCTAGGGGGAGCTCACCACCCCGGAGGGAAGGAAACACACCTGACTGGATTCACCACATGCTGGTTGTACAGCCCTTAGGCCTTGAGTGGACGTAGATGGCAGCCAGGCAGTGGTCACTGCAGTGCTGTGCTGGTTTTGGGTCTGACCCAGCATAGTCCCCACGGTTGTGGCCACAAGGGTGCTTGAGTCACCCCTCTTCCAACTCCAGGAAGCTCAGCACTGAGAGAGAGAGAGAGAGAGAGAGAGAGAGAGAGAGACTCAGAGAGAGAAACAGAAATAAACTTCATTTGTTTGGGGAAAGTAAGAGAAGAAGAATCCCTGCCTGGTAATCCAGGGAATTCTCCCAGATCTCATACAAAACCACCAAGGTAGTACCTCCACGAGTCTGCAAGAGCCAAAACATTACTGGGTTTGAGGTGCCCCTAATGCAGATACGGCAACAGTGGCGAAAAGACTTGGATCACAACACCCAAGTTCTTCAAAAGCCTTCCCAAGAAGGATGGCTTCAAACAAACCCAGACTGTGAAGACTACAATAGATATTTAATTCTTCAATGCCTAGACAACAATGAACATACGTAAGCATCAAACCATCCAGGAAAGCATAACCTTACCAAATCAACTAAATAAGGCACTATTCACTAATCCCAGAGAGAAAGAGATATGTAAATTTTCAGAAAGAGAATTCAAAATAGCTGTTTTGAGGAAGCTCAGTGAATTTCAAGATAGTTCTGGGAAGGAAGTCAGAATACTATTAGATAAAGCAGACAAAAGAAAAAGGAATAAAAAAGCATGAAACTCACCTACAAGATCTAGAAAATAGCCTCAAAAGTGCAAATGTAAGAGTTAATGGTCTTAAAGAGGAGGTAGAGAGAGGGATCAGTGTAGACAATTTATTCAAAGAGATAATGAAAAAGAACTTCCCAAACCTAGATGAAGATATCAATATCCAAGGACAAGAAGGTTATAGAACACCGAGCAGATTTAGCCCAAATAAGACTGCCTAAAGGCACTTAATAATCAGACTCCAAAAGGTCAAGGATAAAGAAAGGATTCTAAAAACAGCAAGAAAAAAGAAACAAATAACATACACAAGAGTACCAATATATCTGGCAACAGACTTCTCAGTGAAAACTTTACAGGCCATCAAAGACTGGTATGACATGCTTAAATGTTGAAGAAAAAATACTTTTATCCTAAAATAGTATATCCAGCAGAAGTATTCTTGAAATACGAAGGAGAAATTAAGACTTTCCTAGAAAAACAAAAGCTGGGGGGCTTCACCAACACCAGACCTGTCCTACAAGAAATGCTAAAAAGAGTTCTTCAATATGAAATAAAAGATTGTTAAAGAGCAACAAGAAATCATCTGAAGGTAAAAAACTCACTGGTAATAATAACTACACAAAAAAATCACAGGATGTTATAACACTATAATTATGATGTACAAACTTCTCATATCTTGAGTAGAAAGACTAAAAGAAGAACTTATCAGAAATAAGTACGACAATTTTTCAAGACATAGATAATACAATAAGATATAAAAAGAAATAACAAAAAGTTAAAAAGTGACTGGAGAGAGTTAAAGTACAGAGTTATTATTAGTTTTTCTCTGCTCGTTTGTTAGTTTGTTTATGTAACCAGTGTTAACTTGTAATTTGTTTAAAATTATGAAATATAAGATATTATATGCAAGCTTCATGATAACCTCAAACCAAAATCCATGCAACACATACACAAAAAATAAAAAGCAAGAAATTAAAGCATACAACAAGGGAAAATCAACATCACTAAAAGGAAGACAGGAAGGAAGTAAAGAAGGTAGAGAAGACCACAAAACAATGAGAAAACAAATGACAAAATGGCAGGAATATGTCCTTACTTATCAATAATAACACTCAATTTAAATGGACTAAAGTCTCCAATGAAAAGACATAGACTGGCTGAATATATTTAAAAAAAAAGACCCAGTGATGTGTTACATGCAAGAAAAGCACTTAACCTATAAAGACACACATAGAATGAAAACAAAATGCTGGAAAAAGATAATTCATACAAACGGAAGCCAAAAAACAGCAGAAGTAGCTGTACTTATTTCAGACAAAATAGATTTCAAGAGAAAAACTATGTAAAGGGAAAAATAAGTCATTATATAATAATAGTCAATTGAGCAAGAATATATAACAATTGAAAATGTATATGCGCCCAACACTTTAGCACCCAGATGTATAAAGCAATTATAATTAGAGCTAAAGAGAGAGATAGATCCCAATACAATAATAGCTGGAGACTTCAACATCCTATTTTCAGTATTGGACAAATCTCCCTGACAGAAAATCAATGAAGAAATATTGGAGGTAATCTACACTATATGCCAAATGGACCTAATGTATATTTACAGAAGATTTTATCCAACTGATGTGGAATGCACATTTTTCTCCTCAGCACATGGATCATTATCAAGGATAGATTGTATTTTAGACCACAAAACAAGTCTTAAAAATTTCAAAAAAAATAATGTAAACCATCTCAAGTGTCTTCCCTGACCACAATGAAATAAAACTAAAAATCAAAAAGAGGAATTTTGGAAACTATACAAACACATGGAAATTAAACAATATGCTCCTGAATAGCCAGTGGGTCAATAAAAAATTTAAGAAGGAAATTGAAAAGTTTCTTGAAATAAATAATAATGGAAACATAACATACTAAAACCTCTATGGGAAACAGGGAAAGCAGAATTAAGAGAAAAGTTTAAAGCAATAGGCATCAACATTAAAAAAAAGTAGAAAAACTTTAAATAAACAATCTAATAATGCATATTAAATAACTAGAAAAGCAAGAGCAAACGAAACCAAAAATTAGTAGATGAAAAGAAATAATGAAGATCAGAGTAAAAATAAATGAAGTTCAAACAAACAAACAAACAAAAAGACCAACAAAAGAAACTGGGTTTTTGAAGAGATAAACAAATTGACAGACTTTTTGCCAGACTAACTAGGAAAAAAGAGAAAAGATCAAATAAGTAAAATTACAGTTGAAAAAGGAGACATTACAAATGATATCACAGAAATTTAAAGGATCATTAGTGGCTACTATGAGCAACCAAATGCCAATAAATTGGAAGACCTAGAAAAAATGGGTAAATTTATACACACATACAACCTTCCAAGATTCAACCATGAAGAAATCCATAACATGTACCGACCAATAACTAATAAAGAGATCTAAACAATAATAAAAACTCTCCCAGCAAAAAAAGCACAGGATCCAATTGCTTTACTGCTGAATTTTACCAAACATTTAAAGAAGAACCAATACAATCCCTATTCAAATTTTTCTGAAAAATAGTGGAGGAGAGAATACTTCCAAACTCATTCTATGAGGCCAGTATTACCCTGATACCAAAACTAGGCAAAGACACATCAAAAAAAGAAACCTACAGGCCAATAACCCTGATGAACATTGATGTAAAAAGCCTCAACAAAATACTAGCAAAACAAATTCAACAACATACCTTTAAAAATATTTATTATGACCAGGTGAAATTTATCTGAAGGATGCAAAGATGATTCAACATACACAAATCAAACAATCTGATGCATCATATTAACAGACGAAGGATAAAAACCATATGATCATTTCAATTGATGCCAAAAAACCATTTAATACAATTTAATACCCCTTCACAATAAAAACTTAAAAAACGACACATGGATGGAACATATCTCAATACAATAAAAGCCATATATGACAGACACAAAGCCAGTACCATACTGCATGGTGAAAAACTGTCAGCCTTTCATCTAAACTCTGGAACACAACAAGGATGCCCATTGTCACTACTGTTATGCCACATAGTACTGGAAATCATAGCCAGAGGAATCAGACAAGAGAAGGATATAAAGTACATACAAGGTGAAAAGAAATATGTCAAATTCTCCATGTTTGCAGATGATAAGTTTTCATATTTGGAAAAAATCTAAAGACTCCACAAAAAAGCTATTTGAACTGATAAACAAATTCAGAAAATTTAGAGGATACAGAATCAGCATACAAAAATTATTAGCATTACTATGTGCCAACAGTGAACAATGTGAACAACAAATATAAAAATGTAATCCCATTTACAATAGCCAGACAGAAAATTAGATACCTAGGAATTAACTTAAACAAAGAAGTGAAAGATTTCTATAATAAAAACTATAAAACGGTGATGAAAGAAAGTGAAGCAAACACCTCAAATTTTTTTTAAAAAAAGTATTCCATGCTCATGAATTGGAAGAATCAATATTGTTAAAATGTCCTTACTACCCAAAGCAGTCTACAGATTCGATGCAATTCCTATCAAAATATCAATGACATTCTTCATAGAAATAGAAAAAAAATTCTAAAATTTATTTAGAATCAAAAAAGACTCAGAATAGCCAAAGTTATTTTAAGTAAAAAGAACAAAACTGGAGGAGACTGTATTTCAAATTATACATTGGAGCTATAGTAACAAAAACAGCATGGTACTGGCATAAAAACAGACACATAGACCAATGAAACAAAATAGAGAACTCAGAAACAAATCCACGCACTTAGAGACACAAAGACAGTCTCTTCAATAAATGATGCTGGGAAAACTGAATATCCATATGCAAAAGAATGAAGCCAGACCCCTATCTCTCACCATATACAAATATCAAATCAAAATAGATTAATGATTTAAATCTAAGACCTCAAACTATGAAACTACTACAAGAAAACCTTAGGGAAAGTCTCCAGGACATTGGTCTGGGCGTATATATCTTGAACAATATCCTACATGCACAGGAAACCAAAGCAAAAATGGACAAATGGGATCACATCAAGTTAAAAAGCTTCTGCACAGCCAAAGATACAATCAATAAAGTGAAGAGATAACCCAGAGTATAGAAGAAAATGTTTGCAAGCTATCTGTCTCATAAGAGATTAATAATCAAAATATATAAGGAACTCAAACAACTCAATAAGAAAATATAATCCAATATAAAAGTCGGCAATAAATCTGAAGAGACATTTCTCAAAAGACATACAAATGGCAAACAGATATGTGAAAAGGTGCTTAATATCACTGATCATCAGTGGAATGCAAGATAAAACTACAGTGAGGTATCATCTTACCCCAGTTTAAATGGCTTTTATCCAAAAGACAGACAATAATGCTGCTGGGGTTGTGGAGAGTAAGGAACACTCCTACACTGTTAGTGGAAATGTAAATTAGATCAATCACTATGAAGATCAGTTTGGAGATTGCTCAAAATCTAAAAATAAAACTACTGTATGATTCAATAATCCCACTGCTAGGTACATACTCAATAGAAAGCAGATTAGTATATCAAAGAGATATCTGCAGTTCCATGTTTATTGAAGCAGTATTCACAATAGTGAAAGTTTTGAAGCAAGGTAAGTGGCCATCAGCAAAAGAATGGATGATGAAAATGTGGTACATATGTACTGTATTAGTCTGTTTTCACACTGCTGATGAAGACATACCTGAGACCAGGCAATTTACAAAATAAATAAGTTTAATGGACTTACAGTTCTACCTGGCTAGGGAGGCCTCAAAATCATGGTGGAAGGTCAAAGCCACTTCTTACATGGCAGCAGCAAGAGTGAGATTGAAAGCCAAGCAAAAGGGGCTTCCCCTTATGAAACCATCAGATCTTGTGAGACTTATTCACTACCATGAGAACAATATGAGAGAAACCACCTCCATGATTCAATTATCTCCCACCAGGTCCTTCCCACAACACATGGGAATTATGGGAGTACAATTCAAGATGAGATTTGGCTGGGGACATAGAGCCAAACCATATCATTCCAACCCTGGCCCCTGCCAAATCTCATGTCCTCATATTATAAAACCAATCATGCCTTCCCAGCAGTCCCCCAAAGTCTTAACTCATTTCAGCATTAAGACAAAAGTCCACAGTCCAACGTCTCATCTGAGACAAAGCAAGTCCCTTCTTCCTAAGAGCCTGTAAAATCAAAAGCAAAGTTAGTTACTTCCTAGATACAATGGGGGTATAGGCATTGGGTAAATACACTGTCCCAAATGGGAGAAATTGGCCAAAACAAAGGGGCCACAGGCCCCGTGCAAGTCTGAAATCCAGCAGGGCAGCCAAATCTTAAAGCTTCAAAATGATCTCCTTTGACTCCATGTCTCACATCCAGGTAACAC
This sequence comes from Homo sapiens, assembly GCF_000001405.40. Taxonomy (NCBI): domain Eukaryota; kingdom Metazoa; phylum Chordata; class Mammalia; order Primates; family Hominidae; genus Homo; species Homo sapiens. The sequence continues at coordinate 99,201,617 of NC_000023.11, read as the reverse complement.
TGATGCAAGAGGTGGGTTCCCATGGTCTTGGGCAGCTCTGCCCCTGTGGCTTTGCAGGGTACAGCCTCACTCCTGGCTGCTTTCATGGGCTGGCGTTGAGTGTGTGCAGCTTTTCCAGGTGAATGGTGCAAGCTGTCTGTGGATGTACCATTCTGGGGTCTGGAGGACAGTGGCCCTCTTCTCACATCTGCACTAGGCAGTGCCCCAGTAGGGACTCTGTGGAGGCTCTTACCACATATTTCCCTTCCACACTGCCCTAGGAGAGGTTCTCCTGAATGCCCTGCCCCTGCAGCAAACTTCTGCCTGTGCATCCAGGTATTCTCTAAAATCTAGGCAGAGGTTCCCAAACCCCAATTCTTGACTTTTTTGCACTCACAGGCTCAACACCAGATGGAAGCTGCCAAGGCTTGGGCCTTCCACCCTCTGAAGCCACAGCCCATGCTCTATGTTGGCCCCATTCAGCCATAGCTGGAGTGGCTGGATCACAGTGCACCAAGTCCCTAGGCTGCACACAGCACAGGGGCCTGGGCCCAGCCCAGGAAACCACCTTTTCCTCCTTGGCCTCCAGGACTGTGATGGGAGGGGCTGCTGTGAAGACCTCTGACATGCCCTAGAGACATTTTCCCATTGTTTTGGGGAATAACATTCAGTTCCTCATTACTTACGCAAATTTCTGCAGCTGGCTTGAACTACTCCTCAGAAAATGGGATTTTCTTTTCTATCACATTGTCAGGCTGCAAATTTTCTGAACTTTTATGCTCTCCTTCAATTATAAAACTGAATGCCTTTAACAGCAGCCAAGTCACCTCTTGAATGCTTTGCTGCTTAGAAATTTCTTCTGCCTGATACCCTAAATCACCCCTTTCAAGTTCAAAGTTCCACAAATCTGTAGGGCAGGAGCAAAATGCCACCAGTCTCTTTGCTAAAACATAACAAGGGTCACCCTTGCTCCATTTCCCAACAAGTTTCTCATTTCTATCTGAGAACACCTCAGCCTGGACATTATTGTCCATAACACTATCAGAATTTTGGGCAAAGCCATTCAACAAGTCTCTATGAAGTTCCAAACTTTCCCACATTTTCCTGTCTTCTTCTGAGCCCTCCAAACTGTTCCAACCTCCGCCTGTTACCCGGTTCCAAAGTCGCTTCCACATTTTCGGGTATCTTTACAGCAGTGCCCCACTCTACTGGTACCCATTTACTGTATTAGTCTGTTTTCACACTGCTGATGAAGACATACCTGAGACTGGGCAATTTACAAAAGAAAGAAGTTTAATGGACTTACAGTTCCATGTGGCTAGGAAAACCTCACAATTATGGTGGAAGGCAAAAGGCAATTCTTACACGGCAGTGGCAAACGAGAGAATGAAAGCTAAGTCAGAGGGCTTTCCCCTTATAAAACCATCAGATCTCATAAGATTTATTCACTACCATGAGAACAATATGGGAAAACCACCCATGATTCAATTATCTCCCACCAGGTCCCTCCCGCAACACATGGGAATTATGGGAGTATAATTCAAGATGAGATTTGGGTGGGGACACAGAAACAAACCATATTATATACAACGAAGTACTATTCACCCCAAAAAAGAATGAGATTCTGTCACTTGCAACAACATGGATGGAACTGGAGGTCATTATATTAAGTCAAATAAGCCAGGCACAGAAAGACGAACATCTCATGTTCTCACTTATATGTGGGAGCTAAAATTTAAGACAATTGAACTCATGGGGCAAGAAAGAGTAGAATGTTGGTTACTGCAGGGTAGGAAAGGTAGCATGGTAAGGGAAGTGGAAATGGTTAATGGGCACAAAATTATAGTTTGATAGCATGAATAAGAGCTAGTATTTGATAGCACAGCAGGGTAACTACAGTAAACAATTTATCGTACATTTAAAAATAACTTAAAAAGTATAATTACATTGTAATACAAGAAAAGGATAAATGCTTGAAGTGATGGATACCCCATTTACTCTGATGTGATTATTTCACATTGTATGCTTCTGGAAAAATATAGCATTTACCCCATAAATATATACACTTACTATGTACCCACAAAAATACAAAAAAAATCAATGAATGATAAATACTTTCCAAGACTAACAAAAGCTGAGGGAGTTCATCATCACCAGATCACTATTAAAAGAAATGCTAAAGAGACTGTTTTAAGCTGAAAGAAAAAGGGACTAATTGTTAGGTTGCTGCAAAAGTAATTATGGTTTTTATCATTGATTGTAATGGCAAAAACTGCAATTGCTTTTGCACCAACCTAACAGTAACATGGAAACCTAGAAAGAAAACTTACTTTTTGAAGTAAGTAGACAGTCAATTTTAGAATACTCTAATACTCTAATGATGGTGTATAAGTCAGTTATATTGCTATTATGAAAATGAAAAGAAAATAATATTATAATAGTAACAATAATTTGTTAGTGGATGCACAATATAAATTGTGTAAATTGTGACCTCAAAAACACAAAATGGGCCAGGTGCGGTGGCTCATGCCTGTAATCCCAGCACTTTGGGAGGCCGAGGTGGGCGGATCATGAGGTCAGGAGTTGGAGACCAGCCTGGCCAACATGGTGAAACCCTGTCTCTACTAATAATACAAAAATTAGCTGGGCATGGTGGCAGGTGCCTGTAATCCCAGCTACTCAGGAGGCTGAGGCAGGAGAATCGTTTGAACCTGGGAGGCGGAGGTTGCAGTGAGCCGAGATTATGCCATTGCACTCCAGCCTAGGCGACGAGAGCAAGATTCCATCTGAAAAAAAATAAAAAATAAAAAATAAAATGATATGGGAGGTCAAGTGAAAGTATAGAGTCCTTTTATGCAATCAAATTTAAGTTGTTATCAGCCTAAAACAGCCTATTTTAACTATATAATATTTTATGCAAGCCTCATGGCAGTCACAAAGTAGAAATCTATGTGGATACACAAATGATAAAAAGTAAGAAATCACAGCATGTCTCTAGAAAAAAAGTATCTAATCATGAAGACAGCAAGAAAGAACAGAATAAAGGCTCTACAAATCAATCCTAAAACAATTTTTAAAATGGCAGTGTTAAATTCTTACAAATTAATAATTAGCTTTACTGTAAATGGATTAAATCCTTCAGTTAAAAATCATAAAGTGATTGAATAGATTTTTAAAAAGATTTAACTATATGATATTGATAGTAAAAAGATGGAAGAAGATATTTTATGCAAAAAGAAACCAAAGAGAACAGAGGTAGCTATATTTAAATTAGAAAAAATAAACTTTAAGTAAAAAATTGGAAAAAGGGACAAGTAAAAACTTTATTTATTGATAAAGAGGTCAATTCATCAGGAAACTACAGCAATTGTAAACATGGATGAATGGATTCCACATTGAAGCACCTAAATACATAAAGCAAATATTAATAGATAAAAAGAGAGTGGTAAATTGCAATTTGATAACAGTAGGGGACTTCAATACACCACTGTTAACAATGAACAAATTATCCAGACATGAAATCAATAAAGGACTATTGGGCGGAAACTATACTTTAGATCAAATGAACCTAACAGACACATACAGAATATGCATTCTTCCATCCAACAGCAGCAGAATATGCATTCTTCTCAAGCACATACAAAACATTCTCCAGGATAGATCTATGTTAGGTCACATAATAAGTCTTAACAAATTTTAAAAGATTAAAATCATATTAGATATATTTTCTGACCACCATGGTGTGAAACTAGAAATCAATAGTAGGAGGAATTTTCAGAGAATTTCCAAATATGCAGAAGTTAAGCAACATGCTCCCAAACAAACAACAAAGCAAAAAAAAAAAATAAATAAAAATAAAAATAAATAAAAGGAAAATGTAGGAGGCAAATGAAAATGGAAACGAAATATACCAAAACTTATGGGATTCAGCAAAAGGAGTTTAAGCAGAAAATTTATGGCAATAAATACCTACTTTAATATTAAGAAAGATTCCAAATAAAGAACATAACATTACACCTCAAGGAACTAGAAAAAGAACAAGCTGAGCCTAACGTTGGCAGAAGGAATTAAATTATTAAGATTAAAGCAGAAATAAATGAAATAGAGAACAGAAAATAATGACAAATCAAGAAAACTAAAAGTTAGTGTTTGAAAGGATGGTCAAAATTGGCAAACACATAGCTAGACTATAGGAAAAGAAAGATTCAAGTAACTAAAAGTAGAAGGAGACATTACAACTAATGCCAGAGAAATAAAAAGGTTCATTTGAGAATACTATGAATAATCATATTCCAATAAATTGGATAACCTAGAAGAAATGGAAAAATTTCTACATCATTCAGTCTACTAAGACTGACTCATGAATACATAGAAAATCTGAATGGAGTATAATCAATAAAGTGGTTAAATTAGCAATTAAAAACCTGCCAACAAATAAAAGCTCAGGATCACATGGCTTCATTGGAGAATTCTATCAAACATTTAAAGAAAACTGTTTTTACTCACTTTCCAATAATTAAAGGCAATAAATACTTCCAAATTCATTTTATGAGGCGAGCACACTCTGATACCGAAACAAGAAAAATACACTATAAGAAAAGAAAATTACAGTTCTGTATACCTGGTGAATATACATGCCAAAAATTCCAACAAAATGCTAGCAAACTAAATTCAACAACGTATTAAAGGATCATATACCATGAACAAGTGAGATTTATCCCTGAGATGCAAGAATGATTCAAAATACAAAAAACAATCATATGATATACCACATAAAGAGAACACAGGATAAAAATCACATTACATCTTAATAAATACAAAAAAGCATTTTACAAAATTCAACACTCTTTTATGATAAAAGCTTTTAACAAATAAGGAATAGAAAGGCATTACCTCAACATAATGAAGGCCATATATAAAAAGCAAAAAGCCCCTATATAACATCATACTCAATGTCAAAAACTGAAAGCTTTTCTTCTAAGATAAGGAACAATATTTAGCATATTACTGAAAGTCCTAGAAAGGACAATTAAGGAAGAAAAATAAATAAGAGGCATCCAAATCAGAAAGGTAGAACTAAAATTATCTATGTTCAGAGAAGACATAATCTTGTATATAGGAATCTCCAAAGATGTAACACACAAAAATGGTATAAGTAATAAACAACTTCAGCAAATTTGCAGGTTACACAGCCATCATACAAAAATTAGTTTCAGGCCAGGCATGGTGGCTCACATCTGTAATCCTAGAATTTCAGGAGGTCAAGACAGGAACGCGTGAGGCCAGATGTTCAAGACCAGAGTGCACAACATAGCCAGGCCCCATCTTTACAAATATAAAATAAAATAATTAGCAAGGCTTGTTGGTATGTGCCTGTAATCCCAGTGATTTGAGACGTTGAGGCTGGATGATCCTTTGAGTCCAAGAGTTTGTGGCTGCAGCAAGATATGTTCATGACACTGCACTTCAGCTTGGGTGAATAAATGAGATTCTATGTCTTAAAAAAAAAAAAAAAAAAAGAAGGAAACCAAAAAAAAATCAGTTGAAGTTTATACACTCATAGTAAACAATGCAAAAGGGAAATTAAGAAAGCACTCGTATTTACAATAGTATCAAAAAATAAAAATAAACAACCAAGGAGGCAAAAAAATTGAACACTGACAACTACAAAACATTGCCAAATTAAAGAAGACACAAATAAATGGAAAACAGCTCAAGTTCATGGATTGGAAGACTTAATATCATTAAAATGTCCATGCTACCAAAAACAATCTATAGATACTATGTATTCTCTATCAAAATCTCAATGGCATTTTTAGCAAAAATAGAAAAACAATCGTAAAATGTATATGGAATCACAATTATTTTGGGATAACCAAAATTATCCTGAGAAAAAAGAGTCAAGTGGAGAAGTCACACTTCTGGAGTCTAAAACATATTATAGTGCTAAAATAATAAAACAGTATGGTACTGGCATAAAAGTAAACATAGAGACCAATGGAATAGAATAGAATGCCCAGAAATAAGCCCACCCATATACTGTCATATGATCTTCAACCAGGGTGCAAAGACTACACAATAGGGAAAGGATATTCTCTTCAACAAATGATATCAGGAAAACTGGATAACCATATGCAAAATAATGAAATTGGATTCTCATCTTACACCATAAACAAAGATCAACTTAAAATGGTTTAAAACTTAAACTTAAGACCCAAAACTATAAAACTCTAGCAGGAAACATAGGGGAAAAACCTCATGACATTGGTCCAGGTAAAAATTTATTGGGTATGACAAAAAGCACAGACAACAAAACCAAAAATAAACAAGTTGGACCACATCAAGCTAAAAAACATTATTTGCAGCGAAGGGAACAATCAACAGAGTGAAAGGAAACTTATATAGTAGGAGAAAGTATTTGCAAACCACACATTTGAAAAGGGTTTCATATCCGAAATATAGAAATAACACTTACAATTCAATAGCAGTAAAACGAATAACCCAACTGAAAAATGGGCAAAGGACTTGATTAGACATTGCTTCAAAGAAGACATACAAGTGACCAGCAGGTATATAAAAACATGCTCAACATAACTAATCATCAGGGATATGCAAACTAAAATCACAATGAAACATCTCACACCTATTAGGATGGTCTTTGTAATGTATAAACAATCAAACAAAATCAGAAGAAGAAATACAGGTCTTTGTGAGGATGTGGAGAAATTGCAAATCTTGTGCACTGTTGGTGGGAATGTAAAATGGTGCAGCCACTATGGAGAACAGTATGGAGTTTGTTCAAAAAACAAAAAATAGAACTGCCATATGATCTAGCAAGCTCATTTCTGGGTATTTTCTGACAGAAGTGAAATCAGGATCTCAGAGAGATATTTGCACTCCCATGTTCATTGCAGCACTATTCACAATAGCTAAGATATGGAAATAACCCCAACGTCTATCACCAGATGAATGAAATGTAGTATATACATACAGTAGATCCTTACTCCCTTAAAAAAGAACTGAATCCTGTATTGTGATAGAACATGGATGAACCTTGAGGACATTATTCTAAGTGATATAAGCCAGTAATGGAAGGAAAAATACTGCATGATTCTGCTTATATGAGGTGTATTAAATAACCATATTCAGAAACAGAGAGTAATATGGTGATTGCCAAGGTCTGGGGGAGTAGTAGAAAATGGGGTGTTCCTGTTCAGTGGGTTTAGAGTTCTCAATCATTCAAAATGAGAAAGTTCTAGAGACAGACCTACTGTATAACATTGTGTTTATAGTTAACAGTGTACACGTAAAAATTTGTTGAGTGTAGCTCTCACATTATGTGCTTTTTAAAACCACAATAAAATATGTTCATGTTTTTGCCCTTTTCTGTTTGTTTTGACTTTCTATCTGTGTTAACTTTTAGATTTCAAAACACATTGCGGATGAGCACCATCAGACAAAACTCAAGCTTGGGAAGAAATTAACATAGTTTTTTTTTTTTTTTTATTGGCAACTCTTCTATTAACTGTTCAAAATATATGGAGCACAAGCTTTTAGGAAGCTTGACAGATTGAAATCATCAAACCTAATTTTTCACATTGGCAATACTACTGCAAAAAGAAACATGCACCAGACCAGACAAGAAATGGGTACACTCTGCTTTGTTGAACTATAGGGGATAGACACCAGTGGTAATACGATATTACTTATTACTTATATCCTAGCAAAAAGTAGCTCTTTATGATATGTATCATTTTCCAGCATAGGGGTCTGATTAAGTTGCCCCAAGCCTTCTTCTTGCTCTGTAGAATCTAATGTACCATATCACCATATCTCCATTATGCATATAATGGTGGGTACAGATATGTAGCATAAAAATATAGACCTGGGGAGTAGACTAGTAAACAAAATCTCCTCATATATTTTGTAAGAGGCAGTTCTAATTCAGTGTATTATTTTAAAACATTTCCTCCCATTGCATGACTATTACCGTTTCTCTTTTCCTTTCCTTTAGGTTTGAGGTTTTTTGAAAATATGTTCTCTTTGACTTTTTTTTTTTAAATACAGTTCTAATAGGATAATGGTTGGGAATAAGGAGATTCATGAAGTCCTACATGCTTATGTCCTTAATTTTTAAAATAAAATATTTTCCTGACTGAATCATGGCTTAGCCCTGGAACAGGTTTTAATCTTCCTGCCCAAGGGTTTAGAAAAAACAACAAACAAACAAACAAAAACTGTGTCTCCTAAAGCTTTCCTAAAAGTTTCAAAAATGGATGACATGATTTTTCTATGAAATATTCTCCTGCAGGAAATGGGAAGATACATCTCCAGTCTTTGTTATGGTTTAACCTACAGGAGACTTGGTTGGAAAATTGCTTGCAGTCACATCACAGTGGATGCCACTTTTAGTGAAATGTCTACCTGTAGCTCAGAACTTATACATGTTTTTTAGTTTAGTTTTAAAAGTTTCTGTACTTCTGCTTATTTAGGATATATATAGGTTGGGTATGGAGATTCTGTTTTCTGTAAATTATTTGAACCAAATTGGATGCTGTTCCTTTGAACAAAATTGTTTACAGAAAGCCAGACAGGTTATCATTGCTGTGCTCTCATGACATTTGTAAAATGTTGCTTCACATTGCAGATACAAAGTGTTCACAATAGAGCATGTGCTCACCACCTGCAAACCGATAATTGAATGAATGCATGTGGATTTTAGAAGAGACTATATCCAAGACCAAATAATCATTGTTATATCATGAGTTTATAGTATTCATGTAAAAACACATGATGCATATCCTCCACATTTTGTCCCCACCCCAAAACCCCTACCTCTGCCTCAGCATTGTCTGATAGCCATTGACAACAGAGAAATGAATTACATTTGAAGATAAATTATCTCTTTCCATAATAGAGCATTATGAGTACAGCTGCACGACTTTGGTGCTCTATGTCCATACACAGATGGTCAGGCTGGAGGAAAGAGAGCATGCAGATTTCTCATTTTGTGCTCTCCTGGCTTCTCTGCTAGGTTGGCTAGGATGCTCTAACAGCTGCAGCTCTGCCAGCATCTAGCTGGAATTCACTAGTTTTTCAAAAGATGAGATAGTTGAAACATTGGGGATAATTTACATACTTGGGGAAGTTCCAGAATCCATGTACAGGCCAACCCCAAATTCTTGAAATCCTCCCCTAAATTGAATTTACTAATTTTTAATTTTACTCTTTTCTCTTTATTCCCCATCATTTGTGCTAATAAGCCTAACAAATGTGACTTATATGTTAATTCAGGTGGGAAAGTTTAAAATTCATTTAAAATTTCCAATTGTGTCCTAAATCTGCAATTCAACACCCTTAGTTTGAATATTTTGAGTCAGAAAACAAGACCTCATGTTGTCAGCCAGCTTTGCAAAGGAAGGATCAGAGACACGCAAAACAGTTCAGACAAATCACAGAGAACCAGTGGAGCTTTTTGTCTGTTTCAAGAAATGAACCTTGTGGGAGATACAAGCATGTAAAGCTTGCCATTCAGGAACAGATAACCATTAACAGCAAAGCCTTATTTTATCTTTCTTTTTCCAACATTGTGTAGGTTATAATACACACAAACGTCAAAGCTCTTGTCAATCCTGGCTGAGAAGAGAATCAATTTTGCATTCGTTGTTTTGTTTCAAAGATCTGAGATAAGAACTTTCCATGGATTTTGTGAGTACTATGCAAGTTGTGAATGATGCTTCCTTTTTACTTCGCCTCAATTTCTGGTATAGCCTTTGGTGCCAGCTGTTCCATCTTAGTTTAGTTGCTACCCTGTAACAGAGAAAATAGCAGCCTCCTTCATATCAAGTGACCAAATTTAGGTCAGCTCCATAAGCATGTATATAAATTAATGAGGTCAATCCACTGCTTTCTACACTTCATACAGATGCTTTCATCCAACCTCTTGAATAATAGTATGCAGTTCAGGCTGTGGGGGATGTGGAAGGAACTGTGTATGGTTTCTTCAAACATTTATCGTTATTAAGTACTTTCGGTAGTCACAATACTGTGATATGTACTAGGACAGTTAGAAGAAATGAAAGAGACTTAGGCTTGGCCTTCAGAATTCCTCAAATCAAAATGGACAGAAAATAAAAATATGCTTGGATAATTTTTACTAGGAAAATATCTTTAAGGCTCATAAACTCCAATAGAAAATGCTCAGAGATAAAGCATTAGTCAAGAAGAGGCTGATGTGGACTACGTAATAAATATCCTGAAACAAGTTTGAGGCTGATATGGAAGCTGTACCTTGATCTTGTCAATTTATATATGGAAGAGTAGTAAACTGTATATGTCCTTGTCTTCTCTAGATCCTCATTGTACAAAAATATGAACATCATAAACACTAACAAATCACTTCCAAGATGCAGCAAGGTATTGAGAATTTAAAATTTCTCAAAGGCAATGGCAGAATTTGGGGCCTGGACATGTCTGCTGAGGAAAGCAAAAGGAGATAAAACTAGAACACAGAGTCCTGTAGAAAATATCTTTGAGATCCACTCAGCTTTGTAGGCAAGTCTTTATTTAGTTTTACATCTAAGGAAGGAAAATACGTTTTGAAGAAGGGTTAGGTAAGTTCATGGCAAATGCTTTCAGTAGTCAATAGGAGAAATATTTGTGAGCCTTCTCTTATATTTATGTTGCTCCATCATGGTATAAATTCCCTTTCTTTCAAACTATTGGATTTTCCCTTTAAGGGATTTTAAAGGACTTATTAAATGCAGTTTGATTTGTATATATTCATGAACAAAAATTTGACCTTAAGTAATTTACATTAGCTCTGTCTGGTCAACAATTGCTACACATCGATTGCTATTCCTGGAACCTCCATTTCATTATATATAGTGCACTGGAACATATTTAAGTCGTATTGAATAAAATGTATGAATCCAAAATTGTAAGAAATGAATTTGCAAGAGCCATTGCTGCGTTTTAACTTATTTTCTGTAAATATGTTGTAAATTATTTGTAAGGTAGTTGTATGTGTCTGTATACCATCTTTAGCAGGCTTATAAATATATTATTAACTCTTTATATCTCCTTGAGAGTAACCCCTTAAAATAAGCATCCCCATGTCTAATATAGCATCTTTTGCTAAATGTAGATCTAGCCAAAAAAAAAGTACAAAATGACAAAACTATTGTTTTTTTTTTTAATTTAGAAAATATAAGAATGTGCAAACTGCTTGCATTTCTGGACAGAGACATTATAGGGCAATACTGCTTTAGGTCTCTTTAGCAAGAACTGATTGGTCATCAAAATTCAGAAACTCCAAAACTTTGACAATGTATACACTCTATATTCTCACGCTTGGAAATGTAGATTGGTCCTTTTTCACACAACAGGATTACAACTAACACTTAAATATTCCTAAATGTACCTGAATCTTAGGACATCCCTTCCCACTGTAGATTGCAGATGTTCTTGTTCTCTTTGAGGAATATGTCTAAGGACAAAGTTGAAAGTGTGTGCTAGAAGCAAATTTAAAACTGAACATGGCAATATATGTCTTCTCATTCACTCTATTTTCTGTGTAATCTCTTTTCAGACAGCAGATAAGAACTGAGGGAGTCTTGGTCTTCAAGGATCTTGAAAGCAATTAACATAGCAAGGGTTTTGTGGCAAACCTGGTATTTATGTAATAGGACTCCCCTTATAAGATCACTGTGAGGCTTAGATGAGAATTTATAGACAATGCTGTTATCACAATGTCTATCAATCAAGAAGCAAGCTAATAGTTTTATTATACTTCTATTTTGTTTGTATTTGCCACAGCACCTAAAGAGTTAAGTTAATTATAGGCTCTTCATTCAGAGATCTGGTTTGAATAAATGTAGACAATAAGAAAATGTGTTTACTTTAGTAAAGCGTCCAAAAGTGCTTCCCAGGAACAACTAATGTTTGGATAGATGACAGAGTTTTGTTCCAGGTAAAGTCAGGAGAGCTTATATATTTTGCAACCAATGGGCCTGTTTTTGAAATCCTCCCGCTTTGTGCTACATTTTGTTTTGTGGTGTATGTTTTACTGATTAGACAACTGCATTCTACACAGCTTTGCCAATTCATACGTTTTTCATAAATTAACAGATCTTGAGAACTCAAAACAGAATGGCTTTCTGATTTTCTTTCAATGAGTCCATTCTGAGCAGCAACCTCAGACTTGAGCTGGTCCCATCTTCATTCAATATCACTGCGTAAACAGAAAGGCCCCAACATTCTTGTAAAGCTTTTAAGTCTGGCATTGCATGGGGGAAAGCTGCTCAATCTACTGCTATTGCTTCTGCCACTACAGTGGAATATTGCAAATGGACAGACTCTCCTTCTGCAGTTAATGAGTGACCACTCTGGGTTTAGAGTTGTACCAAGAATGCAGCTGCTACTTGCATCCTGGCTTTCAAGTTTGCAACTATGAACCATGCAGTGTAACATTAGAGCTGCTAACCTCATCTCAAAACAAAAAACAAAAAACAAACAAAAAAAACCCATGACTCTCTGGAGCAACCCAGGAAGAGACTCCCAATGCTTGAATCTTTTCTGTCTGATCTTACTCTCTCTCTCTCTATCATATTATTTAATCAACTTCATGAACTTGGCACTTAGTTAACTTTATTAGAAATGCCAAAAATAAAAATGAAACCTGTGATACTATAAGAAATGCAAAATGGAGGCTTAGAAGTAATTTCATGAATTCTTGCTACAATCTTATATGTGGAGCTCAGTCCTTACTCTTCTAGGGATTTGCATGTTTACAGGAATCTCTTTCACCTTGCTATCAGTCCTTAAGCCTCTGTCATTATTTTTCACATATGCATCTCTTTCCTGCAGTTCCCATTCTCACATTTTTGCCATCGGTGTTTCTAAGAAACGAGGAGTACATCTTGTTCCTCATGTGCCTGTCAGGTAATGCCTTTCTTGTTATCATCAGAGGGAAGCCTCTGGGGAGTAGCATAATACACTTATTAATGAGCAGCCAAATTGTGTTGAAAAGGGAAGCCAACTTCTTCAAAAATCCAGTTGTGCCCCCAAAGGGAGAGTATGAAGCAAAATTTTCAAGTTATCAACCTGTCTCCAGGTATAAGGACACATGGAATTTTTTAGAATATAATATTAGGGAAAACTTAAAAAATTAAAACATAAGACATTCATAGAATTGTGTTATTAAAAATAAATAAATGAAATAACTGGAAAGGTAAATTATTTCCTCCAAGATTTCTGCCAGTATTAGAATGAATAACTTTTTAAATTATTATTCCTTCTGTGAGACTAATGGTACTGCCAGTTACTCATATTTTGCAGGACATACAGTAGGTCTTTGACAATATAATATTTCCAGGCAAAGAAATGGTTACAGTTTCATATAGCAAGATGTTTTCCTGGTTGAGGGATCAAGAGAGAAAACTCTCCTTAAAATTCATGAATGTATGTCATATATCCTAAGGGCAAAGCAAGGGTGAATGTCAACAGGGCCCAGTGATATAGAATTCCAAGCAAAAATTCCAGTTGAAGGTTAGATGCTATAAAGCATCAGAATCTCCTTGCCTTCCATGCACACTTTGATTAAAGGCCTTTGCAATTGAATTGATGGTATGAGAGAGATAGGAGAGTGTATTAATCTATTTTCACACTAGTATAAAGACATACCCAAGACTGGGTAATTTATAAATAAAAGAGGTTTAATTGACTTACAGTTCCCATGGCTGGGGAGGCCTCAGGAAATGTACAATCATGGCAGAAGGTGAGAGAAAAGCAATGGCACGTCTTACATGGCAGCAGGCAAGAGAAAGAGTGAATGAGAGAAGGGGGAAGAGCCCCTTATAAAACCATTGGATATCCTGAGACCTCACTCTCTATCACAAGAACAGCATGGGGGAAACCACCCCCATGCTTGAATCAATCACCTCCCACCAGGTCCCACCCTTGACATGTGGGGATTATGGGGATTACAATCCAAGATGAGATATGGGTGGGGACACAGCTGAACCATATCAAAGAGAAATATAGGATGAGAGAGACATTTCCACATGTTTCCACCTGAGACTAGAAAGGGGCGCAGGGAGGAGAGGAGAGAGGAGGAGAAGAGAGGGTAGGGGAGAGGGAGGAAAAGAAGAGTAAGTGGGGAAGGGAAGCAAGAACAAGGGAGGAGGAGAGGAGAGGGAAGGGAGGAGGAGAGGAGAGGGAAGGGAGGAGGAGAGGAGAGGGAAGGGAGGAGAGGCAATGAAGGGCCAGGTAGATCTTTCCACAAAGAAATTGCGGGAACATTAGAAATAGCTGAGCTTCAGGATAGGGCAACTTAGCAGTATGTGGGGAAAATCTGACCACCAAACAACTTTAGTGTGTTTAGTTATACTTCTAGCAGAAGAAAGGAATATATTTGGCAACTCCTTCTTAATGAGGAAAAATGTTTTCATCTGATCTAAGTATGGAGAATTGGAGAGCAGGATGCCCATAAACTATTTTGCTTTTTTGATTATTCATGACAAGAAGAGAATGGAGAGAAAAGTATCAGATTTTCGAGTCTTTTCTGTGATGCTACATAAGCCTTCTCTGTTTACATTTCTTCTCTAAAGGAAAAAGGAGATCAAAATGCATATAACAAGAGGGAAATGGAAGATCATTTTAAAGTGGCTGGCATATGAACTCACTTGCACCTTTGCCTCAATATTGAATTCAATCCAGAAAACAACACTTGGGAATTTCTTTGATACAGAAAAGCTCTGTTTGTATTTCTTTTTTGTTGGTATTGTTTTAGTTAAGAAAAAAATAATATAGATTAAAAGACAAAAAATTAGTTTGACAATCAGAAACCTTGCATTCTCTGCCCTCTGAGGACAGGACAAAAAGGAGTAGATCTAAAAAGTAGTAGATCAAATTTAATTTAGACATTTGAAGATCATAAAATCTAGACCTTAATCCAAATCAATGGGACCTTAATTCAATTTATAACTCTTACATTATCTCCTATACAGTTTTCTCTTCTGCTAAATGGAGCTCTTACTACCTAGTTTATAGGATTGTTGTAAGGAATAGGCATAATTATAAAAAGATTGATATATAGCTGACATGAATCAATCAAATTATATCTGTTATTATTGTCCACAAGTTTCTACCTGAGAAAGGCATAAAATATTAATGTGCCTACTCTCTGGCTATAAGTCAGGAATTTCCAAGAGCTCATCTATGTCCAACCAAGAATTAGTACTCCTGGATCTCTGTCACATTGTTAATATCAGGAAACATAGGAATTTGGAAAGGAATGGGTGGTACACAGCTAGGAGGAAATAGGTTAGGAAAGATGTAATCTCTTGCACACAACTCTCAAGCCTCTAGAAAACTAGGGAAACACAATGTCTCATCTATTCCAAATGTCTTAATGTAATTTTAATCAAACGTTGGTAATGCTGAGATTTAGGGGGGCTGAAGCTGCCTGTTATTTACATTTTAGAATCATATGCAACTGTAATGTTTTCTGTAGTTTCCATAGCCCACATTATGAAAATCTTAGAATAAAGTTGGATGCCGAAAATCTATGGAAAGTTTAAAAGTCTATTCAGGAGGCGTAAATCTTTTAAAAGTCATTTTCAGCCCAAATGGCTCTTTGATTTCATGATTACTCTTAAGGATGAGAGAATTTTGCCTTGCTGGATCTTTGTTTCCCATTCTGTAAAATAAAAATAAGAATGACTCTCTGGTTCTTACTTCATTACAAAAACTTTAGTAAATTTTCTTTTTGCAATGAGGATTAAAGATGATATTAAACTCATGAAAATAAAAATAAACCTCTCAGTTTTTTCACACCATAAATATGTATACAGAAATTATGGTTTTGGAAGTAGGAATTAATAAAAACATTGTGACAGACTTAAGAGCAATTTGACACCTCTGATTTCTCCTTTCTATTTTGTTATTTCATGGGAATGTATATCTAAAAACTCATGAGCTTTTTGTCATGGTTCTGTATCCTCTTTAATTACAAAAGTGAAATAAATTGAGGAAGATGGGAAAGGGGAGGAAATTGGGATATGTATTTTAATAGGACATATCCATTGTAAACAAGGGTATGTTAATGGGCCTAAAAACATTTAAGTGTATTTATAAAAAGATGTAGTCCATCCTGGCTAACAAGGTGAAACCCCATCTCTACTAAAAATACAAAAATTTAGCCAGGCGTGGTGGCAGGCGCCTGTAGTCCCAGCTACTGGGGAGGCTGAGGCAGGAGAATGGCGTGAACCCAGGAGGCGGAGCTTGCGGTGAGCCGAGATTGCACCACTGCACTCCAGTCCGGGTGACAGAGAGAGACTCCATCACAGAAAGAAAAAAAAAAAAAAAAGATGTAGTGTAGTAATTTCATGGGCTCTGGTGTCAAGCAGTACTGGATTTGATTTCCAGCACTGAGACAATGATTAACCATTCTGGCACACAGTAAGCATTGCATAAATTGTAGCATTTTAAAAAAATCTGTTTTTCACTTTTAGCATTTATGGCAGACTGCATATTCAAACCAAAACCAAGCCAAAGGTATTCTCAGATACAAACTAAATGCTAGTCAGCCATTGGAAAAGAGTTCCCACACAGAAACAATAGTCAAATATAACAGAAAATTGGAAAAGGAGGGAGAAGAGTGAAATAACTCAGATCAGGTGACATTATCCAGCAGTTGTCCCCAAGTGGCAACAAAGAGAGAGGTTATAAGTGCCCGGTCACTATAAGTCCATGGCCAGCATGGGCATTTCCTTGTTTGTAGAGCTGCCTTTTATCTCCTGGGTCTTTATGCATGGCTAGATTTCTTGCTGTTACTAGAAGTACTGGAGTGCTTTCAGTTAATCTCTTAAGATATATTTTCCCCTTCTTAACAATCTTTAATGGAAATTACAACAAAATCTCATAAGAAAGCTAGTTTTCATGAGGTATCTAGCACCTGAAGGTTTGAAAAGTTGAGAAAAGGTTCAGATAAAACTCCATTTTTTTTTAGCTTTGCCCTTCACTAGAATTCCCTCAGCTCATCAAAGCCAGCTCAGACTAATACTCGAGTTTAACAAGCTGCAAGTGTAGCAGGCTCTTTGACTTTGCTAAAACTTGAAATATCACTGGTGTGGATCAGCACTCTTTGTAATCAACCAATTTTTTGCATTGGTTCTTTGTTACTCTAAATCAGTTCTGCTGACCAGAATCTCCAAATACTGTCCAGCACGTTATGCACTTTACAACTCCAGGAGATGCCATTCACACAGACTGTAATGTAAATATTGACCCCCTGGAGTTGTGCAATAGGCCTGGCACTGCTGCTGATATTTACAGAGTCTACATTTGGGACTGAAGATATTGTTGCAAGTTTAAATTTGACCTCTAATTTCTTATTAATATATTTAAGAATGATATCTGTATTTAGAGTAAGACCTTTACATTATTAGTTTCAAAGAGATAAGGTGAAACAAGGCTGGTTAGACAGCATGTTACTTTAATTCCTTCCTTAGGCATTAATTGCAGGATTTTTTTTTAATTATTGACTTGGCTGTTGAAACATGAGCATAGTAGTGAAGATGCTGACATCCAGTTTATTTGGCATATGGACTATCTTGGTAGAATATTCTCAGTATACTTGGTGTGGCTTCCAGTTTGTTCGCAGAAATAGTTTGATTAACCTATGATTTGAATTGGATAGGTTTGGAGACAATGGTTGTTTAAAGCATGTCTTCCTGTAGACAAATCTCTTTTAAAAAAAAAACAAACCCTTCCACAGATCCATCTGGTTGCATTACAGAAGTGCTTGAGGAATGGCATACTTGTCAATACGGACATATAGGCATGAAGGAGGAGATAGTGTCAGACAGAAATCAACACACTGAGAAGTTAGAACAGAGAAACAGACTGAGGCTCCAGAAAAAATGTAACAATTACAATATTACTAATGTAGTTCATTCATTCATTATGTTTCACTGAGCACATGATATACATTAGATACTATGGAAGAGATTGATGAATGATGAATAAATGAGTTTCAATCTTAGATCTAGTGAATATCACATAGTCATTAAGCACACCAGCTCTAGAGTCAGGTCACCTAATTTTGAATCCACTACTTAGATGTATAATCTTGGCAATTTAAACTCTCTGAGCTTCAGTTTTCTTGACTACGAAATAAATGGAAATCATAAAAGTAATTGCCTTACAAGGTTGTCATTAAAGTTAGGTGAAGTAATCCATGTAATGTGCTAAGCCTGGTCCATATCTCTCAATAACTATTATTACTATTCTAGTATTATAGTATTAACAATAATTAAGAAGCAGTATAGCAAAGCAGTTAAGTGCATGAGATCTGAAACCAGAAAGATTTTGAATCTTAGCTCTACCAATTAATGCCATGTGACCCTGGAAAAGTAAAATATCTCTGGCTGCTACAGTTTCCAACTCAAGTCCTTATGATCATTAAATTGAATGATACATTCAAAGTACTTCACAAAGTGCCTTACCCATAGTATGCACTCACCAAATGTTAGCTGTCATTATTATTAGAGATTGTATAAATGTTTCCTTTTATAATGGGTTGAACTGTGTCCCCCAAAGATATATGTCCAAGTTCTAATCAATCACTCCCCTGTAGCTGCTAATGTGACCCTATTTGGAAATAGGGTCTCTGCGGATGCAATTAAGAATCTCAAGGTGAGAATCCTAGATTGAGGGTAGGCCCTAAATCCAATGACTGATGTCCTTGTAAGAGAAATGAGAGAAAAGTTTGTTAATCAAAGACACAGGGAAGGCAGCCACATGAAAAAGGAGGAAACTAGAGGTTTGCTACCACAAACCAAGCAATTCCAGGAACCAGCAGAAGCCAAAATTGTCAAGGAAGTTTTGTCCCCTAGATTCTTTAGAGGGACTGCACCCCTACTGACACCCTAATTTCTGACTTGTGGTTTCCAGAAATATGAGACTAAATTTCTGGGTTTGTTATTGTTGTCATTGCGGCACGTCCAGAAACTAATAGACCTCCCATTACTTCATTTCATACTGTTACAAAAAACTAACTAACATTGCCTTCTATTTGGAGAAAGCTACATTTAAATAGTAGAAAGATGACAAACTTTTCAGCACTATTTTGTATTTTTCAAGCCTGAGCTTTTGCAGATATTCCATTTGCTTCCTGTTAAGGACATTTGGAAGGCTCCTCTGCTTTAGACAAATGTACCTAAGAATTTTTATTCATCTATTCACAAATATGTAATATATTTAACACACTCTTATTGAGCAGCTACTATGTGTTAGACATTGTAGAAGAAGCAATGATGTATTTCTTATTATAAAGCAGATCACAGTCCAGCAGTTTGAGTGAGTGAGATTTTAGCAGTCAAAGAGATAAGGATGCTGAGGACTTGGGAACTGTTTGTCTTAGAATCTTTGCAGGGTTCAACGGGATGATGTGGATATTTTTAGAAAATACATATCACTGTGTCCCCTTGACAGACCTATTAGATGTTACCCAGGCATCTGTATGTTTTTACAACATAGCACCAGTTACTGGACTAAGGTTTGGGAATTGCCAGTCTAGTCCAACTCCAGTCCCTATGCAGAAATGTATCTATTTCTGTCAAGTGCTTTTTCACCTCTGTTTGAAGATTTCTAGTAACAGAATCTCACCGTTTGTAAATCAACTGGGTCCGTTATTAACACAAAGTTCTGCATTAGAAAATTGCTCCATATATTGACCTGTAATCTAGCTTCTATTCACTTGCCATGATTTTTCATTATGAAAAAACAATGAATAATCAGTCCCTAAACAGCGATATATAACACTTATAACCTGTTCCTTTTCTGAACGAAGCTATACACATTTACCCCCTCCAACTGTCACTTGTTTTGTATTCATTTCAAACTCTTCATATTCTTGGTCATTTTCCATAGTTTAAGGTTTAGTTTGCGTATATCCTGTTTCAAATTTGATCTCCATAATTAATTGTGAGACTCTGCCAAATGAAGAATCTTGTGTGGTTGTACATAGTCTAGACTTATATTAATGAAGCCTGTTTGTAGCAGCTTGCTTTTGTTTTGTTTTGTTTTATGGCAGTCACAGCATCCTGTTGGCTCACATGGAACCTAAAGTCAAATAAAACCTCCAAGTCTTTTTTCACAAATACTGTTTACAAGCCAAAGCTCTGCTCATCTATTCTTTCTCAGCTGATTAATTAAACATTAAGAACAGAACTTCAAATGTATTCCTATTATGTTCAATTTTATTGGTTTTGGGTCATCATTTCAATCTGTGGTAGTGAACTTTTGGGATCATAATTCAGTCCTTTGATGTATTTGTTTGTTAAAAGATTTTTTAAATCTGAAAACTTGATAAGGATTTTCTTATCAAGTTACATAAGGAGATGTATAGCATGAGATTAAGAAAGTGGTCTCTAGAGTTAGATCTAGTTAAATCCAGCAGCTGGGTCCCAGTATAGATACTTATTATTTCCATTGCCTTTGAGGATTACTTAAATGTCTAAGTTCGGCTTCTTTAACTGTAAACTGAGGACAGTAACATACTTGCTTCATAGTGTTACTATGTGAATTACATACATGTTATTAAATAAACAAAATGTTTATAAAGAATTTAACATGATAAGCAGAAAAATCATTTATTCATTGTTTTCGACAAACATTTATTGAATGACTGGTATTTTTTAGTCACTGTTCTCAATATAAGAGATAGTAAGTATACATTATTGAATAAGGCAGACAAAGACCATTTCAGAACTTAAATTCTGAGGTAGAAGAGCAAGAATAAAGATATAAGCAGGCCGGGCGTGGTGGCTCCTGCCTGTAATCCCAGCCCTTGGTGGGGCCGAGGTGGGTGGATCACCTGAGGTCAGGAGTTCGAGACCAGCCTGGCCAACATGGTGAAACTCGGTCTCTACAGGTGCATCCCAGCAACTTGGGAGGCTGAGGAAGGAGAATTGCTTGAATCCGGGAGGCAGTGGTTGCAGTGAGCTGAGATTGTGCCGCTGCACTCCAGCCTGCATGACAGAGTGAGACTCTATCTCAAAAAAAAAAAAAAAAAGATATAAGCAAATGAGCAAGTGAAATAATTTCAGAAAGTGGCAAATTCTATAAAAAATAGATAAAACGGATAAAGGAGGATCAAGATGAGGAACATATTTAAAGAGACATTATTTATGCTAAAATATGCATGAGAGGATGGAACCACCCATGTCAACAAGTGAAAGAATAGTGATCGAGGCAGAGAGAGCAGCAAATTAAAGTCTCTGAGAGAGGAACAGGATTGCAGTAGTCAAGGGACATAATGAAGACCAGTGTTGTTGAAATATTATAAACATGGAAAGGAGCAGTACAAGATGTCAGAGAGATAAGCAAGGGCTAGATCGTTCAGAGCCTTTTATTGTGTGGTAAGATTATGAATTGTGTTACAAATGCAATGGGAAGCTACTGGAAGGTTTACATTACTGTTAAAGATCACTCTGATTGCTGTGTGGAAAATAGATCATAGATAGCAAGAGTGGAATCCCCAAGACCAGTTAGGATGAAAGTTCAGCAGACAGTGACTTGAACTAGGGTGGTAGCAGTGTAAATTGAGAAAATAGGTAGAATCAGAATTAAGTTTTGGAATGATATTTGACAGAATTTGATAATAGATTGAATGTGAGAAAGGAAGAAAAGAGAGGAAACAAGGATGACTACTTTGTGTTTAATAAGTGTTAGTAGTATTATCTGCAGACATACCTTGTTTTATTCTGCTTTATTGTGCTTCAAAGACATTGCATTTTTTTTTACAAATTAAAAGTTTGTGGCAATCCTGTGTTGAGTAAGTCTAATAGTGTCACTTTTTTTAAACAGCACATTCTCACTTCATATTTCTGTCATATTTTGGTAATTCTCACAATCTTTTAAAGTTCTTTTTATTACTGTGTTTGTTATGGTGATTTGTGATCAGTGATCTTTGATGTCATTATTGTCATTGTTTTGGAGTGGCATGAAGTATGCCCATATAATATGGTCAGCTTAATAGATAAATGTTGTGTGTGTTATATTTGCTCCACCAACCGGCATTTCCCCACCTCTCTTTCCTTGGACCTCCCTATTCCCTTAGGCACAACAACACTGAAATGGGGCCAATCAATAACCCTACAATGCCCTCTAAGTGTTCAAGTGAAGGAAAAGTCACACATCTGTCGCTTTAAATCAAAATCTGCAAATGATTTGGCTTAGTGTGGAAGGCAGGTCAAAAGCTGAGATAGGACAAATCTAGGCTTCTTGTGCCAAACAGCAAGCCAAGTTATCAATTCAAGGGAAAAGTTTGTAGAGGAAATTAAGAGTGCTACTCCAGTGAACACACAAATGACATGAAAGCAATACAGCCTTACTGCTGATATAAAGGAAGTTTAACTGGTCTGGATAGAAGATCAAACCAGCCACAATATTACCTTAAGCCAAAGCCTAATGCTTTGAAAGACTCTAATGCTCTTCAATTCTATGAAGACAGAGAGAGGTGAACAAGCTTCAGAAGAAAAGTTTGAAGCTAGCAGAGGTGGTTCATGAGGTTTCAGAAAAGAAGCCATCTCAGTAACATAAAAGCATGAGGTAAAGCAGCAAGGACTGAGGTAGAAGCTACAAGTTATTTAGAAGATCTAGCCAGGATAACTGATGAAGGTGGCTACACTAAATGACTGATTTTTAATGTAGACAAAACAGCCTCTATTGGAAGAAGATTCCATCTAGAAAGAAGTCAATGCCTGGCTTCAAAGGACAGGGTATCTTGTTAGAGACTAATGCAGCTGGTAGCTTTAAATTGAAGCCAATGTTCATTTACCATTCTGTAAATCCTAAGGTTATTAAGAATTATATTAAATCTACTCTGCCTGTGCTCAATAAATGGGATAATAAAGCCTGGATGATACTACATGTGTTTACAGCATGGTTTGGTGAATATTTTAAGCCCACTGTTGAAACTTACTGCTAAGAAAAATATTACTGCTCATTGACAATGCACCTGGTTGCCCAAGACCCATGATGGAGAGGTACAAAGAGATTAATGTTGTTTTCATGCTTACTAACACAACTTCCATTCTACAGCCCAAGGATCAAGAAATAATACTGACTTTCATGGCTTATTATTTAAGAAATACATTTCATGGGGCCGGGCGCGGTGGCTCACGCCTGTAATCCCAGCACTTTGGGAGGCCGAGGCGGGTGGATCATGAGGTCAGGAGATCGAGACCATCCTGGCTAACAAGGTGAAACCCCGTCTCTACTAAAAATACAAAAAATTAGCCGGGCGCGGTGGCGGGCGCCTGTAGTCCCAGCTACTCGGGAGGCTGAGGCAGGAGAATGGCGTGAACCCGGGAAGCGGAGCTTGCAGTGAGCCGAGATTGCGCCACTGCAGTCCGCAGTCCGGCCTGGGCGACAGAGCGAGACTCCGTCTCAAAAAAAAAAAAAAAAAAAAAAAAAAGAAATACATTTCATAAGGCTATAGCTGCCATAGATAGTGATTCTTCCGCTGGATCTGGGCAAAGTACATTGAAAACCTTCCAGAAAGGATTCACCATTCTAGATGCCATTAAGAACACTCATGATTCAGGGGAGGATGTCAAAATATCAACATTAATAAAAGTTTGGAAAAAATTTTTTTCCAATCCTTATGGATGACTTTGAGAGGAATCTGAATATGTGACTGAATTGCTGCAATCTCATGATGCAACTTGAATGAACGAGAAGTTCCTTCTTATGGATAAACAAAGAAAGTTCTTTTTTGAGATGGAATATTCTACTGGTGAAGTTTGTTAAAACAATAACAAAGGATTTAGAATATGACCTAACATAGTTGATACAGCAGTGGCATAGTTTGAGAGGACTGATTCCAATTTTGAAAGAAATTCTACTGTGAATATAATGTTGTCAAACAGTATGACATGCTACAGAGAAATCTTTCATAAAAGAAACAGTCAATTGATGTGGATAACGTCATTGTTGCCTTACTTTTTTAATATTTAATTTAAGTCCAGTGATGCATGTGCAGGTTTGTTATATAGGTAACCTTGTGTCACAGGGGTTTGTTGTACAGATTATTTCATCACCTAGGTATTAAGCCTAGTTATTAGTTATTCTTCCTGATCTCTCTTCTCCCATCCTCCATACTTCAATAGGCCATGTGTTCTCATCATTTAGCTTCCACATATAAGCGAGAACATGCAGTATTTGGCTCTCTGTGCATGTGTTAATTTGTTAAGGATAATGGCCAACAGCTCCATCTGTGTCCCTGCAAAGGACATAGTCTCATTTATTTTGATGGCTACATAGTATTTCATAGTGTATATAAACCACATTTTCTTTATTCAGTCTGTCATTGATGGGCTTTTTGGTGGATTCCTTGTCTTTGCTATGGTGAACAGTGTTGCAATGAACATACACATACACGTGTCTTTATAATAGATTGATTTATATTCCTTTTGGTATATACTCAGTAATTATATTTGCTGGGTTGAATGGTATTTCTGTTTTTAGGTCTTTGAGGAATTGCCACACTGTCTTCCACAATGGTTGAACTAATTTACACTCCCACTAACAGGGTATGTGTACATTTTTCTCTGAAACCTTGCCAGCATCTGTTATTTTTTTGACTTTTTAATAATAGCCATTCTGACTGATGTGAGATGGTATCTCATTGTGGCTTTGATTTGCATTTCTCTAATGATCAGTGATGTTAAGCATTTTTTCATATGATTTGTTGGCCGAATGTATGTTTTCTTTTGAAAAGTGTCTGTTTGTGTCCTTTGCCTACTTTTTTATGGGCTTTTTTTCCTTGTAAATTTTGTTAAGTTCCTTATAGATGCTGAGTATTAAACCTTTGCTGGATACATAGTGTGCAAAATTTTTCTCCTATTCTGTAGGTTTTCTGTTTACTTTGTTGATAGTTTCCTTTGCTGTGTAGAGCTCTTTAGTTTAATTAGATTCCATTTGTCAATTTTTGCTTTTGTTGCAATTACTTTTGGCATCTTTGTCATGAAATCTTTGTTCCTATATCCGGAATGATATTGCCTAGGTTATCTTCCAGGGTTTTATATTTGTGAGTTTTACACTTAAGTCTTTAATCTATCTTGAGTTAATTTTTGTATATGGTATAAGGAAGGGGTTCTGGTTTCAATCTTCTGCATATAGCGAACTGGTAATCCCAGCACCATCTATTGAATAGAGAATCCTTTCCCCATTGCTAGTTTTTGTCAACTTTGTTGAAGATCTGAGGGATGTAGGTGTGCAGCATTATTTCTCGGTTCTCTATTCTGTTCCATTGATTTATGTGTCTTTGTACCAGCAGCATGCTGTTTTGATTACTGTAGCCATGTAGTACAGTTTGAAGTTGAGTAGCATGATGCCTCCAGGTTTGTTCTTCTAGCTTAAGATAGCCTCGCCTATTTGGGCTCTTTTTGGTTTCATTTAATTTTAAAATAGTTTGTTCTAATTCTGTGAAGCATCTCAATGGTAGTGTAATAGAAATAGCATTGAATCTATAAATTGCTTTGTACAGTATGGTCATTTTTACAATATTGATTCTTCCTATCCATGAAAACGAAATGTTTTTCCATTTGTGTCAACTCTGATTTTTTTTAGCATTCTTTTTAGTTCTCCTTGTAGACACTTTTCACCTCAATTAGCTGAATTCCTAGGTACTTTATTCTTTTTGTGGCAACTGTGAATGGGAGTTTGTACCTGATTTGGCTTGTGGCTTGACTGTTTTTGATGTATAGGAACGCTAGTGATTTTTGCACATTGATTTTATATCCTGAGACTTTGCTGAGGTTTTTTATAGGCTTAAGAAGCTTTTGGGCTGAGACGATGAGGTTTTCTAGATACAGGATTATGTCATCTGCAAACAGGGATAGCTTGCCTTCCTCTCTCACTATTTGGATGCCTTTATTTCTTTCTCTTGCATAATTGCACTGGCCAGAACTTGCAACACTATGTTGAATACGATTGGTGAGAGTGGGGATCCTTGTCTTTTCCCAGCTTTCAAGGGAAATGCCTCCAGCTTTTGTCTATTCAGTATTATATTGGCTATGGGTGTGTCATAGATGGTTCTTATTATTTTGAGGTATGTTCCTTCAATACCTAGTTTATTGATAGTTTTTAACATAAATGTGTGTCAAATTCTATTGATAGCATTTTCTGCATCACTGAGATAATATGTGGTTTTGTCTTTAGTTCTGTTTATGTGATGAATCACACTTACTGATTTGCATATGTTGAACCAACCTCATATTCCAGGAATAAAGCCTATATGATCATGGTATGTAGTCTTTTTGATATGTTGCTCAATTTGGTTTACCAGTATTTTGCTGACAATTTTTGCATCAGTATTCATTAAAGATATTGGCCTGAAGTTTTCTTTTTTGTTTTATCTTTGCCAGGTTTTGGTATCAGGATGATGGTGGCCTCATAGAATGAGTTAGGGAGGACTCCCTCCACTTTAATTTTTTGAAATAGTTTCTGTAGGAAGGGTACCAGGTCTTCTTCATACACCTGGTACAATTCAGCTGTGCATCGTTCTGTTCCTGGTGGATCTACAATTCTGGGGTCTAGAGGATGGTGGCGCTCTTCTCACAGCTCCACTAGGCAGTGCCCCAGTAGGGACTCTGTGTGGGGGCTCCAACCCCACATTTCCCTTCTGCACTGCCTTAGCGGAGGTTCTCCGTGAGGGCCCTACCCCTGCAGCGAACTTTTACCTGGGCATCCAGGAGTTTCCATACATCTTCTAAAATCTAAGTGGAGGTTCCCAAACCTCAATTCAGGATGTGAGACTTGTCTTGTGTCAGATGAGACTTTGGACTGTGGAATTTTTCTCCTGATAGTGAATAAGTCTCAAGAGATCTGATGGGTTTATCAGGGGTTTCCGCTTTTGCTTCTTCCTAATTTTCTCTGGCTGCTGCCATGTAAAAAGTGCCTTTTGCCTCCTGCCTTGATTCTGAAGCCTCCCCAGCCTTGTAGAACTGTAAGTCCAATTAAATCTCTTTTTCTTCCCAGTCTTGGGTCTGTCTTTGTCAGCAGTGTGAAAAGGAACTAATACACTGGTTATTTTGCAGAACTATTTATGTGGTTGCTTTAAAGTGTCACTGATCTGTGTACTTCAGTGTGTCTTTATAGTAGTTGCTGGTAATGGTCATTTTTCCCCCCATATTTAGTGCTTCTTTCAGGAGCTCTTGGGAGGCAGGTCTGGTGGTAACAGTTTCCCTCAGCATTTGCTTGTCTGAAAAGGATCTTATTTCTCCTTCACTTATGAAGTTTATTTTGGCTGAATATAAACTTTTGGGTCGGAATTTCTTTTTTTTTTTTTTAAGAATGTTAGATATTGGTTCCCACTCTCTTCTGGTTTGTATGGTCTCAGCTGATAGGTCCACTATCAGTCTGATGAGCTTCTCTTTGTAGATGACTTGACCTTTCTCTCTAGCTACCTTTATCATTTTTTCTTTCATTTCTACCTTGAAGAATCTGATGATTATATGACTTTGGGATGATCTTTCTGTGAAGTATCTTACTTAGGTTCTCTTCATTTCTTGAATTTGAATGTTAGCCTCTCTAGCTAGGTTGGGGAAGTTCTCATGGATGATATCTGGAAATATGTTTTCAAAGTTTATTCTATTCTCCTCATCTGTTTCAGGGACACTAATGAGTTTTAGATTCAGTCTCTCTTTACATAATCCCATATTTCTTAGAGATTTTGTTCATCCCTTTTTATTCTTTTTTTTTCTCTTGTTTTCTCTCTGTCTTATTTCACAAAGCCAGTCTGAGCTCTGAGATTCTTTCTTCTGCTTGGTCTATTCTGCTATTAATATTTGTGATTGCATTATAAAATTGGTGTAGTGGGTCAATTATGTTCTTTTCTGTATTTTCTATTTTGTCTATCAGCTCCTTCATTGTGTCATCATGATTTTAACTTCCTTGCCTTGGGTTTCAGCATACTCCCATAGCTCATTATCTTCATTTCTATCCATATTCTGAATTCTGTTTCTGTCATTTCAGCATCTCATCCCAGTTCAGAGCCCTTGCTGGAAAGATGATACTGTCATTTGGAGGAAGGAAGGCACTCTCACTTTTTGAGTTTTCAGCATTCTTGCACTGATAATTTTTCATGTTTGTGGGTTTATCTACCTACAATTTTGAGGCTCCTGACCTTTGGATGGGTTTTCTGGTTTTCTTTTATCCTATTTGATGACCTTGGGGATGTGATTTTGGTATAAGATCAATTCAGCTGACTGGCTTTGTTTTTGGGAGATTTTAGCAGGCCAACACTCAGCTCCCAACTCCTGGACTGCGTCCTCTAACTCTTGGGGACTTGTATTGGGCTCCAACATTTTTCTCTGGCTCCTCAAGGTTTAGAATCCACTACACTGTGGGCACCAAAGTGCAGCAGCTGTGGCAGAGTGCTAGCAGGTGCTGGGGTTCCTGCCACCTTGTGGGCACACACCATAGTGGTGGAGGCATTGCCTTATTTTTACAAATCGCCACAGCCTCCTCAACCTTCAGCAACCACCACACTGATCAGTCAGCAGCCATTAACATGAAGGCAGAAACTTTCACCAGCAAAAAGATTAGGACTCATTGAAAGCTCGGATAATTATTAGCAATTTTTAGCAATAAAGTAAATAAAGTTATTTTTAAATTAAGGTATGCAGTTTTAAACATAATGCTATTATACATTTAATGGACTACAGTATGGTATAAACATAACTTTTATATACACTGGGAAAAATGTGTCTGATTTGCTTTCTTGAAATATTCACTTAATTGTGGTGGTCTAGAACCGAATCTGCAATATTTTCAAGATATGCCTGCATATCTTTATCTAAATAATAGAAATATTTGGGATATGATGCTGAAGACTTTTATATATGTTGATAAACATTTTAATCAAGACCAATTAGGATGAAGTATTTTCTTCTTCTTTGAGGGTTTTTAATTATTACAAACTAGTCCAGTTTCCTAATAGAACTGTCGTATCATAGGCCACTGTGGATTTTGTTCTAGGACAGTGTTTCCAAATACAGGTGTGTGAATTAGTGCTGGTTCAAAGTAAGATTATCACCAGTCTATGGTTATAACTTTAAAAAGTTAATAAGGAACTTATACAGAGAGAGAGAAAGATAGTCAACTCTTATGTCTTGAATATAGGGTGCCAGGTTCTGTTCTAAGAACTTTATATATTAATTTAGTTACTCTTCATAACACATGGCACTGTCTCTTTTCTCCTTATAGAGATAAACCTGAAGAGATTAAGTTAGATAACTTGCCAAATATACATAAAATGTATACATGTGGCTGTAAGTTTGCTACATGTCCTTTCTTGTAACAGTTCATTTATTCTGTCTAACTTTTCCCTACTTCTTAGATTTTTAAATGTGTTTTAAGTTTTGAAGTGATTGTAATAATAGATGATGAATATAAACTAACATTCTAAGATTGTGTGAAATCAAAAACTCTGGGTATAACTGCTTTAGAAATGTATCCCTGTCTATAGCTTCCCTGAGATTTGGGGCTTCAGGCCTTAAGTGCTACTTCGCATTGAGAAGCTTTTTAAACACAAAGCTGCTCTGTGAGCCTTCTGGTGGTTCACTCATGAAATGAGAGGCAAGTCAGTGTGCCTTTTTGGATGACACACTGGATTTCCATCTAAGCTTCCAATTCAATTTGCACTTTAATTACAATTGAACTGCCACTTTAATTTGAATTTAGTTTTATCATTTGTAACTTCACTTAGTGGCAGCAGAGTTTATTCCAGAGACATGGGGAAGGGAGTGACAATGGCCAGGGCCTTTCCCACACCCACAGCATAGTGTTAGCAGCAGGAACTGAGCAAAGCACACCTATGCTAATCTTCTGGCTGGGGGCCAGGCTCAGATTGAAACATTGAACTACTTGCAACCTTGCAAACATAGTGGGGCTGCACAGACATCTTGCCTTTTGCTAACCATGAAGTCTTCCCTCTCTTTGGATATGGTTTACTGAACTTTGTCACATTTTAAGTCAACCTCTCACCTCAGTGGGTGGTGGGCTGGGTATATAGCTGGTGTCTCACTCTGATCTGACTTTTTATCCTGGTCATATATTGCTGTCTTCCCCCCACCCCTTTCCTAATGGAGTAGCTGCTGCTATATGTACCACAGGATAATAGCTATTATTTATATAGCAATTTTCATCTTCAGTGTGCATTACAAATACTAACACATTAATCCTCAGGAGAGAAGTATTATATAATGCCTCAAGCAAACATCCTTCCCTTTTATTTCCAAATGAATTGAGTAGGTTCATGAAATATAATCAATGGATCATCAGTATTAGTTGGAATGTTGTTACACAAAATGATCCACTAGCACCAGAGTTAATGAGTGATGGTCACAGGTTCAGCTTGGAGTGTATTACCGGACTCCCTGCAGGGGAGGCACTTGCAAACCAATCTCCTGCTTTCTGATCTCAGAGGACTACCCTTAATAATGACTGACATTTCTTCACAGCTTCTAAATGGGTCCAGCTGGCACTATGCAGGGTTTTCAGGTATAGTGGATTGTTTTACTTTACTCCATCTGTCAATGCTTCCTGAGAGGGCATATTTTACTATGAAAATATGTTTACAAAACCAGCAGCAAAGTATTATCATCATCCTTGTATCATGTCCAGGTCTTACTCCCTCCTGTCTTAATCTCCACTGTTCACTTGCATTACACTCTCTCCGCCCAAACACACACACTAAGAGTTTCAGGATTTGAAAGAAATAAAGTGACAAGTACAGTAGCTTTTCATCCTATCCTGTACATCTCCATGGGTATTTTTTAAGCGGCCCGTTGTTATACAGATAATTCCCTAATTGCATTGTCTCTTTTACTTTATTGCTGTGAGGTGAGAAGGAGCTGAACCAGAGTTTAAGGGAAGGTGGAAATGGCTGAAAGTGAGAGCAAATCTGCAACACACAATTACATAAAATCTGAATTTACTTAACTCTTTTGTTGATGCTGATGGTTAGCCATAACATGACTTAGATAATTATACTTGAAATACCTCACCTGACTCACCTTTCTGATTAGCAAATATTTCACCTCTTGGCAATATGTTATACCATACAGGAGAAGAATTTGAAAAGAGCTTCCATTTTGAGCTTAAAACCTCTTTTTCTGTTTAAGAAAATTCCAAACCTTAAGCATTTAACTTCACAATATGTAGTAGACACTCTAGACGCCAAATTATTTATTTAATTTTTAATTACGCTATGATACTACCTAAAATGGCATTATTATTTCATTATTATTTTTATATAAATCCTGTGTTCTTGAAAGCAATAAGAATGAACTTGCAGTAATCACAAGATATGATACCAAATATTAATATCATAATTTGTAATGTAAAAATAAACAAAATAGATGTGCAAGTTTTGGAAATAGAGGCAATATGAAATAATATTGGAAAACACAAAGTTTTAAAGAATTTCATTTAATGTCCTAAAAATGTCCTTTCTATTTAACCAACAGAGAATGAATTTTAAAGGAGCTAAAAAAAAAAAAAAAGTAGACAACTGTACTCAACCCCTTCAGAAAATCAGCCCCACTATTTTTGTGGGTCAATAGTTTCAAGATTTACTCTCTAGATAACTTTTCATTGAGTAAAACGTCTAAAACTAGCAGTTTTAGATTTGGTGGTACCAACGTGACTCCCCTGTTTTTGTTGCTGGACTTTGCTTTCAGGCTCCATTTTTAATTTATTTTATCTTATTTTATTTATTATTTTTATTCAATAGCTGTAGAGGTACAAGTGGTTTTTGGTTACAAGGATGAATTATATAGTGATGAAGTCTGAAATTTTAGTGCAACTGCCACCCTAGTAGTGTACATTGTACCCAATAGGCAGTTTTTCATCCCTTTTTCTCTCTTACCCTCCTTGCTTTTGAGTCTCCAGTGTCCATTATCCTGCTTTGCATAACCCTGTATATCCATAGGTTAGTTCCCACTTATAAGTGAGAACATGCAGTATTTGATTTTCAGTTCTTGAGTTACCTCACTTAGAATAATGACCTCCAGTTTCATCCAAGTTGCTGCAAAAGACATTATTTTGTTCTTTTTATGGCTGAGTAGTATTACTCGCTATACCACATTTTCTTTATCCATTCATTCGTTGATGGGCACTTAGGTTGATTCCCTATCTTTCCAATTGTGAATTGTGCTGTGATAAACATATGCATACAGGTATGCTTTTGATATAGTGACTTTTCCCCTACCTTTGGGTAGATACCCAGTAGTGGGATTGCTGAATCAAATGGTAGATGTAGTTTTAGTTCTTTAAGAAATTTCTATAATGTTTTCCATAGAAAGGGTAATAATTTACATTCTCACTAGAAGTATATAAGTGTTCCTTTTAATGACATCCTTGCCAATATCTATTGTTTTTTGAATTTCATAACGGCCATTCTGGCAGGGGTAAGGTGGTATCTCATGTGGTTTTAATGTGCATTTCCCTTATGATAAGTGACAATGAGCATTTTTTCATGTTTCTTGGCCATTTGCATATCTTCTTTTGAGAAATGACTATTCATGTCCTTTGCCCACGTGTTAATGAGATAATTTGATATTTTTTCGTGCTGATTTGTTTGAGTGCCCTGTAGAATCTAGAAATATGTCTTTTGTCCAATACATAATTTGCAAATTTATTTTCCCATATAGTAGGTTATCTATTTACTCATGATTATTTCTCTTGATGTGCAGAAGGCTTTAAGTTCAATTAGGTCTCATTTACTATTGTTTTTGTTACATTTGCTTTTGGAGACTTAATCATAAATTCTTTGTCTTCACCAATGTCCAGAATAGTTTTTTTCCTAGGTTTTCTTCTAGAATTTTTATGACTTCAGGTCTAAGATTTAAGTCTTTAATCCATCTTGAGTTAGTTTTTGTATATGGTGAGATACAGGAATCCAGTTTCATTCTTCTGCATTTGGCAAGCCAGTTATCACAGAACCACTTACTGAAGTGAACCTTTCCCCAATTTGTGTTTTTGCATGTTTTATCAAAGATCGGTTGGTTGTAAGTATTGGTTTTTATTTCTGAGTTCTAATAGAATAGCTGTTCTGTTGGTCTATGTATCTACTTTTATGTGAGTACCACCCTGTTTAGGTTACTACAATCTTGGAGTATAATTTGAAGTCAGGTAATGTGATACCTCCAGATTTATTCTTTTTGCTTGGGATTGCTTTGGCTCTTCAGGCTCTTTTATTGTTCCATATGATTTTTTGGATTTTTTTTTTCTAATTCTGTGAAAAATTATGTTGTTATTTTGGCAAGAACTGCATTGAATCTTTAGATTGCTTTGGGCAGTACGGTCATGTTAATGATATTAATTCTTCTAATCCATGACCATAGGATATGTTTCCATTTGTTTGTGTCATCTATGATTTCTTTCAGCAGTGTTTTGTAGTTCTCCTTGTAGAGTACTTTTACCTCCTTGGTTAAATATATTCCTAGGTATTTTATTTGTTTATTGTAGCAAATATAAAAGGGATTGAGTTCCTCATTTAATTCTCAGCTTGATTGTTGGTGCATAGAAATGCTACTTATTTGTGTACATTGATTTTGTAACCTGAGACTTTACTGAATTCATTTATCTGATCTAGGAGTCTTTTGGAGGAGTCTTTCGGGTTTTCTAGGTATAAGATTATACCACTGGCAAACAGAGATAGTGTGACATCCTCTTTTCCAATTTGGATGCCCCTTATTTCTTTTTCTTTCCTGATTGCTCTGGTTAGGTCTTCCAGTACTATGTTGAAGTGAAATGGTGAAGGTGGGGATCCTTGTCTTGTTCCAGTTCTTCAGGGGAATGCTTTTAACTTTTCCTGCTTCAGTATAATGTCAACTGAAGTTTTGTCATATAAGGCTTTTATTATTTTGAGGTATGTTTCTTCAATGCCCAGTTTGTTGACGGTTTTTATCATAAAGCGATGCTGGATTTTATCTAATTATTTGTCTGCATCTATTGAGATAATAATATGATTTTTGTTTCTAATTCTGTTTCTGTGATGAATCACATTTATTAACTCACATATGTTGAACCATCCCTGCATCCCTGGAATGAAACCCACTTGATCATAGTGAATTATTATTATTATTTTTGATGTGCTGTTGGATTCGGTTTGCTGGTATTTTGTTGAGGATTTTTGCACCTGTAGTCATCAGGGATATTGGTCTGTAGTTTTCTTTTTTGTTATGTCCTTTCTTGCCTTTGGTATTACAGTGATACTGGCTTTATAGAATGAGTTAAGGAGGATTCCTGCCTTCTCAATCTTTTGGAATAGTTTCAGTAGACTTGGTACCAGTTCTTCATTGAAATTATGGTAGAATTCAGCTTTTGCTGTATCACAGAGGTTTTGATAACTTGTCACTGTTATTATTCATTTTGAAAAATTTTTAAATTTCTATCTTGATTTCATTTTTAACCCAAAAGTCAGTCATATTCAGATTGTTTAATTTTCATGTAATTGTATAGGCTTGAGGGTTTATTTTGGAATGGATTTCTAGTTTTATTCTACTGTGTTCTGAGAAGATACTTGATATGATTTTGATTTTTTAAATTTATTGAGACTTGCTTTGTGACATATCATATGGTCTATCTTGTAGAATGTTTCATGTGATTAAAAAAATGTATATTCTGCAGTTTTTGGTTGGAATGTACTGTAAATATCTGTTAGGTACACTTGTTCTAGAGTAAAGTTTAAGTCTTGGGTTTCTTTGTTAGCTTTCTGCCTCAGTAATCTGTCTAGTGCTGTCTAGTGTTGATGTCCCCCACTATTATCGTGTTGCTATCTTTCTCTTTTCCTAGGTATAGTAGTTGTTGCTTTATGAATCTGAGAGCTCTGGAGTTAGGTTAATATATATTTAGGGTTGTTACATCTTCTTGTTGAATTGATTCAGACTCCATTTTTAACTAAATCACATTATCTGGTATGCGAGTCCTTCAGTGAGAAAATGATGCTGATATAGTGAAAATAAAACAGTTGGATAAGGTGCAGAATAAAATGTTGTAAACAGAAAGAAATGTTGGATCTCTGATGAAGGAAAGTTTGTCTGAGATTCTCTTTCATTTCTTTTCATCACAAATACAAACCAACTGACACTGTGTCATGCAGTGTTTCCAAATATTATTTATAAGCCAAATATTTGATCAGTTTTTTTATATCCACCAAGAGATATCCTAGAGAAAGCAAGCCTGGGAACAACAATTGACTTGTTCTAGTGCATAGCAAAACAGAATTTTTATGGCCAAATTCGAAGAGATTGAGCTCCACAGGTTTCAAAAGGACTTCAAGAGAGTAGGCACTACTGTGCGAGAGCTCATTACAAAAGTTTACATTTGGACTGTATGAAGAATTCTAGGAAAGACAAAAGACATGTTTTATTTTGCCTATGAAATAATTTTGCTTCAAATTGTTTGTTTTGCATCTGTAAGAAAACAGCTAGCGCAACCATGCCTCTGTGCAAATATTATTGTATTATGATACTAAATCTGCTTATGTGTGAATCTGAGTAATACTGTAGTTTGAGGGAAGAGGGAATTTGGAGATGGGGGTTTGCAAGCAAATTTAAATACCTGTGTGAGGTAAGATGTCAGTTAATATTTTAATTTTAACCTAAGTAATCACTAAATCTTTAGTGATGTGGTGTCCACTCATTTAGTGTTTCTAATGGCAACAGGTAATATATTCTCCTGACACAAATACATTTTTTGAGGCAATTTAATGTCATTTGCCTATGAAAGCTGTCTCAATAGTGAAAAAACCTTGTGTACTACAGCAGACGCTACTTGACCATTTTTCGTGTTTACTTAGCTGTGTATTTTTGAATAAATTAAATGTGCATAGCTTTCAATAAATTTTATGTAATATAGATTTTTGACCAATTTAAGTAATAAACATGTATTTATCGGAATATGTTTGGTAAGCCAAGAACTGTGTTAGGTCATAACAAGATGCAAAAAAAGTAAACTTCTGATAAAAGAGATGGTATACTCATAAAACAATCAGAGCCAAATAAAATGTTACAGTATACAGTGCAAAACTACTAATTTTAAAAAAGGAAATGGGTTCAGAGAAGGGTTAGGTAAACATCAGACTAGATAGCAGGGGAACTTTCATGGAAGCACTGGGGCATGAAGTTTGAAGTCAACTTTGAGAGTTGGTTTGTCATTTCACTATATATATATATATGTATTTCAAAACATTGCGTTGTAGACCTTAAATATATATTTTTAATTTATTTTCTTCCCCTTTTTATTTTACGTTTAGGAGGTACATGTGCAGTTTTGTTTCATGAGTAAATTGTGTGTCACTGGGTTTTGGTGTACAAATGCTTTTATAACCCAGGTAATCAGCATAATACCCAATAGGTAGTTTTTCTAACTGTCAGGCCTCTGAGCCCAAGCTAAGCCATCATATCCCCTGTGACCTGCACATACACATCCAGATGGCTGGTTCCTGCCTTAACTGATGACATTCCACCACAAAAGAAAGGAAAATGGCCTGTTCCTGCCTTAACTGATGACATTATCTTGTGAAATTCCTTCTCCTGGCTCATCCTGGCTCAAAAGCTCCCCTACTGTGCACCTTGTGACCCCCACTCCTGCCTGCCAGAGAACAATCCCCCTTTTTCTTTTACCTACCCAAATCCTATAAAACGGCCCCACCCCTATCTCCCTTTGCTGACTCTCTTTTCGGACTCAGTCTGCCTGAACCCAGGTGATGAAAAGCTTTATTGCTCACACAAAGCCTGTTTGGTGGTCTCTTCACACGGATGCGCATGAAATTTGGTGCTGTGACTCGGATTGGGGGACCTCCCTTAGGAGATCAATCCCCTGTCCTCCTGCTCTTTGCTCCATGAAAAAGATCCACCTACGACCTCGGGTCCTCAGACCCACCAGCCCAAGGAACATCTCACCAATTTTAAATCAGGTAAGCGGCCTCTTCTTACTCTCTTCTCCAACCTCTCTCACTATCCCTCAACCACTTTCTCCTTTCAATCTTGGTGCCACCCTTCAATCTCTCCCTTCTCTTAATTTCATTTCCTTTCATTTTCTGGTAGAGACAAAGGAGACACGTTTTATCCATGATCCCAAAACTCCGGTGCCGGTCACGGACTCGGGAAGGCAGCCTTCCCTTGGTGTTTAATCACTGCAGGGATGCTCTCTGATTATTCACCCACGTTTCAGAGGTGTCTGACCACGCAGGGACGCCTGCCTTGCTCCTTCAACCTTAGCTGCAAGCCCTGCTTTCCTGGGGGAGAGGCAAGAAACCCCACCCCTTCTCTCCCTGTCTCTACCCCTTCTCTGCTTTTCTGGGGGGCAAGAACCCCTCGATCCCTTATTTCCATGCCCTGACCCCTTATCTTTGTGGCCTGATCCCTTATTTCCATGCCCCAACCTCTTATCTCTGTGCCCCAATCCCTTATTTCTGCACCCCGACCTCTTATCTCTGTGCCCCGATCCCTTATTTGCATGCCCCGACCTCTTATCTCTGCAACCCGATCCCTTATTTCTGCGCTCTGACCTCTTATCTCTGTGCCCCAACCCCTTATTTCTGTGCCCTGAACCCTCTCCCACTTTTCTGGAGGGTAAGAACCCCTGAACCCCTTCCCTCCGTCTCTCTACTCTCTTTTCTCTGGGCTTTCCTCCTTCACTATGGGCAAGCTTCCACCCTCCATTCCTCCCTACTCTCCCTTAGCCTGTGTTCTCAAGAACTTAAAACCTCTTCAGCTCACACCTGACCTAAAACCTAAATGCCTTATTTTCTTCTACAATGCCACTTGACCCCAATACAAACTCAACAGTAGTTCCAGATAGCCAGAAAATGGCACTTTCAATTTTTCCATCGTACAAGATCTAGATAATTCTTATCATAAAATGGGCAAATGGTCTGAGGTGCCTGACATCCAGGCATTCTTTTATACATTTTTCCCTCCCTCGTCTCTGTTCCCAATGGGACTCATCCCAAATCCTCCTTCTTTCCCTCCCGCCTGTCCCCTCAGTCCCAACCCCAAGTGTCGCTGAGTCTTTCTAATCTTCCTTTTCTACAGACCCATCTGACCTCTCCCCTCCTCGCCAGGCCAAGCCAGGTCCCAATTCTTCCTCAGCCTCTGCTCCCCCACCCTATAATCCTTTTATCACCTCCCCTCCTCACACCTGGTCCAGCTTACAGTTTCATTCCTCGACTAGCCTTCCCCAACCTGCC
Source organism: Homo sapiens (assembly GCF_000001405.40). Taxonomy (NCBI): domain Eukaryota; kingdom Metazoa; phylum Chordata; class Mammalia; order Primates; family Hominidae; genus Homo; species Homo sapiens. The sequence goes on along the minus strand of NC_000023.11, from coordinate 99,163,363 downwards.
CAGCAATTTCCTCTTAAAAAGGTGGCTGGAGCTAAAGGCATAGTCAAGGTGAATGCTCCTTTTTCTTTATCTGACCTCTCCCAAAATTAGTTAGCGTTTAGGCTCTTTTTTCATCAAATATAAAAATCCAGCCCAGTTCATGGTTCATTTGGCAGCAACCCTGAGACGCTTTACAGCCCTAGACCCCAAAAGGTCAAAAGGCCGTCTTATTCTCAATATACATTTTATTACCCAATCTGCTCCTGACTTTAAATAAAGCTCCAAAAATTAAATTCCGGTCCTCAAACCCCACAACAGGACTTAATTAACCTCGCCTTCAAGGTGTACAGTAATAGAAAAAAGTTGCAATTCCTTGCCTCCACTGTGAGACAAACCCCAGCCACATCTCTAGCACACAAGAACTTCCAAACGCCTGAACCGCAGCAGCCAGGCCTTCCTCCAGAACCTCCTCCCCCAGGAGCTTGCTATAAGTGCTGGAAATCTGGCCACCAGGCCAAGGAATGCCCGCAGCCCAGGATTCCTCCTAAGCCACGTCCCATCTGTGTGGGACCCCACTGAAAATCAGACTGTTCAACTCACCTGGCGGCCACTCCCAGAGCCCCTGGAACTCTGGCCCAAGGCTCTCTGATTGACTCCTTCCCAGATCTTCTCAGCTTCACGGCTGAAGACTGACACTGCCGGATCTCCTCGGAAGCCCCCTAAACCATCATGGACACCGAGCTTCGGGTAACTCTCACAGTGGAAGGTAAGTCTGTCCCCTTCTTAATCAATACGGAAGCTACAGACTCCACATTACCTTCTTTTCAAGGGCCTGTTTCCCTTGCCTCCATAACTGTTGTATGTATTGGCAGCCAGGCTTCTAAGCCTCTTAAAACTCCCCAACTCTAGTGCCAATTTAGACAATACTCTTTTAAGCACTCCTTTTTAGTTATCCCCACCTGCCCAGTTCCCTTATTAGGCCGAGACACTTTAACTAAATTATCTGCTTCCCTGACTATTCCTAGGCTACAGCCACACCTCATTGCCACCTTTTCCCCCAGTTCAAAGCCTCCTTCACATCCTCCCCTTGTATCTCCCCACCTTAACCCACAAGTATAAGACACCTCTACTCCCTCCTTAGCAACCAATCATGCACCCCTTACCATCCTATTAAAACCTAATCACCCTTACCTCGCTTAATGCCAATATCCCATCCCACAGCATGCTTTAAAAGGATTAAAGCCTGTTATCACTTGCCTGCTACAGCATGGGCTTCTAAAACCTATAAACTCTCCTTACAATTCCCCCATTTTACCTGTCCAAAAACCAGACAAGTCTTACAGATTAGTTCAGGATCTGCGCCTTATCAACCAAATTGTTTTGCCTATCCACCCTGTGGTGCCCAACCCGTACACTCTTTTGTCCTCAGTACCTTCCTCCACAACTCACTATTCTGTTCTTAATCTTAAAGATGTTTTTTTTCACTATTCCCCTGCACCCCTCATCCCAACCTCTCTTCGCTTTCACTTGGACTGACCCTGACACCCATCAGGCTCAGCAAATTACCTGGGCCGTACTGCCGCAAGGCCTCACAGACAGCCCCCATTACTTCAGTCAAGCCCAAATTTCTTCCTCATCTGTTACCTATCTTGGCATAATTCTCATAAAAACACACGTGCTCTCCCTGCCCATCGTGTCCAACTGATCTTTCAAACCCCAGCACCTTCTACAAAACAACAACTCCTTTCCTTCCTAGGCATGGTTAGATACTTTCGACTTTAGATACCTGGTTTTGCCATCCTAACAAAACCATTATATAAACTCACAAAAGGAAACCAAGCTGGCCCCATAGATCCTAAATCCTTTCCCCACTCCTCTTTCTGTTCCTTGAAGACAGCTTTAGAGACTGCCCCCATCCTAGCTCTCCCTAACTCATCCCAAAGTGCAGGGCTGTGCAGTCGGAATTCTTACACAAGGACCGGGATCGCGTCCTGTAGCCTTTTTGTCCAAACAACTTGACCTTACTGTTTTAGGCTGGCCATCATGCCTCCGTGCAGTGGCTGCTGCTGCCCTAATACTTTTAGAGGCCCTTAAAATCACAGACTATGCTCAACTCACTCTCTACAGTTCTCATAACTTCCAAAATCTATTTTCTTCCTCACGCCTGACACTTATACTTTCTGCTCCCCGGCTCCTTCAGCTGTACTCACTCTTTGTTGAGTCTCCCACAATTACCATTGTTCCTGGCCCGGACTTCAATCCGGCCTCCCACATTATTCTGGATACCACACCTGACCCTCATGACTGTATCTCTCTGATCCACCTGACATTCACCCCATTTCCCCATATTTCCTTCTTTCCTGTTCCTCACCCTGATCACATTTAGTTTATTAATGGCAGTTCCGCCAGGCCTAATTACCACTCACCAGCAAAGGCAGGCTATGCTATAGTATCTTCCACATCTGTCATTGAGGCTACTGCTCTGCCCCCCTCCACTGCCTCTCAGCAAGCTGAACTAGTTGCCTTAACTCAAGCCCTCACTCTTGCAAAAGGACTACTCATCAATATTTATAGTGACTCTAAATATGCCTTTCATATTCTGCACCACCATGCTGTTATATAGGCTGAAAGAGATTTCCTCACTATGCAAGGGTCCTCCATCATTAACCCCTCTTTAATAAAAACTCTGCTCAAGGCCGCTTTACTTCCAAAGGAAGCTGGAGTCATTCACTGCAAAGGCCATCAAAAGGCATCAGATCTCATTGCTCTAGACAACGCTTATGCTGATAAAGTGGCTAGACAAGCAGCTAGCTTTCCAACTTCTGTCCCTCATGCCAGTTTTTCTCCTTCACATCAGTCACTCCTACCTACTCCCCCACTGAAAATTCCACATGTCAATCTCTTCCCACACAAGGCAAATGGTTCTTAGACCAAGGAAAATATCTCCTTCCAGCCTCACAGGCCCATTCTATTCTGTCGTCATTTCATAACCTCTTCCATATAGGTTATGAGCCACTAGCCCGTCTCTTAGAACCTCTCAATTCCTTTCCATTCTGGAAATCTGTCCTCAAGGAAATCACTCCTCAGTGTTCCATTTGCTATTCTACTATCCATCAGGGATTGTTCAGGCCTCCTCCCTTTCCTAAACATCAAGCTCGAGGATTAGCCCCTGCCCAGGACTGGCAAATTGACTTTACTCACATGCCCTGAGTCAGAAAACTAAAATACCTCTTAGTCTAGGTAGACACTTTCCCTGGATGGGTAGAGGCCTTTCCTACAGGGTCTAAGAAGGCCACCGCAGTCATTTCTTCCCTTCTGTCAGACACAATTCCTCAGTTTGGCCTTCCCACCTCTATACACTCTGATAGCAGACCGGCCTTTGTTAGTCAAATCAGCCAAGCATTTTTTCAGGCTCTTGGTATTCAGTGAAACCTTTATATCCCTTACGGTCCTCAGTCTTCAGGAAAGATAGAACAGACTAATGGTCTTTTAAAAACACACCTCACCAAGCTCAGCTACCAACTTAAAAAGGACTGGACAATACTTTTACCACTTTCCCTTGTCAGAATTCAGGCCTGTCCTCAGAATGCTACAGGGTACAGCCCATTTAAGCTCCTATATGGACGCTCCTTTTTATTAGGCCCCAGTCTCATTCCAGACACCAGACCAACTTGGACTGTGCCCCAAAAAACTTGTCATCCCTACTATCTTCTGTCTGGTCATACTCCTATTCACCATTCTCAACTATTCATACATGCCCTGCTCTTGTTTACACTGCCGGTTTACACTGTTTCTCCAAGCCATCACAGCTGATATCTCCTGGTGCTATCCCCAAACTGCCATTGTTAACTCTTAAAGTAAATAAATAATCTTTGCTGGCAGGACTATGCTGAATCTCCTTAGGCACTCTCTAATTAAATGTCCTAGGTCCTCCCAATTCTTAGACCTTTAGTACCTGTTTTTCTCCTTCTCTTATTCTGTTTAGTTTTTCAATTCATACAAAACCATATCCAGGCCATCACCAATAATTCTAAATGACAAATGTTTCTTCTAACAGTCCCACAATATCACCCCTTACCACAAAATCTTCCTTCAGCTTAATCTCTCCCACTCTAGGTTCCCACACTGCCCCTAATCCTGCTCGAAGCAGCCCTGAGAAACATCGCCCATTATCTCTCCATACCATCCCCCCAAAATTTTTGCTGTCCCAACACTTTACCACTATTTCATTTTATTTTTCTTATTAATATAAGAAGACAGGAATGTCAGGCCTCTGAGCCCAAGCTAAGCCATCATATCCCCTGTGACCTGCACATACACATCCAGATGGCCGGTTCCTGCCTTAACTGATGACATTCCACCACAAAAGAAAGGAAAATGGCCTGTTCCTGCCTTAACTGATGACATTATCTTGTGAAATTCCTTCTCCTGGCTCATCCTGGCTCAAAAGCTCCCCTACTGTGCACCTTGTGACCCCCACTCCTGCCTGCCAGAGAACAACCCCCCTTTTTCCTTTACCTACCCAAATCCTATAAAAGGGCCCCACCCCTATCTCCCTTTGTTGACTCTCTTTTCGGACTCAGTATGCCTGCACCCAGGTGATTAAAAGCTTTATTGCTCACAAAAATCCTGTTTGGTGGTCTCTTCACACGGACGCTCATGAAACTAACCTCACCCCCTTTCCATCCTCTACCCTCAAGTAAGCCCTAGTGTCTATTGTTCCCCTCTTTATATCCATGTATACTTAAAATTTAGCTCCTACTGATAAGTGAGAATATACAGTATTTGGTTATCTATTCCTGCATTAATTTGCTTGGGATAACGACCTTCAGCTGCATCCATGGTGCTGCAAATAATATGGTTTCATTCTTTTTTATGGATGTGTAATATATTCCATAGAGTGTATGTACCACATTTTCTTAATCCACTCCTCCATTTATAGGCATCTAAGTTGATTCTCTGCCTTTGCTATTGCGAGTAGTGTTGAGATGAACATATGTGTGCATGGATCACTGTGATAGAAAGACTTATATTCATCTGGATATATACCCAGTAATGGAATTGCTGGGTCAAATGGTAGTTCTGTTTTAAGTTTTCTGAGAAATTTCCAAACTGCTCTCCACAGTGGCTTAACTAATTCACATTCCCACCAGCAATGTACAAACATTCCTTTTCCTCTGCAACCTTGCCAACATCTGTCATTTTTTGACTTTTTAACTAATAGCCATTCTTACTGGTGTGAGGTGGTATCTCACTGTGGTTTTGATTTGAAATTCTCTAATAATTAGTGATGTTGAGCACTTCCCTTATGTTTGTTGGCCACATGTATGTCTCCTTTTGAGAAGTGTCTGTTCATGTCCTTTGCCCATTTTTAAATGAGGTTATTGTTCTTTGCTTGTTCCTTATAGACTCTGGATATTAGACTTTCATTGGATGCACCAAATGGAAATATTTCCTCCCATTCTGTAGGTTGTCTGTTCACTCTCTTGGTGGTTTATTTTGCTATGCAGAAGCTCTTTAATTTAATTAGATCCCAATTGTCAATTTTTGATTTTGTTGCAATTGCTTTTGGAGTCTTTGTCATGAAATATTTGCTCTATGTCCAGAGTGGTAGTACCTAGGTTTTCTTCTAGAATTTTTATAGTTTCAGGTCTTGCATTTCAGTATTTAATCCATCTTGACTTGATTTTTATATATGGTGAAAGAAAGCAGTCCAGTTTCAATCATCTGCATATGGCTAGCCAGTTATCTCAGCACCATTTATTGAATAGGGAATCCTTTTCCCATTGTTTGTTATTGTCAATTTTGTCAAAGATCAGATGGCTGTAGATGTGTGGATCTATTTCAGGGTTATCTAATCCATTCCATTGGTTTATGTGACTGTTTTTGTATCAGTATCATGCTGTTTTGGTTACCATAGCCTTATAGTCTAGTTTGAAGTTGAGTAATGTGATGTATCTGGCTTTGTTCTTTTGCTTAGGATTGCTTTGGTTATTTGGGCTCCTTTTTAATTCTGTATCAATTTTAGAGTGGTTTTTTCTAATCCTGTGAGAAAAAAATATGTTGATATTTTGATAGGAATAGCATTGAATCTATAAATTGCTTTGGGCAATATGGCCATTTTAACAATACTGATTCATCCTAACTGTGTACATAGAATGTTTTTCCATTTGTTTGTGTAGTGTTTAATTTTTTTCCAGTTGCGTTTTATAATTATCATTGTACAAATTTTTCCCCTCCCTGATTAACTGTATTCCTAGGTATTTTATAATTTTTGTGGCTATTATCAATGGGATTGCATTCTGAATTTGGCTCAGCTCAGGCATTATTGGTGTATAGAGATGCTACTCATGTTTGTACATTGATTTTTTTATCCTGAAACTTTACTTAAGTTGTTCATCAGTTCTATAAGCCTTTGGGCAGAGACTATGGGGTTTTCTAGGTGTAGAACCATATCATCCATAATGAGAAGTACTTCAGCTTCCTCTCTTTCTATTTTGCCTTTTATTTCTTTCTCTTGCCTGATTTCTCTGGTTTGGTCTTCCTTCCAGTACCATGTTGAATAGGAGTGATGAGTGTAGGCATCCTTGTCTTGTTCTGGTTCCCAAAGGGAGTGCTTCCAGCTTTTGCTTGTTCAGTATGATGGTGGCTGTGGGTTTTACATAGATGGCTTTTATTATTTTGATGTATATTCCTTCAATGCCTAGTTTGTTGAGGGTTTTTAACACAAAGGGATGCTGAATTTTATTGAAAATTTCCTATATCCATTGAGATGATCATGAGGTTTTTGTTTTTAGCTCTGTTTATATGATAAATTACACTTATTGACTTGTGTCTGTTCAACCAACCTTGCATCCCAGGAATAAAGCCTACTTGATAATGGGAGATTAGCTTTTTGATGTGCTGTCGGATTTGGTTTGCTAATATTTTGTTGAGGGTTTTTGCATCTACATTAGTCAGGCGTTTTGGCCTGAAGTTTTCTTTTTTTGTTGTGTCTCTGCCAGGTTTTGGTATTAGACTGATGCTCGTCTCATAGGATGAGATAGGAGTCTCTCCTCCTCAATTCTTTTGGAATACTTCCAGTAGGATTGTTACTAGCTCTTCTTTATATATATGGTAGAATTTGGCTATGAATCTGTCTGTCCCAGGACATTTCCTGGTTGGTAGGATTTTTGTTACTAATTCAATTTCAAAACTTGTTATTGGTCTGTACAGGTATTCCATTTCTTCCTGATTCAATGTTAATAGATTGTATATTTCCAGAAATTTATCCATTTCTTCTGGGGTTTCTAGTTTGTGCACATAGAGGTGTTTGTAATAATCTATACAGGATTTTTGTATTTCTGTGGGGTTGGTGGTAAAGTCACCTTTGTAATTTTTTATTGTCTTTATTTGGATCTTTTCTTTTTTTATTATTCTAGTTATCTCTCTATCAATGTCATTTTATCCTTTTAAAGAATCCAAGCTTGGTTTCATTGGTTAGTTGTATGGATTCTCATGTGCCAGTTTTATTCAGTTCATCTCTAATTTTGGTTATTTATTTTCTTCCGCTAGCTTTGGGGTTAGTTTGCTCTTGTTTTTCTGGGTCCAGTAGGCATGATGTTAGATTGTCAATTTGAGAACTTTCTTTTTAATGGATGTATTTAGCACTATAAACTTTCTCCCTAACACTGCTTTAGCTGTGTCCCAGATATTCTGGTATGCTGTATCTTTGTTTTCGATAGTTTCAAAAAATTTCTCAAGAAATTTCTTGATTTTGGCATTAATTTCATTCTTTACTCAAAAGTCATTCAGGAGCAGGTTATTTAATGTTAATGCAATTGTATGGTTTTGAGATATGTTCTTGGCATTGCTTTGTATTTTTATTGCACTGTGGTCCAAGACTGTGGTTGATATGATTTTGGTTTTCCTAAATTTGTTGAGAATTGCTTTATGGCCCAGCATGTGGTTGATCTTAGTGTATGTGCTGTGTGCAGATGAGACAAATGTATACTCTGATGTTTTGGATGGAGTGTTCTGTAGATATCTGCTAGATCCATTTGATCAAGTGTCAAGTTTAGATCCTAAATATCTTTGTTAGTTTTCTGCCTTAATGATCTATGTAACACTCTCAGTGGGGTTTTGAAGTCTGTCACTATTATTGTGTGGTTATCTAAGTCCCTTTGTAGGTCTCTAAGAACTTTCTTTGTGAATCTGGGTGCTCCAGCATTAGGTGCATATATGTTTAGGATAATTAAGTATTTTTATTGAATTGAACCCTTTATCATTAGGTAATGCCCCTCTTTGTCTTTTTTTTACCATTGTTGATTTAGTCTATTTTGTCTAAAATTAGAATAGCAATGCTACTTTTTTCTGTTTTGTTTTGTTTCCATTTGCTTGGTAGATTTTTCTTTATCACTTTACTTTGATCCTTATCAGTGTCACTGCAAGTGAGATGGGTCTCTTGAATACAGCATACAGTTGGGTCTTGCTTCTTTATCCAACTTGCCACTCTGTGACTTTTCAGTGGGGTGTTTAGCCCATTTACATTCGAAGTTAATAGTGACATGTGAGGATTTGGTCCTGTCATTATGTTTTTAGCTAGTTGCTATGTAGACCTAATTGTACAGTTGTTTTATACTGCCTGTGGGCTATATGCTTAAGTGTATTTCTGTGATGGCAGGTAACAGTCTTTTCCCTCCATGTTTATCACGCCCTTGAGTGAGTCCCTTACCTCACTCTCTGACAAGGCAGGTCTGGTGGTAATGAATCCCCTTAGCACTTGCTTATCTGAAAAAGATTTTATTTCTCCTTCACATAGAAGCTTAGTTTGACTGAATATTATTAAAATTATTGGTTGGAATATTATTTCTTTCAAAGTGCTGAATATGGACCCCAAATCTTTTCTGACCTGTAAGGTTTCTACTAAAAGGTCCACTGTTAGCCTGATGGGGTTCCCTTCATAGCTGACTTGCCCCTTCTCTCTAACTGCCTTTAATATTTTTTTGTTTTAGATTGACCTTGTGTAATTTGGCTGGTATGTTTCTTGGAGATGGTTGCCTTATGTAGTGTCTCACTAAGGTTGTCTGAATTTTCTGAATTTTCATGTCAACCTCTCTGGTGAGGTTGGCGAAATTTTTCTGGACAATATTCTCAAATATGTTTTCCTAGTTGTTTGATCTCTCTCTCTCTCTCATTCTGGGATGCCAATGAATCCTAGGTTTGGTCTCTAATATAATTTTATATTTCTCAGAGGGTTTGTTCATTTTTTCTTTATTTTTGTCTCACTAAGTTGATTTGAAGAACTGGTCTTTGAGCTGTAAGATTCTTTAATTATCCTGGTTATTTTGCTGTTAATACTTCTTATCATATTATGAAATTCCTGTAGTGTCTTAGCTCTAGAAGATCAGTTTTGTTCTTTCTTAAAATGGCTAGTTCATCTTTCAGCTCTTGTATCATTTTATTGGTTTCCCTAGATTTCTTGGATTGGGTTTCAACTTTCTACTGGATCTAGATGATCTTCACTGTCATCCAGATTCTGAGTTCTATTCCTGTCATTTCAGCCATTTCAATCTGGTTAAAACCATTACTGGGGAGCTAGTGCAGTCATTTGGAGACAGGAAGACATTCTACCTTTTAGAGTTGCCAGAGTTCTTGCACTGGTTGTTTGTCATCTGTGTGGGCTGATGTTCCTTTAATCTTTGAAGTTGTTGTCCTTCGGATGGGGCTTTTTGCTTTTATTTTCTTTGATGCCCTTGAGGGTTTAACAGTGGTATGAGATGGGTTTAGTAAATTGGCTTAATTTCTGGATGATTTCAAGGGGCCAAGGCTCAGCTCAGCACTCCTGGGCTGCGTGCTCTAACCGTGGAGGGCTGGGACAAGGCCCAAGGTTTTTTCCTCTGGCTTCTTGAGTTTAAGCACCTGCTGTGCTTGAGGGGCCAAACTGTTCCCAGTCTGGTAGGAACAACACTCCAATGGGGGGCGCAGGCAAAAGCACTTTGACAGGGTAGTTGCGTGACAAGGCATAGTGGGTTCAGTGCATATTTGTGCACCAGCAAAACCTTGGAAGGAGTCTGTGGGTGAGTGCACACTGGCAGTGGAGGGCTGCAGGTGAGTATGCACCAGAAGAGGCATACCCGCAGAAGTTCTCTGACTGTTAGGTGGGGTCTGCTGGAGAACGAGCTATGGTGGTAGCCACTAGCACTTGACTCACCTCAGGAGCAGAGGCCATGCTGCAAGCTTGTGCAGCCAGGCAGGGATCCTGGGACAGACCAGGAGACCAGGAAGTGTTCAAATCAGCATGGCTCCATCTCATAGGCAAGATAGCCCTGCTCTGTCAAGGTCTGGCAGCAAACGAAGTCTAAAGCTACTTAGAGGAATATGGCAAGCCTTGGGGGATGGGTACTCATGACTGTGCTCCACTGTAAACTCTTCCAAAGGAACCCCTCTGAGCTGCATGCAGGCTGGAGATCTGTCTCTGCCAACTCTCCAGAAAGTTCTCCATGCCAGCTCAAATGTCCATGGCAGTTATGGAGTCTCCTGTAGCTATAATTCTAGACTTCCATGGTGAGAATGTGCCACTCCATGCCTATTTTACTCACCCTTTCCCCAGGAGCCACTCAGGGCCAGGAATAATCCTGGTGCTCAACAACCCTCTGCAGAGTTCTCAGTTTCTTCCCCTTTCAGCTCAGGTACTCCAGCTTCCACCTGTCCATTCTCAATGCCTCTTTTTAAATATCTGTCCAGAGTGTGCCAGTCTTATTCATGGTTTGTCTGTTGGTGGGAGAAGCTCTTCCTGTCTATGTCTAGTCTGTCATTTTGTGATCTATATTTTTAAATTTTAAATATAAATAAAAATATTTTCATAAAAATATAGTGGGTTTGGTTTAGATGGGAAGAAATGAGAATATTCAAGGTAAGAGAAATAGCATAAGAAATACATGGAAGGTAAGCTAAATGCCAGGAAATAGTAGAAAATAATTTGGTAGAGAATGATCAGATTATTTAGGGCCTAGAAAACATGCCAGAAACTTTTGATTTGAATTGGAAGGCAAGAGGCGGATACTATAATTTTATTTTACTATTAATTAAATGCAAAAAAGTGCAATGCATTGTGTAGTCTGTAGAATGATAAAAATCAAGAACGTCCAAGTTCCCTGCTCCAGCTTAAGAAACTGAAGAATACCAGTAATGTAGTGTCCCTTTATTTTTTTCTTTTATTGATACATAATATTTTACATATTTTTGGGATACCTGTGAGTATTTGTTACATGCATAAAATGTATTATGATCAAGTCAGGGTATTTGGAATATCCATCACCTTGAGTATCATTTCACATGTTGGTAACATTTCAAATCTTCTACCTACTTTGAAGTACACAACATATTCTTGCTAACTGTAGTGACTCTACTACTAAACATCACAATTTATTTGTTCTGCCTAACTGTACACTTTTACACATTAACAAAACTCTTTTCATCCCCCTGCCATCCACACCCCCTTCCTAGCCTCTAGTATCTATCATTCGAATCTCTATCTCCATTTTCATTTTTCTTCATATGGGTTTCCAGTTTTCCCAGCATCACTTATTGAAGTGGGTACCTTCTATTTCTTTCTCATTCACTAATGCGTGTTCTTGACAGGCTTGTCAAAGATCAATTGGCTGTAAATATGTGGCATTATTTCTAGGTTCTCTATTCTGTTCCATTGATCTATGTGTCTTTTTCGTACCAATCGTATGCTGTTTTGGTTACTGTAGCCTTATTTTGTATTTTGAAGTCAAATAGTGTGATACCTCTAGCTTTGTTCTTTTTCCTCAGGATTGCATTGATTATTCTGAATTATTTTTATTTTATAAAAAAACTTAGGATTTTGTTCTAATTCTATAAAAATGACACTGGTGTTTTAATAGGAATTGCATTAAATCTGTAGATTGCTTTCAGCACTATGGTTATTTCAGTAATGTTAATCTTTGAATTCATGAGCATGGGGTGTCTTTCCATTTCTTTGTGTCATCTTCAAATTTTTTCCTTAGCATTTTGTAGTTTTCCTTGTTGAAATCTTTCTCCTCCTTGGTTAACTTTATCCTTAAATATTTTACTTTTTGTTTCATTGTAAATGGAGCTGTCTTCTTGATTATTTTTTTCTGGCTATTTCAACGTTGATGTGAAGAAAGGCTACTAATTTTCGCATGTGAATTTTGTAATTTGCAATTTTACTAAATTTATCAGTTTTAAGAATGTTTTAGTACAGTTTTTTGGTTATCCTAAATATAAGATCATATCATCTGCAACGAGGGACAGTTTAACTTACTGTTTTTCTATTGGATGCCTTTTATTTCTTTCTCTTGCCTGTTTTTTTTTTTTCCTAGAACTTCCAGTACTATGTTGAATAGTAGTGGTAAAAGTGGGCATCCTTGTTTTGTTCTAGTTTTAGAAGAAAGGCTTTCATGTTTTCCCCACTCAGTATGATGTTTGCTGTAGATTTGTCATCTGTTGCCTTTATTATTTTGAAGTAGGTTCCCTCTATGCCTAGTTTGTTGAGAATTTTTATCATGAAGGGATGTTGAATGTTATCGAATGCTTTTTCTGTGTCTATTGAGATGATGATACAGTTTTTGACCTTCATTCTCTTGATGTGATGTATCACATTCATTGATTTTTGCATGTCGAACCACCTTTGCATTGCTGGTAAAAATCCCACTTGATCATGGTGTATTATCTTTTTGATTTGTTGTTGGATTCAGCTTTCCAGTACTTTGCTAAAGATTTTTGCATCGATGTTCATCAGGAATTTTGGCCTGTGGTTTGTTGTTGTTGTGTACTTCTCTGGTTTTGGTATAACGATAATGCTGGCTTTTTAGAATGAGTTAGGGAGAATTTCTTCCCCCTCAATTTTTTTGGAATAGTTTCAGGAGGATTGCTATTATTTCTTCCTTACATGTTTGGTAGAATGTGGCAGTGAATTCATCTGATCCTGAACTTTTCTTTGTTGGAAGACATTATATTGTTGATTCAACCTCGCTACTCATTATTTATTTGTTCAGGTTTTGTATTTCTCCTGATTCAATCCTGGTAGGTTGTATGCATCAAGAAAATTATCCATTTCCTCTAGGTTTTCCAGTTTATTGGCAGATAATTGTTCATAATCGTGTCTAAAAATCTTTTGTATTTCTGTGGTATCCGTTGAAATATTGCCTTTTCTATTTTTGATTTTGTTTATTTTGGTCTTCCCTCTTCTCATTTAGTCTAGCTAGCAGTTTATCAATTTTATTTGTCTTTTTGAAAAAATAATTTTTTGTTTCATTGATCCTTTTTATTTTTATTTCTTGTTTTGTTTAGTTCTACTCTGATTTTTATGATTTCTTGTATTCTGCTAATTTGGATTCAGTTTATTCTTGCTTTTCTAGTTCCTTGAGGTGCATCATTACATTGTTTTCTTGAAATCTTTGTACTTTTTTGATGTATCAGTTTATTGCTATAATCTTCCCTCTTAGCACAGCTTATGCTATATCTCATACTTTTTGATATATCTTGTTTCCATTTTTATTTGTTTCAATGCTTTTTTTGATTTCTGTCTTAATTTCTTCATTGAGCCAATGGCCGTTTAGGAGCATGTTGTTTAATTTGCATGTACTTGGAGTTTCCAACATTTCTCTCAGTATTGATTTCTAGTTTTATTTTAGTGTGGTCTGAGACTATACTTGATGTGATTTTGATTTTTAAAAATTTGTTCAGACTTTTTTTGTGGCCTAACATATAGTCTATTCTGATGAATGTTCCACGTGCTGGCTAGAAGAATATGTATTCTGTTGTTGGTTAATATTTTTTGTAAATGTCTGCTAGGTCTATTTGGTCTAAAGTTCTGTTTAAATACAATATTTCTTTGTTGAATGTCCATGTAGATAATCTGTCTAATGCTGAAGGTGGGGTGTTGAAGTCTCTTCTATTATAGTATTAGAGTCCATCTATCTTATTGAGTCTAGGACTATTTGCTTCATGAATCTAGGTGTTCCAGAATTAGGTACATATATACTTAGATTTGTTGCATCCTCTTGTTGAATTGATACCTTTATCACTACATAATGTTTTTCTTTGTCCTTTTTTTTTTTTTTTTTTTACTGTTGTTGACTTAAATTCTGTCTTATCTGATACATGTAGAGCTAATCCTACTCACTTTTGGTTTCTGTTTGCATGAAATGTCATTTTCCATCCCTTTACTTTGAGTCTATATGTGTCTTCACAGGTAAAGTGCATTTCTTGTAAGCAGCATGTAGTTGCATCATGTCCTATTATACATTCAGTCTATATCTTAAGTGGAGAAAAGTTAATTCATTTATACTCAAGGTTATTATTAATATGTGAGGTTTCATTTATGTCATATTGCTGATTATTTTCTGGTTGTTGTTTATGTACTTTGTAACTTTCTTTTTCTCCTTGTTTATCACTGTGATTTGGTGGTTGTCTTTAATAGTACCATTTCAGTCTTTCCTTGTACCTATTTGTATTTTTTCTTTACCAGTTAGCTTTATAGTTTAGTTTTATGTGTATTTATGATGGTAAATGTTGTTCTGCTTCCAGGTTTAGGAATACCCTTGAGCATTTCTTGTTGAACCAATCTAATGGTGATGCATTCTCTCAGTATTTGCTTGTCTGGGAAAGATTGTATTTCTCCTTCATTTATGAAAGATAATTTTTCTGGATATAGTATCCTTAACTGGCAGTGTTTTTGTTTGTTTGTTTGTTTGTTTTTCACTTAGAATACATCATCTCATTCTCTCCTGGCCTGTAAGTTTTCTGCTGAGAAGTCCACGTTTAGCCTAATTGGGGCGTCTTTATAGGTGGCTAGTTGTTTTTCTCTTGCTGTTTTAAAAATTCTATTTTGTCTTTGACTTTAGACAGTTTGAATATGATTTGCCGTAAAGAATCCTTTTTTTCATTGTATCTGTTTGGAATATCTGAGTTTCTCGTTTCTGGATATCTAAATTACTTGCTAAACTTGGGAAGTTTTATTTATTATTTTGTTATATAGGTTTTCTAAATCTTTTGTTCTCTTTTTGCCTGCTAGGATAGTGATAATTTGAATATTTTATCACTTTGTAGTGTCTCATGTGCCTCCAAGGCTTTGCTCATTCTTTTTAGTGTTTTAAAATTTATTTTCGCCTGACTTGGTTATTTCAAAAGACCTATATTTAAGTTTTGAGAATTTTTTTCTTCTACTTGATCTGGTCTATGGTTAAAGCTTTCAAATATATTTTGTATTACATTTAATAAATTCTTCATTTCCAGAATTTCTATTTGGTTCTTTTTTATGAGATATATATATGTGTGTGTGTGTGTGTGTGTGTGTGTGTGTGTGTGTGTATCAAATAGAGATCTCTATTGGTAATTTGTTTATTTATGTGCAGAATTGTTTTTTCTTATTTCTTTTTATTATTTTTCACAATTTTCTTGTATTTTACTTAACTCCTTTAACAGCAATAGTTTGAATTACTTTTCCAGAATTTCATAAATTTCTTTTTGATTAGAATCTGTTGATGAAGAATTATTTTGTTGCTTTGGATATATTATATTTTCTCTCTTTTTTGGATGTTTTCTATGTCCTCACATTGATATCTGCACATCTGTTGTGATTGTCACTTCTTCCAAGCTTTTAAATTTGCTTTCATAGAGGAGGATTTTTTTTTCTCAAGATGTATCTATGGTGTCGGCTGGGTAGGGCACTTTGGGTTTGATTCTGGGTTCATGCAGTAGTGCAGTATTTGTATGATTCATTTGACTAAACAGTGTCAGTAGCATCTGTAATTTCCTTGGTGACTTAGGGTGCAGTTATTAGTGGAGGCTGAGGTGAAGTCTTTCTGGAGACTAGGATACCAGGTGGGTCAGTCTTCAGGTTGCAGTGGTGACTACAGTGGGCTGAGCATGCCTATTCTTGGGCCCCAGGGAGTCATATGCTGGCAGTAAGTTCAATTGGTCCAGGCAGGCAGATTCTTGGGCCTCCAGGTGGCTTGATTGCATGCCAGTATTGGCAACAGTAGGCCAGGTGAGTGAGCGTGTTCTCAGGCCCCTGGGCAGACAGTGTGGTGTGGGTAATGGCAACAGCAGTGTCAAGGTGAACCTCTGAGTTTAGAACTGTGCATAATGGTATTGGTGGTGGCTGCAATGGACTATATGGGCCAGTCTCCAGGCCCACAGGTGTAATATGAAGGTAGATGCCAGTTGTGTTGGTAGTTGGTGGGTGAGTAGGCCCAGCCTCAGTCCCATGGGGGGATTGCTCAGGTGCCAATGGTGGCAGGCTGGTCTGGGCAATCATCAGGCCTCTGGACTGTGTGCTATGGCATGAGAGAGTGAGGCTGGGCCAGCAGACTTTTCTTCAGGCCCCTGGTGGTGTGTGTGGGCACCAGCCATTGTAGGCATGGGCTGGACTATCCTCAGCTGCCAGGTAGAGTGCTTGGATTAGGTGTGGTAGCAGGCATACTGCAGCTCTGCCACTGAATAGGCCAGTGCAGCTTTCAGTGTTGGCAGCCTAATCCAGCTGTTGGGGAATGCACACCTCACCTGTGCCTCAGCTTCAGTGGTGATCACTCATCATCCCTAGTGGTGACAGCTTACAACTTGTTTCTTTGCACCTCTCTTCCATCTGTACAGCCCACTCCTAGCTCATGCCTCAGCTCAAGCAGTAGCAGCCTATGCTTTGCTGGTGCTTCAGCCCCAGTGCCAATGAGCCACAGGACCGTGCAGTCTGCTTGGGTTTAGGCTTCAAAATGATACCTTGCTGTAGCTATTTCAGCCTTGAGAAATATTTGGGACCCAGTGTGACCTCTTTTTCTATAGCCATGCCATTGCATAATCTCCTGGAAGCTCCCTATGTTAGTTTTAGGGCCCACAAGAGTCAAGGGGTTCTTCCATGAGTAGGATTGCAGGAGTCCAGGATGAGAATGTGGAACACTATGGAAGTCTCACTTACTTTTTCCCTATATTAAAGAGTCTTTCCTGGCTCCCAGCCAATTCCAGCCAAGCAGGCTGCCTCTCTTCCCTCTCTTTCCTTGTTTTAGGTGTTTCCAGTCACTTTTTTAATCTATTGAATTCCAGTGTTCTCTCTTGGATGATATATTTGAGTTATGATTAGTAACTATTTTGGTTCTTCTCAGTAAAGGAGGAAAGCAAGAGATGACTCTAGTCAGCCATTTTGAATGAACGTTCCTTTATATTGTTTCCTAATCACATCACATGTGCTACACTGCAGAGGCAACCACAATCCTCAAATTTACATTAGTGATTCTCTTGGTTTTTAAAAATATTTTAATACTTATAAGTGCAATCCTGAATAACATATTATTCATATTTACTTGACTTTGAACTTTATATAAATATTGCAATACTATATATATCCATCAGTGACATGCTTCTGTTGCTCAAAATTATATATTGGAGATTCATGCATAGCGATGGCTGTAGCTGTGATTCATTAAAATGTTTTACTGCTCTATTGTATTCCATTATATGAGTATGACAAAATTTCTTTAACCTGTCAACTGTTGATGAACTATTGGATTGTATTCACATTTTGCTGTCATGAACATTGTTGTTATGAACTTTCTTGTTTGTGTCCTCTGGTAGTATATCTTGAGAGAAATGCCTAGGAGTATTGTTGGGTCATAAGGCATTCACATGTTTAACTTTACCAAATAGTGTCAACCTTTTATTACATAAAAATTTACTGTTCCATCAGCAAGGTATGAAATTTCCCATTGCTTTGTGTTGTTGCCAAAACTTGATGTTGTCAGACATTTAGATTTTCACCAAACTTGTGGTTTTAAATTTTAATTTACCATGATTAATTTTTATTACATTTGTTATTAATAAGGTTGATCATGTTTCATATTTTCATAGGCTAATTTTTTTTTTTACTGTGGAATATCTACTCATTTTTTCTCTGCATTTTTCCAATAGGTTGACAGGCTTTCAGAAATTAATATATAGGAGTTCTTTCAATGTTCTGAATAATAATTATTTGTCTGTTGTATATAATGCAAATATTTTCATAGATTTAGGCTTGTGTTTTAACTCTCATGTGTCTTTGATAAACAAATCTGCTTTTATGTTTTAACATAGTTGAACTTATCAATCATTTCCTTTATGGCTTGACATTTGGGTTCTAGTTAAGAAGTTCTTCCCCTACCTCAAGGTTGTAAATATATTTTCCCATTTTTATAAAAGTTTAGAGGCAATGTTTTTTGGATTTTTTTTTTTTTTTTTTTTTAAGATGCAGTTTCGCTCTTGTTGACCAGGCTGGAATGCAATGGCACAATCTCGGCTCACTGCAACCTCTGCCTCCTGGGTTTAAGCAATTCTCCTGCCTCAGCCCCCCTAGTAGCTGGGATTACAGGCGCCCGCCACCATGCCCAGCTAATTTTTTGTATTTTTAGTAGATATGGAGTTTCACTATGTTGGCCAGGCTGGTCTCGAACTCCTGACCTCAGGCGATCCACCTGCCTCAGCCTCCCAAAATGCTGGGATTACAGGCGTGAGGCACCGCGCCCGGCCAAAGCAATGGTTTTTGAAATGTTACACCTAGATCAGCAGCATCAGCATCACCTGAGAACTTGTTAAAAATGCGAATACTTCAGTCCTACCTCAAGCCTAGTCAAAGAGAACTTCCATATAAGAGGCCTAAAAATCTGTGTTTTAACAAGGTCTCTAGATAATTCTGACACACACTAAAGTTTGAAAACCATTTGTATTTTTGGCTTTCACATTGATTTTTTTTTTTTTTTTTTTGAGACAGAATTTCGCTCTTGTCCCCCAGGCTGGAGTGCAATGGCACAATCTTGGCTCATGGCAACCTCCACCTCCCGAATTCAAGCAATTCTCGTGCCTCAGCCTCCTGAGTAGCTGGGATTACAGGCGCCTGCCACCACACCTGGCTAATTTTTGTATTTTTTAGTAGAGATGGGGTTTCACCATGTTGGCCAGGCTGGTCATGAACTCCTGACCTCAAGTGATCCTCCTGCCTCAGCCTCCCAAAGTGCTGAGATTACAAGTATGGGCCCCATGCCTGGCCACATTGATTTTTTTATGTTGTGGGAAGGAGATATAATTTTACTTTTTCCACATGGATATCCATTTTCCCCAGAATCATTACTTGAATAATACATCCTTTATCCAGTCTCTGTAATACCACATCTACATAAACCATGCTCTCCTATATAATTCTCCCAACAGAAGATAAGGGCAAATACTTAATACTGCTTGAACTGCACAAGTACAAAATACTGCTTGAACTGCCTCTCACGAGTTTTGATACATTATCATTTTGTTTAATCCAGATCAAAATATTTTCTAATTTCCTTTCGAATTTTCTATCTGACTCCTGTTATTTAATTTCAAAATATTTGCAAATTTTCCAAGTATTTTGTAGTTATTTATTTCTTGTTTTATTTTATTAAGTTAGGAAACCTACTTGATATAATTTTAACTCGTTTCTCTCTGAGGTGATACAACGTAATTCTAGATAATTTTTAAAGACATATTCTAGGTCAGTAGTTCTCCCATCATCTACATTTAATATGAGTTTATACATATACACTTTTTAATATGTTTTTTAAACCCAAAAGTTTACATTTCATTATTTCAATTGTTTTATTTTTAATTTTCAGAAGTTTTACTTACAGTTTTAAAAATATGCTTGAACACTATAATATCTCCTTTTTCTCCGTCCTATCCTATTTTCAAATTTCTCTTTTTATTTCTTTATATACATGAATTATATGTATTTCTTTTTGTTTTCTAGTATTAGATAAATCCAGTTATTATAGGTTTAACTCTGTAGTCTATTTTATTTTTCCTATTAGTTCTACCTTATACTGCGATTTATGATTTTTGGACAGTATACTGATTATTTTAATATAACTATGTGTTAGACTTCCTTTATTCCCCAAGAATTTATCTTTGCCTTTGTCATTCACTTGTGAAAACTGCCAATATAGCAGCCTATTCAATTAAATTGTTTGCTTGAGGATTTTTGTATCATACAACTAGCTGAATTTGGACTTCATCTGCCATGATGGTTTCTTGGTGGATTTGAATTCTTTCAGGGGATGTTTTGTCTTCACTTACCTAATACCAGGTTTGAGGTAGACAATTTCCTTTCTAACCCATTCCATATGACAGGTTTCTCTTTTACTCTTTTACTGGATGTAAACTTTAAGTTTCCAGTTTTATGTGGGAGATCTCTTGTTAGACATTCAATCTCGAGCAGGCCTTATACTTCCTTTTATGTCCCTGAATTTATACAGCTACTGTGGCCTAAGCTAAAATCTTCCATAGCATTAACAAAACAAAAACACCACCAACAACAGTGACGAGAAACACAGAGCAAAATCTAGCTTTGGCTTCCTCTTCTGCTTGGGATTCCTGCTTTTACTTTCTGTTTAACCTCTGAGGCTTCCTTTCTTTTATGGCAATTCTGCAGTGTTTATAAAGCACTTTTATTTACTTTTCTCAACATATTATCCAGACAGGTTTTAAGAGCTTCCTGATGGCTAAGCTTAAAAATAGTGCCTGGGAGTCTATCTAGAAAGGACTTTATAGATATAATGCCTGGGTGAGAACCGTCTTCTTTAAACTTGTATTGTCTTAATTTGTTTGTATCTTATTTTATTTGCCATGGTAGTCTTAGTGAAACAATAGTTTATGCTTGCTAATGAAGTACTCACATTTATGTGCCAAGAGTATTTTTATGATAGTACCCCATTTGTTCTCCAAGGAGACGTTCAAACTGGTAATCTATAGATCTTGAAAAACCTTTATTTGAAATTTATCCTGTTTCAACTAAGCATTTTCTACCATATGTGTTCCACATTGCAAGACTCCTCAGTCATTATTTAATTGTTCATGTCCCAGGCACCCTTTGAGAGTAGTCAATCAGGAGCATTAGACTGAAGAATCTCCCTGAATGTCTAATATATAATAATGTTTTATAATCCTAAATGTCTCTAAATGGAGTCACTTATGACAAGTGACTCAGCTTACGGTGAAATTGCTGACCCCTCTGAATGTTAAGCATATGCATAGTAGACTTAGGTGATAAGATGACACCTACTGTGGCCAGGCGCCCCTGAAATCAGAAAAGAAACTGAAGCCAAAAGGCAAATGAAGATAATGGCCATGGACACTTCTGCAGAGGGCCATAAAAACCACAATGCGACTGATCGTGGTGAATGTCTCCAGGATCTCTGCCAGTGAGAATCTTGAGGGCTCCTTTTCCACAGCTGCAGTCGCCAGAGCCTTGGTTGGGAAAAAAGCAGTGACCCTTCCCTTTCCCCACCACCATGGATTGGTACTCCCAGGAAAAAAACTGAACCTGCCTGTTGGTCAAAATGCTGGTCTCCTGAGCTATTGCCTGTGAGTGTTGGATATATTTGCATGATTGTTGATGTGTGAAAACCTCACAATAAATTGAATTTGTAAGCATTAAATTGGCCACTAAGTCATCATGAAACCTCTCAGCCAGCCCCCGTGTTAGGGTTAGCACAACTTGACTGATTCAATAATTCCTTAAAAGAGATTGGGGGAGTATATTTCAAATTGGGAGTAGTGGGAATGTTGGATGTGTAATAATATGGGTGGTGCTCTTGATCTCTTAGTAAGTACATATTTCATTCTTTGCTACAATTAAAAAATTGATAATATTCTCTCTAGAGAAAAGAGGAGGAAAGTAGTAAGGCAAGCTTATCTTTTGGGTGATAGATATAGAATTAAGGGATATCACCATATTGGAAGTCTGATGTGATATATAGCAGAAATAAATGTGATGTCTTAGAATTAGATCAGTAAATTAGCTAAAGGAAAAGCGAAAGATGTGGCTAAAAGCAGCACGTGTGACTGCCACAAAAACAATCAGTGTAATCTCAGGCTATGTTCAGATGAGGTGATAGGCCTACTCATACACTACACTGCACTGGAATAGTGTGTTAATATATAAATACCATGCTTTAAAGGAGGCATGCACAAGGAAACCAAAGCTGGGAGACTGGTGGGGAGAGAGAGAGAGTTCATCTTCAACAATTATGCCACATGAAAAACGGGAAGTGTTACCTTGGGAAAGCCTAGAAAAAGAGTGGGGAAAAGGTGGGGAACATAAATATTGCTTTTAAATTTCAGAAGGACTTTCAGGTAGAAGGCTTCCATATCTGAGCCTAATGGGTGTGTGATACTGTGAAATATATATTTGGTCTACAACTCCATTTGATGGCATACAACTCCTAAAATCCTTGGAATCTTCAAAGTCTTGTCATTTTGTTGACTAGTGGCTGGCAGCCTCTAGGTAGCTTCAGGATGGAGGCTGGTCACTTGAAATACCAAGCTATGATTAGAGGGTTGGGGCTTTCAGTCTCATCCTCCGATCCGTGGGGAGGGGAGAGGGGTTGACACCCCTTGATCATCAATGACCAATGGTTTAATCAATGATGGCTCCATAAAAACCCGAGAGGACAGGGTTTGGAGAGCTTACAGACAGCTGAACCCATGGAGGTTCTGGGAGAGGTGTCCACACAGAGAAGACATGGAAGCTCTGTGACCTTTTCCCCGTATCTTGCCCTGTGCATCTCTTATCTGTATACTTTGCAATAAACCAATGAAGTGTTATTCCTGAGTTCTGTGGGTTGCTCTACCAAATTAGTTGAACCCAAATAGGGAGTTGTGAGAACCCCAACTTGAAACTGTTCAAGTTTCAAGAAGGTCTGGAGGCCTAGACTTGCCATTGGCATCTGAAGAGGGGGTAGTCTTATGGGACTGAGTCCTCAACCTGTAGGATCTGAGATTATAACCAGATAGATAGTGTCAGAATTGAATTAAATTAGAGGACACTCACACCCAGCTGGTGTCTGCTGCTTGGTGTGTGAAAAAAAAAAAAAGGCACCACACCTTTGGCCACAGAAGTAGTCTGTGCTGATTGTTGTGATATGAGAGCAGAGGAAAAACAATTTATGTGTTTTTTTCCTACCAGAGAGTGGACGCATATTATAGTGGAAAATGCTCTAGAATAGGAGTGAGAGAAACTGGGTTCTAGTCCTAGTGCTGATAAAATTCATAACAGAGTTGTTCATTTTACAGATGTAAAATGGGAACATTTAACTTGATGATTAAGATCTCATTTTGCTTTTATTTTTTATAATGTAAGAGACATTGCTCAATACAAGAATGAATTTTCTAGCATGATGTTTTGTGAAAAGGAAATGGGCTACTTTCAGTAACGATAAGTTTATAGTCACTGGGAGTATTTAAAGAGAAGGATGTTGAGGAAGAGATTCATGAATTGGATAGGTAGTTGGACTAGATTATCTTTAAAAATCTTTGCCTGCCCTGATAAATTTTGATGTGGCTAAAAAGGTAAAAATTGATTTGTGAGCAGTTTTGAATTGAAAGAACATTGCCACCATATATGTTTGTACTTTTCTCTATTACCAGATCTTTTATACTTTTTACCCAGGTCTCAAAAAGGGTTTTTGTTTGTTTGCATTTTTTTTGGCTTTGTTTTTGTATTTTCCAAAGACATTGTGATGGTTAATTTTATGAGTCAACTTGACTGGGCCACAAGGTGCCCAATATTTGGTTAAACATTTTTCTACATGTGTCTATGAGAGTGTTTCTATATGATATTAATAGTAGAATCCATAGACTGAGTAAAGCTGATTGTACTTCTCAATGTGGTTGAGCCTAATCCAGTCCACTGAAGGCCTAAATAGAGAAAAAAGGTGAAGTAAGGAAAAATTTGCTCTCTCTGCCTGTCTCCGGCCTGGGAAATCAGTCTTTTCCTTTGTTTGAACTCAGACTCAGTCTGAAATTTATACCATCAGCTCTCCTGCTTCTCAGGACTTTAGACTCAGACTGGAGCTATATCATTGGCTTGGTTCTCCTGGGTGGGTCTCCAGCTTGTCAACTGCAGATCTTACAGTATTTTATTCTCCATAATTATGTGAGCCAATGCCTATAATCTCTCCCTCTCTTTCTCTCTCTCTCTAAAATGCATATTCTATTGGTTCTGTTTCTCTGGAGAACTCTAGTACAGAGATTCTATAAATACCTTAGATCTATAAATGCTGTCATAAGGCAGTATAGGCGATCCCATAAACTGATGTAGCAGTATCCATACCCTTCATTGACATTCTGTAGAAGGACTGGAAAACCTAGGCTTTAAATTCTGGCTTCATTACTCACTTTCTTCATTACTTTTCCTTTATTAATTTTTAAATACATAAAAATGGGGGAAATAATGCTCACTTTAGCAGAGCTGATGTGAATTAAATAGCCTAGCATTCTTCCTAGTGTATTATAAAGCGTAAAAAGTAGTGCTTGAATCTAAGTATACTTATTTTAGGCACAGTCCATATTTCTGTGAGCTCTGACTGGAGTCAAGCAGAAATGAGTTTAACTCACAGTTGTTTTACTTATAATCTGTCTTCTTTTAGGCAATTCATACAGACATTCTTAGCCCCTGTTTCCTAATTCATAAAATAGGAATAATGATAGTACTTTTCTCATCAAGTTGTTATGAGAAATAATTGAGACAATGCACACATAATGTTCTTAGTAATATTAAGTGCCCCAGAAATGTTTACTATTATTAATGGATATAATCCCTGCAAAATCTCAAAGAGTGTCTAATTAGCAATTTTAGCCCCCTGCTTTAAGTTTTTTATATAGCCGCTGCTTGATAATCCTTATCAGGGGAACTAGAAATAATAGAAAATAATGAGTGAGCTCCAAATGTCTCTATTTTTTTTTAAGAATACAGCCAGACATGGATATTTTCCATTTTTTCCTCTGTGTCTACTTTTTGTTCCTGCTACCATCAATGAAGCCTGGGATGAGGAGGAGTGAAAGGATTGAAAGGTTGATTGTATGCAATCAGGAAAATTAGGGCCAGGGTAAAAGAGGGGAGAAGAGTGAAGGGGACACAGATAGAATGTAAAGAGCTCTGAGACCTCCTGACTTCATTAGTATAAATCGTTCAAGAACATACACATAAATTCACAGCAATCCTGTCAGGATTTTTAGAGTGAATCATTTCCGTTTCAACCATTGTGCATTTCCCAGGATACAAATCAAGGATCTGTAAGGGAAGTACAAGAAAGAATGAAGGACATAATAAAGTTTGTGAATTAACCCTTTCTAACTCCTAGCTTCTCAAAAGTGTCTCCATGTGAAATTGGCTGAAGAACCTGTGCAATGGAGGGACATCAGGGAGATGCAATACATGCAGTGGAGAGAAAGCTGCCAGCATTTGAGAAATGAGGCGTGAATAGGAGAGTTCTGTCAATCAATGTTTCAGTGTTTCTGAAATTTCTTTTTCCATTTAACAATGACCCACAACCAACAAAACTCTCCTGAGTTCAATTGAGTAGATGAGCTGTAAATCCTGTCTCTTTTACATTTGGGGGAAGAAAGAACTCTAGTCAAAGGACTGTGACTGCAGCTTAAATAAAAACATAGCCAGAGATAAGGTGCTTTAGAAAGGAAAATCATTTCCAGAAAACAAGAAAGCAAAAGGAGGAAAAAAGAAATGGACAAATCCATTAAAGAGAATATAATCAAAACTGAGCAGCCTCTCGTAGTTTTCTTTGTAAAAGAGATAGAGTGTGTGAGGCAAGGGACTGATTATCCTGCTCTTAGCCAGTATTTCATAGAGAAGAGAAACTGACAGTGGGGCGTGCTGCCTAGAGAATTGTAAGTCAGAGGCTTGCCCATTAGTTAACACCACTTACTGTTTACATAATAGGGAGCCAATTGAAAGATTCCCATTATGCTTTGGAAGCCCTTCCTCAGCCCACATACTAAATGCACAATTGACCACGGTAAATTTTCTTCTATTTGCATATGTTTTGCATTTCAGACAATGACAAAGGTGGATCATCTTCATGTAAAAAAAAAAGGAAAAGCAGCAAGGTAACGGAGTTGTAACATTTTAAACATTCCAAATACTTATATACAATTGAGATCAGCCTAGCTTTTTTGAGTGAGTGGAAAGACAATTTTGAATGTAGTTTTCTAGGGGTAAATTGTTCAAAATCTTATGTGTGGGTCTTCTACGTCAATGATTTTATCTTGCATAAATTTAGGGCAAAAAAATACACCAACAATAGTAGACATATGTAAGTCTTTTTGTATTTAGTGAGCATCTACAATATACCAGTGATTGGGCTAGATGGTATGTGTGTGTGTGTGTATGTGTGTGTGTGTGTGCGTGCATATCTCTGTATCCTCACAACAAACCTATGAGGTACGAGCCATCATTATAATCTTTTTACAGATGAAGACTGTGAACTGTATATAGGTTATTTAACATCTCTAAAGTCACACAGTAAGAAAATGAGAGAATTTTCCTTTGGACCTGGATCAGGCTGACTCCAATACTCATTTGCCTCTTCAGTATGGCTGTTGCAGATATCAGTGTTTTCACATTAGTGACTATTGACAACAGCCTGTCAGCGTGTGTGTAGTTAAAAGATCACCACATGCTCACTGATGGAAATGGTTCCCCTAACCCACTATCTTCCTTTCTTCCAGCTCATCTCTGTTACTCACATACTCCTTTCAGTAGTCAAGTCTAAAGTCAACCCAATGGGGAACTTTTCACTGGGAACAAAGAAGGATTTCATTCACTCTCCACACTCTCCAGTTTGTTTGTTTTTTTCTTAAATCAGCTGCCACAAATCCAGCTCTCTTAATTTATTGCCATGGAAGCAGTGACAATGATGACAATTGTCTACAGGTACTTCCACTAAGTAGAGATTGAGTATCCTTGAAAGATGATATTGCCTCTTTAATGATCTAATTTGTTTTCACACAGGGGCTCTGATTTTATTTTTTTGCTCTGTAATTATTCCTTAATTGTCACTCTCATCTTACCTGCAAGACTCGGCTCTTTGAGAACAGGGAACATGCCTTATACTTCTTTTGTTTGTATCTTCTCACTCCTAACTAATGGCATAGTGTTTCACATTCAAATGTTCAGTAAAGACTTGGCTTGGTTGATTAATAAAGAGAATGATGGAAATACTGTACCATTTGGATTATATTAGATGAAACCATTGCAAAATTTAGTGGCTTAAACGAACAACCATTAGTTTAATTTATGATTCCTTATGTTGGCAATTTGTACTGGGCTCAGCTGAGCAGTACTGATTCTACTGGGTTCAATCATGTGTATGCAATCCGCTGTCAGTCAAGCAGGCAGCTCTGCTTTTGGGGGTTAGTTGGCTCTCAGCTTGGGCAATGAGGGTACAATACGGGTAACTAGGCTATGTGTTTCTCATTATCCAGCAGACAGACCTGGTGGGATTTCAAAAGTAAGAATTAAGGTATATATAAGACTGCTTGAGGCCTGGGATCAGAACTGGCTTAACGTTGTTTCTGCCATATTCTATCAGGCAAAGAAAGTCAAAAGGACAGGCCAAATACCAGACAAATCTGTTATCCATATCTTTATGGGGAAAGCTGAAAAGTTTTGCAATCTACCAAAAATTGTTCAAAACTATTGCACAGCTATTTTGTGCAAAGTACTCTTTAAAGATTATTTACATTGCTTCTGCTTAGAGGAGTCAAATAACTTGCCCAATGCCACATAATTTAGTGACTCACTTTTCTCTGCATCTAAATACAGTGCTCTTCCTGCTATTCAACATTGTCTCTCAATTAAAAACTGAGAATAAGAAACAATATATTCGTCAACTTGCTCAACATATTTTAAATACACTTCTTTGGCTACCATAACTTAAAACATAAATGATTTTTCTCTATCATTTTGGTTGCATTTACATAGTTTTCCATAATTTGGGTATTAAAGTTTAATAGACTTAGTCCAAATATTGGCTCCACATTTACTAACTCTGGGAAAATAATTTAACATCTTTGAGTCTCAAAATGCTCATCTGTAAAATGAGACAGCAATAACACCTATCATACAAATCTGTCATGATAATTAGCTAATGCATATAGAATGCTTAGTACAGAGTGTGGCACAGAGCGCTCAATAAATAAATATATATGTATATATGATATATGCATATGAATGTGTCTATATATATCAACATACGTATATATTTGCATAAGCAACATCTGCCAAGTAGTATATACTAATAACTTTTTTCTTTAGTACTTCGGAGAACCAGACTATCTATAGAGTGACAGAAAAATTAAAGACTGGAAAAATCACGAAAAATAAAGGCATAGGCTTTGCTTTTCCTTCATTATACACCCAGCACTATCAAATTATTGGGAACTCCCACTGTAAGAGATGGATTGTAAAAAATAATGCCAAAGGAAATGCAGGTTTTATTTAAATAGCTGTATTTTCTACTATGTGTCCAGAGAAATGCCTTGGGGCTGAAACTTTGACATTTGGAGAGAGCTGCCTTGTTGAATAAAGGTATGTGTCATTACCTTGAAAGGGAGGCACTATCTTTGGAGTGCCCTCTAACATTACAATTGTCTCCTTTGGAAGGGCAGATATACAAAGAATTTTCACGACTACTGCCTTATTTATGAGGTGAATTATTTTGAACTATTGAATTTTTAAAGTTGCGTAAATGATTTTTCTATCCAAATTTAAAGGGGAAGTAAATATTTTTAACTAAATATTTGAAACAAAATTGAAAGGCTTTGAGATCTAAAAAAATGTTATCAAAAAGATAATATCCCATTTTATAGAAGATATTTCTCAACGTGTTCTTGTGTTACTATTATTTCCATGTAACATCTCAGCAAGAAACATCCTGGGCTGCTAATGTTAACATTGTCTCTTGGTGCTGTAATTTGTAAGCAAATTTGTCTACCCCTTTAAGGTGATAATCATTGCTTCAAAAATTTTGGCAATAATATAACATATTAAGAGTTCCAACTGTCATACTTGCTGTAATTATCCCCAGTAGCTGGGGTTATTGGTATTGGTTATTGGGGGTATTGGTATTCAAAATACCAATGAGACAATTGTCTCAGAGTTGGCAACTCCTATAATGGCTCTGAATCTCATCCAGTTATGAAATGTAAGCACAAATCTCTGGGGAGGTAAATCTCTTGTTATGTATTCAGTCATCCTTTAAGTTACAGGGCTTGTTCTTTAACCCAGGTCCTAGTAAAAGTTTTCAAGAAAGCTCTACTGTGCAGAAAACATAAAATATATTTTCTCTATCATTCCACGAGTATCCAAACTTCCATTTTATGGATGGGAATACAAGAGATTCAAATAATTTAAATGACATTTTCAAGATCTCATTATTTATAAGCAAGAGAAGTGGATGTTTGATAAGGGTCATTCTGACTTCAAGGTTCATGTCTTTATACTACATTTAGTTAAACTTCTATGAAAATTTTATACCTGTACTAAATGAAATATGAATTATCTATGCCCAAGTTTTATTAGAAAGTCAAAATGCTTTCATCCTAAGTAGCAAACACTTGAAATTAGCTGTAAAGCCAAAATTGAGAGACTGAATTTTGTTTGATTTAGTGGGAAGAAAAGAACTGCAAAATGTGTTTTCTAAAGGCCT
Source organism: Homo sapiens (assembly GCF_000001405.40). NCBI lineage: Eukaryota > Metazoa > Chordata > Mammalia > Primates > Hominidae > Homo > Homo sapiens. The sequence goes on along the minus strand of NC_000023.11, from coordinate 99,133,856 downwards.
ATGAAAAATGAGAAAATAAGTGTCTCTCATGGTGAGGGTGCCTTTAGATATGTAAGAGGGTTTAAGAGAAAAATAGAAATGTGCTTCTGACGAACAAACTTTGCCCGCTTTACCATTTTACACGTGGACCTCTATGTCAATGAAAAGCACCATTGTCAAATGTATTGTATGAGTTGCTTAACACCTGGTATAAAGAGAGAACCCATGAATAAGCTTCTTCAACAAGCATAATCTCAGGAAAATATCAGGAAAAGTTACTATGCTAATACTTAATATCTAGGACACCACTCCCATGTTTAACAGGTCAACCATTTCCAAAATATTGATCTTAGGCATCATTCATTAAAAAAGTGTTTGTTAATGCATCCATATTCCAACATTTTTGTTTCTATTTATGTATATTCATATACTACTATGTATGATTTTATGTATATTATAAAAAGTGTAAAAATAGACATTTTAAAATAATAGCTTTAAGTAGAAACTTTAATATTTATTTTCTGCACATCATTGAATTATCTATATAGTACCTGAGCACACCTATGCCCAATTTGAAGATTACTAGAATGTATAGTACTGTTTACTACAATCAAGATCAAAACACGAGTATTCCTGAATCATTGTGCGAGCTGTTATTTTGTCATTTATTCCTAACCATCCCATCTCATGTGTCTCTTTATCCTCTTTCTAGAATTTTCCATTTATTTTCTTCTCTGGGCTTTTCTATTATCTGTCTTCCACCTCACCAATCTTCTCTAATCTTTTGCTAAAGTCAAATATTATATTTTTAACTTCAGATACTGCACTTTTTGATTGTATAATTTCCATTTGATTTTTGTTTTAAACAGATTCAAATTCTCTGGAGAAATTCTCTATAGTTTTACTTATTTTCTCCACCATTCCCTTTAATTGATTGAATATATTAATCATGGTTATTTTGTAGTCCTTTTCTTCTATCACCAATATCTGAATCATCTTTAGGTCTTTTTCTCTCATTCTCTTTAATCTTGGATTTTGGTGATCTTGTCCTGTTTCTGGGCATGGCCTTTATGTTTTTGTTAAATGTCAGACTTTGTGTATTAAAATTTGTAGATGATATGAATGATATGATCTTCCATCTGGAAAAGGTCAACTTTTGCTGGAAAAATCAAGTAGAGGACAGTAACATTAATTAAATTAAAGACTGAGCTGCCTTGAGGCTATGTTGCAGTATGTGTAAGACTCCAACTGCTTCTGAGTCACTTATGTTCCAACACAGCCCACTGGTAGTTCCAACTGAGAGACTGAGAGACAAGGGTTGAATGGAAACCCTCTCCACCCAGCAAGTATTTGTCTTCACAGAATCATAAGATTGCTGAATACGCTGGACTGCTTTTCCAGAGGATTTCTGCTTAGCTAATTAACCTCTTGCCCTATACAACTTCAAAACTTAGCAAATGTTATTACAGGTAAACCAGCCTCATTCCATTTTCAGTGAGATCCTGGACCGTTTAGTCTCCAATCATTTTCCCCCCATGGCCCAATGAAGCTACCAAAAATTCTGCTCTTTTATTTTGTTTGTTGTTTTTTGCCTCACAGTAGAGGTGAACTACCTGGGTGGGGGATAGGGAAGTAGAGATCCACAATCTCAACCTTTTTCCCTGGTGCCCAATACTAGTAAATACCTGGAGGAAAAAATATATAGTTTCAGAATGTTACTTCACTTCTATGCAGTTCTTCTTTCTCTAGAACTTTATCTTTGCAAGTGCTGGTTGCCTCAGTGGCTTTCAGATGCAGATTATCTACCTATCTGTCTGATCTGTACACAAATTTATAGTTTTTAAATTAAATCTAAATTTTATAAATTTTATAGATTTTAATTTAATTTAAATCATATATATGATTAAAATTAAAATCATATATATAAATTAAGATTAAACTAAGATTATATATAAATTAATTTCCCGCTGGTTCTTTCCAGGAGAGTTTATCTGCCACAAGTGATTATATCTCAGTACAAGTCAGCATTTGTCAAACCTGTATGACAGGATCATTTTGAGCATCTTATTTTAAAATACAGATTCTTGGGTTCTACCATAAACTAAATGAATCAGTGTGTCATAATATGGAGCTTTGGGGCTTGGCTACTTTTGACAAAACACCTAGGTGATATTTATGAATCTATTCTGGAACTAGTAATTAGGTACAAGTGGACTAAGGTAACCTCTGATGCACTTTCCAGCTCCAACATTTAATGTTTTTATTATAATTTCTGATTTACATGAGAAACAAGAAAGTTTAGGAATTCTGCTATCTACACCCTTCACTTTGGGTCAGTAAAAACATTACATCATTTATCTAACTCTCCAAAATGTAAAACAACAGTCCTTTAGTGTACTTGATTTTAAAGTCACACAAAAATCTATGAAGCATTTGGTTTTATCAGCACTTTTGCTAACATCACAACCCACAGGGGTTCTTAGTTTTGTGGTTATTTCCCTTTTATTTATATATAAGTGAGAGAGTAGAATTTTCACATAATGGCTGCAAAGCATGCACTGTTCAGCAAATTAGCAATGGTTTCAGAGGTTTGATGACAATACTTTCTTGGTAAGCATTCAGCGATATGTATGGGTCTCAATTTAATCTCCATGTATGCATTTTTTCCATCAATGAAAACTTAGGTGATTAAAATCATATAAGGAAGGAAAATTTATCTCTCAGAAGGAAGATATTGTGTCCATGTGTTTATCATGGTATAGAGCTTGGCACAACACCATATAATGGTACTAAATAAAGGCCTTTAAATAGTTAATGTTTATAGCACATGAATCATTTCACAATATGATGCCCCTCTGCTAGGTACTTCAGTCACAAATGCTTCTTAAAATTCAAGGAAATAGGGATATGTTTGGATGATTGCTCCAAAGCAATTATTTTTATGCTTTGAAGTTGAAATAAAAAGTACTTCTCCCGGACAAAGAGCATAAGACCACCAGTTGAAGTGCTGTAATAAAAACCGTGTGTGTGTGTGTGTGTGTGTGTGTGTTTGTGTATTTGTATGAAAGACAGAAAGTCACATATAAAGACAGAAAATGCAGATTATTTTTTAATTTAACTGTGTATTGGTCAGGGTTCTCCAGAGCAACAGAACTAATGAGACTTCTGTATCTATATCTATATAAACAAGATTTTTTTATGAGAGTCGACTCACACAATTGTGGAGGCTGAGAAGTTCCACCATTCACCATGTGTAAGCTGGAGAACCTGAAAAGCTAGCAGTGTAATTCCACATGTGTCTAAAGGCCTGAGAACCAGAGGAGCTGATGGTTTAAGTCTTGGTTCAAGTCTGAAGGTCTAAGAACTAGGGGCATTAATGTTCAAGAGCAGGAAAAAATGGATGTCCCGGCTCAAACAGAGAGAACATTCCTTTCTGTGCCTTTTTGTTGTATTCTGGCTCTCAACAGATTAGATGATGGCCACTGACATTAGTGAGAGCAATCTAACTCAGTCTACTGATTCAAATACCCTAACAGACACACCTAGAAATGATGTTTTGTCAGTCATCTAGGCATTCCTTATCTCAGTCAAGTTGACAACTAAGATTAATCATTACAAGTCTACCCTTTGTCAATTTGGCACCCATACACATCTCTTTAAATCATACTTAATTCAAATAAAGGCAATACAGTTATATGGTTATAATTCCACCCAACTTGCTAAAACTATCCTGTGTACAATTGAAAACATACCAAACCCTTATCCAGAAGAGAAGGAAAAGTCCTTGAGTAATATTCTGTAACTTAAGTACTGTGATGTAATATTAACAATACTTAAATACTGATATAAAGTCAATATATTTTATGTTACCTGATGAGGAGATAAAAGAGGAAAAAATATTTATTTATTATTTATATATACACACAAATTAAGGCATAACAAAATACGAATGAAATACTATGACAATTACAATTCTTGTTTCTGTAACTGGTCACATGGTCATAGCTGATATTTATACAAACTTCTTCTACTGTCCATTCTATATTCCCTTTGCCTCCAGCAAGTGTCTTAGCTGATCATTGGTGTTTACCTTGTGGAATGACCCAAACCCCCATTCCTAAAACTCTGGGCCATTTGTAGTCCTGCCTGGATTAGGTTGCTGCAGTTTTCCATTGAACTTAATCACAGGAATGGTGATACTCAGAGATGTCCTAAAGGATCTTCTGTGTTTCAAACATATTCTTACTTTCTGTACTGTAGAGTAGTCATCTAATTTTCTCTTGGTAGTCCAGATCAATCACCCCAACCAATACCATAACTTCCTTCTTGGCCTGTTGACTTAGAGAAATAAGGGGCATAAAGTGGTCTTCTGGCAGTCTTAACTTCCATTTCAATGAAATCTATCATTGTTATGTCTCCTGGTAGAAGCATTCCTCCTTCTGAAACTAAGAGCTCTAGGCAAGTGGAGCAGGAAGTCATGAAAACAGGAAGCAAAATTTTGCTAGTTGGTCACTAAGGTAATAGTGAGTAGTGCCACTGCCATTTCCACCCCTGGATCCCTGGACCCATGAATCCTGGCTATCAGAAAAACAGCAACACATATTAGATGCTGACTCAGAGCATATACAGACTTCTAGAAAACCTTGCCCCAGCCCTGAAAACTATTGTGTTCTAGCTGACACTATATCTGAGTCTTGAAAAGGCCATTCCACTGTCATATCAAGCCAGCAGCCTCAGGATTGTGGGAAGCATGGTAAGGTCAGTGAATTCCATGAACATGGGTCTATGCCCCACTACTTGTGCTGTGAAATGAGTTTCTTCATAAGAATCAATGTTGTGTGGAATACCACAATGACAGATAAGACATTCTATATCTCTGAAGATAATAATTTTAGCAGAAGTATTACATACAGAAAAGGCTAATACACATCCAGAGTAAGTGTTTATTCTGGTAAGGACAAAATATTACCTCTCCCATGATTCAAGCAGTCCAATATAATCCACCTGACACCGGGTAGCTGGTTGATCACCCCATGGAATGAAGTCATATCAGTGGTTCAATGTTGGTCACCACTGCTGGCCAATTGAGCACTCAGCAGTGGCCATATCCAGGTTGGCCTTGGTGACTAGAAGTCCATGTTGCTGAGCCCATGCATAACCTCATGACCTGCCGTCATGGTGATTTTGTTTATTTTTTTTGGTGGGGGGGCAATGATAGAGTGGCTAGAAGAAGAGGCTGACGGATATCTATAGAACAGGTCATCTTATACATCTGATTATTAAAGTGCTCGTCTGTTGAGGTCACCCTTTGGTGAATATTCACATGAAACATACATATCTTCATGTTTTTCATCCATTCAGAGAGGTTTCTTCATGTACTCCTTCCCGCAAATTTCTGTCACCAATTTTCCAATCATGATTCTTCCAAGTCCCTGACCATCCAGACAAATTCTTGACCATGGCACATTAATTGGCACAAATCATGTTTGGCCATTTATCCTTCTAAGCAAGGTGTGCAACCAGGTACACTGCCTGAAGTTCTGTATACTGGGAGGATTTCCCTTTGCCATTGTCTTTCAGAGAGAGATTGTAGTGATTCAGCTGCCCACTTTCAAATGGTATCCACGTATTGTGCAAAGTCATCTGTAAATCACGCCCAAGTCTTCTCTTCCTCTGTTAATTGAACATCGGAAACTCCCCTTGAGGTCATATGTCCAGGCTGGGAGAAAGATGGCAGCCAAACAGGGTTGGGAGTCATGGGCATTCAACTACTTTTTCATGTAGCTTACTTGTGCCTTTAGGAGCTGTTCAGGCTTGATCAGGTATATGAATGTATATATGTATATTATCATGTATAACTGTAAGTTGCTATTCATGCCCAACTTTATGGTTTGCTGGATCAGATAACACAGTATACAATGGGAAGCTCAGATCTCATGGTAACTTGATGATTCATGGTGGAGAGTTCAGTCTCTACTAAAGCCCAGTAGCAGTCTAAGAGTGGTCTCTCAATAGGAATAAGTTATCTGTGGATTACGGCAGGGTCTTGCTCAAAAATTCTAAAGGCTTGTGCTGTGATTTACCTATGGGGTAAATCTATGGGGGCATGCCAAAGTTTCCAAACAGCATCCCTATCTGCCACTGATATTTCAAGCACCATTGGCTCCATTGGATTATATGGCCCAAGTGGCAGAGCAGCTTGTACAGACAGCATCCTGGGACCTGTTTCAGAGCCTTCTTTCATTCTGGGACCCACTCAAAACTAGTAGCTTTTTAGGTCATTTGGTTAAAGAGTCAGAGTAGCACACACAAATGAGGAATATTTTGTCTCCAAAATCCAAATAGGCACACTAGGCATTGTGCATTCGTGGTTTTAGGAGAAGCCAGATAGAACAACTTATCCTTCACCTTAGAAGGAATATCTGGTCATGCTGTATGTCAACGGATCCCTGGAAATTTCAATAAAGTAGGAGGCCCTTGAATTTTAGTCAGCTTTATTTCTCAACCCCTGACATATGTCTTAGAGTATTTGCTACTTCACACTCACTGTGTTCAATCAACATAAGGTCATCAATATAGTAAACCATGTGATATCTTGTGAAAGGGAAAGTGATCAAGATCCTTGAAAACTAAATTATGACATTGGGCTGGAAAGTTGATATATTCCCGAGGTAGGGCAGTGAACATGTATTGCTGGCCATGACACCTGAAAGCAAACTGCCTCTGGTAGGCCTTATGAACAGCAATGTAGAAAAGGAATTTTCTAGATCAATAGCTGTATATTAGGTACCAGGGGATGTGTTAATTTCCTAGGCAAAAAAAAAAAAAAAGAAAAGAGAAACACATCTGGTATAGCAGCTGCAATTGGAGTTACCACTTAGTTAAGCTTCCAGTAATCTACTGTCATTCTTCAAGATCTATTTGTCTTCTGCATAGGTCAAATAGGAGAGCTAAATGGGAATGTGGTGCATATTTCAAATCTTTGATGATAGCACTAATCTCTGCAATCCCTCTAAGAATACAGTATTGCTTTTGATTTACTACTTATCTAGTAGAGGCAGTTCTAATGGCTTTCTCTTGGCCTTTTCCACCATAATAACCCTCACTCCATAGGGCAGAAAGTCAATTTAGAGATTCTGCCAGCTTCTAAGCATATCTACTCCAAGTATGCATTCTGGAACTAGGGAAATAACCACAGGTTGTGTTCAAGGATGCAGGGACCCACTGTGAGATGGACCTAAGCCAAACTCCATTAATCACCTGAACTTGATAAGCCCTTATTCTGATTGAAAGGCCACAGTGATATGTTGGGTCTCCTGGAGTCAGTGTCAGTTCAGCGTGAGTGTCCAGTAGTCCCTAAAAGATCTGATTATTTTCATTTTCCCAGTGCAGAGTTGCCCTGGTAAAAGGCTGTAATTCCCTTTGAATAAGGCTGAGAGAAATATTTGTAATATAAATTTTCATTAGTGTACCAGAGTTATTCCTCTAGAGAATGTAGCCTACCCTTCATTCAAGGAGTTTGAGGTACATAAACTGGTTCCAATGTGGGAGTTGATTAAGAAGCCTTTACTCTCTGTTTTTATAATTCAAGTTAGACATCTCTTCATTTGACCTGGAACTTTCTTGTTTATACAAATTAAGTAAAAATATAGTAAACTTCCTATTTCTTTCACTTCCAGAAACACCATGATTAATTGGAAAATGCTATGGACCTTCCCAAGTCAGGATATTCACCTTGCTGCTTTGACTATGTCCTGCCTTACAGTAACTACACCTCCTCACCTTTAGGAGCCTGCTGAGACTTGAGTCCAGTTATGGACATAGAAGCAAAGAGGAGTGATAGAGGTAGGTCCTTAGGAGAATTAGCATTGTCTTGCATGGTAACTGCCTCAGAGAAAGCTATTATTGTTTCCTTAGACAATGCAAGATTAATACCTTCAGATGGAGGTGAAGAGGCCAATACCACTGTGGGTGGGGATGCAGCTGCCTCTGAAGGTGGGGAGGCCACTTCTGCCAGTTGAAGAGGCTACTTTTCTAAGCATGGGGACACCAATTGCACAGACAATGGGAAGACCACTTTCAATAGGGGTGAGGAGACCTCTGTCATTAGCAAAGAAGACTCCTCAGAATTTAGGGATTTAATGTCCCTAGCTTCATCGGGTTCTTCCTACACATCCCCAGTTCATCTTACAGGATCTCATTTTTTTCCCAACTAATGCTCTCAATTTAATAGTAGACACCCCTTGAGACTGAGAGTTCAAATTGTGTTGTAAGTCAGCCAATCACAGAATTAACTTCTGCGTTTGATTTCTGGCAATTTTAGCCTTGCAGCTACAAGAGATAAGGCTCTCCTCCAGTGCATACTTAGAAGATCTTAGGTCATTTGTGCAGTGCTTGAGCTGGGAATTCAAATGCCTGAACTCATCTTTCTTTTCATCACTTTATCCAGAGGCATTAGAAGCAACCAACCAAGGTCCAATGTCATTATGTTCCTTAGTTTTCCAAAAATGGTCATATATAGAGTTACTTAGTTCCTTGCTTCTTATAAGTGATTGATTAGAAGTATCCAATACAGATTTTTGCATATATCTATAAATACTTCACACTATGGGCTATCAGTTCCCCCTTTACTACTGAAAATAGAGACAATAGCAACTTTAAATCTAATCAGACTAGAGAGACAATGCCACAAACCCCACAACCAATTCAGAAAACTCATCCTTAAAATTCTGTTCATCTAAAACCACTGTTGATATCAAAATCTGTATCAGTCAAGGTTCTCCAGATAAACAAAACCAAAAGTGTATTGTGTATGTGTGTGTGTATATATATATATATGTGTATATGTGTGTATGCACACACACACACACAAACACACAGTGGGAATTGGCTTGCACAATTATAGAGGCTGAGAAGTTTCATGATCTATTGTCTGCAAGCTGGAGAACTGGGAAAGCTGATGATGTAATTCAGTCTAAATCTGAAGGCCTAGGAACTAGGGATTACCAATGATGCAAGTCCCGGTCTCTTTACAAATAGCATATAATTGGATTATGTTGTATTATTTATTTATTTATTTATTACTTTGGGGGATGGAGTCTTGCTCTGTTGCCCAGGCTGGAGTGCAATGGTGCGATCTCAGCTCACTGCAACCTCTGCCTCTTGGGTTCAAGTGATTCTGCTGCCTCAGCCTCCTGAGTAGCTAGGATTACAGGTGCCTGCCACCATGCCCAGCTATTTTTTGTATTTTTAGTAGAGACAGGGTTTCACCATGTTGGCCAGGCTGGTCTCAAACTCCTGATCTGAAGTGACCCACCTGCCTCAGCCTCCCAAAGTGCTGGAATTACTGACATCAGCCACCACTCCCAGCCAAATTGTTTGCTTGTTTTTAAATTCTTCTCCAATCTCAATCTTTTGATTAATATGTCTATTAGTCTGTTCTCATGCTGTTAATAAAGACATACTTGAGACTGGGTAATTTATAAAGGAAAGAGGTTTAATTGACTTAGAGTTCCACATGGCTGGGGAGGCCTCACAATCATGGCAGAAGGTGAATGAGGAGCAAAGTCGTGTCTTCTATGGTGGCAGGCAAGAGAGTATGTGCAGGGGAACTGCCCTTTATAAAATCATCAGATCTCATGAGACTTATTCACTATCATGAAAACAGCACAGGAAAACCTGCCCCCATGATTCAGTTACCTCCCACTGGGTCCCTCCCATGACATGTGGGGATTATGGGAGCTACAATTCAAGGTGAGATTTGGGCAGGGACACAGCCAAACCATATCAATATGTTAAATCAATTTACATTTAATGTGATTATTTTAAGGTGTTCATCATTTTGCTATTTATTTTCTGTATGTCTTAGATCTTGTTTCTCACTGCTATTCTATGACTGCCTTCTTTTGTGTTAATTGGAAATTTTCTAGTGTACCATTTTAATTCCATTGTGTTTTTTTTACTGTTTACATATGTGAAAACTTATCAAATTGGATATTTTAAATATGTGCAGTTACTTGTACATAAATTGTATTTTAAATCTGTTTTTTAAAAATAAAATTATTAAGTTGAAAACTACAAAAAAAGAAATATAAATATGTTTTCTTCCTTTTTATAGTTTGCCTTTTTATTTTGTGGACTATTTTCTTTGCTATGCAGAAACTTCTTAGTTTGATGTAGTCTTACTTTATATTTGCTTTTTCTGCCTATGCTTTTGGGCTCATATCAAAGAAACCATTGCTAATATCAATAGCAACAAGTCTTTCTCCTGTTTTCTTCTAAGAGTTTTGAAGTTTCAAGTCTCATGTTTAAGTCTTTAGTTTATTTTGAGTTGTTTTTTGTGTATTTTGTAAGAAAAGGTTCCAATTTCACTCTTTTGCATGTGGATATTCAGGTTTTCCAGCACCACCTATTGAAGAGATTATCCTTTCTCCATAACATATTCTGGGTATCCTTGTCAAAACTCATTTGACCATATATGACTAGGTTTATTTCTGGGCTATCTATTCCTTTCCATTGGTCTACATGTCTGCATTTATGCCAGTACCATACTATCTTAATTTTTGTAGCTTTGTAATATTTTTTGAAATAAAAGTGTAATGCCTCCATCTTTGTTGTTTTTTCTCAAAGGAGCTTTGAATATTCAGGGTCTTTTGTGGTCCCATACAAATTTTAGGATTTTAAAAATTTCTGTAAAAAATTAACTTGACGTTTTTATGGCAATGGTATTGAATCTGTATGTTGTTTTGGATAATATGGGCATTTTAGCAATATTAAGTTTTCCAATCCATGAACATGGGATGTCTTTCTATGTATTTGTAGCCTCTTCAATTTTTTTCAGCAATGTTTTGTAGTTTTCATAGCACCAGTCTTTAATATTCTTGGTTAAGTTTATTCTTAAATGTTTTATTTCTATTTTATGATATTTTAAATTTGATTTTTAAATTTCTTTTTTGTAGTGTTCACTGTTAGTATATGAAAATGATACTAATTTTTCTGTTGTTTTTGTATCTTCAACTTTGCTAAATTTATTACTTCTAAGATTTTTTCTGTTGAATTTTTAGGATTTTCTGCATATAAAATTATGTCTTCTGCAAATAGAGAAAATTTTACTTCTTCCTTTCTGATTTGTATGCCTTCTATTTCTTTCTCTTGACTAATTGCTCTAGCTAGGACTTCCAGTGCTATGTTAAATAGAGATAGCAAGCATAGGCATCCTTGCCTTGCTCCTGATCTTAGAGAAAAACCTTTCAGCTTCTCATTATTGAGTATTTTAGTTATGGGCTTTTTATATATTGCCTTTATCAGGTTAATTTCATTCTTTTTGGAAGTTTTTTGGAATTTTTTTAAATCATGAAAGGTGTTGACTTTTGTCAAATTTTTTTTCTGCAACTATTGAGATAATCATGTGACTTTGATCCTTTGTTCTGTTAACATGTTGTCTCACATTAATTGATTTTGATTATGTCGAACCATTCTTGCATCCCAGAAAAAAATTCCAGTTAGTCATGGTGTATGATTCTTTTAATATGCTAGTGGATTTTGTTTGCTAGTATTTGTTGGGGATTTTTGCATCTATATTCATAAGGGATATTAGTCTGCAGTCTTCTTGCAGTGTCATTGTCTGGCTTTGATATCAGTGTAGTGCTCCCCTTATAAAATAAGGTTGAAAGTTTTACCTTTTCTTCATTTTTTGGAATAATTTGAGAAGAATTAATATTAGTTCTTTAAATATGTGTGGTCAAATTCTCCATTGAGAAGATCATATCCTGGACTATTTGTTTTGAGGTTTTTTATTACTGATTTAATCTTTCTTCATTATTTTTCTGTTCAGCTTTTCTGTTTCTTCATAATTTAGTTTTCATAGGTCATATATTTCTAAGAATTTTTCCACATCTTCTAGATTTTCCAGTTTGTCGGTGTATAATTATTCATAATATTTGCTTATGATCCTTTCTATTTCTGTGATACTAATTGTAATGTTTCCTTTTTCATTCCTTTATTTATTTGAAAATTCCCTTTTTCACTTAGTTCAGCTAAATTCTTGTCAATTTTGTTCATTTTTTCTCATTCTTACATTTGTTGATTTGTATCTATTGTTTTTCTGTTACCTATTTCATTTGTTTCTGCTCCAATCTGTTAATCTCTTTTTTTTTTCTTTCTGCTAATTTTGGGCTTAGTTTGTTCTCTTTGTCTTGTTCCTTGAGGTGTAAAGTTAAGTTTTCTCTACTCATATAGATGTTTACCCCTTTGACCTTCCCTGATAGTTCTGCTTTTGCTCGCCTCTTAAGTTTTGGTTTCTGGTGCTTCATTTGCAATGATTTCAAGATATTTTCCAATTTCTTTTTTAAAGTTTTCTTTGAGACATTGGTTGGTTAGCAGTGTGTTGTTTAATTTCTCATACCTGTAAATTTTAAAGCTTTCCTTTGGTTATTTATTTTTAGTTCTATTTCATTGTGTTCCAAAAATATACTTGATATGATCTCAATCTTCTTAACTTTGTAGGATTTGCTTTGCAGCCTAACATGTAATCTACTTGGAGAATGATCTGTGTGCACTTGGAAAGAATATGTATTCTACTGTTGGTTTATATAAGCCTCATGGCAACCAAAAATAAAATATATATTAGAAGATAAACATTCAAAAAAAAGAATCAAAGTATATTAGTACCAAAAAAAATTGACAAAACATAAAGGAAGACAGAAAAAGAAGGAAAAAAAGAGAGAAAAGCTATAAGACAGAAAACAACATATTACAGACATGTCTATTAGGTCCATTTTATCTACAGCACTTTAAGCCTACTGTTTTCTTATTGATATTCTGTCTGGATATTTTATCCATTATTGTAAGTAGGATATTGAAGTTTTATACAATTATTATATTGCTTTCTATATTTATCTTGTCAGTTCAGTTAATGCTTGCTTTATATATTTAGGTCCTCTAATGTTGAGTGCATATGTATTGTAATTGTTATAGTTTCCTGATGAAATAAACATTTTATCTTTATATAATGTCCTTTCTTGTCTCTTGTGACAGTTTTTGTGTTAAAGTCTTTCTCGTCTGGAAATAAGTGCAGAAAATCTTGTCTCTTTTGGTTACCACTGACATGAAATATTTATTTCTATTCCTTTTTTTGGCTTATGCGTGTCCTTAAATCTAAAGTAAGTCTGTTTAGACAGTATATAGTTGAATCTTTTTTTTTACCCTTTCACCCACTTTATATCTTTTAATTGTGGAATTTCATTTTTTAACATATAAACTAATTATTGATAGGGAAGGACTTACAGTTGCCATTTTGTTAATTTTCTGTCTTTTAGCTCTCTTTTCTCTCTTTTTTCTTCTCTTACTGCTTTCCTTTATGTTGATTCTTTTGTACTAATATGCTTTGATTCTTTTTCTTTTTTGAGTGTTTATCTTCTAATATGTATTTTCTTTTTGGTTGCCATTAGCCTTATATAAACCATCTTATAAGATGTTAAGTCTTTTTTAATTCTACAATAGATATGTCTATTTTAAGCTTATAACAAGTTAACTTCCATTATATATAAATATTCTACACTTTTATGTCTACCATAAACACAGTATATATTATTGATGTCACAACTTGCATGTTTTTACATTGTGTATACATTAACACGCTTTTATAGCTAGTTATTTTAATACTTTTTGTCTTTTATACTAGAAATAAAAGTGATTTAAATACCACCATTAGAGCATTATACTATTCTGTAATTGCTACATATTTACCTTTAGCAGTAATTTTATACTTTCCCATGCTTTTGATGTCCTGTTTAGTCTCCTTTTGTTTCACCTTGAATAACTTTCTTTAACATGTCTTGTGTAGCTGGTCTAGAATAAATTCTCTCAGCTTTTGTTTATTTTGGAAAGTTTTTATTTCTTCTTCACTTTTGAAGGACAATTTTGCTAAGTATTTTGATCTTGTTTGGCAGTTTTGTTCTTTCAGCATTTTGATGATATCATCCAAGTCTCTTCTAAGTAGCAAGGTTCTGCTGAGGCATCTGCTGATATCTCCCTTGTATGTAACTATTCACTCTTCTCTTGCTGCTTTCAAAATCCTCTCCTTGTTGTTGACTTTTAACAATTTTATGATAATGTGTCACTGTTTAGACTTTGTATTCATCCTAATTAGACATTTATTGGGGCTACTTGAACCTGAATGTCTACTTCCTTCCCTAGTTTTCAGTTATTATTTCTTCAAATGACTTTTTCTTTCCTTTATTTCTCTCTTCACCTCCTGGGACTTTCATAATGCATATATTTGCTTACTTTATGGTATTCCATAAGTCCACTAGGCTTATGGAACACAGGAGCCTGTTTGGGGATGGGGGGCTAGGGGAGGGATAGTAGGTGACGGGTTGATGGGTGCAGCAAACCACTATGGCACATGTATAACTATGTAACAAAACTGCACATTCTGCACATGTACCCCAGAACTTAAAGTATAATTTTTTTAAAAATACCACAAACTTTTTTGTTTTTACTGGGCTTAATTGGTTTTTCTTGTGTAAACTTCCTTCAGATTGTTCTAAGACTTTGGTTAATTTCCAAACTTCTAAAAATGTTAATTTTTATAATGCTATAAATGTTCTCATGGCTTTTATGAGGCAGTAGATTTCTGTGGGTCCTCACTCCATCATTCTAAAAGTCATGCCTCTCAGCTAGATTTTAAAGACAAAGTATTATACTTTTTTTGTTCCATCTTGTTATATTCATCTTATTATTGTAGCCTATTGAATTATTTTTATATGTTGATTGCATCATATCATTCAGATATGCCCTAAATGTCTTTATCCCAATCATTAATTAAACTATTTGATTTACCTTAAGAAGGTGCAAATTGGCAATATTCTATAGGACTCTACTAGAGACTTCCTACTAAAGCACTTTCAGATTTCTATTATCCACGTACTTCTTGGACATGTCCCTTTATCAAACTGACCTCACCTCTACTGTATAATATATAAATGTATATTTTATACAATTTCAACTAGATAACATTTCATTCATATAGGAACTTCTCAATTTATAACCTCATTTCTATATTGGAGTTGAATCTTTTACGTGCCTATACAAATGCAATTTGCTCCTTGTTGAAGAGTTGGACTTAGAAAATAGAGACTTTAAATTGAATGAACAATTCTGCTTGCATTCTACTCAATGAATATATTTCTTGGAGTGACTGTGAGATGGTGCATATGATCTGCTGTCCTCTTAGTTAGTCTAAGTTTCAACATGCTTCTTATAATGCAAACATCTCACCATGCTCCATGTGTTTCTTGCTTTTCACAGTATGTATTTTCCATGCAGTATGGTCCCTAACTGCAATCCAACTATTTAATCTGCTGCTCAGCAGAAGACACAGCAATCTGTTCCAACACAAGAGGGAACCTTGCTGAGGTGGACTCCCTGAGAGTTAGTATGTAGCTCTCAAACATTGCATTTCCCTAAAATAATTATAGCTGTGTTCTATTTATGCCTTTTGAGCAAACTTTATAATCTACTCCTAAATGTTCTACCCAGATTCATCCATGCTGCATAGCAAAGCTGGGTCATTCCAGAGAAATCATGCCTTGAACAGTGGCAATAGCCTCCATCTTTTAACTTTAGTTCTCAGTTTATGTCAGTATTGATGAAAACATACAAGGCACCCGAGACAGACCTAGCGGGAATTCTGCTCTGTGGAAATTTAATTTATTACAATTTCACAATTATTCTCAATGTGGTGCTCTTTCCAGAGGATATATGAGATGTTGTCCTCCTTGCTCAGTTTTACTAGAAATATCCAAGGCTTTCCAGTACACTACATGAGGTTGCAAACTCATCACAATGAGCACTCAAAAATTTGATTATAAACTAAGCACAGGTTGAATAAAAGCTTGTCTTTCTATAACACAGCATTATTTAATAACACAGGGGAAGACTTGAGTTTGTGCAATGACCTTAATGTCAGAAGTTCAGTAATAATCATGCTATCCAATGTGGCTCTCTAATTCTTGTTTTAAGCTGAAGATAGTCAGGTCTACACTCCCTAAAGAGTAAACTACCAACAATGCACTGTCAGGAAAATTACTTATGGAAATGAAATAAGTTTGTTGAGTAAAATAATTCTCCCTCATATTTTTTTGTTTTATTGGTTGAGGGAAATTGGCATAAAAAAACCCAGCAAAGTGATTTTTTTTCTATAAGATAGTATTTCCAGAGGATGGTATTCACAGTGCTTAGCTCAGGATTACCTAAAAAAGTTGTTTAAAATGTAGATTAACTAGACTTACCACCCCTCCATCAATTTCTTAGATATCCCCAGATGTTTCTGATACAACCTGTTGTGTGAACAGGTACAACTAGATAATTCTAACATAAAGCATTGTTTAAAAACCACTGCTCTAGGCATTGAGAGCATCTCAGAAAGTAAAGCTGATTTGTTGAGTAAAGCAGTGGCAAAGGCTTTTTTTCCCCTCACCTTGCAATTGTTTACTTTGTTAACAATTCAGGTTTATTTCTTTAGGTTTTAAAAGAAGTTTATATCTTTGCCATTTCAAGTTTGGATCAGTTACAGCCTCCTTATTAAGTAACCAAACAATACTATTCCATCACCCTGTGGTGAGACTCAGAGAGCCTGCTCAGTGGGAAGTGCTCCACCTTTGCATGAGAATCCTGCCACCTGGTCTCCTAGTTGTGCTTTAAGAATAGTTCCACCTGAACTTGGTTCATGAGAGGGTGATTGTGTGCTGCTAGCTGCAGGGTCACTTATTGATTTCAAAAATATGTCGTTTGCTTTCCAAAAGAGGTTGGCTGCCATTATGCTTGTGAGTTACTTTATTTTTTTGTTTGTTTGTTTTTTGAGACGGAGTTTCACTCTTGTTGCCCAGGTTGGAGTGCAATGACGAGATCTCGGCTCACTGCAATCTCCCCCTCCGGGCATCAAGTGATTCTCCTGCCTCAGCCTCCCGAGTAGCTGGGATTACAGGCATGTGCCACCATGCCTGGCTAATTTTTTGTATGTTTAGTAGAGACAGGGTTTCACCACATTGGCTAGGCTGGTCCTAGCCAACTCCTGACCTCAGGTTATCCACCTGAGGCTGAGGCCTACCAAATTGCTGGGATTACAGGTGTGAGCCACCACGCTCAGCCGATTCACTTTATTTTAACAGGAAGAACTGGAGAGGGAATTGTATTGAACGATTTTATTCCACTAGCTCTTTTATCTCCATCAACTATTCAGTTAATCAGTGCAACCTTATCACCCTTAGAGAGAAATGTTCATTCCACTAGATAACTTGTCCAGGTGTGAGAAGCTAACTTTCTCCATTACAGGGTTATGGATGAATCATTAAATGCCATAGGAGTAACATGTTTATGGCGTTTATCTAAGTTTTCCTGATTCTGAGCACTGCTGTTCAACCTTTGAATATCTCTTTGAAATGCAAAAGACATCCATGTTATACATAGTATACACAATAAAAGAAGTTATCTATTAGAAATTTAGTTCATCTGTTATGCTAGTGTTCAGTGAAAGAAAATTATATCACGGAATTATAGGACTTAAAGGTATACTAGGAAATTACCAGCTATGTTATGTGTCCCTGAAACAACTTATAGTGATAATTGTCCACATATGCTTTTATTCTCTTTTTCCCGTCTATTTCTCAATCCCCTTTTTACCCAGACCATTCTTTTTTTTATTTTCTTTCTTCCTTTTCTGACTGCCATGGGTGTCCAATTAAATCCAACAACATTACTTATAACCTAAGCTAGTTCATTTTTCTGCATACAGAACTATACTATACTATGCCTTTTATGAAGACAGTGAGGTGTAACAACAACTACATATGCTATTAAGACAAATAAACCTGGGTTTACATTCTGGCTAAACAAGCAGCAATGTGACCTTACATGTGATTCTTAACCTATTGAAGCCTCATTTTTTTCATCTGTAAAATTAGACTCAGAATTCCTGCAGCATAGTGTATGTGAAAGAGGACCACCAGTCATGGCAGGCACTCAGTAAAGTTGCCCTTAAAACTGGTAATTGACATAATTAATTACTTAGCCTCTCTACATGAGAACATTCTCTATAAAATCAAGAGTAGAGTGGAAGTCGTAAAATGTACTCTGTGGTTGGAAAGGATTGAACAAGCTATCACAGGCAAACTTTCATCATGTGTGACATTTATTGTGTGTTCATTGAATGCATTTTATGCAGATTAACAGAAGTACTACTGGTAATAAGGTCATTTATTATGAATTTTCCAAGATAGAATATTTGAAATGGGGACTGTCACCATATTTCATTGAAAATCACATAAATTACAATATATTTGTGTATTAACAATATTTTCAGAAAGTAGACCAAACTATCTTTTATCAGATCCCTAGACCTTATTTTAGACTGGGAAATATGATCACCTTGCTTCCTGGGAATTATGTAAAATGATAGAAAAATTTGCTTAGGGCTTTCTAGCCAGCCACAGCAGTCTCCAAACCCCAGAGCCAGAAAAAGTGGTATAAATGATAGTGAGCTAGAGGTTAATCTCACAGAAGAGATCAGATACCAATCCACTTTGTATATATCTCCAGAACTCCATTCTTATATCTGACATTTACATGTCTCTAAATGAGTCTTCCTCACTGGCATTTAATAGTGAAGTTTCTGGGAATACAAAAACATTTCTGATCAATAAGATATTTTGTTAAGTACAATTAAATGCTCTGCACTTGACAAGAAACATTTTAAGCCATGCTATTATTTGGTAGCCAGATTGCTGATTTAAAATAAATTAAAGGGATTTGGAGCTGTATTGAATAAATTACCACTTCCCTCCCTTTTCTTTATCCTTCTTTAATTTTTTACTTCAATGACTGTACATGTTGAATTGATAAAGTGGACAGGACAAACATATCAGTTAGGCTCTGTGAAGTTCCAATGAGAAGCAGTTAAAGTCTACATGGGAAAACGGGCCAATGAAGAGGCCCATGAAACTATGTGAGCCAGAGAGGCTCCATATATCACAGACCATAAAAACAAAAGCAAAACCTGACAATATTTTTGGAGGTTTTAAAATTTAATAAAATATAAACATTGCAAAAATAAAGCTATTTAAATTAGTAGAAACTTTTTCATATATTTTTATTTTGCTTTTAGTATTGGTATTTACATCTGAAATGTTACATTATTGTGCAAGGATGAGACCATATATTATTAAGTTCCTATAAGGGCAAATAACCTATCTGAATCACAAGAATTTTATATTTTCATAAAAACCCAGATAGCTGTGATTGATTTTAGATACTCAGCTGAATAAAGAACAAAATAAAGAGAATGTAAAACCCACTTTAATTGTGAAGTAAACATGAAAATAAAAATGAAAATAAATTCAATGAATAAAATGAATGCTTTAAACATAAAATACATTATTACTTTATTCTCTTAAGTTAAAGAAAGCCAAGAGGGCAATGGAGCAAGGATTACATTGGCTTTTATTCATTAGTTTGCAGGAGGAAAAAGGCCTCTGTTTATATTTGACCTTATATTGATTTAGTTCCTTATACAGAAGTTCAAAACCTCTCCTCCCTCCTTTTTTTCCCCAAAGAAATTTTTTCTGGCAATCTTGTTTTCTCAGCAAAGGTTACTTTCAAAGGAAAAAAGAAATCCCTGATGATCACAAAGGATGACAGAGGATGGCTTGTCCTTTTTCTATGTAGGAAAATGTAAGCTATTTGCAAAATACTATAATTGGGAAGTTCAGCCTAAAGGTGAGTTTTTCGCATGTAGGAGAGAAAACATTAAGAGCT
The DNA here is from genome assembly GCF_000001405.40 of Homo sapiens. NCBI lineage: Eukaryota > Metazoa > Chordata > Mammalia > Primates > Hominidae > Homo > Homo sapiens. Next base: position 99,114,065 of record NC_000023.11, on the reverse strand, counting down.
GATAGAGAAAACAATTACATTATACCAAAGGAGAAGGAGGAACCTAGGAATTCTCGATGGGCCTATATTTTTCTCATAAATGTTTTGACTTATGGCAAGACCACATCAACCGCGTATCTAGGATAAGTGCAAAGAAAAAACCAAAATCTGGACTCATCCATGCCTCCTGAAACATGTCTATATTTGGATGGGACTTCAAAATGTAGTTCTTTTATACTGGGCAACAATAAGTTGTGTTTGAGGGAGATGGGAATCAGATTTCCAATCCAACTGAAATGAATGTGCTCTTTATTCTGTATCTCCACTACAGAAAAAAACATGAACCTGGAACTAATCTTTGCAAAACAAAATAAAACAAAACACTAGTGATTAAAATCCATCAGGCTGGCAAATCACTGATAATTATAATCACAGTACTATCTACAAACTGGCCATGTGTTCACTTAACCTGGGATAATTACTGTAGGTGTCCCACCTTTTCCCTGGCTATTTGTTACTCCTTGTGATTTCTTTTTCTGTTACATTGTGGAGATCCAATAATAGAAGGGGCCCAAGTACAGCTCACAAGCATTCATTCATTCAAAAAACATGAACTCTCTGCTATGTAACAAGCATTGTGCTAATGATAAAAGAGAAAATAGGAAAAAAACGAGGATAGAAGGAAGTGAGGGAAAAAGGAAAGGAGGAATGAAGAAAATGAGAGAGGAAGAGAAAGAAAAGGCAAGACTCCTGCCCTCATGGAGCTTTCAGGCTAGTGGGAGTGAAAAATTATAATACATGCAAATTAGCAAATGTGGTAAGTGCTGAAAGTAAGAGGTATATTCTGCTATGACAGCATGTAATACCTCTTACTTACTTACTCCTGTTATATAATAGGTGAATTTAACTTAGAAAGATTAGGAAAGACATCCCTGATGTGACAACTGAGCAAAGATGAAGTATCAACAGTGAAAGGCAGAGAAAAATGTTTCTGGAATTTCTTTCTATTTTATATACCAGTCTGCATTCATAGTCTGCAAACTGAGATGGACGAGGCAGGAAGCTTAATAATCTTCTTTACCCGCCTGTTCTGAAGCTCCTTCCAGAGCCAGAGCTAGCCTTAAACTGCCTGCATTGACATTCTTTCATCCTAGTTTTTCTTCCAAGGTCTAGAAAGCCAAAGACACTTCCCCGACAGAGCTTATTTCTGACTCAAAATGCACCCTTCCTCACACAATAATTTCAGAGTGTAAAGGAGAAAATAAAGGAATAATCAATTTATGCTTCTCATCAAAAGATAACTTTTATGTCTAAAATAGGTCTTTCAAGCATTTAGAGTTTAGTGTTCTTTCTCTTTCTCTCCGTGTCTCTTTATCTTACTAAGATACAACCTTAGTAAAAACCAATAGTTATTTTTTATTGTCTAGACCTAGAATATCACAATAATATATCTGGTTCACAGAAGCAAACAAATAAAAATAATTATATTTAATTATTTTTCCTGATACACGTTAATGTATTAGGAACATCTTGTTTTTCCTGATATGTGTAAATCTTTGTTCTGTTATTTCCAAAGATATTTGTCTTCTCTGTCTCCCTATGTATGTGAAATAATACAAGTTAGATTTTTTTTGTCACTATATAATATTATGCCTGATATAAATCAGTATTATTTTTTAAAAACGTCATTTTAAAAATTAATTTTATAAAAACCTTTTCAGATACAGGAACAAAGGTCTTATGAAATAACCTATAATTTTTTCAGAAGATAATCATTTTGTATTTTTTTGACTCTTGAAGATGCATGTTTGAAAACAAGAAGTTTCCCATCTTGTAAACAAGAAGTCCCATCAAGAATGGGACTGTAATAGTCAGTTTCTTAAATAGCCACAGATATAATCAATGAGTGCCTACATATTTAAATTAATCTGGTTTATTTAAGTGATTTTTCCATCAAGCTCTAGCCATTCTTAATTTAGTTTTCCCTGATAGGCCTGTCAAAGACTCAATTTTTTATTTCTCACATTCAGTAAGCATTAGATACTCATCTTATGTATCACTAGTAATGTGTCTTACTTTGACTGCTCAAATCTACATGATTAGGTGAGTTTTTTGTTTGTTTGTTTGTTTTTCTTGAGACAAGGTCTTGCTCTGTCACCCAGGCTGAAGTGCATTGGTGTGATCATGGCAGCCTTGAACTCCTGGGCTTAAGTGATCCTCTATCTTAGCCTCCTGAGTAGGTGGGACTACAGGTACACACCACCAGGCCTGACTATTTATTTTTATTTTTGTAGAGACAGAGTCTTGCTATGTTGACAGAGCTGGTTTCTAACTCCTGGCCTCAAGCAATCCACCTGCCTCAGCCTCCCAAAGTGCTGGGATTACAGATGTGAGAGGTGTTTCTTGTACTTCTGCTAATGATTTGTTTCCTATTTTCTGTGGCTTTCCTATTTGTATTTTATTTCCTTACATATATATTTTAACCAATTAAAAGTTCTCCTTCTTTCTTGCCTTCTTGCTGGACTTATTTGTTTTTAATATATAGAATCCTCTACCACTAAGAAGTATATCTTTATCTGAAAATTGTTGCTTCTATCATAGGTTGATTTATAGTAGCAAATCTGAAAATGATATGAATATAAGATATAGATGTTGGTTTAAATAAATAATGAAATGTTTACTCATTGTGTTACAGTTATTAAAATGATAATTGCAAAGAGTTTATAAAAACAGTGTAGATGCTTACGCTATAATGTTAAGTAGAAAAGGCAAGCTATATGATTTAATATTTAATATTCAATATTATTACTAAAACAAAAATAAACACCCTACTTACAAAAAATATTGGAAGTAAATATGTGAAAGGAGCAGTGACTATTTCTGGGTAGTGGAACTACAGAGGTGATTTTTTTTCTATTTCCCTGTACTGTATTTTCCAACTTTAGAAAATGAACACATTTTTAATAAAATTTAATATTTTTAACTATCCTCTCTAAATATAGACTTTACTGGTCAAGGCTTTAGAATTATACATATCAAATCACAAAATTATTTGTTTACCATAGAACATTGTGGTAAGTAGCTTCTAAACTGGCTCCCAATGGTTCCAGACTCCTGATATTTGTGTCACTGTGTAACCCCTTCCCCTTGAATGTATGCTGAGTCAAGTGAGTTGCATCAAATAAACAGACTATGGTAAAAGGTATGGGATATCACTTGCAAGATTCAGTTAAAAAAACTAGGGCTTTTGTCTTGTTCTCCCTCTGGCTCTCTCTTGCTTGCTCAGTCTGATGAAGCTAAGTGTCGTGTTGTAATCTGCTCTATAGAGAGATCTATAAAACAAGGATTTGAGGGTGATATCCAACTGACAGCCAATGAGAAGAGGAAGCTTTGAGTTGAACATCCTGTGAGAAACTGAATACTTACAACAATCTCATAAGTGAGTTTGGAGGCAGCACCTTCTCCAGTCAAGGTTTCAGATGAAAGCCCAGCCCATGTAGACACCTTGATTTCCCCATCATGATAGACTAAAATGGAAGACCCAGAAAATCTTCACCTGGACTTCTGATCCCCACCCCAAACTATAAACATTTTTTCTGTTAAGCTGTGAAGTCTTGGGATAATTTGTTTCACAGCAATAGTTAGTTGATATAAGTATTTTCTGATACTTTAAAGCATTTTAGGTTTTATTTCACCCAAATATTTTCCAAAAGACAATTGTGATTAAAGGGTGACCCAATGATAAAAATGGAGTAGTATAAATCTGCAATGTTGATTAAATAAAAATATAAAGATAATTCTAATCTGAGATAAATGGTAGTTGTCTTATTTTAATTAACAAGTAGAGTTTGTACACATTTATGATGCACAATATGATGTTTGGATCTATGTACACATTGTGGAGTAGCTAAATTAAGCTATTTAACATAGGCATTGCCTCCGTTACCATTCTTTTGTGCTGGTAATGCTTAAAATGTACTCTCTTAGAAACTTTCAAATATACAATATATTGTTATTTACTGTAGTCACTATGTTCTACAATAGAGCTCTTGAACTTATTCTTCCTGTCTAATTGAAATTTTGTCTTTTTTGACCAATACCTCCCAAATACTCCCACACTCCAGCCTCCCTCACTCCCTCCTTTTGGAGATCCCAGTGTCTATTGTTATCATATTTGTGTCCATGTGTACCCAATATGTAGCTCCCACTTCTAAGTGAGAATGTGTGGTAACTGGTCTTCTGTTCTTGCACTAGTTCACTTAGGATAATGGCCTCCAGCTGCAACCATGTTGCTGCAAAGAACATGATTTCTTAATTTTTATAGCTGCATCCTATTCCATAATGTATATGTACTACACTTTCTTCATCCAATCCACTGTTGATGGGCACCTAAGTTGATTCCATGTCTTTGCTATTCTGAATAGTGCCACAATGAACGTATGAGTGCATATGTCTTTTTGGTAGAATGATTTATTTTCCTTTTGGTGTATATCCAGTAATGAGATTGCTGGGCCAAATGGTAGTTCTGTTTTAAGTTCTTTGAGAATGCTCCAAACTGTGTTCCACAGTGGTTGAGCTAATTTACATTCCCATCAATAGTGTATAATCATTCCCATTTCTCTACAGCCTTGCCTGCATCTATTATTTTTTGACATTTTACTAATAGCCATTCTGTCTGGTGTGAGATAGTATCTCATTGTCCCTTTGATTTGCATTTATCTCATGATTAGTGATGTTGAACATTTTTTCACATGTTTGTTGGCCACATGTATGTCTTCTTTTGAAAGTGTATGTTCATGCCTTTTGCCCACTTTCCCTATGGCTTCTTTTAAGAAATGTCTATTTTATGTGCTTTCCCATTTTTGTTTTATTACTATTGAATTGTTTGTGTTTCTTATATATTTTTGACATTAGCCCCTTATCAATTGTATGTTTTGCAAATATATTCTCCTAATCTAAGGGTTGACTCTTCACTGTATTAACCAGTTTCTTGGCTGTACAGAAGCTTTTAAGTTTCATGTAATCCCATTTGTCTAGTTTTGCTTTTGTTGCCTATGCTTTTGGGGTCATGTCCAAAAAAAAAAAAAAATCATTGCTCAGATCAATGTCATGAAGTTTTCTATGACGTTTTCTTCTAGTAATTTTATAGTCACATTTTACTCATTAATCCATTTTAAGTTGATTTTTGTATGTGGTGTGAGATGAGGTTCTAATTTAATTCTTCTGCATGTGTATACCCAGTTTTCCTAGCACTATTTATTGAAGAGATTTTTGTTTCTCCATTGTGTGTTATTGGTGATTTTGTTGAGAATCTATTGACCATAAATGCATAGATTTATTTTTGAGACTTCTGTTCTGTTCCTTTGGTCTATGTGTCTGTTTTTATGCCAGAATCATGCTATTTTGATTACTATAGCTTTGCAGTATATTTTTAAATTAGGTACTGTGATGCCTTTGGCTTTGTTGTTTTTGCTCAAGATTGCTTTGGCTATTTGGGGTATTTTATGGTTCCATACAAATTTTAAGTTTGTTTTTTCTGCTTCTAGGAAAAACTATATTGAAATATTCACAGGGATTGCATTAAGTCTGTAGATTGCTTTGGGAAGTATGAATGTATTAATAATTTTAATTCTTCAAATTCATTTACATAGGACTTCTTTCAATTTATTTGTATCTTTTTCAATATATTTCAATGTTTTACAGTTTTTAGTGTACAAAAAAATGGTTGTCCTGTTTTCGTTTGTTTTTTTTTTTTTTTTTGAGACAGAGTCTCACTCTGTTGCCCAGCACCCAGGCTGGAGTGCAGTGGCTCAATCTCAGCTCACTGCAAGCTCTGCCTCCCAGGTTCACGCCATTCACACCATTCTCCTGCCTCAGCCTCCCGAGTAGCTGGGACTACAGGTGCCCACCACCACGCCTGGCTAATTTTTTTTTTTTTTGTATTTTTAGTAGAGACAGGTTTCACCATGTTAGCCAGGATGGTCTTTATCTCCTGACCTCTTGATCCGCCCACCTCAGCCTCCCAAAGTGCTGGGGTTGTCTTCTTTAACATTTGATGTAATTTGAATCCCCAAAACAAGGATCATCATGGAACAGACTGTAAATATTAGAATTAAAATGGATGAGACAGAGAAATCTATATCACACAGGAGAGTGAATAGGAAATTTGTAACTCATGTATGTTGTCTTTGGAGAAGAAAAGCTCTGTCTCTTATCTTACCCTTGCATATTGGATGCCAAAAGTTTACTCAAAGACAGTAAGCAGTAACAAGACTAAAACAGGAATCCTCAAAGCCTTCTCTTTTGGACTTGCCTCTGGGGACAAGAAAAATGATCAATTTCTTTACATTATTATTATTATAAATAAGGCAGGCTCTTGTTCTTTCACCCAGGCTGTAGTTCAGTGGTGCGATCCCGGCTCGCTGCAGTCTCAAGATCTAAGCCTCAAGCAATCCTCACAACTCAGCCTGTCAAGTAGCTGGGACTGCAGGCATGCGCCAGCATGCTCAGCTAATATTTTGCATTTTTTTTTTAGAGATGAGGTGTCATCATGTTGTCCAGGCTGTTCTTGAACTCTTAGACTCAAGTGATCCACCTGCCTCAGCCTCCCAAAGTGCTGGGATTAAAGGCGTGTGCCACCATGCCCAGCCCTAATACATTATCATTCCTAGGTAATTTTCTTTCTTCCTTTCTTTTTTTTTTTTTTTGGCAGTTTCTTTTTGTATTATTATTATTATACTTTCCTTTGTAGGGTACATGTGCACAACATGTAGATTTGTTACATAGGTATACATGTGCCATGTTGGTTTGCTGCACCCATCAACTCGTCCTTTACACTAGGCATTTCTTCCAATGCTATCCCTCCTCCAGCCCTGCACCCCCAACAGGCCCCAGTGTGTGATGTTTCCCACCCTGTGTCCATGTGTTCTCATTGTTCAATTCCCACCTATGAGTGAGAACATGCAGTGTTTGGTTTTCTGTCTTTGTGATAGTTTGCTGAGAATGATGGTTTCCAGCTTCATCCATGTCCCTACAAAGGACATGAACTCATCCTTTTTTATGGCTGCATAGTATTTCATGGTGTATATATGCCACATTTTCTTAATCCAGTCTATCATTGATAGACATTTAGATTGGTTCCAAGTCTTTGCTATTGTGAATAGTGCCGCAATAAACATTCAATTTGCTAATGATCTCTATAGTAGAATCTTATACAACAGTAAAAATGAATAAATGAAAGCTTTTATATTTCAATATTGATTAATCTCATAACTATTCAATTCAAAAAGCATATTACAGAAGAAAATATAAAGGATAATAAAATTTGTGTAAAATTTTAAATACTATTTATTACAATGTGTATAATACTACCCATTGTTTAAAAAGATGAAGAAATAGTAAATATTTGGGGAAACACATGAAAATAATATACAGCATATACAAGATAATCGTCATTCTCTAAGAGTAAGGAAGGTAATTCACAAAGAGAAAGTTACATTGATAATCATGACAGGAAAAAATTACCTTTACAATTGTTAGAAATGGTAGTCATCACTTCAACCAAGTAATCAAAATTAGTATCATGAATAGTAGCAAAACCTAACATTGCAGACATACTGATGTGATACAATATGAAGCACACAGTGTCCCTTACAATTTTTTGACAAAAATATTTAACTTGTTTAAAATAAAGCCTTTATATCTAACTTCCAGTTTAGAAATAATACAATGGGTAAAAGACCATGTTAAACAACATCTAGAGGATACAATCAAATCCAGAATGGAGTTATTCTACACAAAAATTGGCTTGATGTTTTCAAAATATCATTGTCATAAGAAAGAAAAAGATGATAGAAATTCCTTAGATTTAAAGCTTTAAAATGCATTAACTTTGATTGGACTCTGGTTTTTAAAAAGCAGTTATGAAAGACATTTATGCATACAGAGAGTTACAGATCAATCCAGTATACCAATATATTAGCAATGGGTAATAATTATATGATTGCACACTGTCATAGTCTTTTCAGGTGACTATAACAGAATACCATAGACTTGGTGACTGTTAAACAATGGAAATTTATTGCTCACACTTCTGGAGGCCAGGAAGTACAATGTCAAGGCACCAGAAGATTTGATGTCGGATGAGGGCATGCTTCCTGGTTCACGGATGACCGTCTTCTCACTGTGTCCTCAACAAGACAGAAGGAACAAGAAAGCTCTGTGGGGTCTCTTTTGTCAGAGCACTAATCACCTCCCAAAGGCCCTGTTTCCATATACCATAATATTGGGGATTCAGTTTTAAAATATGAATTTGGGGAGGACATAAACATTTACCTTGTAGCAAACAGAATACTACTTATTCAACTTCTCTGTATGTTTGAAAATTTTCATAATAGAAAGTTGATAAAGTATAGATTATTCATTTAGTAAATGTTACTGAGTTAATTTATTGTCCACTTGGAAAAAAATAAAGTAGATTCTTGCTTTACCATAAACATTTAGAAGAAAATATAGAATATATTTGTGCCTTTAGAGCAGGAGAGAAGGTCTTAAACTTTTTGCAAACCACAAAACACATGAAAGAAGTACAAACTGACTATATTAAAATATTGAAATGAAAAGCTCTGTTACATCAAAAGACATCTGAATTCCTCAGAAAGTAAAGCATGATACAAACATTTATGTGTAAATAATTTATCAGGGTGTATGGTCTCAGGGAGCAGGACTGCGGGACAGGGAAAACAAAGCAGGAAAGGTGGGGGAGCCAAGAAAATGATACATTATCAAATTGGAAACCTCTACAAGCCACTGGTTCCTCTATCTCACGGGACCATCTGATTAGCCATATGAAGCACATCCCAGGATTCTATTTAGGGATAATAAAGGAATGGGATTTTTATGCTAGCTTCCATAATCAAGGTCAAAATTTTGCCCTATGGGATATTCACTCTTTTGCACTTCGATATTGTATGAAATTTGCAGGAAACTTGAATAGGTTCTTGTAGTGTCTCATGGCCACAACAGCAATAAAAGAGCCCTGGGATGGGAGCAAGAAGTACACTGTTTGTGTCTGAGGTACGATGCTGTGAAATTGCATCTGCATGAAACCGGTCAGAACTGGCACAATAATGGTATTCACAGCAATGGCAGAAATAAGAAAAAGGTGAGGCCAAGAGGAATCCATCATGGGTGTTGCATAGAGTCTTCCCCTTATATCCAAATACAGAATGCAGGATAATGATTACATCTAAAGAATACAGGGGAAATGAGTTGCAAATAAAATGTTAAAAATTGCAAAATGTTAAAAAAAGTTAAAAAATGCAAAAGCTGAGTGGTACATAAATAAGTATTTCTTATACTATTCTAATAATATTTTCTATGATATTCAATATGAGATATTTCAATATAAAATTTAAAAACAGAGTCAGTAATGTTTAAAAAGGTAAACAACTTTTTATAGATTATTTCCTTTCAAATTATCATGGCTTAACATATTCCTTTTTTATCTTTACTAGTTATTTTAATATTCTTGTCTAACTGTCTCAACCCTATGTGGGAGAGATAATTATTAGGTTGATATGTTTATATACAACTTAAAACTACTGAACATTTAAAACCTCTGTGTTTTTTTTACACCTGTCAACTGTAAAAATTTAAGTTTAAGATGTTATTTTTTTACGTGACTGCCTTCTTTCACTATCAACTTTGCATGGTTCATTCTGTCACTTTTTTCATGTGTTTGTTCCAAACAGAGCCGTTCCATTACTATTCTACCTAAAGGAACATATTTATAAAGCTCTATTCCCTTATTCTACTTTTTATTTTTTGTAGCACATTAGAACGTTTATTTTTCTGTTTACTGTTTGTTTCCCATTAGAATATTAGTTTCATGATGACATATTGTTGTGTTAACCTCTGTATGGCTAGCATGTAGAAGAGTGCTTGTCATATTTTAAGTACTGAATAAATACTTCATCAATGAATGAATGAAAAACAGTGAAGAAACTTTGAAGTCATTTTACAAAAATTTCAGATTTATCAAAGTTCTTTGTTATTTTTCACATAAATAAAAGTGGACACAGAAAGACAAAAAGACTGAAAGTATATAAAACACATTACATGTCTCTGTGTGTGGGTACAAAGCATACCCCCCCCACATATATATATATATATATATATGTATACAAACACATAAATTCATATATGTGTATGTCTGTGCATATATATATATACTCACACACACACACATATATATATATATATATATATATATATATATATATATGTATATCTGTATTACTTTTTTTCCTATCAGCAGAACATGGACTTCCCTCTTATTTAAAGAAGAGGGAAAAAAAGAAACCTTAACAGCAGATATTTGCATTGTATCTATTGGATTCCTTAAAATTTAAGCTCCCAGACTTTCTAGAAATATAGCAACTTTTCAAAGCATGGTTCAGCAAAATACATATTATTATAACTTGAAACAGAACTCATTTGAACACCTAGATTTTTATGAGCATGGTTTTCAAATAATTTAATGTATTAATAACATTTATTATAATAACATAATAGAAACATTCCTACATTTTTAATATATCCTTAGTATTTGATAGGTTCTTTATTCTATTCAATTTTTTTGTTTGTTAATATATAAATAATACCTGAGAATATTTTTGTTGTTTAAGATTTTGTAGAAACATGTAGAGGAACACAACCCAAACATCATATGTCTTTACATAAGCAAAATCATATTATGCATATTCCTTTGAGACTTCATTACTTAACATTATGACTTGTATATTGTTACATTACAACACATATACTTGTTGGGAGACGTGTTTCCACGGGTATCTTACGTTTCTGTGAAAAGAGGGGACATTAACTGCCATTTGTTCTGGACTATCTTTTTAAGGATGTTTATAAAACAAACAGCATTGAAATATATTGAAACTATCATTTTCCAGAGCAAAGGATTGGTATTTTTACCCCCCAATATAATGCAGATGTCTCCCTCCAAAGCAAATTTCAATCAGTTTTGTTTACAGCTCATTAGAAAAGATAATGGTTCCCCAAACTTGAGCTTCCTCAGGTGTGACACAAACCTACTGTGCACAGCATCCACTTGTGCTTCTTTGTATTACAGTTGTGAGCCTTGGGGTCAAGAAAAACAGACATAAACATGAAGGTATGCTGCTTGCTGCCTTGTGAGTAATAGATTTATTTGTCTCTGATTGCGAGTCTCATGTCTCCAACCAGCATCCGTGAAACTGTAGCAGGCTAACTTGTTATTTGGCCAGTAGAATATAATATCTGACCCTTCACAGTTCTTGACAGCTATTGATTATGAGGATAGGGTGCTGACAGAGACATGGCTCTCTAGAGGAGAGAGGATGAGGGCCTTACAAGCCAGGCTAGGAATATAAAATGACTATCTGAGATCCATTAGTGCATGCTGTTGCAAAAGTGATGGGGGGCAAGAAGTAAAGGGCTCTGGCTGTCCTACCTGTTACTGAATGTTAAAAAGCTGAGCAGTGAGTGAAAGGATTAAACAAGGCACTCAAATGGTGTTTTGATTGTTTCTACTCTGCTGGAGGAGGGAGAAAGGAAGGTTTTAGTCATGACAATGGAGCCATACCCCTAAGCTTCAGCTAAAAGGCAATGTGAATGCAAGAACTGAGTCAAGGTGTCCCCAAAGCTGAAATAAATGGTGTCAGCATGAATATATAGAACTTTTGGTGGATCTACAACATTAAAGTTCATTTAGTTAAGCCATGAGTAGCTGCCAGGCTTCTCAAAGCTGATAGTGTCTTGTTTACTGGAATGGAGCCACACCTTCCCTCCAGGTCCTCTCCACACCCCCTCTGTTATTCTGACTTCATCTACTTTAAATACAAAGATGATTAGATGTGGAGCTTGTCCTCAGGAGGGACTGATATGGTTTGGCTGTGCCCCCACCCAAATCTCAACTTGAATTGTATCTTCCAGAATCCTCACGTGTTGTGGGAGGGACCCAGGGGAGGTAATTGAATCATGGGGGCTGGTCTTTCCATGCTATTCTTGTGATAGTGAGTAAGTCTCACAAGATCTGATGGGTTTGTCAGGGGCTTCCACTGTTGCTTCCTCCTCATTTTCTCTTGCTGCTGCCATGTAAGAAGTGCCTTTCACCTCTCACCATGATTCTGAGGCGCCCCCCCCAAGCCATGTGAAACTGTAAGTCCAATTAAACCTCTTTTTCTTCCCAGTCTTTGGTATGTCTTTGTCAGCAGTGTGAAAACGGACTAATACAGGGGCCAAGGGCTAATATATACTTAAATGAATATGCTAGAGAATTTTAGGAAGAAAAAGAATTGAAACTTTGAAGACTGTTGGATATAGTTCTTACATCACCATCCTATCTAATCCCATTGGAGGAGGGGGTGAGACCTGTTTAAACTGATGGACTTTGGACTGAGTTCAAAGTAGGAAAGCAAAGTCTAATGCAATCTTGTGAGTGACGTTTTTCGCATACTTATTATTGCTCTTGCTTCTACATTTGAATTTATAGTAGAAATTGATCTTATATGCCTGTACTTTCTTATCTGTTTATACTGAAGAAGATTATCCCAATTGGAAAGAAGCCACATATAGAGAAGTGCTAGTACCTTTAAAACTCAAAACCCTATTCACAACTTTGATCTACAAGTCTCTATAACTGATGATTTTTTTCCAATTAGGTATTTTGGAACAGGGAGGCAGCCTTCACATGGAGGCAACCTTGGGGTTTTGAACTTATCCTGCCCTTTTTTAAAGTTTTAAGTTTTGGGGTACATGATGTGCAGGTTTGTTACACAGGTAAATGTATGCCATGGTGGTTTGCTGCACCTACCAACCCGTCACCTAGGTATTAAGCCCAGCACACATTAGCTATTTTTCCTGATGCTCTCCCTCCTTCTGCTCCCACCAACAGGCCCCAGTGTGTGTTGTTCCCCTCCCTGTATCCATATATCCTCATCGCTCAGCTCCCACTTGTAAGAGAAAACATGCAGCATTTGGTTTTCTGTTCCTGCATTCGTTTGCTGAGGATAACAGCTTCCAGCTCCAACCAAGCTCCTGCAAAAGACATGATCTCATTCCTTTTTATGACTGCATAGTATTCCATGGTATATATGTGCCACATTTTCTTTATCCAGTCTATCATTGATGGGCATTTGGGTTGATTCCCTGTCTTTGCTATTGTTAATAGTGCTATAATGAACATATGCTTACATGTATCTTTATAATGGAATGATTTATATTCCTTTGGGTATATACCTAGGAATGGGATTCCTGGGTCAAATGATATTTCTGGTTCTGGATCATTGAGGAATCTCCACACTGTCTTCCACAATGGTTGAACTAATTTAGATTCCCCCCAACAATGTAAAAGCGATCCGATTTCTCACAACCTCGCCAGCATCTGTTGTTTCTGGACTTTATAATAATCACTATTCTGACTTATGTGAGATGTTACTGTGGTTTTGATTTTCATTTCTCTAATGGTCAGTAGTGTTTATCCTTCTTTTTGTAAATCAGCTATTAGCTTGCTATTGGGCTCTTATGAAATGGACACCAGACCTAAAAATACCTTGTGACTGTTAACTTGTTATTTCTATTTTGGTATGGATCAAGTAAGACTCAATGACTAATAAGGTGGGAAAGACCTACTAAGCCTCACTTTTTAAATGAAAATAGTTTATTTTAGAATGCAGCCATCCTTGCCCCACTAGTATCTTGATTTTACATGAAAAGTGGCAGCTATCCTTTTGGGAGAAAATGTATCACTCACTCTGCCACCTGAAGCAAAGGTGCTGATACAATGGGACCCTCAACTCAAAAATTTTCTCTTAAATTCCTTGTCCTGGTTCACTCATAGGATAATCTTAAACTTGTGTTGTCCACTGGTCTATGGCAGCTGTTCAACCTTAGCTCCAGCTATACAGAAACAAAAATGGACATAGCCACTCTGCTCAAAGACAGAACTCAAGCCTATTCTCATAGATCTGACTACTATTCTTCCTAATGAATCTTGTTTTGTTATTACTGTTGGTAATGGCCTAGTTCTTCGCTATTTGGAAATCTAGAGACTGACAGATTGAAAACCTTACTTTTTGGGACTATAGGCTGTTGAAAGCAGTTCTGGCTACTGACCAAACTGTCAAGAGTCATGTGTGTAGATGCCAGGTAAGGGCCCATCCTCTGATAAGACTGATGTGAATAAAGCTTCTGTTCAAGTCTATACTGATCAGATTACCCACCAATACTGTATGAGTCTCTCATAGTACTGCCACAGACAATACATCCATCATCAGAGAGGGGAAACAAAGTAAAGGAGTCTATGTTTCTGATGCAGAGGCCATCAATGCATGCCATGCTTGTCACCCCTGCCAAAATTTACTTGATTTTTTCGTGATGGAGGAAAGCCACATAGCACAGGTCATATTGCCCTGTCCACTTCTGGTAGAATGCCTATGTTGGATATTTGAATCCTTCTCAAAGCTAAGGGTTTTATTTCACTGCTGATGACACTTTTTCAGGTTACAGAGTTTCTGTTCTAGTCTTATTAGCTGATTCTGGTCATGTCAGTATGGCCTTTAAAACTAGCAGGTGTCACGTATTCAGCTTTCTGGACCATTTGCAGTCTGAAAATGGAACATTTTTTTTTTTATCACAAAAGTGACTCAAGAGTAAGCTGATAGTCCAGGTATTATGGCACCTCAAGTTTTCTCCATTCAAAAGTATCTGTTATTGTTATTGGGTATCTTCTAAAAAATTATCTCAAATAATTTTTCATTCTAATTTTCTTATCTTCTCTTGATCCACACACATCAGTAAGATGACTTTTTCATTGGATTTAGCTTTCTTCAGAATGGGATCATTTCCTCTCAGCAGCTTTCTGAATAATAATCAGGACAAAAGGAGTGGGGCTGGTTATAAGGCCCTATACTGAATATTCAGGATTCTGCCCGACCATTCCTGGGCATGATATGTCATTTTCCCCCCAATGGTAGCCCTAGGCTGATGTGGTCGATACACTCTCAAGGTGACAGCCTGACCAAAAGGGAGACTAGAGAATCCAAATATATAGTTCTGGTTAAGTTTTATAAAAATGATTTTGTGCTTGTTGCACCTGACTCTTCCATATGTAAGATGTGGATGTAAACAGGAGATGACTGGGGAGAAATATAACATTATGGCTACTGATTTGTGAAGGTGGAAAGGAACACTTTACATTTTGGGAGATGTGGGAGAGGAAGGGACATTAATGAATCTTCATCTTTCAAAACCACCTTGGAATCTTTCTTCCAAATGTAAATGCCCTGGTGTGGCTCTCCCATAGCCTTGACAGAACCTTAAATTCAACTTACTACCAAGTCTGTCATCCCCCACTAACTAGCACCAACTGTGAATTAGCCATTATTCTCCTTAACCTTCATAAGTCTATTAGAAACAATGAGAGATGGCTCAAGCTCCTGCACCTCTTGTGCATAACCTTCAGATATTCTCCCATTCTCACTTTTCTTTTCTGTGGGGTGGATGAATACTGCCTTGTTGATGGCCAACAAAAAACACAAGTTTAATTGATTGCCCACAGGCAGTCTCTCCAAAATCAAAAATGATATTAGATTATTAAACTGAACGAAGAATGTTAAGGTCTGCCAGCTACCCAAGAGGCCACATTGTAGGCACTATAAACCCGTGCCTTCTGACTAATGACAAGTTCTGCTGATAGGCCCCCAACCATTGTAAATAACATTTTCTTTCCTTGAGCACCGTGTACACTCTGGGACTGTACTTCTTGTGTGAAAGCCAGGCACTAACTTGCCTCCCTGCAGAAAACATGGTGATTTGTACCTTAGGGATGGCTATAAGAAGCTTTCAAGTATTTTAAGGAACCACTGCCTTGGCTCCGGAAGGTATTCAGTTCAGTCTTGACTCACAAGCCAGGGTTATTATAGAATATAGAATTGTACTAGGTTCTTGTTTATATATCATGGTAGATTCTATTCAATCACTAATACATCCTCTTATACCTGTATTAATACCTTGAGGCAGGTGGAGAAGTCAGTTAAAAACAACAATTTAAGTGTAGACAAATGCTGATAAAGTAGATTTTAAATGTTCTCACCACAAAATAACTTTGTGAGGTAATGCATATGTTAATTAGCTAGATTTAGCCATTCCATAATATGTTTATATATATATTTTTTTCAACATAAAATGTTGTACATGAGAAGTAATACAATTTTGCCTTTTTTTTCTTTCCAATTTTTTTTTTTTTTGAGACAGAGTCTCACTCTATCACCCAGGCTGGAGTGCAGTGGTGCAATCTCGGCTTGCTGCAACCTCCCCCTCCCAGGCTCAAGCGATTCTCCTACCTCACCCTTCCCAGTAGCGGGGATTACAGGTGCATGCAACCACGTACGGCTAATTTTTTGTGCTTTTAGTAGAGACGGTGTTTCACTGTGCTAGCCAGGATGGTCTCGATCTCCTTAACTCGTGATCCACCCGCCTCAGCCTCCCAAAGTGCTGGGATTACAGGCATGAGCCACTGTGCCCGGCCCTAATTTTTATTTTACATTCAGGGGGTACCTGTGCAGGTTTTATACATGGGTAAATTGTTTGTCTCGGGTGTTTGGTGTACATACAATTTTGTCACCCAGGTAACCAGCATATCTGGCAATTTTTTAAAAAGCAAAAAAAAAAAAAAAAAAAGGATAAATCCACTTGGCTTTCCATTATGAACATGATGTTTGCCCTGCTCCAACCTCCCAAATGTGTATGTTGAAGCCCTAACCCCTAATGTGATTGTCTTTGGAGATAGGGACTTTAGGGAAATACTTAATTAAAGTTAGATGAAGTCATTAAGATGGGGCCCTGATCTGATAAGATTAGTGTTCTGAATCTGCTGGAACCTCGATCTTGGACTTCCAGACTAGATAACTGTGAGAAAATAAACTTCTGTGGCTTAAGCCATCCAGTCTGTCATGGCAGTGCAAGCTGACTGAGCCACTTTCAAAGTTAGGCCCTGATGGTTTATAGTATTTATTCAATTGCTCAGACTTGGAACCCTTTGATAGTAAACTTAATTAAATGACATATGAAACAAAGTAAATATATTTAATCTTAACCCTGTTGATCAGATTAATCAGAGTCACTGATGTAGCGGCATACTCATGGGAAAATTTGACAGATACCAAAATGGTGTGGAAACAAAGGGTGTACATAGTTGGTAGAAAATTTTCCATAAGTCTCTTGTTTTACAAAACTTAGGAGCAGTAGCACTAATGGGACTTTTGTTCAGGATTACCCCTTTTAAAATGTTCATAAGGAAAACAGTCTTGGGGAGGTAAAGGGAATATGGCAGACAGGAGACAGGGATGATGTGTAACTTCCACTTGGACAGACAGAAGAGTGTGTGGAGACACACTGTTGACTTTTGCTCCGGGAACCCACACAGGAGTGTACCAGAAAAAAAAAAAAATCACAGATCCTCTGAAAGAAGCAGCAGGCTGCTACAAATTCCATGAGACGGGCAAAAAGCTCTGGTGCTCTCTTGAATGTGCCACATCCTAGCTGGAGGCCAACCAACTCAGGCCGTTACAGCAACTTTTGACAGAACAGCCCTGCTCCAAGGAAGGAAAAAAAAAAACAACAGCTAATCTCTTTGCCTGCAACATCCTGGCCAGTGATCTTGAGTCTGTCTACATGACAACTTTACTGCTAGCATAACCAGCATCTGAGAAAGCCAGAAAACATCTCTAAAACCAAGGATTCTAACAGAGTCTACTTTATTCTCTTGCCACCTCCAACAGAGCAGGTGCTGATATCCACAGCTGGGAGACCTGAAGACAGATCACATCACAGGACTCTTTGCAGACATTCCCCAGCACAAACCCAGAGCCTGATAGCCCCACTGGGTGGCTGGACCGAGAAAAGCAATAACAATTACTGCAGTCTGGCTTGCAGGAAACCCCATCCCTAGGGGAACAGGGAGTGCACCACATCAAGGGATCACTCAGTGGGACAAAATAATCTGAACAGAAGCCCTTGAGTTCCAGATTTTTCCACTGAAATAGTTTACCCAAATTAGAAGGAATCAGAAAAGTAATTCTGGTAATATGAGAAAACAAGCTTTTTTCTGAGACAGATTCTCACACTGTCACCCAGGCTGGAGTGCAGTGGCGCAATCTTGGCTCACTGCAAGCTCTGCCTTCTGGGTTCACACCATTCTCCTGCTTCAGCCTCCCAAGTAGCTAGGACTACAGGCACTCGCAACCACGCCTGGCTATTTTTTTGTATTTTTAGAAGAGACAGGGTTTCACCACGTTAGCCAGGATGGTCTTGATCTCCTGATCTCGTGATCCACCTGCCTCGGCCTCCTAAAGTGCTGAGATTACAGGCATGAGCCACTGCACTGGCCGACAAAACAAGGTTTTATAACACCCCCCAAAACCACACTAGCTCCCCAGCAATACATCCAAACCAAGAAAAAATATCTGAATTGCCAGAAAACGAATTCAGATGGTTGATTATCAAGCTACTCAAGGAGATACCAGAGAAATATAAAAACCGACTTAAAGAAATTTTTAAAAAATACAGGATATTAATTTTAAAGTCTCCAGAGAAATAAATATCGTGAAAAAAGACAGTCTCAACTTCTGGAAATGAAAGACACACTTAGAGAAATGCAAAATACATTGGAAAATTTCAAACCTAGAACTGAACAAGTAGAACAAAGAATATCAGAGCTTGAAGACAAGACTTTTGAATGAACCCCATATGACAAAGACAAGAAAATTTAAAAACTGAACAAAGCCTCCAAGAAATTTGGAATTATGTTAAATGACCAAACATAAGAATAATTGGTGTTCCTTAGAAAGAAGAGAAATATAAAAATTTGGAAAACATATTTGAGGGAATAATTGAGGAAAACTTGCTAGAGATCTAGACATCCAAATAGAAAAAGCTCAACACCTGAGAAATTCATCATCACAGTCATCAGTTTATCTAAAGTCAGGTAAAATAGTTCATGCTGTCTCTACTTCTTGGACATCTACAGTGCTGGTGTGTGTTAATTTTGTTGTTAATATTGTTAATATAAGGGAAATAATATAGAAAACTAGAGAGCTAATTAGAAAAATGATCATAAGAGTATGACTGTGAAAATGAAGTAATTCTAACCTATAAAGGAAAACCTATCAGATTAACAGGAGATTTCTCAGCAGAAACCCTAGAAGCCTAAAGGGACTGGGGTCCTGTCTTTACCCTCCTCCAACAAAATAATTGCCAGCCATAAATTTTTGTACCCATCAAAACTAAGATTAATAAATGGAGAAGAGTTAAAGTATTTTTCAGACAAACAAATGCTAAAAGAATTTGCCTCTACCAAGCCTGCACTACATGAAATGCTAAAAGGAGCTCTAAATCTTGAAACAAAACCTCAAAATACACCAAAATAGAACCTCCTTAAAGCATAAATCTCACAAGACCTATAAAACAGTAACACAAATTTAAAAAGGTATTCAGGCAACAACTAGAATAATGAATAAAACAGTACCTCACATCTCAATACTAACGTTCAGTGTAAATGGCCTAAATGCTCAACTTAAAACATACAGAATGACAGAATGGATAAAAATACACCAACCAAGTATCTGCTGTCTTCAAGAGACTCACCTAATGTATCAGGACTCACATAAACTTAAGGTAAAGGGTGGAAAAATATATTCCATACAAATGTAAACCAAAAGTGAGAAGGAGTAGTTATTCTTATACCAGACAACACAGACTTTAAAGCAATAATAAATAAGAAAGACAAAGGAGGGTATTATATAATGATAACAGGAACAGTTCAGGAAAATATCACAGTTGTAAATATATATGCACCTAACATGGAAGCTTCCAAATTTATAAAACAATTATTATGACACATAAATGAGATGGACAGCAGCACAATAATAGTGGGGGACTTCAATACTCCACTGACAGCTCTACACAGGCTATCAAGACAGAAACTAAACCAAGGAACAATGGACTTAAACTATACCCTAGAACAAATGGACTTAACATATTTACAAAACATTCTACCCAACAACTGCAGAATATGCATTCTTTCCAACAGCAAATGAAATATTCTCCACAGAAGAATAAAATTGAAAATTAACTCAAAAAGGAAACTTCAAAATGATACAAATACATGGAAATTAAATACTCTGCTACTGAATGATCCTTGGGTCAACAATGAAAGATGGAAATTAAAAAATTATCTGAAGTGAACAATAATAATGACACAACTTATCAAAACCTCTGGAACACAGAAAAGTGGTACTAAGAGAAAAGTGCATAGAATTAAATGCCTACATCAAAAAGTTTGAAAGAGCACAAATAGACAATCTAAGGTAACACCTCAAGGAATTGGAGAAAAAAAAACACACCAAACCAGCAGAAGAAAAGAAAAAACAAAAATCAGAGCAGAACTAAATAAAATTGAAACAAAAAAATACAGAAGATAAATGAAACAAAAAGATGGCTATATGAAAAGATAAGCAAAATTTATAGGCCATTAGCTACGTTAGCCAAGAAAAGAAGAGAGAAGAGTCAAATAAGTTCCATTAGAAATAAAACAAGATATATTACAACCAATACCACAGAAATACAAAAGATCATTCAAGGCTGCTATGAACACCTTTATGCAAACAAAGTAGGAAACCTAGAGGAGATAGATAAATTCCTGAAAATGTACAACCCTCCTAGATTAAATCAGGAAGAAATAGAAACTCTAAACAGACCAATAACAAGTAGCAAGATTGAAACAGTAATTTAAAAAATTTCCAACAACAAAACAAAGTCCAGGACAGAATGGATTTGCAGCTGAATTCTGTCAGGCATTCAAAGAAGAATTGGTAGCACTCTTACTGAAACAATTCCAAAAGATAGAGAAATTGTAAATCCTCCCTAAATTATTTTATGAAGATAGTATCACCATAATATGAAATTCAGGAAAGGATGTAACAGAAAAAGAAAACTACAGACAATATTCCTGATGAACATAGATGCAAAAATCCTCAACAAAATACTAGCTGAATCCAACAGCATATAAAAAAGATAATCCACCATGATCAAGGGGGTTTCATTCTAGGGATGCAGGGCTGGTTTAACATATGCAAGTCAGTAAGTGTGATACATAAACAGAATTAAAAACGAAAATCATATGATCATCTCAATAGATGCAGAAAAAGCATTTGACAAGATCCAGCATCCCTTTATGATTAAAACCCTCTGCAAAATTGGCATGGAAGGAACATACCTCAGGTTAATAAAAGCCATCTCTGACAAAACTACAGCCAACATTATACTGAACAAGAAAATGTTGAAAGTATTCCCCCTGAGAAACAACAGAGACATAGATATCCGTATCCATATATCTTTGTGCACATATGAGAGTGTTTCTGTAGGACAGAGACTTTTTGGTGATAGAAATGCTCCTTATTAGATACACTCATTTATGGGCCAAAAAAGGTGTAATCATTTACACATCTGTCACTACGTTATGAGAATAACACTTTGCCTATAGTTGAAAAACGTTATCTTGTTTTAATATTAATTTCTGGACTACTGGTGAGACTGATTACCTTGTCATGCTTCTTGACTGTATTTCTTCTGTAAATGTTCTTTTCTTGTACATGATACATTTTCTTTCAGGTAATTTATTTTTATTGAATTATAAAAAACTCTTTATATATATAGGAACTTTGTTTCCCTTTGTTGTATATTATGAAACTGTAGTTGCCAGTTATACCACTTCTCATTGAACTATGCTAATAGTGTTTAAGTCACACAGAAATTTAAAAATTTTATAATCAGATTAGTCAACTTTTATGGCTTATAGATTTTCTCTCTTGCTTAGGAATGACTTTGTTATTCTAAGTTTATTCTCCTATATGTCATTCGAATTTCTTCTATTATTCTAATTTCTTTTAGTTTTTTGAAACTGGTCATTTATTACAGCAGCCCACAACTGCATATTGTCTGTGAAAAACTTCTCTGTGAGGATTTAATTTTATAATAATTATACACTAAAAATTATATCATTTCTTTTTTAACTTTTAAGTCCCAGGGTACAAGTGCAGGTTTGTTACATAGGTTAACTTGTATGATGGGGTTTGTTATATAGATTATTTCATCATTCATGTATTAAGCCTAGTACCCATTAGTTATTCTTCCTGATGTTCTTCCTCCTCCCACCCTTCACCTTCTGAAAAGACCCGGTGTGTGTTGTTCTCCTCTATCTGTCCATGTGTTCTCATCAGTTAGCTCCCACTTATAAGTGAGAACATGCAGTATTGGGTTTTCTGTTCCTGTGCTAGTTTGCTAAAGATAATCTCATCCAGCTCTATCCATGTCCCTGCAAAGAACATGATCTCATTCTTTTTCATGGCTGCATAGTATTCCATGGTGTATATTTACCACATTTTCTCTATTCAGTCTATCATTGATGAGCATTTATGTTGATTCCATGTCTTTGCTACTGTGAATCATGCTGGAATGAACATATATGTGCATGTGTCTTTATAATAGAATGATTTCTATTCCTTTGGATATATATCCAGCAATGGGATTGTTTGGTTGAATGGTATTTTGCCACACTGTCTCCCACAATGACCAAACTGATTTACACTCCCAGCAACAGTGTATAAGGGTTCCCTTTTCTCCTCAACCTTGACAGCATCTATTATTTTTTGACTTTTTAAGAACAGCCATTCTGACTGTTGTGAAATGCTATTTCATTGTGGTTTTGATTTGTATTTCTCTAATGATCGGTGATGTTGAGCTTTTTCTCATATGGTTGTTGACCACATGTATGTTTTCTTCTGAAAAGTGTTCATGCCCTTTGCCTACTTTTTTATGTTGTTTTTGTAATTTTAAGTTTCTTATAGATGCTGGATATTAGACCTTTGCCGAATGCATAGTTTGCAAAAATTTTCTTCTATTCTCTAGGTTATCTGTTTACTCTGTTGATAGTTTCTTTTGCTGTGCAAAAACTCTTTAGTTTAATTAGATCCCCTTTGTCAATTTTTGCTTTTATAGCTACTCCTTTTGGCATCTTCATCATAAAATGTTTGTTCATGCCTATGTCCTGAGTGGTATTGCCTAGGTTGTCTTCCAGGTTTTTATAGTTTGGAGGTTTACATTTAAGTCTTTAATCCATCTTGAGTGAATTTTTGTATATGGTGGAAGGAAGATGTCCAGTTTCAATCTTCTGCATGTGGCTAGCCAGTAATCTCAGCATCATTTATTGAATAGGGAATCCTTTCTCCGTTGCTTGTTTTTGTCAGGTTTGCCAAAGTTCAGATAGTTGTAGGTATGCTGTCTTATTTCTGGGTTCTCTATACTGTTGCATTGGTCTATATGTCTGTTTTTGTACCAGTACCATGCTCTTTTGGTTATGGTAGCCCTGTAGAATAGTTTGAAGTTGGGTAGCATGATGCCTCCAGCTTTGTTCTCTTTGTTTAGGATGGCCTTGGCTATTCAGGCTCCTTTTTAGTTTTGTGTGAATTTTAAAATATTCTTTATCTAGCTCTGTAAAGAAATGTCAATGTTATTTTAACGGGAATGTGATTGAATGTATGACTTGATTTGGGCAGTATGGCCATTATCATGATATTGATTTTTCCAATCAATGAGCACGGAATGTTTTTCCACTTGTTTGCGTCATCTCTGATTTCTTTGAGCAGTGGTTCGTAGTTATCCTTGTAGTGACCATTCACCTTCCTAGTAAGTTGTATCCCTAGGTATTTTATTCTTTTGGTAGCATTTGTGAATGGGAGTTCGTTCCTGATTTGGCTTGTGGCTTGACTGTTGTTGGTGTATAGGAATGCTAGTGATTTTTGCACATTAATTTTGTATCTTGAGACTTCGCTGAAGTTGTTTTTCAGCTTACAAAGCTTTTGGGCTAAGACTATGTGGTTTTCTAGATATATAATTATGTCATTTGCAAGAAGGGATAGTTTCACTTTCTGTCTTCCTATTTGGATGCCGTTTTTTTTCTTTCTCTTTCCTGATTGCCCTGGCCAAGACTTCCAATACTATGATGAATTGGAGTGGTGAGAGAGGGCATCCTTCTCTTGTGCTGGTTTTCAAGGGGAATGCCTACAGCTTTTGTCCACTCAGTATGATGTTGACTGTGGGTTTGTCATATAGGGCCATTATTATTTTGAGCAATATTCTTTCAATACCTAGTTTATTGAGAGTTTTTAACATGAATGGATTTTGAATTTTATCAAAAGCCTTTTCTTCTTATATTGAGATCATGATGTGGTTTTTGTCTTCAGGTTTGTTTATGTGATGATTGTTTATGTGATGAATCACATTTATTGATTTGTATATGTGGAGCCAAATTTGCATCCCAGTGATGAAGCCTACTTGATAGTGTGGGGTAAGCTTTATAATGTGTTGCTGGACTTGGTTGCCAGTATTTTGTTCAGAATTTTTGCATCAATGGACATCAAGGACATTGGCCTGAAGTTTTCTTTTTTTGTTGTATCTCTGCCAGGTTTTGGTTTCAGGATGATTCTGGCCTAATAGAATGCGTTGGAGAGGAGTCCCTCCTCCTCAACTCCTCTTTGTACATCTATAGAATTCAGCTGTGAGGAGTCCCAACTCCTCTTTGTACATCTATAGAATTCAGCTGTGAATTTGTCTGGTCTTGGCCTGTTTTTGGTTGATAGGCCATTTATTACTGCCTCAATGTCAGAACTCATTATCGGTCTGTTCAGAGATTCAACTATTTCCTGATTCAGTCTTGGAAGGGTGTATGTGCCCAGGAATTTATCCATTTCCTCTAGATTTTCTAGTTTATTTGCATAATATTTTCTGATGGCTGTTTGTATTTCTGTGGATGTCAGTGGTGATATTCCCCTTGTGATTTCTGATTGTGTTTATTTGAATCTTCCCTCTTTTCTTCTTTATTAGTGTAGCTAGCTGTCTATCTATTTTATTATTTTCAAAAAAAACCCCTCTGGATTTGTTGATCTTTTGAATGGTTTTTCATGTCTCTAGCTCCCTCAGTTCAACTCTGATTTTGGTTACTTATTGTCTTCTGCTAGCTGTGGGATTTGTTTCCTCTTGGTTCTCTAGTTCTTTTAGTTGTGATAGTAGGTTGATAACTGGAGATCTTTTAAACTTTTTGATGTGGGCATTTAGTGCTATAAATTTTCCTCTTATCGCTATCTTAGCTATGTCCCATAGATTCTGGTACGTTGTATCGTTGTTCTCATTAGTTTTAAAGAATTTCTTGATTTCTGCTTTAATTTCATTATTTACCCAAAAGTCATGTATGGTTTTGGGTGAATTTCTTAGTCTTTGTTTCTAATTTGATTGCATTGTGGTCTGAGAGATTGTTATTATTTCAATTATTTTGCATTTGCTGAAGAGTGTTTTACTTCTGATTATATGATTGATTTTAGAGTATGTGCTGTGCAGCGATGAGAAGAATGTATATTCTGTTTTTTGGGGGTGGGGAGATCTGTAGATATTTATCAGGTCCATTTTATCCAGTGCTAAGTTCAGGACCTAAATATCTTTTTAAATTTTCTGTCTTGATGGTCTGTTTAATATTGTCACTGGGGTGTTAAAGTCTTCCACTACTATTGTGTGGGAGTCTAAGTCTCTTTGAAGGTCTCTAAGAACTTGCTTTATGAATCTTGGTGCTCCTGAGTTGGGTGTATATATATTTATAACAGTTAAATCTTCTTGTTGAATTGAGCTCTTTACCATTATATAATGACCTACTTTGTCTTATTTTATCTTTGTTGGTTTAAAGCCTGTTTTGTCAGAAACTGGGATTACAACCCCTGCATTTTTCTATGTTCTATTTGTTTGGTACAGTTTCTTCCATCCCTTTGTTTTGAACCTATGTGTGTCATTGCATGTGATATGGGTCCCTGAAGACAGCATACCAGTGGTCGTGGTTCTTTATCCAGCTTGCCACTCTGTGTCTTTCAACTGGGGCATTTAGCTCATTTACATGTAAGGTTAGTATTGATATGTGTGTATTTGATCCTGTCATCATGATGTTAGCTGGCTATTTTGTAGACTTGTTTATGTGGTTGCTTTACAGCATCACTGGTCTGTGAACTTCAGTATGTTTTTGTAGTGGCTTGTAATGGTCTTTCCTTTTCATATTTAGCACTTCCTTCAAGAGCTCTTGTAAGGCAAGTCTGGTGGTGAAAATTTCCTCAGCATTTGCTTGTCTGAGAAAGATCTTATTTCTTCTTTGCTTATGAAGCTTAGTTTGACCGGATATGAAATTCTGGGTTGGAATTTCTTTTAAGATTGTTGTATATTGGCCCCCAATCTCTTCTGGCTTGTAGGTTTTCTTCTGAGAGGTCCAGTGTTAGTCTGATGTGCTTCCCTTTGTAGGTGACCTGGCCTTTCTCTCTTGCTGCCTTTAACAATTTTTCTTTCATTTCAACCTTGGAGAATCTGATGACTATGTGTCTTTGGGATTATCTTCTCATGGAGTATCTTACTGAGGTTCTCTGCATTTCCTGAATTTGTATGTTGGCCTCTCTAGCTAGGTTGGGCAAGTTCTCATGGATGATATCCTAACTATGTTTTCTAAATTGATTCCATTCTCCCCATCTCTTTCAGATACAGCAACCTGTCATAGATTCATTTTCTTTACATAATCTCATATTTCTCAGATTTAGTCTCTTTACATAATTCTATATTTTGTTTATTCATTTGCATTTTTTCTGTATTCTTTTCTGTCTGTCCTATTTAATAAATTCCATCTTCAGAATCTTAGATTCTATCATCCACTTGGTCTATTCTGCTATTAATACTTGTGACTGCCTTATGATATCCTTGTAGTGTGTTTTTCAGCTCTATCAGGTTGGTTACATTCTCCTCTAAACTAGCTATTTTGTCTGTCAGCTCCTGCGATGGTTTATCTTGATTTTTAGCTTCCTTGAATTGGGTTACAATGTACTCCTTTAGCTCAGTAAACTTTTTTCTATCTATATTCTGAATTCTACTTCTGTCATTTCAGGCATTTTAGCCTCAGCCTGGCTTCGAACTCTTGCTGGATAGGTGATGCTGACATTAGGAGGAAAGAGGACATTCTGGCTTTTTGAGTTTACAGCATTCTTGTGGTGATTATTTCTCATCTTTATGGGCTTATCTACCTTCAATCTTTGAGGGTGCTGACCTTTGCATTTTTTTTTAACAGCCTGGCCACTTTTCCATAGGGCTGCTGTGGTATGCTGGGGGTCTGCTCCAGTCCCTAGTCACCTCAGATTTTCCAGTACTCGGAGGTATTCACCAGTGAAGGCTGAAAAACAACAAAGATGGCAGCCTGCCCCTTCCTCTGGTAGTTCCATGACAGGGAGATACAGACATGTTGTTGGTCCAAACGCACCTGTAGGAGGTGGCTGGAGTCCCTGGATGGGAGGTTTTGCCCAGTAAGGAGGAACAGGATCAGGGACCCACTTAAACAAGTAGTTTGGCCATGTTTCTGTAGTGCAGCTGTGCTGTACTAGGGGTCCACTTTAGCCCCTGGTTGCCTCAGACATTCCAAAGCCCAAAGGCCAGAGTGGCTGAGTTGCCCAAATAGCAAAGATGGTGGACCACCCCTCCACTTAGGAGCTCCATCTCAGGAAGACCTGAAACCTCTGTCAGTCAAAGATCACTGATGAGGGTGGCCAGAGATGCTGGTTGGGAGGCTCCACCCAGTGATGGGGAATGTGGTCAGGGACCTGGTTTAAAAATGTGGCAGTCTGGCCACATTTTCTGTAGGGCTGCTGTGCTGTGCATGTGTACCACTTCCACCCCTGTTTGGCTTGGGCTTCCCAAAGCCCAAAGGCTGGAACTGCTAAGTCATCCAAACAGTAAAGATAGCTGTCTGCCCCTGTGTCTGGGAGTTCCATCCCAGGGAGTTTTCAAATCTCTGCAGGCTGAACAACACTGGCAGGGGTGGCTGGAGGCCCTCATTTGGAGGTCCCACTCAGTGAGGAGGAAGAGACCAGAGACTGACTTAAAGCAGTAGTTTGGCCATGTTTTGGTAGACCAGCTATGCTGCACTGGGGAATTCCTTCCACCTCTGGTTGGTTTGGATTCTCCAAAGCCCACAGACTGGACTGGTTTAAATGCACAAACCACAAAAATGACAGCCTGCCCCTTCTCATGGGAGCTCCAGCCCAGGTAGTTGCAACATTGCTATAGGTGGCTGGCTGGAATTCTAAGCCAGTGAGTCTTATTCTGTGAGGTTTCATGGAAGTGGGGCCTACAGACCATTGCTAGGTGACCCCCTAGATTCAGCCTCTTTCCTAGGGATATGCATGGGGGTCTAATGTCCCACTTTGCTGGAGTTGCAGTTATATTCGACAGGAAGCCCAGAGATGGAGTATCTAAAGCTCCCAGGTCTCTGCACATGCCTGAGTGGCTGTTCTGCTGAGATTTCTCATAGCTTTGTGTGTCAGACTGAAGGAGTAAGTTCATGAGGGGATCTCTTGACTCAAGAGTTGCAAAGATCTGTGGGAGAACCATGGTTTCCCAGGGTTGCACATTTACTCACTGCTCCCCTGGGTAGGGAAGGTTCTCTTGGCTCTGTGTCACTCCTGGGTGAGCCATTGTCCTGCCTTGCTTTTGTCCATTCTCTGTGGGTTGCATTGTTTTCTTGATTGGTCCCAATGCCAGTACATTCTCCTCAATTGGTCCCCAATGCCAGTAACTGGTTGTTTCTGTTGAAGTTGCTGTTTTTACTTACCCCTTCCATTCCTCTCCGTGAGAGCGACACAACCTAGCTTCTTCTAGTCGGCCATCTTGGCCACTCCCTAATTATATCATTTCTAATCTGTTAAATGTCACATGCTACTGCTCTACTTTTAGTTAATAGTCCATGTTTATCTAAAAGTAAAAGTATAATATTCTTTATGAATTTATAAAACCCACCTTTATCAGAATAATGAAAATCATATTTTTTCCTTCACAAAGCAATTCCAAAATTTATTCAGAATTTGTTTTACAATGTTTTTTCAAATGAGAATAATGTAACACATGTAGGTGAAGATGCTTGTCCAAGGTCATAAGAAGAATCTTGCATGAGGCTAAAACCCATAGTCTCAGTTATTATGTGTGTGTATATATGTATGTGTTTCCTCACTGAGCCACATTGACTCTTATTTGAGGCTAAAAAAGGAAAATGTTTATGCAGAAATATGTGTGAAAGTTACAGAAGAAAGATTTTAATCAAAATTATGTATTTCATCTCTCTCCACTTCCGTTACCCAGCTGGTATCCAAGTCCTTCCTCATTCCCCTGTTTGGGATAGGAACAGCTGCTTGTGATGACATAGGCAGTCTTCTCCAGCCTTCTGCTTCAGGCAGCAGTTTACGCCTTTCTCTTTGAAATTAGCTGGAACCATTTTAAGCATTTTCCTGTTTCCTCTAGGCACATGCAATACCAGGATAAGAATTAAAGCATCTGTCCTTCTAAAGATTATGTGAAGTTTTTACAATGTTTCTTGATTATTTGAGGGCCAGCAAATTAAGTAGGTAAGAAAAGTTTGTAACTGGATTAAATCAAGACAGAAAAACGAATGGAAAATGGTCAATGGTCAATATTTGGAGTGTAGAGGAGGAGAAGAGCATTTGGAGAGAGGCAGGGATATTTCATATAAAAGATTTTTCCCCATAGAGAGGAAAACACCAGGTATCTAAAGGATTTAATTTAGTGGTAATAGACACCACTAAGAGAGCATCCCTTTGCTGCATTGGTGAAATAATCTGGTATGCTCTGGATGTACTTGCTGCATGAATTCCCCTGAGAACCTTTTTCCCACTTAGCCCCTTAGAACCCATTCTAATGGAATCTTCCCCCTTCTAGCCAGCCTGCCCTGCTTCCTACCTTTCTCCCCTCAAAAAAAGCCTATTCTCCTCCTCCATTGCTGATGTTCTTGTGATTTTTGGAAAGGCAGAGATTTTGGAAGTTTCCTCAGGGAGAATTAATTTGGCTGGCGATGGACAATTAAGGAAAAAAGGAAGGACATGGACAAAATATTATAAAGAGGATTATGGTAATGTCAGAGAAGATAAAACACAAGGCTCCTACAGAGTACAGAAAGGAATTCCAAGAGTATAGAAGAATAGAATATTCTATCCAGAAAATAGAAGAATAAAAAGCCTTTCAACACACACACACACACACACACACACACACACACACACACACACAGTTACCAAGTTAAAAACTGATGCTTTGGGGTGGTGGAAATCTAGATTTAGTCATTTACTACTTCTGGGAAGCTATATAATATATACTAACTCTAAAAAATAATAATACAGCTTCTTTTGGCAATGCGATAAAGTCTCTGAATACTGTAAGCCTGGGCCACTTTATGAAGTAGGTGATGCCATTTGCACTTTCTCATTTAACCTACAAGTGCTCATTTTCTATCAAAATCTACGAGTGTTCTGTGTCCTATTCTTCAGTTATTCTCCATTATAATGCTACAGGGGAATATTGTACACTTTAAAAATTCCTGTTCAACATTGAAAAGCCAGGTGCTCCATGAAGTCTTCCTTAACCTCTCCCTTCACAGACGAGATTATTATCTCCCTATTCTGAGCTCTTAAACAAGTTCTGAATATCTATTATTGTACTAAATTCACTGTACTGTGATTATTTGCCAGCTTTTTGTCTCTTCCACTGGATTGTGTGCTGTTTGGCAGCAAAAGTCCTGTTTGTTTGTTTCTTCGTTTATTGTAACCCTAAGACCGATGGCTGCACCTGAAAAACAGTAGTAACTTGGTAATTGTTTAAAGAAAGTATTGTTCATTTTTATTATTATTACTTATGTTTTGTGTTTTCTCTTTCTTCGGTTCTCCCCAAGATGCTATAGCCTAAGGACTCTGATCTTGTCAAATGTGCATCTGCTTCTATGTAGTCTTTGTTCCTGTTAAAATGCACTTTATCTGAAAACATCTAAGAATTCTTTCTCTCTTCTTTCTGTTATACTCTATTCTTTTTTAACATCTAATTTTCCAAATCACTAGGTATATTACACCAACTACTTGATCGCTAAATGTGTTTTTGCTATGACAAATGATAATGCCACTCCTCTCTTTTATTGTGTATTTATGTCTCACATTATAGTCCAAGGATTAAAGAGTGAATACGTATTGTAGATAGACCTGCTGTGACAATATTTTAGCTGCATTGATTTCTGTCATGTGAATTCCAAAAGAAACATCTAATAGGATATGTCATTAAATATTTTTACTACACTGAAGAAAATGAAAACATAAGACTATCCTCTGATTAAAGGATAAGTGAACTGATTTGCATTCTAGAAGGTAAAGGGGAAAAGGTACTTTTTTAGAAATCACTATCATCACCAACTCTTTCTTACAGCACTGCTTATTGTGAAGTACAGAAATTTCTGGTCTTTAATTTTTGGTGCTACTATTCTATTTATGCCTGTGCTCTTTAATTTCAAAGTGTATGGAAATTCCCAGAAAGACTATGCTTCAAATTCCTATAGTTCTTGGTAATGGTAAAACCTTGGATGGGCAGGCAACCAGGGAAGGCCCTGAGCTACATTACCAAGTAGATGACACCGTTTGCACCTTTCCATATCTGTTGTGAGTGTTCACTACTCTCATACTCTAGGGGTGTTCTGTGTCCTATTATTTCAGGGCATAGCCATCAAATAATCCTCTTAATTATGGTGCTGGAGGATAATGTCCTAAGAAGTGTTTCTCACAGTGAGATCTGCTGATACTTTGCATCAGAATTATCTCTAAGGTTATTGTTAAAATGGAACTCCCTGGTTCTAACCCAAGAATTTCTAAAGCAGAAGATCTGAGAATGTGGTACAGAATCTGCCTTTGTAATGAGCTCCAGGAAATCTTAATTCAAAATACAGTCTGTGAACTACAGTCATATGGTATTCTCTTTCCCTAGGTAATAAGGACCTAAGGGAGCCAACCCCTATGATAGATTTACAGATAACATGGCCCAAAATGGGGAACTAAATATTTTATGGAAGTAGATTATCTCAAAAAATTATTTAATCATCTGTGACATTTCATCCATATGACAATCAAAGTACTATGTTAGGCATACAAATTATACTTGCTCATAATACTTAAATGTATACCCTCTTACCCCTAAAGAGGCCAAGCTGATAAATGTGCTCTAATATGCAGATTAAAGAGTTTTAATGTAATAATATAATTGTGGCTGTGATTAATGACTAGTCTTACTATCCAATTACTTCCAGAAAAGGTGGCTTAAGATCCACTATTGCAAAAGTCATAATTCTTGGTAGGCATTTTGCAATATTTGACTAGTATATTGATAATCACCCTACACAACTGGCAGATTTCTTCAGTCAACTAGGATTATGTTTTTCAAGCAGCTAGTCATAGAGAGGTCACTAGAGAATTACATTGCTTGAGTTTTATGAGTGTTTTTAATGAGTTTTATTTTAAAGATAAGTAGGATATTTGATTATATTCTGTTAAAAATAATCTGAGTTAAAAATTATGAGGAAATACATTATGATACAAAACTCTGGGAACTTGAATTCTTGTTCATTTATGAGATGAAGCTGACTTTAACTATTTGGGGGATAAATCTTGCTCCTTTCTGCGGGTAGTCTCTTGGCTCATTTTCATAAATAAATTCAGTGAACACCTCCTTAGGTAAGTGTCCTCAATGTTACTGAGAAGGCATAAACTCAATCTTATTTCAGTTTTTGTTTGTTTGTTTGTTTTCTCAAGATGAGTCTTGCTCTGTTGCCCAGGCTGCAGTGCAGTGGCATGATCTCGGCTCACTGCCACCTCTGCCTCCCAGGTTCAAGCAATTCTCCTGCCTCAGCCTCCTGAGTAGCTAAGATTACAGCCACCTGCCACCACGCCTGGCTATTTTTTGTATGTTTAGTAGAGATGGGGTTTCACCATGTTGGCCAGGCTGGTCTCGAACCCCTGACCTCGTGATCCGCTTATTAAAGTACATCTGTCTGCACCTAAGAAGCAATATAGATTAGCTGCACTCCCAGATTTGACAAAGAGTATTACTTAAAAGTCTGCCACAAAATACATATCAAAATTTAGGTGAGAGATTATCTCTGGAAGATTACCTGAAATACCTAAAGAAAATTTATTCCTCTAGATAATCTTCAATTTGACTTTGGTTTAAGCCAGACCTAGCTTGCCGCATGACACACCTCATCTGGTCCTAAACACATGTAAAATTTCTTTAATGGCACTAAGATTAGTCATAATGGCATAATACCATTGACATACATTGACCGATATTGTAAAACAGCCTTAAGATGTTGGTTGTTTTCTATAAAGTTGTTGAAGATATTATTGACTACATTATATACTTCAAGTTGTTGAAGATATTATTGACTACAATATACAAGGAATTGCAATAGAAATTTCTCTCTGGTTGTGTTTCTGAAAATAATTTTAATTCTCTTGAACATTTAAAAAAATTATGTGCTGCAGCTAATGTTACATGTTACATTTCATTCTGTACCTCATAGCACGTAATTTTTTTGATATTCACCTTTGGATTAATCTTATTTTACTAACCTTTCTAATTCTTCACCATGATTTTTTCATTTACTTAATGAAAATCTTATTGCACTGCTCATATTTGTGCATACCTTCTTACATATATTTGGCAGAAAAGCAGCATATAAACAAACATGATAATCATAAAGCTGAGCCCAGAGATGAGCAACTTTTTTTATAATGGTACTGAAATTTCTTGGTGTTCAGAAAAAGGCTGAGACCGGTCCACCATAACATAAACTCTCCAGGCATGTAAATAGACCAAACGTGAAGAAGTACTATATTTATTTCTAGGAAGGGCCTTCTTAAATACCAAAGACTATGCCAAAGATTACTGTACTATCTATATTTATATAAAAGATTTGTAGACTAGAAATGAAATTTAACTAAGAAATTTCTTGTCTGCTATATCTCCTGAGAAAATTACTTGAGCAGGCCACTTCTGTGGATGGATTATGGTTCTTGTGTATAAAATTGAATGGTTCAATTTTCTAACATTTATGTTTTGGACATATTTGAAACTTATCCTAAGTGTAATTTGTTATCAAAGTCTAGTCAATAATATTCTTAAATGAGTCCTATTAACTTTTGGTGAGGAAATAACTGCTTTCTCTGAAGCCCCCTTTTGAATAGCAGAATGGCTTATTGAGTTTTCTGATATAAGACAAAAAAAAAAAACTGACATAAGACAGAAAATCACTACCCAATCATTATCACAAAAGGGAAAATGATTCCCAACAGTGACCTGGTGTGGAGACATAAGCATGACAAGGACTATATTAGGACTGAAACTCCTGCAACTCTCCTTCTTTGTCTCAGTGTGAGATCAAGTTTGTTATAGATATGGGGTGCCTAATGTTTTATAAGTTGGTATATATACTCCTGGAAAGATCTTTACCCATTGCTTATCATTAGATCATGTATTTCCTCTAGCAATATGGAGAAATATCTTTTCAATTTTTTTTCAAACATTGCATCTCACCAATATGAATACTGGCAGCCATCCAGTAATAGCCATAGTATACAACTGAGACTAAAAAAGGAGTAATACATGTGCATGTGTGTGTCGGGGGGGTACATTCTTTCTGATTCTATTTGATTTTATCTTAAGGGAAACACCCATCCAAAGACACATGTGGAATTTTAAACTGTGGAAATGCATGAGCTTATTTGGAGCAAAAGTATTAAAACAAGCAGGCAGCACATGACTGAGCCTTTTCAATCTGCTTGCCTTTATGCTAACCCCCAGCCTGACATACACTTTTTAATGAGAAATAAGCATATTTTGCTTTTGTCACAGATCAAATATCTAAGATAGAGTAAAACTGATTTCTTTGTTATTCTAAAGATATAAGATAGGGAATGATCCTGTGGAAATGTCACTTATGGCTCATCCAAGAGAAACAGGCTGTCTTTAGGCACTATTCTTGAGGTATACTGCTTACCTAGATGGGCTCCTTAGGGTACTAGAATCTAGGGTGCCCCTATCAGTTGAGTCTACCTGATTCAGTTATTCTTTTTTTCACCAAAATCTCTTTAACTGAGAATTTTACAAAAATAGCAACAAGGACTTTTTGTAATAACAATAGAAGACACACAATTAAATTAGCTATACATAATTTATTAGCCATTAATAAATTGTATTATTACCTTAGGTAGTGTTGTAGTCCTGCCAATGCACCAAAATGTAGTAGTCTCTCATTTTCTGAGATAGTACCCAGAGTTCTTTGTCTCACATCCAAGAGAATTAAGGAGCATGGACACAAGAGTGAGGCTGGAGTGAAAGTTTAATAAGCAAAAAAAGAAAGCTCTCTGCAGCTGAGGTGCCGGTGGCAGGGGGGTGCTGAATGTGTTGCCCACTATGAGGCTAGAGTCTGCGGTTTTTATGAACTGGGAAGGGGGAGGAATGTGCTTAGTCTGTGGCCTGTCTTGGAGAAACTGTGACTCAGCTTGGTCCGGGACCTTGACCTGGGACTAATCAGGGAAACTGTGACTCAGCTTGGTCCGGGACCTTGACCTGGGACTAATCAGGAGATGAAGTGATGATTCACAGGGGCTGCTCAGCTTGGCCCAGGACCTATTAGGAGCTGAAGTGAAAGCTTGACCTAGGACCTGAAATGAAATGAAGTTACATATTTTTCTTAACTATGAATGTAAGCCTGACTAGATGCACCATATATACACTAGTGAGAATAAAGTTTTACAGAAACATACTATCAAGGACTTTAAAAGTTATGCAGAGAGGTTTGGGTCAACCATTTGGAAAAAAAAAATTTCGATTGCAGCACTATTCACAATAGCCAAGACTTGGAACCAACCCAAATGTCCATCAGTGATAGACTGGATTAAGAAAATGTGGCACATATATACCATGGAATACTATGCAGCCATAAAAAAGGATGAGTTCATGTACTTTGTAGAGACATGGATGAAGCTGGAAACCATCATTCTGAGCAAACTATCACAAGGACAGAAAACCAAACACCACATGTTCTCACTCATAGGTGGGAATTGAACAATGAGAACACTTGGACACAGGGTGGGGAACATCAAACACTGGGGCCTGTCACGGGGTGGGGGTATGGGGGAGGGTAGCCTTAGGAGAAATACCTAATGTAAATGACGAGTTGATGGGTGCAGCAAACCAACATGGCGCATGTATACATATGTAACAAACCTGACGTTGTTCACATGTACCCTAGAACTTAAAGTATAATAATAAAAAAAACTATTTGAGCATTAAAAAAAAATTTTTTTTTTGAGTGGGGGAATGTCATGGTGAACAGCAGAGTTTTAGAAAATTCTGTCTACCAGTGAGATATAGGATGAATAGTAGAGGACACTGTTTAATGGAAACAGTGGTGGGGAAAGTTTAGTCAGAGAAGGAAGATAAATTCTTTTTTTGTAATCCAGGCATAAGATAGCAAGACTCTGGATTAAAGAGTTAGTGGAAATAAAGAAAAAAATTTCAGGAAAAAAAAAATAAAGAAAAAAATCAACAGAAATTGTTAAATAACCTCAGTAGGAAAGATGAAATAGAGGCAGAGTTAGGTCATGGTTCTGAGTCTTAGTAACGAATAGGATATCAGTTGTACCTCTGACAGACAGGGATGTCAGGAAGGCACTCTATTAATTATTCTAGTAAATTTTCTACTGGTGAGATAGAGCCAGGTACTATTTTCCCTGTGTCTGATTCTCAAACATTGCCTCCTGAGTTGGCTTTTTGGAACTGCAGCTTTCTAAGCTTTATTGCACGGGATTTGGAAACTTGAGCCTAGAGATGGAAGGCGCATCCTGCACTGCAAATGCAGAAATTCACAAAGCTGGAAATATGTCTTAAGGAACACATCCCATGACTGTGTACCATGCCATACTGCTGAGATACTTTAAATATATTCTCAATGGACAATATTTGGCTCAAATTGCCAATTAAAGCTGTGCACTCAGCTAAAGTAGACTTAACTTTTATACTTTTCCTTTTGGATTTTTGACACATTTCACTGTTTTCTTTAGTCTGTTCACTGGCACATGCATCCTTTTAGGATTAATTTTCCCCCATGAGTTGCAAGGGGGACCCACTATTTATTCCTAGAAGAAAAAAAGGCTTTGATAAATAGTATCACCCATGTGGTTTCATTTCTAGCCATACAATGAGTGAGGTTGGTTCATTTATAAAATAGGCTATTAGAATGTGTTTCATACGTAAACTGGGGAATAGATGACTCTGGACAAAAGGCTTTGAAAACTGCCTCTCCATTCTACAGACTCTTAGAATGAGAAATTCTCCCATGGGTAAGCTGTCCTCTGCTCTTCTCTACCTCTAAACTTCTTTGGTACATCATCCGTAATGCTTGTTGAACTGTATGTCTAACCAACACATGGGGCTACTGATTTATATTCTATGTAAGATAGATAATTTTTGTGTCAGCTACTGATTGCAAAAGAACTTTAAATTAATAATAAATACAGAAATATTACAGAGAACAACATAATGTTGTATATATCTAGATTACTCCTATGAATGTAATGGAAGGCATGACTTGAGGCCTCTGCAAGCATTGGCTTGGGATTAAGAACTATTTGTTCAAAACTGATAAAGTTATTTCACTTATTTTTTTCAAAAGCTACTTAAACAGATACAAATAAGATGAAAAGCCTATATTTAAAAGTGTTCCTGCCTATATTACTAGGGCAGGTGTACTTTAAATCAAAATAACTTGTGACTATTTTGTTCTCTTTTGGGGTTGAATAATGAAATGAGATTAATTATTCATTTTACTTTTTCTTTTTAGATTTCAGGGTCCATTTAGTATGATGCCATTACATTTTTGTCTCTCCATACTGACCCACACTGACTTGTTGAGCTTTAAGAATAAACTATCATGAAAAGATTTTTATTCACTTATATAACCTATTCTGTACTTGCTTACAGTTCAGAGTCCCCATTCAAACTAATGGATGTAGGTACCTAAGACAAAGAAAGAAAGGAGCTCAGTAGAATTGGTAAATCTCTCCTTTGAGAATAAAATTTGATTCAATAAGTCATGTTCTATACGTTGAAACTGGGAAAATGTCTTGCTGAGAAAGTAGGAAGAAAATGTTATCATCCTCACAGATCTTAGCTAGGGTCTGTAAATCTTCTGTTTTGGGTGGTCTGTAGTTGAAACAGATTTTTTAGGATTTATTCTCATTCTGCCTGTTTGTGAGGGTCTCTCACTTGGAAGTCTGGTCTACTCTTATTTAAAAATTTCTCTTTTACCAAGGGGAAGAATGAAGTCTTTGTTAAAGAAGCATAAAGTGAGAAAAATGTGACATTTAGTTCCCCAACACGTAAGGGGATGAAAACTAAGCTTATTGCCAAGAAATACATTTGGAATGCATTTCTCCTCTAGTGATGTTTATCAAGTGCTCATATATACATGGCGCCATGCTAAGTACTATACAATACAAATTAAATAGATGTGGTCCCTGCTTCTGCCAGTTTACATCTTCCTTCAATTCAGATGCTATAGCAGAGTGCTTAAAACAGCAAAATCAGATCATGAAGTTCTATCTGTCTCCCTCAAGGATTGGTAATTGAGATTTCTCTTTACATGCTGGACTGGGCAGGAGACACTGGAGAAGTGCTAAGTGCACTCTTTGTGCCTTTCTTCTGCTAACTAGTTGCAAAAGTATCTAAGCATCTGAAGCTTGAACTAGAAATTCTATACATTGTTTCTGGTTAGCATCAGCAGCTAAGAGAAGTCCTTCATTTATTTCCATAGGTTTTTGGGGAACAGGTGGTGTTTGGTTACATGAGTAAGTTCTTTAGTGGTGATTTGTAAGATTTTGGTGCACCCATCACCCAAGCAGCATACACTATACCCAATTTGTAGTTTTTTATCCCTCACACCCTTCCTACCCTTTCTCCTAAGTCCCCAAAGTCCGTTGTATCATTCTTATGCCTTGGCATCCTCATAGCTTAGATCCCACTTACGAATGAGAACATACGCTGTTTGGTTTTCCATTCCTGAGTTACTCCACTTAGAGTAATGATCTCCAATTCCATCCAGGTTGCAGCGAATGCCATTATTTCTTTTTATGGCTGAATAGTGTTCCATGGTATATATAGATACCACAATTTCTTTATCCACTCATTGATTGATGGGCATTTGGGCTAGTTCCATATTTTTGCAATTGCTAATTGTGTTGCTATAAACATACATGTGCAAGTACCTTTTTCATATAATGATTTCTTTTCCTCTGGGTAGATACCAAGTAGTGAGATTGCTGGATCAAATGGTAGTTCTATTTTTATTTGTTTAAGAAATTTCCACACTGTTTTCCACAGTGGTTGTACTATTTTACATTCCCACCAGCAGTGTTCCCTTTTCAGCATATGCAATACCATCTTAGTCCTGAAAGAATTGCCATAATCAAAAAATAAGAGAAGTACATTTTTGTGGAGGCCTAGGGCTGATTGCCTGAAAAGGCAGCTTCACCCTGTGTGTATAACCCCACAATCTTTGAAGCAAATTTCTTCACCTCTATTAAAACCCAAGTGATAAACATAGATAGGCTCTTTGCTACTCACAGTTACAGACTTATGAGTCTTTTAGAAACATTATTAAATTACTTTAAGTGGTCATGAGGTATTGTACGATGGGAAGAGCTCAGACTAAAAGTTAGAAGGACTGGATTTTATTCTTGGCTCAGACCCTAAATAGCTAGTTAATTAGAACAAGTGGTTTCACATTTGGACTTTAGTATTGTCTCAAAATTAAGAAACTGGAGTTAAATACTTTTCAGTTTTAATATTCCATAGGATTACATGTGAAGTAACCACCATATGGGACTTGTCAGTGATCAGAGGGTCAGTAAAAGGAAAGGAAATGTCTGTTTCTTTGTTCTATCTTATATTATCAATGTCTTCATAATTTACTCTACAGTATAGGATATAACCACTTTTGAAGTCAAATATTGCAGAAATCAACTAGTGAGATGATTAAAATTGGGAACAATAGCCTAGAAGCCAAATAGAAAGAAGTAATTGCTTCAAGGATAATAACTGAAGATACGACTGATTAAATAGGATCTAATTTTACATTCTGATCAAGTAACATAGTTCCAAATGCAAAAAATGGGTGTTGGGATATCTGCCCAAAATCATTAGAAGTGCATTTTGTTTTGCTTTCAGATGGAGGAGAGAGACATATGACCTAATTTTCTCCTTCTTTTTGGATGTCATGGTAAATGGAAAATGGAAAGAGTCCAGCTGGAAGACTTCCACTAAATATTGAAAGAAAGCAACATGCTTAAGATAAGGGTATATGGAGTAGTCTACTCAAAGAATAAAGTAATATATTGTCTTCCTTTTTGCTTTAGCAGAGCAAATATTTTTGAATCCCATGTGTGAGGAAAGAAACACAATAGAGGGGTTAAATCTTTAGTAAAATCTATTTTCCCCTTTAGAAACTTTGGCTTTCCCAGCAGATGTCTCCACAATGTTTATGTTTATTTTTTCCATCATTGGTTAAAAATATAATCAAACGGTGTCAGAGCTGGGAAAAAACCTTAGCGATCAGAGAGTCCAAACTATTTTCCAGATGAGGATGTCCTATCTACAGAATTGACTTACCCAGGTTCTTTCGG
Organism: Homo sapiens; assembly: GCF_000001405.40. Lineage (NCBI taxonomy): Eukaryota > Metazoa > Chordata > Mammalia > Primates > Hominidae > Homo > Homo sapiens. The sequence continues at coordinate 99,073,347 of NC_000023.11, read as the reverse complement.
TTTTTGTTAGCAGAGATAAGGTTAGAAAATAACATGAAATGTGAAAAATGACAAAGAGAGAGGGAAGTAGAATGAAACATGAGGAAACAAAGGGAAATTGTGAATCAGAAAAAAAAACTTAATATGTACAAATTTGAAAATCTGAGACAGGGCTCAACAAACTGCAATCTACTAACCAAATTCAGCCTGTAGCTTGTTTTTGTACAGCCCTTGAGCTACAAACAGTTTATAAATTTTTAAAGAGTTGTTTAAAAAAATGTGACAAAGACCATACATGGCCCACAAAATCTAAAATATTTACTATCTGGCCTTCTACATAAAACATTTGTAGATCCCAGATTAAAACACGACACTGAGACCACACACATAGTATAGCTAAGCAAAATCAAAATGACTTTCAGAAAAATCTGACAGTGACTGAATTCATCCAGGAACAATTTGCTTTATCCACTTTCCATTCCAATCAACTATATACAATTCTCTGACCACAGAGACCAAAAGAAGAGATTCTTTTTTCAGAAACCACCGGGATATTTTTCTCAGGAAAAGTGTATAATGTTTAGAGTAGGTCTAAGGGTCAGAAAACAAATTACAAACTCTTTGTTCTCCTTCCCTCTTGTAATCTTCAGTTTCACATTTTGAAGCCTTTCTAGGTTCCACTGTGTTTATTTTCTTCTTCTTTATCTCTGACGAAACTGTAATTATGTTGAACCATATGAAATTGCCGATATTAAACCAGTTTAGACTTAAAAAATGGTAGTCTCTCGTGGTTCAAGTTAATATTTAGCATTCTGGTCACTTTCTCTTAGAATTTTGCCTCTTGTTTTGCTATATTTTGCCTTATTAGTGATTCTTTTATTTGAGCTTATCCAGCTCCCCATTTGTCTAGAGCTTCTTTATATAATACGGGTTTGATTTCTAAGTTTACAGACTACCCTTTGCAGTATCTTAGTTGACTGAAGCTACTGCTAATGTTTTATTTAAAGTGTACTGACCTAACCTTCATTATCTACAGGCATACACACAGTCATAGTAAATTCAGTTTACTGGTGAATAAATGGCTTCCATTGTCAATTTTGGATCATCTTATGCCATGCAACTGCATAGTCCACCTGAAAAAGCACACAACTTATTTTTTTGAATGAATGTAACCAATTATCAGAAGGTGAAACTATGAAGGAACTGTTAGATATTTTAGCATCAAAATTGTAGCATCCATGGCTGTATATGGCATTGCCTGATAAACTTAACTGTGAACTTTCATCATTCCCACCTTTGTCTTACTTAAAGTGGTACTCAGCCAAGCTTGCTGAAATGAACCTTGGGGTTAAGAAATGCAGTCATTTAGAACTGAAGAAGCTTTTCTTTTGCCTATAACATTAGGCATCATGGTTCAGCAAGGCAGAGACCACGAGGTCAGGGAGTGTAGATTTCCTCTCACACAAAGAGCTTTGTGAATATCGTTATTGATTATGCCAGTTTATTTAAGCAGAGACATGAGGAAAAGAAATCTAAAAAGTTTAGAGGAAGACTGCTAGTTTACTGCAATAGTTTAAAGCATGCCACTTGGAATTACATCAGTCTGGGTGTGTATCCCAGTTCCTTCTCTTACTAGCTATGGGTACCTTGGGGCGTATTATTTGATCTTTATTTTTTCTTTATAAAATGGACATATCCATGACCCAATTGATTTCTGATGAAAATAATTTGAGGTAGAGTGTGTAAAATAAGCATTCAATAATATATTTTTATTAATGTATGAGTAGAAAGACTACTAATGATAAATTAAAATGTATGATAATGAAATTGATTATCTCCAAATTTATTAAGATCTGAAATGCTACAGAAAAATAAATTAAAGTCGCTAAAATGTTGATAGAAAAAAAGTCAAGAAAATGAAATCAAAGAAGAAATATGTTGCCTAAAGTTCATAGAAACTATAGTGGAAATCCAGTGCTTGAAATAAGCAGGAAGGAAACTGAAATTCTTATACATTTACTTTATTCATTTACTCATTCAATCACTCTTTAAATATATGTTCCTTGAGTACTTGCAATGCTCAAGGGACTGTGATAGCATGGAAAGAACATAATATAAACAAAATTCTGTACACTTAAGAGTGTTATGGTCCGGGGGTTTGTGAATTTCATAAAATCTCGCATAGACTCCTGATCAGAAACAGAAAAAAAGAGGACCATCTCTAGTTAAACAGGAAATGAGGGAACATTAAACCATATACACTTTCCCCCATTCATCTCAGGATGCCCATTGGCACCTCCACTGACCCTAAGTTTTATGAAACACTGCTTGAAAACCACTTATCTAGTCTGTTATAAAGATGATTTGCATAAAATCCCATTTTATGATTCCCTCTTCAGTCTATAACACAGGTACACTTTTAGAAGCATACATTATAGTAGACGCATAATCAAGTAGGCTATTTTCAATCCCTGTATCCATAATTGCATTATTTAACTGTTCCACAAAGTTGCTGTGAAAAACAAGACAAAATAATGGCAAATTTTGATTAGGAAGGGAAAAGGCATCAGGCAAGTTTGAAAAATGTTGGCATGGTCTAGGAGGACAGGTGTAGAAGGACTCCAATGTGGAGAAGCTAGGAGTAGAATGGATGTTCTAGGCAGGAGAGAAATGCAAATAGAGTGAGAAAAGGATATTTAAAGTCTCCCAAATAATTTGCAACCACATAACTTTTCTTCTGGTAACTTCATGAAGAAAGAAAATTTATTTTTTCTTTATTTAATGGCATCACAAAAAAAGAACTCTGAAGTGGCTTATGATGAAATCATGTGTTTGGCTTATTTCATAAAACAAAAATATATTCAAAGGGCATGAAAAGAGCAAACATGAAGAAAAAGAACGCCTTCTTAGATTTGATCAGGTCAGGAAATGGGGAAATGGCAACATCTCAATAAGTAGGGAGAAAGAGCTGGTGGCAGATTATTCCAAGGTTTCTTCAAACTTTTAAAAAGTTCCAACTTTCAGCAGTCAGCTCGTAGAAGCGATTTCTATAATAGATAATATAGGACCATTATAGGCATAATACATACATTAGAGATAAATAATAAATGTATGACTCTGAAGTCTGCTAGACACAGTATTCCTAGATGTCAAAATAAATGGAAAGGGACATGTCACCTTACCATCAAATAGAAGGAAATAAAGCAATATCTGGTGCCTTTTCCCCCATATTCCTAGTGAGCTTTCCCAACACAACTTAGCCACAAACTGATAGATTGAGTGTCGCCTTGCCTCTAAGACTTTGTATATACTCTGTCTAAAACACCATTTCTCTTCTGCCATTACTAACTCTTGCACATCCTTCAAGTCTCAGATTAGGTTTCACTTTCAAAGAATGACGACAATGACAACAGTAACAACAGCAACAAGAAAACATCTTTCACTGGCTGCCTTCATCTCCTGTTGCTCCAAGTCCGTGCTGGTTGCATTTATGTGTTCCTTTTACTATTGCTGTCATGGCACTTACCATAGAGTACAATTGCCTCTTTAATTGTTGCTATCCCTTACTAGAGTATAAACCCATTGAGGATAGAAGCGTATCTGTTTTGATCATACTGTATACTCAGCACACAGAAAGGGACAGTCACACAGTAAATGGAATGAATCAAATGGAAAAAAAATGACAGAGTGAATAAACAAACAGTTCCACATATCAGTGAATCAGTGACTGCAAGGCTACCTTTGTTTATGATATGATTTGAATGGTGGTAGAAGAAATCTCTTCCCTAAAATAATTCTCTCGCCTACTTTGATTAGGATCTGAATTTCCACCATTTGCAATCCAAATTTATTTTACTTATAAAGACCATTTGGCATTTCAATAGCTTTTTAGTGATGGTGCAAATATATCTGGGTGCAAATAATATGTTAACATACCCCATTTCCACCTTAGTAGAGAATATAGCAGCCCTGAACAATGCGCATGCAACATAAAGATTCTAGGGCAACACTAGTAGAACTTTTGTAATAATAGTTCTAGTAGAACTTTTGTAATAATAGTTCTAGTAGAACTTTTGTAATAATAGTAACATGGCTAGTGCATTTGAGGAACTAAGTTTTTACTTTTATTTCAATTTAATTAGTTTTACTTTAAATAGTCCCATGTAGCTAGTCACTACTATACTGCACAGTGCAGTTCTAGAGAGAAAAGAACACCAAAAAGAGGAAAAAGATAAAATACAAAGCAATAAGGAGGACTTCAAGGACTGCTCTGTAATGCTCACAAGTCCATTTCTGGTTCAGGGGCAATTTGAGTTGGATAGATAATACATGTCAACAACAAAGTCTGAAAGGAACGAAAGATCTGGAAGTTAGATAAGCCACAAAACATGTATCTGGCATTGTGAATGAAGAATACTATTATCTCAACATTCTGGTATTCAAGAAGCCATTTAAATTGGTCAAATCCAGGAAGAATCACTACATTTTCTCAAAGACTGGAATTTCAACATAGTGCCCACAAACCTAAATCTTCTTCATGTCATTCGGTTAACGTTAATTAAAGTTAGAATCTCAAGTGTATAGCACATGCTTTCTTTCAAATTTAATCTATCTTTCTACTTGTCCTTGTTTTTAGCATTTTTAATGTTGTTGATTCATTGCATGCTGACATTTTTCATAATGCTTAATGGTACATGATGACTTTGCAACCAGAAACACAGACCATTTAGAAGGCATTCAATGAATGGAACAGTCACCAGAATGAATAAAAGCACTGGTTTATTCCTAAGTTTAAAATAAATCTTTCATGTGTGCAAATAACTTTACTTTTCACTATTGGTGCAAAAACTTCAGATAAATATGCAAATTGTGGTGTTCTTTGACTTTCTGTAATTTGGCATCATTGCATGTGTTTAATGCCCATAATTTATGACTGTGTAAATGCTCATAAAATATGCCATTTCTTCTGGCTGCCAAATATATAGTTGAAAAATGTAAAGTTATCAAAGTTAAAAGTGATAATGAATTTAAATAGTATAAACTGAAACAAAGGTTATTCCTACAATGATACGTTTAAGGGACTAGTATTAGCATTTATTTAGCTGCTTCTGATAAATAACATTTTTACATAAATATCAGGGTAGTTTTCTTGCTCTGCCTAGATAATCATCACAAATTTGTCCAACCAATGTTGAAATACCAATTGATTTAATGACTCCAGTCAAATAACAAGTCAGTTAAATGGGGAAAGAAAACATCTTTAAGCCAATAATTTTACAGTAATGATGGAATAGTTGAATTGACCAGTTGAATCAGAGATGTTGCTCTAAAAGCACAAGATAGAGTCGATCTAGTGTAATGCTTTCTGATAAAATAAAACAAGGCTAACATTGAACCATTTTTATTTGTGACCATACATACATATGTGTGTATATATAATATATATATATAACATATGTCAATTGCATTAAAATCTGACATGTTATTGAGACCACATCAGGTGAAAATTAATGCAGTTCTATGAATTTAAATCTGTGATTGTTCATGTGACAATGAAGCATTGTAGGTTTAGGATTTTTGATCATATACTTTTGTCAAATCAATCAGCATGGCCTTCTGTCTTAGTGCAAATCAGCTGAAAATCCAGAAATATTTGCTTTTTCTGCCATGCTAACATGCTGATGAATTGAGCTGCTTGGTTTATAAAATACTGTGTTTGGACAACTTTTCAGATTTCTCTTGTCTCTGGGGCTGTGTAGATGCAGGATAAATTTAAATAGGGTGAGACAAAGAATGAAAATGAGCATCTACCTAAGTCATAATCTAAATCCACTTTCAAAGTTCAAAGTAATTCTCTGGAGAATCACTTATTTGCCAAGTTCAATTCACTAGTATCCATCTCCATGACCTGCAAGCATGGTGAAGCTCATATTTACAGGTTACATTAGGTTATCATGTGTCTCCTAGTGAGGCAAGGAAATGAAATATTGACCATAGATCCTTCAGCTACTGTATAAACCAGTACATTGGGAAGAGAAACCATAACGGTCTCATTAGACTATTTGTAACCACTATATGCCAAGGTAAATTCTTGGAGAAAACATATCCTAGTGACCAGAAAATGACATAAATTCCAACCTGACCTCAAATCGCATTGTCCACTCAATAGCTATAGGATTTGGTCAAGTTACTTATCTTCATTATTTATTTAATTTTTAATTTCTGCCTATCTTTTTCCCAGCTTTTTTGAGGTATAATTAACATATAAAAAAACTTCACATAATTTGATGAGTTTGAACATATGTATACACTCTTCTTACCATCACCACAATCAAGGTAATATACATATCCATCATCTCCAAAATTTTCTTGTGTTTCTTTGGGTTCTGTTTGTTTGGTGCGTGTGTGTGTGTGGGGGGTGGGGGTGAGTGTGTGTGTGGTTGTGTGTGTGTGTGTTAAATATACTTACCATGAGTTCTATCCTTTTAACAAATGTTTAATTGCACAAGCCTTATTTTTAACTATAAGCACTATGTTTTACAGAAGACTTCCGGAACTTACTCATCTTATATAACTAACTTTTGCCCATTGAACAACAACTCCTCCTATTTCCATCCCTCATCTCCTCTTAGCCATCATTCTATTTTCTCCTTCTATGCATTTGATATTTTAGATGCCTCATATAAAATGAAGCATGTAGTATTTATCCTTCTGTTGCTGACATTTCACTTAGCATAATCTTCCAGGTCCAGCCATGTTGTCACAAATAGTAGGATTTCCTTCATTTCCTTCTATGTATACACAATGTTCCTTGTATGTAGATACTACGTTTTCTTTATCCATTCATCTATCCATGGGTATTTAAGTTGTTTCCATATCTTAGCTGTTGTGAATAGTGCTGCTATGAACATGGGAGTGCAGATATCCCTTTGACATACAAATTTCAATTGTTTTAGATATATAGCCAGAAGTGAGATTGCTGGGTCATATGTTAGTTCTATTTGTAATTTTTTGAGAAAACTGTATACTCTTATCCATAGTGGCTGCATCATTTTACATTTCTACCAACAGTGTACAAGGATTCCAATTTTTTCAAAACCTCCCAGCACTTGTTATTTTTTGTTTTGTTTGTTTGTTTGCATTTTGGGGGTTATTTTGATAATGGCTATCATAACAGGTGTGAGATGACATCTCATTGTGGTTTTGATTTGCATTTCCTCAATGATTAGCATTGAACATCTTTTTGTATGTCTGTTGGCCGTTTGTATATTTTCTTTAGAGAAATGTCTATTCAGGTACTTCACAATTGTACAAAATCTGATTATTAGGTGTTTTTGTTTTTATTTATTTGTTTACTACTGAGTTTTATGCCTGTGTTTTTGTGTGTGTGTGTGCCATAATCAAGAACTCCTTGCTGAGACCAATGCCAATAAGCTTTTCCCTAATGTTTTCTTTCAGGAGTTTTATGGTTCCAGAACTTACATTTAAGTATTTAATGCATTTTGGGTTAATTTTTGTGTATGGTGTAAGATAAGGGTCTAATTTCATTCTTTTAGGTGTAGATATCCAGTTTTTCCAATACCATTTATTGAAGAAACTATACTTTTTCCACTGTATATTCTTGACTCTATATCTGTGGGTTTATACCTCTATTCTGTTCTATTGGCCTATGTGTCTACTTTTATGACAGTGCCACACTGTTTTGATTACTTTCACTTTGTAATGCATTTTGAAATCAGAAAGTGTGATGTCACCATCTTTGTTCTTGCTCAAAACTATTTCAGCTGTTCATTTTCCACTCAACAACTGTAATTAATGAAATTAAGTTCATTAATTTTCAAAAGGGGGCAGGATTGGGAAAATCATGAAATAATCTCATAGGAGTATGTGAAAGAGTAAAAGGTATTTAATATATATATATATATATATGTATATTTGTTTTCCCTTGGAGTCATTTTGTAATCTCTACAATTGTTACTCTAAATCATTTTCACTCTCCTTAAGCCTTTGGCTAAAATTCTACCTCCGTGTTCAGTAAATAACTTAACTTCTTCCTTTGTTGAGTAAAAGACTATTCTGCATGAACTCAAAGTTTCTCTGAATTTCTCCTCATTATCTTTTCCTTTTTTTGTCTGTGAGGAAAATGTGTTCCTCCTTCTTTCCAAGACTAACACCTTCTGCTCTTTTTTGGTACCATTATTTCATCCATTAACCCCATCTCTCTTGCATCTCTAATGTTTTCTTATGCCCATTATATATATATATATATATACACACACACACATATATACATATACACACACATATATATGCATGTGTGTGTGTGTGTATATATATATATATTCTAGCATAGCACTTGGTACATCATGAGACTTCCACGAATGATTTCTTTCTGACTACCATACCACTAGATTTATAATGTCATTGTTTATAAAATGCTAACTTTGGACTTATGTATCAATAATTCTATGTTTTAAGGGGTAATAATGATGATACATATATAATTCATGACTGGTAAGCTATTCATCAAGTCAGTAAAATTCATTACCAGTCATGATTTAGAATGTTGTGACCTCTAAGTGCTTATCTCTGAAATTCTCCCTTTTATATTAATACCGCCTTATGTTTAACTTCCACATATTTACGAAACCAACAGTTGCCATCATTATGACTGGTTTTAATTGCTACTATCCCTAGTCTAAAAGCCATGGTCAAATATTTAATTGTGATTTTTTTCATAGCCTCTTAGAATTCTTAGCCTCTTTGGCTTTTTTCCACATCCAGTCCTAAATCCTGAATAAATTCCCAATTTCTGTTTTCTCCACACTCTTATACAGGCTGCTGAATATTGCTGATGAAAATCAAGAAACTGTACTGATTAAGTTTACCTTCATTTGGTCCTTTGCTGCTGCTCAGCAATTCTTTAATTTATATTTTCTTGGGGCTATTCTGTAATCTCTACAATAGTTATTCTAAATCATTTCCACTCTCCTTAAGCTTTCAGCCAAAATTCTATCTCTGTGTTCAGTAAATAACTTAATTTCTTATTTTGTCGAGTAAAAGACTACCCTGCATGAACCCCCTTGACTTACCTTCTATCCATCTCAAAGTTTCTCTGTATTTCTCTTCATTATCTTTTCCTTCTTTTGTCTGTGAGAAAAATATGTCCCTCCTCTTTTCCACAGCTAATACCTTTTTCTTCTGCTCTCTTTTGGTATGATTATTTCATCCATTAGCCCCATCTCTCTTGCATCTCTAATGTTTCCTTATGCCCATTAATATACTCTGCTCTAGGAGACACCAAAAGGAAGACAAATAATTAAACTAATAATTTTTTTTCTGTGAACAGCTATTCACTGAAGATTATGGCATATATCTAGCCTTTCTTTCACCACCAACCATTCCAAAAATATAGTCTGCAGTCACCTCCTACTTATCACCACCCACTTTTTGACCCACTTGCAGTCAAGCAGCTTCTCCCCACTCCTCTATTGAAACTGTTTTTTGAAGGTCACTAATGACCCTCTTAACTGCTAAATTTCAGCTTTTTCATAGCCATCACTCTGTTGACCTCTCCATAACATTTAACACAATTCATTATACTGACCTCTCTCTATTGAAATGGTCTGCTGTCTTGGCTTGCATGATTCCTCAGCCTTTTGGATATTCCTACTATATGATCATTTGTCTTTGTCTCTTCTGCTGACCTAATTTATTTTTTCTGTTTTCTATATTGTAAGTATTACCTGAGATTCTGTCTTTTGTTGTCTTCAATTCTCTTTTAATAATCTCCACTATAGTGGTTTCATTCATATGTATGATTTCAAATATCATTTCTATTCAAATGATTTTTCCTAATCTGTATCTTCAGAAACAACTTCCCTCCTTAGCTCCCAGGACTACAGTTTCAAATGTTGAATTAATATTTAAATATTTTCACCTAGATAAGTACTGATATCTGAAACTTAACACATTCAAAATTTTACCCATTATTGTTATTTTCAGAAATGTTCTGCTTATTTACATATTACAAATCCCCTTGATTCATAAATATAGGAGTCATCTTTAAATACTCATTTCCCCTCAAACCATGCAATTTGTCAGAATTTATTATCAATTCAATCTGTAAAACAAATCTCTCTCTCTCTCTCTCTCTCTCATTCTCTCTCTTTCTTTATCTTTCTCCCCCACCCTTCCTTTCTCTACTTACTCCTTTCTGATTTCTTATTTTCATTCTTGCTGCTACTATCTTATTCAGCTTTCTAATATCTCACATTTGGACTTATTCCAATACCTTAGATGCCTGAACTTCTAATGTGTCCCCACTCCAATCTGTTCTGTTACAAAATTAAGCTCCAGCCATTTTGCTCAGTACCATGAGATACCCTATGTGGCTTTTCCTTACCATAAATGAAACACAAATTTCTTATCCTGGTATGGAAGTTCTTGTAGTCTCATCCGAACTTAGATTTTCTAACTTAATTCCCAGCTACTTTCCTGTATACACATTCTGCTATAGCCAAACTAGGCTACTTGGCATTCCTCAAATCAGGCACTATTTTTCTACCTATGCTTTCTTCTCCTATGAAAAGGCCCTTCTCACATCTTTGTTTTTCAATAGCCTAGACAGCGTTCATATTTCACATAAAGTTCCCTTTCTCTGAAATGTCTTCCCTGTTTCCCTTTGGCAGGAAGTGATTATTACTTTACATAGGGCCCCAGAATTCTATTCTTATCTCTTTTTATTGCATATGCTCCATATTGCCTAAGTCACCTGCATTTGTGAGTGGTCCTGCTACTCAATTGTTAGCTCCATGAATACATGAATTTAGAATTTAGACTTACTCATTCCTATTTCCCCACACCTAGCACAGTACTGTATACTTAGTAACAGCTCAAAAATACTTGCAAAATATATGCTTAATTCCAAATGGATCAAATGCTTATATGTGGAGCTTTGCTCTATAGAGCTTCAAACACTCTATGGACATTATTGCACATCTTGAAAACAAAGCAAAGGACAGTTGCCATTATCTCTGTGAAGGGCTAAAGGCAAAGCAATTTACTAGAGTTGGTAGCAGAGCTGCAAATCCAAGGCTCCTGACTACCAGACAAGTGCTCTATCCCCTCAACCATGCATGCTGTCAAATTAAATTAATTCAGATTAATCTAGAAGTAAATTTCCATTTCCTTTGTTTATCCAACAGTTAGCTTTAATAGCCACATTTCCCTGGTTGGAAGTCCAAATTGCCTCACTTTTTCCTCTCCCCTCTGCCCACTGGCAGGTCTCACTCCTCACTGTCACTTATGTGGAAATGCACTCTGCTTGATGTCCTTTCTCCTGGCTGTATAAGCTTCAGTGCACCAGCAATCAGTGGGCTCGTTCAGCCTCTTTTCTTTTCTTTTTTTTTTCTTTTCTTTTCTCCCCTTTTCTTTTTGTCATTCTCCAAGTGAGTTGAATTTACCTTCACTAAATTTTACATGTCATGGGTGGCCTCACATATTAGAGGGCAGAAAATGGCTGCAGCTGAAGGGAGGATAAGGGAGGATAATAACTCTATTTTCTGCAGAAAGAGATGAGATCATTTTTAAAGATGTCATTTCCTTTTAGATGAAGAAGGTTGTTAGACTCCCCTTTATGTCCTTTTATCATCCAAGGTCATGAAAAAAGTAGGAAGAAGTTGCTTCCTGCAATGATAGTGAAACCTGACTGTCGGGCATCATTTAGGCATAAAGATCATGAAGTACTTTGCTAACCACTAGTGTAACCAAGATGTCTGTGGGCTGGATCATGATAAACGTTCTACTGTGGCAGCACAGTACATCAGCTTTAGATCTAGCAGTAAAAAATAGGAATTGGAGACAGCCACTATTTGACATCCCTAGTCTTGGGCACACTGTTCAGTGTGTCTATAAGTAATGGTCAGATAGGCATGTGTGTGTGTGTGTGTGTGTACGTGTGTTTAAGACATAATTCCTGACAGCAGAACAGCAGAATCCTCTGGAACACGTGATCCATGCAGTGCCTTTACAATCCCAAAAAACAATTTGAAAAAAAAAATTGAAGGCATCTGTTATTTTGTTTGCTTGATAACAAATAACTAGACTGACTCTTGTGGCTTTCCTCTTGATTTGATTGTTCTGAGAACCAATTTTGAAATTCTATTAGTTTTTGTGAATTTGAAGCTGTCAAGAGTTCACCTTTTCCTACAAGGAAGAAACCACACCCAGCCTACTTGCCCTTCAACATTACAATCTAAATTTGGAGGACTTATAGGAAACTCTGACCCTTGGAAGAATTAGTCAACTCACATTTAATTTTCACTATTGCATATGACAACTATGCATGTAAAATAATCCATCATCTTTCTAACCAAAAATAATTATGTATTCAATTTATAGTCTTCTACTTCTGCTTGAATCTAGTAAACTGTGTTATATAAATAATAATCAGTAATAACCTAATACATAAAAATATGCTTCAGGTAATGATGAACATTAAAATGCATGAATTATTTCATCAGCAGAATGTGAACTTGTAGAAAAATAATAAGACAAACAGCTTGTTTTGCTTGTCTTTTCCTTATCCTCATTTGCATCTCAAAACCTAACTTCAATGAGAGTTTGCAGTGAAATTTCTAATAGGGAGATCCTGACAAAATGTAATTTAAAGGAGGATGGCCAAAGGCGGTTAAATAGTATAACGCAATATTAAGTGGTTTATATGAATTCAACAAAACTTCCCAGTCAGTGAAAAAATAATATTTTAAATGTACAAAGTTAAATTGTTAAAGGATATTAGAGTCACTGGTATTGAAACAGATCAAGTAAGGGTAGCCATTTTTATTCAGTGGTATGAAAATAACCCAGAAGGATAATTGTAAATGCAATGAAAATTCAAACAGAGCTGAAATTGCCATGTAAATAATAATAATAAAAACTGGCTGCTTCTGCCAAAATACTGTCAACTCATACAGATTGTACAGCACCATAATTATCAGAACTGACATATGCAAAATGATTATAAATTAGTGGTTTGTAGAACAAAGTCGTATGTTATAGATTTTACTAGGTAGATACATAATCACTGAGAACAAAGGACCTTTAAACAATATAAAATTATGAAATTAATCTAAAATGGTATGCTGCAAACACTGTAAATTATGAGATCATTTTTCATATGATTAAGGATGAATTTATATACCTAGACACTTGAATGAGTGGACTTCATTATATACAGCTATTACTACTGCCTACATGACAGATTTGGTCAGCCTTACTGTAAGTACTTTAACAGTAAGTCAATCCAAGGAAAGGTTACAAAGTTGGAAATCAGAGTTATCACAAATTATGTTTCTGGTTTGAAGATCTAAAAAATAAATTGGAAAGGATATTGCTTTTAAAAATGTACATGAATTAGGCACAGACAACATGCTAGTTTGTGAAAGTGTTTGACCTTATGAATACCTTAAAGCTATTCCTTCAATGATATTTAACTCTTTTCCATTGATAAGTTGAACCATAGTAGTATAATGTTTCCAGAATGCATTGACTCATTTTCCCATGAACTTGAGATTCTTACAGGTCCTTTCTGTTTGAGGTTGTAGGCATGTTGCACCCATTGGATGATTTCTTCTTTGTAGTAAATGCATCCCTACTGTGTTATTTTCTATATTTTACGTAAGTTCAAGGTATGACAATGCATATGTGGCAAAGATGTATGTAGTCTGCTTTATAAAAAGTGTCTAAGGAAACAAAATTTTCTTTCCTGGTTATATATTCAGAAAGTTGTTATTTTCTGTACATAGTGTGGTTTTGGTTTACTAATGTTTGGCCAATGTTAGAAACATGCATAAATAGAAATTTACTCATAAGAAAATGAGTAATGTAAATCAGAACTGTTTGAGAAAAGACCGTGTGTTAATGTTTTTACCACAATTCCATTTTTCTGAGCAATAGACTGTGTCTTCATGACACCAAAACATCTGGATGTAAAGTGAAAAATGTAGTCAGTCGTCTAGAGGTTTCTAAATATCCAGATGCTTTGTGTTGGTTAGACAAAGATTTCAAATGATTGACTGAATTGCTCACCCTCACAGTTAACGTGAATAGATTACTCCGTCTGGCACTCTGGGGAGGCAGACAGTCAGAAGATAGAAGATGGATCATGAGACCTCATAGAGGAAGGAGTGGTTAGATGATTATTTTATTCTCAACAATTCTCGAAGTTGATTGCTGTCCTTCTTGCGATATCATTAAAAGAATAATGAAGCATTAACATTATCATTTACTTCTTGAAATCCTATTTTTTTTTGGAATAAGCATTGTGTTGGTTAACTGCAAAACTGTGTAAACTACCAAAGAATCAATAGGTATTAATAGATATATAAAAGTAATTTTAAATACTGCCTCCCTCAAGCATCACTGTATTTAAAAACATTATATTATCAAGAACAATTATAAATATCAAAAAGGACAAAAAATTTGAACTTCTGGAATAAGTGAGTAAGCATTTATAGAGCATTTATACATAATTTACCCATTCCTTCAGTAAACAATGAGCCCCTCAATGCGCCAGGTACTGTGCATAAGATATAGAATGTGGATTAACAGTTTTTGCCTGCAAGCAACACACATTCTAGTAGGGTATATAGAAATGTTAACTGACAATAACGTTAGAGTGAGGTAAGTGCCAACAGAGCTGCGTACAAAGTGTTATTGATATATAAACAATGGAACTGCTGTTTGCCTATAGTCTTGGAAAGGAAGTTGTTAAGGAGAGTTTGATAGCGGAAATGCTATTTGTTCAAAATCTTGAAAAACGGAGAAAGAGAACAACTAGAAACACTGAAAAATACAAATAAACCCACAAACGCCTGGTTAAAAGTATCAGAGAGCTATTGAAGAAGACAGGACTTGAGGAACCAAGCTTTGACAGAAAAGAGAAAACGTACTCTGCATCTGGCAAACATTTTAATATACATTTCCCTCAAGGGATTTACTAACTCATATGTGGCTTAAACAGAGAGGCTGATAAGCTAAGCAGCTGTGTAGAAATGGTTGCTAAGAGTCAGAGAGGTTGAGCAGAGCTTTTTGTCAGTTTCATGAAACTGAAAGAAAAAAACAAAAAATGAAGTTCACAGCTACCAAAGGAGCCTATAAGTGACTAACAAAGATCCCAAAGAAAACTGAAGAGCAGAGGAGTAAACTTGAGAGTTCAAGCAGGTTTTCCTCCTGAGGTAGTCACCAAATAATAAATGGCACAGGTACAGATGCCTAGCAGAAAGTGGCTGTGAGGAGGCTGAGAAGCCAAGCAGAGTATATCAATTAGGATTTTATCAGAGAACCAGAACCTCTCTGAGTGACATGAAATATAAAAACTTATAGGTGTTGGATCTTATGCAATTGTGGTAGCCAATGAAGAAGACTGAAAAGCTGTTGCCTCTGCACCAGGTGATAAGTCTAAAGTCACTAAGGGTCAGCAGGATCAATATTAGAGAAGAAAACTATGACCTGAAGCAGAAGAGAGACAGGGTAGACTGTAACCCACAGAGACAAAACAAAATCCCAGATGACCAACTAGAACCCATGCTTGTCTATCACAGCTTTGGTCTCCATCAATGTAGGTGACCTCTAGAAAAAGATGGCAACTTTTGCCATGGAGCTGAACATATGCCTAGCTCAGAACTTAGAGAAGCTGAAAGATAACTTGTAGGAGCTGGGGAACCTATGTGCCTGGCTGCTGCTTTAAGCTGACAAATCAGCAGCTCAGTGACGATGTGCATGAACTGCAATGATTCCTGGACCACAATACCTACACAAATCTTTAAAGCATAATGGCTGCTGCTTCATTTCCACCTTGAAAATCTCCCAAAATTTGCCAAGAGGCCAATTCTAACTTAGAGCCGACACATAATATAATTCTAGAAATTGTAGGTTTTTCTTTATACAATACAAAATCACCAAATTCTGACCCTTGTCAATTTAGCATCCATAGGCATCTCTGTTAACAATATTTGTCTTTCATATGGAAACAATAGGCTGGGCGTGGAGGCTCATGCCTGTAATTCCAACACTTTGGGAGGCTGAGGAGGGCAGATCACGAGGTCAAGAGATTGAGAGCATCCTGGCCAACATGGTGAAACCCCATCTCTACTAAAAATACAAAAATTAGCTGGGCATGGTGGTGCACACCTGTAGTCCCAGCTACTCGGGAGGCTGAGGCAGGAGAATCTCTTGAACCAGGGAGGCGGAGGTTGCAGTGAGCCAAGATCGTGCCACTGCACTCCAACCTGGTGACAGAGCGAGACTCCATCAAAAAAAAAAAAAAAAAAACACACACACACACACACAAAACCAATAGCACATTATTCCATTGTCATTTGTAAATACTTCTGGATAGGCTTCACCATTCTAAATGCCATTAAGAATATTTGTTATTCATGGGAGGATGTCAAAATATTAACATTGACTGGAGTTTAGAAAAGGTGATTTCAACCATAGTAGATGACTTTCAAAGGTTCAAGGCTTTAGTGGAGAAAGTAACTGCAGATGTAGTAGAAAGAGCAAGAGAACTAGAGTTGGAAGTGGGGCCCAAAGATGTGACTGAATTGCTGCAATCTCATGATAAAACTTGAATGAGTCACTTCTTATGGGTAAGCAAAGAAGTTGGTTTCTTGAGATGAAATCTACTCCTGGTGAAGATGCTTTGAAGTTTGTTGAAACAACAACAAAGTATTTAGACTATGAAATGAACATAGTTGATAAAGCAGTGGCAAGGTTTGAGAGAATTCACTTCAATTTTGAAAGAAGTTCTACTGTGTGTAAAATACTGTAAAACAACATTGCATGCTACAGAGAAAATCTTTCGTGAAAAAAAGTCAATCAATGTGGCAAACTTCATTGTAGACTTACTTTAAAAAATGGACACAGGCCGGGCGCGGTGGCTCACGCCTGTAATCCCAGCACTTTGGGAGGCCGAGGCGGGCGGATCACGAGGTCAGGAGATCGAGACCATCCCGGCTAAAACGGTGAAACCCTGTCTCTACTAAAAATACAAAAAATTAGCCGGGCGTAGTGGCAGGCGCCTGTAGTCCCAGCTACTTGGGAGGCTGAGGCAGGAGAATGGCGTGAACCCGGGAGGCGGAGCTTGCAGTGAGCCGAGATTGTGCCACTGCACTCCAGCCTGGGCGACAGAGCGAGACTCTGTCTCAAAAAAAAAAAAAAAAAAAAAAAATGGACACAGTTACCCATACCTTCAGCAACAGCCATCCTGATCAGTCAGCAGCCATCAACATGGTGGCAAGACCCTCAATCAGCAAAAAGATTGTGAGTCACTGAAGGCTCAGATGATTGTTAGCAGTTTTCACAATAAAATATTTTTAAATTAAAATATGTATTTATTTTTTAGACATAATGCTATTGCACATTTGGTAGACTACAAATTTCAAATAGACTCCAAAATAAGAACATAAGTAATATCTTTGCTAGTAAATTACTAGAAGTAATTTGTTTTTTGACCAGTTAATTTTGGCTATGGGAAAAACAAGACCATGTATTGGTCACTGATGTAGCACATAATTTACATACTGGAGAGTGCTATTCTTACTTCACAGAGTATTACTATCCAGATGGTATCATAATTGAATCTTCAAAGGGTCATTCCTTTGTTCTATCAGCTCAGCTGCTTCAGGGTAGTGGTAAATGAAATAAGACCAGGAATCTCATATACATGAGTCAATTGCTGCACTTCATTTGCAATACGATGAGTTCCTTGATCAGAGGGAATGCACCCTTTACACATTGTACCCAATTTCTTCTAGTTTTCTTATTTCCTTCCTCCCCATCCACCCCCCACTTTGTTGGTAAGAACTGTGTCTCATTCATTTGGGTAACTTTAACAAACGTAGCCTAAGGTTTGGCACATGTTAAAAGGATACTGTCTTAATTCAGGCAGCTATAGCAAAGCATCATAGACTGGGTGGCTTATAAACAATAAAAGCTTATTTCTCACACTTCTGGAATCTGGAAGCCCAAGAGCAGGGGACTACATATGGTTGAGTTCTGGTGAGGGCCCCTTTCTAGGTTGCAGACTGCCAACTTCCTATGTCATCATGTGGTAGAAAGAGGAGGAGAGAACTTTCTGGGGTCTCTTTTATAAGGGCACTGATCTTTTATCATGAGGGCTCCACCCTCATATCCTAATCACTTCCCAAAAGTCGCACCTCCTAATACCATCACCTTGAGTATAGAATTCAACATATGAATTTGGGAGTGCAGGGACACAAACATTTGTTCTATTGCAGATACTGACTGAATAATAAAAGCATCAACAACTTCAAATATAAATATAGCAGTAGGATCAAACAAAATTAGGAGAAACATCAATAAGGAGGATTTTTATTAGAAACAAAGACCCTGTAGAGATAGAAGTAAAGAGTTAAAGTGGAAAGAGAGATAACTGAGGATGGAAGTCTCCCTTACTAGCTATATGAACTTGGGCCTCTGTTTTGGACTGAATTGTGTCCCCTCTGAAATTCATATATTGAAATGCTATCCCCCAAGGTGATGGAATTTGAAGATGGGGCCTTTGGAGATAATTAGGGTTAGATAAGGTCTTGAGGATAAGACCCTAATGATGGGATTAGTGGCCTTGTAAGAAGAGGAAGTTGTCTATTTCTCTCTCTCTCTCTCCATGTTTACACACCAAGGAAAACCCTTTTGAGGACATAACAAGAAAGTGTCTCATGTCCTAACATTTTAAAACCAATCATGCCTTCCCAACAGTCCCCCAAAGTCTTAATTCATTTCAGCATTAACCCAAATGTCCACAGTCCAAAGTTTCATCTGAGACAAGGCAAGTCCCTTCTGCCTATGACTCTGTAAAATCAAAAGAAAGCTAGTTACTTCCTAGATACAATGGAGGTACAGGTATTGGGTAAATACAGCCATTCCAAATGGGAGAAATTGGCAAAAACAAAGGGGTTACAGGGCCCATGCAAGTCCAAAATCCAGCAGGACAGTCAAATTTTAAAGTTCCATAATGATCTCCTTTGACTCCATGTCTCACAATCAAGGTCACACTGATGCAAAAGGTGGGTTCCCATGATCTTGGGAAGCTCCACCCTTGTGGCTTTGCAGGGTACAGCCTTCCTCCCAGCTGCTTTCACAGACTGGTGTTGAACGTTTCTGGCTTTTCCAGGAACACAGTGCAAACTGCCAGTGGGTCTACCATTCTGGGGTCTGGAGCACAGTGGCCCTCTTCTCACAGCTCCGCTAGGCAGTGCCCAAGTAGAGACTCTGTGTGGGGGCTCTGACCCCACATTTCCCTTCCACACGGCCCTAGCAGAGATTCTCCATGAGGAGAACATTTGCCTGGGCATCCAGTCATTTCCATGCATCTTCTGAAATCTAGGCGGAGTTTCCCAAATCTCAATTCTTGAATTCTGTGCACCTGCAGGCTCAACACCATGTGTAAGTGGCCAAGGCTTGGAGCATCCACCCCCTGAAGCTGCAGCCCAAGCTGTACATTGGCCTCTTTCAGTCACAGCTGGAGCAGCTGGGACACAGAGTACCAAGTCCCTAGGCTGCACACAGCACCTGGGACCAGCCCACAAAACCACTTTTTACTCCTGGGCCTCTGGGCCTGTGATCAGAGGGGCTGCCGTGAACGTCTCTGACATGGCCTGGAGACATTTCCCCCATGGTCTTGGGGATTAACATTAGGCTCCTTGCTATTTATGCAAATTTCTTCAGCTAGCTTGAGTTCCTCCCTAGAAAAAGGGTTTTTCTTTTCCACTACATTGTCAGGCTGCAAATTTTCTGAACTTTTATGCTCTATTTCTCTTTTAAAACAATGCTTTAACAGCACCTAAGCCACCTTTTGAATGCTTTGCTGCTTAGAAATTTTTTGACCAGATACCCTAAATCATCTCTGTCAAGTTCAAAGTTCCACAAATCTCTAGGGCAGGGACAAAATGCTGCCAATCTCTTTGCTAAAACATTACAAGAGTCACCTTTGCTCCAGTTCCCAACAAGTTTCTCATCTCCATCTGAGACCACCTCGCCTGGGCCTTATTGTTCATATCGCTATCAGCATTTTTGTCAAATTTATTCAACAAGCCTCCAGGAGGATCCAAACTTTCCTGCCTTCTTCTGAGCCCTCCAAACTGTTCCAAACTCTGCCTGCTACCCAGTTCCAAAGTTGTTTCCTCATTTTTGGGTATCTTTTCAGCAGTGCCCCACTCTACTGGTATTAATTTACTGTATTAGTCCATTTTCATGCTGCTGATAATGACATACCTGAGACTGGGAAGAAAAAGAGGTTTAATTGGACTTACAGTTCCACATGGCTGGAGAGGCCTCATAATCATGGCGGGAGGCGAAAAGCACTTCTTACATGGAGGTGGCAAGATAAAATGAGGAAGAAGCAAAAGCAAAAACCCCTGATAAAGCCATCAGATCTCATGAGACTTATTCACTATCATAAGAATAACATGGGAAAGACTGGACCCCATGATTCAATTACCTCCCCTCTGGGTCCCTCTCACATGTGGGAACTCTGGTAGATACAGTTCAAATTGAGATTTGGGTGGGGACACAGCCAAACCATATCACAAATCAAGAGGTATTTGTAAGGTAATTCATACTCCATATTTAAAAAAAAACAACCTTGAAATAGTGTTCATAAAAAAATGGCATGTTGTTATTTAAATGTGCTCCTACCCTAGCATTCACATTAATCTTACAATTTCACCTCCTTTTAGATATGTGCACATAATTAATGAGAGTACTTATTGCTCTAGATATCCAGGAGTTTTATTGCTTACCTTGTAAAATAGACAAGTTCTCATGCACCATTGCTGTAAACCTTTAGAATCAGAAACCCTTTGAGAATTGCACCATCACTCCAAATGTCTAGCTGTATTTCTACATACAATTCAGTACACAATTTCAGGAAGTTCATGAACCTTTTAAAATACAAGATTTTAACTCCAGATTGTGAACCTCAATATTATTCCATACCCCCATTTCAGCCTAATTTAAAATATTTAAATAAAATATTCAGTTTTTAAAAATTAACTTGTAAATTATCCATACCTAGAAAATAGAAGGAACTGATAGGTTGAGGAATTTATAGAAAACAGTAAAACAGGGGAACTACCTCAAGAACTGTATGTTGAAATGATTTCTTGATCTTTAACAGTGAAGAAAAGGGCATTGCTTTCCACATGCTATCTGTGTTGCATAGAGATACGCCACTATAAAGGATGTACCAGCCATTATGTTAATGACTAACTGACATCGGTAGCACTGTTGATCAGCTCACATACCAGTCTCTGTTGAGCATATCATTCTTCAGTGATGCTTACTAACACCATTAGAAGGAGGCTGGCCTTGACATCTCTGTGTTTCATGAATTAATATAGGAGTCATGATTGACTTTTTCATAACTTGACATAACTCTCAAATATGTATTATAATATGTCTGTCATCTCTTTATAATCCTATCCCTCAATGTGGGTTCTCCAAAGACAGTGTTGTAATAGTTCTGCCATCATATTCATTGAGACATCAAATTGGCATCATAATAGATCCTTTTTGGGCTTGTATCCTTATGCATTCTAATCTCTCATTATAATGGCATCATATTGGGGTCCCTGAAGACTTCCATTGAATAAATTGTGAGACAGTTAACATGATGGCAACTCCAGATTAAATTGCACAGGAAGTCAGGATTGTAAAAGAAATGGAAATAAAATCGTGGCAAGTAATTACTGGCTATGCTTAGTGACTATTTTGTTTAAACAACTCTGTTAATTCAAAATGTCCCCTGAAGACAGTATTTCACATGGAAAAATAACTACCTGGCAACCAGAAAAATTGCATTTTTTTAAGTCAGCCAATTTTTAGTTGAAGTTTGGCAAAACATCCAAAAGCATAGTTTGTGCTTTAATAATTGGAAAGTAAGCTGACATTTCCCAGCTTATTTTGATTTTTAAAACAATTGATCTTGAAAAACTAACAAAGAAATTCTGGACTTAAACTGGACACTTAATCAATGGGAACTAACAGACAGGAGTCTCCAATCCAAAACTACAGAGTATGCATTTATATCATTTGCAGATGGAACATATTCTAAAATCAAACACATAGTCATAAAGCAGGTCTCATTAAATTTTTTAAAAATCAAAATCATCCCAAGCACAATCTTGGACCACCGTACAATAAAATGAGAAATAAATATCAAGAAGATCTCTCAAAACTCCACAAATCCATAATACATGCAAATTAAACAACTTCCTTCTGAATAACTCTTGGGTGCACAATGAAATTAAGGTAGAAATCCCAAAATTCTTTGAAATTAATGAAAACAGAGGCACAGCTTACCAAAATCCTTGGGCTGCAGCTAAAGCAGTGTTAAGAGGAAAGTTTATGGCACTAGACACCTTCATCAAGAAGTTAGATCTCAAGCTAACAATCTAACTTTGTACCTAGAAGAACTAGAAAAAAAGAACAAACCAATCCCAAAGCTAGCAGAGGAAAATAAATAACTAAAATTAGAAAAGAATTGAGTGAAATTCAGTTGCAAAAATCCTTATATAAATGAAACAAAGAGTTTCTTATTCAGAAGAATAAATAAGATTGTTTGCTGGCTAGACTAACCAAGAACAAAAGAGAGAAGATTCAAATAACTACACTCAGAATTACAAAAATAACACTACAAGTTATCCACAAAAATTATAAAGATCCTCAGAGCCTTATTATGGACACCTCATAGACAAAAATTAGAAAATCTAGAAGTAGTAAATTCCTAGAAACACAAACTACCCAGATTTAACCAGGAAGAAAATGGAAACTTGTAAAGATCAATAGCAAGTTCTGAAATTGAATCAGTAATTTAAAAATTAATTTACCAAACTAAAAAAGCCCTAGACCGGATAGATTCACAGCCAAATTCTACCAGATGTACAAATAACTGGTACCAACCTTACTGAAACAATTCCAAAAAATTGAGGAGGAAAGGCTCCTTGCTAACTCATTCTACATCAACCAGATAGCAAAATCTGGCAGAAACAATTACCAAAGTAAAATACACACCAATATTCTTCATTAACAAAGATGCAAAAATCCTTGACAAAATACTAGCAAAAAAATTCAGCAGTACGTCAAAAAGTTAATACACCACAATCGAGTAGGCTTTATTCCTGGGATGCAAGGCTGGCTCAACATATATAAATGACCAAATGTGATTCACCACATAAACAGAATTAAGAGCGAAAAAACATTTGATCATCTCAATAGATGTAGAAAATATTTTTCAAAAAATCCAACATCCTTTCATAATAAAGACTCTCAATAGACTAGGCATCAAAGGAGCATACCTCAAAATAATAAGAGCCATCTATGAAAAATGAACAACCAATGTAATACTGAACAGACAAAAGCTAGAAGCATTACCCTTGAGAAGCAGAAAAAGACAAGAATGCCCACTCCCACCATTCCTGTTCAACATAGTACTGGAAGCTGTAGCCAGAGCGATCAGGCAAGAAAAGAAATAAAATGCATCCAAATGAGAAAAGAAGTCAAACTATCTCTCTGATATGGTTTGGATCTGGAACCCCACCAAATCTCATGTTGAATTATAATCCCCAGTGTTTGAGGTGGGGCCTGGTAGGAGGTGGTTGAATCATGGGGCTGGATTTTCCATAAATGTTTTAACACTATCTTCTTGGTGCTGTTCTTATGACAGTGAGTGAGTTCTCATGAGATCTGATAATGTAAAAGTGTGTAACACCTCTCCCTTCCCTTTCTCCTGCTCATGCTTCAACCATGTAATATGCCTTCTCCCCCTTTCCCTTCTGCCATGATTGTAAGTTTCCTGAGGCCTCCTCAGAAGCCTAGCAGATACCAGCAACATGTTTCCTGTACAGACTGCAGAGCTGTGAGCCAATTAAACCTCTTGTCTTTATAAATTACCCAGTCTCAGGTATTTCTTTATAGCAATTCAAGAACAGACTAATACACTCTCTTTGATAATGATATGATTCTATACCTAGAAAAATCTTAAGGACTCAAGAGAAAATCTCCTAGAACAGATAAACAACTTCAGTAAAGTTTTTCGGATACAAAATCAATGCACAAAAGAGACTGGTAGCATTTTGCCCCTGCCCTAGAGACGTGTGGAACTTTGAACTTGAGGGAGATAATTTAGGGTATCTGGTGGAAGAAATTTCTAAACAGTAAAGCATTCAAGATGTGGCTTGGCTTCTACAAGCCTATGCTCATTTGCACAAACAAAGATAACTTATGTTTAAAAGGGAAGCAGAACATAAAAGTTTGGAAAATTTACAGCCTGACCATGTGGTAGAAAAGAAAAACTTTTTTTCTAGGGAGGAATTCAAGGCTGTAGAAATATGTATAAGTAAAGAGGAGCCAAATGTTAATAGCCAAGACAATGAGGAAAATGTCTTCAAGGCATTTCATAGACCTTCACAGCAGCCCCTCCCATCACAAGCCCAGAGGCCTAGGATGGAAAAATGGTTTCATGGGCCAGCCCCAGTGCCCAGCTGCTCTGTGCAGCATTGGGACATGGTGCCCTGGGTCCCAGCAGCTCTACCTCCAGCTGTGGCTAAAAGGGGCCAAAGTGCAGCTCAAGCCATTGCTTCAGATGGTTCAAGCCCCAAGCATTGGCAGCTTCCACGTAGTGTTGGGCCTGCGGGTGCACAGAAGGCAAAAGTTGGGGTTCGGGAACCTCTGCCTAAGTTTCACAGGATGTACGAAAATGCCTGGATGTCCAGGCAGAAGGCTGCTGCAGGAACAGAGCTCTCAGAGAGAACCTCTACTAGGGCAATGCAAAGGAGAAATGGGGGTTGGAGCCCCCACACAGAGTCCCCACTGAGGCACAGCCTAGTGGAACTGTGAGAAGAGGGCCACTGTCCTCCAGATCTCAGAATGTAGAACCACTGACAGCTTATGCATCTGGAAAACCCACATGCACTCAATGCCAGCTCATGAAAGCAGCTGCAGGGGCTGTACCCTGCAGAACCACAGGGACAGAGCTTCCTAAGGCCTTGGGTTCCCACCCTCTGTGTCTCTGTGGCCTCAATGTGAGCCATGGAGTTAAAGGAGATCATTTTGGAGCTTTAAGATTTAATGACTGACCTTCTGGGATTCAGACTTGCATGGGGCCTGTAGACCCTTTGTTTTGGCCAACTTCTCTCTTTTGGAATGGGAGCATTTACCCAATTCCTGTGTCCCCACTGTATCTTGGAAATAACTAATTTGTTTTTTTATTTTACAGGCTCATAGGCAGAACGGGCTTGCCTTGTGTCAGATGAGATTTGGACTTGGACTTTTGGGTTAATGCTGAAATTGAGCTAAGACTTTGGGGGACTGCTGGGAAGGCATGATTGTGTTTTGAAATGTGAGAAGGACATGAGATTTGGGAATAATACGGGTTGGCTGTGTGTCCCCACCCAAATCTAATGTTGAATTGTAATTCCCAATGCTGGAGTGAGGAGCCTGTGGGAGGTGATTGGATTACAGGGGTGGATTTGTCCATGTTTTTCTCATGACAGTGAGTGAGTTATCACAAGATCTGATGGTTTAAAAGTGTGTAGCACTTCCCCACCTTGCTTGCTCTCTCTACTGCTGCCATGTGAAGAAGGTGCTTGCTTCCCCTTTGCCTTCCACCATGATTGTAACTGTCCTGAGGCCTACCAGTCATGCTTCCCATTAAACCTGCAGAATTGTGAGTTAATTAGACCTCTTTTCTTCATATATTACTAAGTCTCAGGTAGTTGTTTATAGCAATGTGAGAAAGGACTAATACAGACACCAAATGACAGATCCAAGAAGGTCAGAGAAAACCAAGCAAGTGAAATACACCGAGGCCTATTATATTCAAACTTCAGAAATTAAAGATAGAGAAAAATTTTTGAAAGAGATCAGAGGAATAAAACACCTTATTTATAGAGCAGTAGACATAAGGATTATATCTGACTGCTCCTCAGAAATTATTTAAACAAGAAGAAAATGGAGTAAGATATTTAAACTGTTGAGGGGAAAAAAACACCAACCTAGATTTCTGTAGACTTAAATTATCCTATGAAAGTGAGTAAAGCTTTTCTCATACAGACAAATGATAGGAAATTTGTTGCCAGTACACAGGCTTGCAACAAATGTTAAAAGAAATTCTTCAGAGAGAAGGAACATGATATTGGTCAGAAACTTGGATCTACATAAAGAGAAGGAATAACTAAAGGTAAAATTAAAACATTTATTTTTGTTATTCTTAATTGATCCAACAGATAGTTTGTTCAAAAATAATAATAGCAATGTTGTATTAATGACATATGCATATAAAAAATAGGTAGAGGGATATATATGCTTATGCATAAGTGAAAGGGATGACAGCAACAATACGAAGGACGGGAGAAAGGAATCAGGATTATTTGGTTGTTATAAGGTACTTTTACTTCCTGTGTAATGGTGTTATTTGAAAGTGGAATTTGATTAATTGTGTTTTATGCTAATTATAGGACAACCACTACAAAAGTGAAAAATGAAGTATAACTGATATGCTAAGAAAAAAAATAAAATGAAATTATATAAAATGTTCAATTAAAATAAAAAAAGACAGAAAAGAGTAGAAGAAAAACAGGAATAAAGATGAAGGATAATACATAGAAAGCAGTAATCATTCTAGTAGATATTAATTCAAGTATATTAATAATCACATTAAATTTCAATGGTCTAAATTCACCAATTAAAAAACAGAAATTGTTAGAGTGTATTAAAATATAAGACCCAACTTTATATTGTCTACAAAAAACCCCCTTTAAATATAAAAAAACATATGGATTAAAAGTAAAGGGATATAGAAAGATATACTATGCCATCCACAATTTTTACAAATAACAGGAGTATTATATTAATTTCAGAAAAAGCAGACTTCAGAACAAGGAACTTTATCCAGGATAAGGGGAACATTACATCACGATAAAGGGGTCAATTCTTAATAAGATATAACAATCCTTAATGTATATGTGCTTAACAACAGAGCGTCAAAATATGTGATGCAAACCTAATAAAACTATAAGAGACATAGATGAATTCAATACTAGTGTTGAAGATTGCAACACCCCTCTATCAAAAATGGACAGATCCAGCAAGGAGAAAATCAGTAAAGACATAGTTGAACTCAATAACACTGTCAGTTAACTGGATATAACACATCTATTGACTTGTTCATTCAACAGCAGCAGAATACACATTCTTCTTAAGTTCATTTGAACCTTTACCAAAATACAACACATTCTGGCCCATAAAATATATCTCAACACATGTAAAAGAATAGAAATTATATAACGCCTGTACTCAGACCACAATGGAATTTAACTAGAAATCAAAAACAAAAAGATAGCTAAAAATCCCTTGAACACTTGAAAATTAGACAACAGACTTCTAAATAGTACATGAGTCAAAGAAGAAATTTCAAAAATATTTTCAACTAAATGAAAATGAAACTACACCTCGTCAAAATATGTGGAACACAATGAAATCAGTGCTTACAGAGAAACTTATATATTTCTAATATATGAATGCATATGTTAGAAAAAAGAAATCTAGAATCAATAATATAAGCTTATAATGTATGAAACAAAAAAAACAAATTGAATTCAAAATAAGCAAAAGAAAAATAATAATAAAAATAAAAGCAGAAATGAATGAAACTGAAAACAGGAAATCAGTAGAGAAAATCAATAAACCCAAAAGCTGGTTCTTTGAAAAGATCATAAAGTCCTTAATCCTCTAGGCTGGAGAGCTGAGAATAAAAGAGAGAAGATACAAATTATTAATGTCAGAAATGGAACAGGAGACATTATTATAGATCCCATGAACATTAAAAAGCTAATAAAGAAACATTATGAAGAATTATATGGCCACAAATTTGATAACTTTGATTAAATGATCAATTCCTTGAAAGACACAATCTTTCATAACTCATACAAAAGTAAATAGGCCATCTGAATGGGCCTATATCTATTAAACAAACTGAACCAATGAATAATAATCTTCATAAACAGAAAGCACCAGGCCCAGTTGTGTTCACTGGGAAATTCTACCAAATATTTAAGGACTAAATCATACCAATTCTCTACCATCTCTTTCAGAGATAGAAGCAGAGGGAAATACTGCTAACTCATTTGATGAGGCCAGCATTACCTAAATACCAAAACCAGACAATGTCATTACAAGGAAAGAAAATTACAGACCATTGTCTGTATAAACATGGATGCAAAAATCATCAGAAAAATATTAGCAAATCAAATCCAACAATTTATAAAAAGAATATTACTCCATGACCAAGTGGGATTTATCCAAGTTATACAAGGCAGTTTCAACATTTGAAAAGTGATTAATATAACCAACCCATCAGATCAACAAACTAAGGAAGAAAAATTACATGATCATATAATTAGATGCAGAGAAAGCATTTGACAAAATCCAGCACCCATTTGGGATAAAAAACACTCAGAAAACTAGGAGTAGAAGAGAACTTCCTCAACCTGATAATAAATACCTCCAAAAATACTACAGCTAAAATTATGCTTAATGGTGAGTAACTAGAAACACTAAGGTCAGAAAAGAAGCAAGGATGTCCCTTCTCACCATTCCCTTTAAACATTATACTGAAAATCTGTACTAATGCAATGAGATGAGACAGAGAATAAAAGTTATACACATTGGGAATGATAAAATCAAACCATTTTTTTTCACAGATGACATGATTGTCTTTGTAGAAAACCCCCCAAAATTGACAATAATCCACCTAGAAGTAATAAGCAATTATAGCAAGTTGCAGGATCCAAGGTTAAGATATAAAAAAATCACTTTCCTATATACCAGGAGAAAACAAGTGGAATTTAAAATTGAAAACACAATACCAGTTACCTTAGCACCCAAAAAACTCAAATACGTAGGCATAAATCCAACAAAATATGTACAAGATTTATATTGGGAAAAATACAAATCTCTGATGAAAGAAGTCCAAGAAGAACTAAAAAATGTGGATATTCCACGTTGATGGATAGGAAGACTCAGTATTATCAAGATGTCAGTTCTTCCCAACTTGATATATTGATTCAATTTGATCCCAATCAAAATTCCAGCAAGTTATTTTGTGGATATCAGCAAACAAATTCTAAAGTTTACGTGGAGTGTCAAAATATCTGGAATAGCCAACACAATATTGAAAGGAAAGAACAAAGTAGAAGACTGACACCATCCAACTTCAAGACTTACTATAAACTACAGTGATCAAGAAAGTGTGGTATTGGCAAAATAATAAACAATTAAACTAATGAAATAGAGAGCCCAGAAATAGAACCACATAAATATAGTCAACCGATCTTTGACAAAGCAGCAAAGACAGTAAAATGGAGAAAAGATGATCTTTTCAACAAATGATGCTGGAACAATTGGAAATACACATGCCAAAGAAAAAAGTGAATCTAGACACAGAACTTATACCCTTCACAAGAATTAATTCAAAATGGATCATAGACCTAAATGCAAAATTCAAAACTGTAAAATTCCTACAAGGTAACATAAAATAAAATTTAGGCAACCACTGGTATAATGACTACTTTTTAGATGCAACACCAAAGGCAAGATCTGTGACAGAAATAATTGATAAACTAGACTTCATTAAAATGAAAAACTTCTCAGCAAAAAAGCAATGTCAAAATAATGAGAAGACAAGACACAAACTTGGAGAAAATATTTGTGGAAATCATATCTGATAAAAGATTGTTATTCAAAATATGCTAAGACTCTTAAAATTCAGCAGTAAGAGCACAAAAAAACCCTGAATTTTAAAAATGGGTCAAAGACCTTAACATACATCTCACAAAAGAAAATATACAGATAGCAAATAGCATATGAAAGGATGTTCAACATCATATGCCATTAGGGAATTGCAAATTAAAACAGCAATAAAATACCACTACAGTCCTATTAAAATGGCCAAAATCCCAAACACTGACAAATGCTGGTAAGGATGGGGAGCAATAGAAACTCTCATTCATTGTTGGTGGGGAATACAAAATGGTACAGCCATTTTGGAAGACAGTCTAGCAGTTTCTAACAAAACTAAACATACTCATACCATATAACTCAGCAATTGAGTTCCTTCATGCTTAACTGAGTTGAAAACTTATGTCCACACAAAAGCCTACACACAAGTTTTTATAGCAGCTTTATACATAATCACCAAAACCTGGAAGCAACCAAGACGTCCTTCAGTGGGTAAATGGATACAAAAACTGTGATACATTCAGACAAAGGAACGTTATTCAGTGCTAGAAAGAAACAAGCTATCAAGCCAGGAAATGACATAGATAAACCGTATATGCATATTACTAAGTGAAAGAAGCCAATCTGAAAAGGCTACATACTATCTGATATCAAGTATATGATATTTTGGAAAAGACAAAAGTATGAAGACAGTAAAAAGATTAGCATTTTCCAGAGGTTATGGGAGTGGGAGTAATAAATAGGTGGAGCAAAAAGGATTATTAGGGCAGTGAAACTACTCTGTATGATACTATAATGGTGGGCACATGTCATTATACATTTATGAAAACCCATGGAATGTACAACACCAAGAGCGAACCCTGTGAACTATGGATTTTGGGTGATAATGATGTGTCAATGTAGGCTCATTGTGACAATGTACCATTCTGCTGGAGAATTTTGTTAGTGGGGAGGCACTGTGTATGTGGGAGCAGGGGATAGATAGGAAATCTGTACTTTTCACTCTAGTTGCTGTTTACCTAAAACTGCTCTAATAAATGCCATCTATGACAAACCCACAGCCAACATAATAATGAGTGGAGAAAAGTTGAAAATATTCCCGCTGAGAACTGGAACAAGACTAGAATGCCCATGTTCACCATTTCTATTCAACATAGTACTGGAAGTCCTAGCCAGAGCACTCAGACAAGAGAAAGAAATATAGGGCATCCAAATTGGAAAAGAGAAAGCCAAACTGCCCCTGTTCACCAATGATATGTTCATATACCTGGGAAACCCTAAAGACTCATCTAAAAAGCTCCTAGACCTGACAAATAAATTCAGTAATGTCTTAGGATAAAAAATCAATGCACACAAATAAGTAGCACCACTATACATCAACAACAACTAAGCTGAGAATCAAATCAAGAGCTCAATTCTTTTTACAACAGCTACAAAAAAATAAAATACTTAGGAATATATGTATCCAAAGAGGTGAAAGATCTGTATAAGGAAAACTACAAAACACTAGTGAAAGAAATCATAGATGACACAAACAAATGAAAACACATTCCATGCTCATGGATGAGTAGAATCATTATTGTGAAAATGACCATACTGCCCAAAGCAATATACAGATTCAATGCAATTTCCATCAAAATATCATCATCATTCTTCACAGAACTAGAAAAAGCAATCTTAAAATTCATATAGAACCAAAAAAGAGCCCACATAGCCAAAGCAAGACTAAGCAAAAATAACAAATCTGGAAACATCACATTACCTGACTTCAAATTATACTACAAAGCTATAGTTACCAAAAAAACATGGTAGTGGTATACAAATGTGTATGTAGATCAATGGAACAGAATAAAGGACCCAGAAATAAAGCCACATTCTTACAGCCAACTAATCTTTGACACAGTGTACAGAAATATAAAGTGGGGAAAAACACCCTATTCAATAAATGGTGCTGAGAAAACTGGCAAGCCACATGTAGAAGAATGAAACTGGATCCTCATCTCTCATCTTATGCAAAAATCAACTCAAGATGGATCAAAGACTTATATCTAAGACCTGAAACCATAAAAATTCTAGAAGATATCATTGGAAAAACTCTTCCAGATATTGGCTTAGGCAAAATTTCATGACCAAGAAACTAAAAACAGATGCAACAAAAACTAAATAAATGGAACCTAATTAAATGAAAAATCTTCACACAGAAAAAGAAATAATAAGCAGAGTAAAGACAACCCACAGAGTGGGAGAAAAAAATACACAAACTACACATCTAACCAATGACTAATATCCAGAATCTACACGAAAAATAAAAAAACACAAATAATCCCATCAAAAAGTGGGCAAAGTACATGAATAGACAATTCTCAAAAGAAGATATACAAACAGCCAACAAACACATGAAAAAATGCTCAACATCACTAATTTTCAGGGAAGTGCAAATTAAAACCACAATGAGATGCCACCTTACTTCAACAACAATGACCATAACTAAAAAGTCAAAAAATCATAGATGTTGGCATGAATGTAGTTAGAAAAAACACTTTTACACTGCTTCTGGTAATGTAAATTAGTACATCCACTATAGAAATCAGTATGGAGATTCCTTAAAGAACTAAAAGTAGAACTGTCATTTGATCCAGCAATCCCACTACTGGGCATCTACCCATATGAAAATAAGTCATTATATGAAAAAGACACATGCACGCACTTTTATACAAGCACAATTCACAATTTCAAAAGTATGAAACCAACCTAAATGTCCATCAGCCAACAAGTGGATAAAGAAAATATGGTATATGTACAACATGGAATACTACTCAGCCATAAAATGAAATGAAATAATGGCCTTTGCAGCAACTTGGATGGAGTCAGAGGCCATTATTCTAAGTGAAGTAACTCCAGAATAGAAAACCAAATGTCATATGTTCTCACTTATAAGTAGGAGCTAAGCTATGAGGATGCAAGGTCATAAGAATGATATAATGGACTTTGAGGACTTGGGAGGAAGAATAGGAAGGGGGAGAAGGATAAAAGACTACATATTGGGTACAGTGTACACTATTTGGGTGATGGGTGCACCAAAATCTCAGAAATCATTAAATAACTTATCCATGTAACAAAAAAAATCTGTACCCCCAAAATTATTGAAATTAAAAATAATAAAATAAAGTATATATTTTAAAAAGAGACAACACATATATTGGTTGGTGCATTAGTAAAAAATTTAAAATAAGCTAAATTCTTCACCTCAATTTTAGCTCATTGCTCTCTAAATAAATTGTTTTTTAAAGTTTTTTTTCATTGTTCATCGTACTGACTTATTTTAGCACAAATTAATTCCATAATACAATCAATTTGGTTTTATTTTTAGGCTGAAATAAAAAACAAATGGTGAGGGAAAGCTGATTTGATTCCAGTTTCCCATAATGCTATGACGACTGGCCAGTATAGCATTGTGCTTCTGCTTTCTTGCTGAGACTAGCTGACTATCCAATGTTCTCATTCACTCAACCATTCAAAGAATATGTATTCATCTGGATCTATGAAGAGATATAATTCTTGCTTTTCAGGGATTTACGCTAAATGCCATGTTTTAATACAGGCCTAAATATATTTAAAGTTCCAAGCCAGCTTCACATTATAAATAGGTCTGATGGTAATCCTTGCCTTAAGTGTTTACAATCCTATAAGAAGGGAACTAATAAACACATAAATGTAGTGTAAGGTCAAGTAGACTAACTTTGGGAAGCAGCTTATGCTGTAGGAGTTAAAAGTACTAACTCTATAGGCAGATTTGGATTCATAACCCTCACTTTGTAATTTCTTAGTTTGTGGAAGGGGGGTAGGCTAGTTACTAATCTGCTCTAAGCCTCAATTTCTCCATCTGCAAAGTGGGAATAGAAGTGGTACTTATCTTATTGCTAAGAGGCTTAATTTAGATAAAGCATATGATGCATAGTTCAGCGAATGGCACATAATTTGTAATCAGAGTTGCTATCTAGCTATATAAACACAATTTTATGGGGATTCAGAGGATATAGGGCTCACATATGGTTATGAGGAGGAGGGAAATCTTTCTAAAGGAGGTAACGTTTACTATGGAACTTCCTACTTTCCCCTGCCTTTGTCTTCCCTTAGTCCCTGAAACTGGCCTCACTGATGGGCTCTATGTTTAGGCATAGTACTGTTACAAGTACTGAGTTAATACTAGCAGAAGCATCCCCATTCTCACCATCTCAGCATCTGAAAATAATTCTTCTTAGCATTGGATTTAGTATTCCGATTACAGATAACTCCATCTCCATCATTCTCATTTCTTATGTACATGGATCAGTGTCTAGCTGAGAGTATGTGCAAGTACATTAAAAATGGGTCATAGATATTCTTCTACCTTTCTGTAAAACTGATGTATTGATGGTGCCACATGCCTTGACATAAAAATATTAAAAGGCTTAAATGGGAGCAAAGAATTATAAGCAGAAAAACCTGTTCCTGTCTATATTGTTAAAGCAAACCTTTGTTCTTCATCATCAGTGAAAAGATAAATCCATATCAAATGGCACAGTGTAAATTAGACATTTATAATTTATATTAGTCTGTAAGTTTAAAAGATAATTATTAGGAACACCATATTTTCTCACAGTAGAGATGATGGAATTGCCATATGAAATACTTTGCATACTGAGAGGGAAGAAACTGAATAATCTGCTTCTAAATGCTAACAGCTTTAGATAAAGACTATGACAAGTAAGCTCTGAAAAAAAGTCACAGATTTGTATTGCAATCATACTGATGTTGTGGAAGTCGTGAGCTGGAATCATGTCTTGCTATCTCTAACCCACCTTGCTGTCTTTCATTTAAAAAAAATGGACAAAGAAATCAGAACTCTATATACTTTCATTCCTCTCTAACACCTGGCTCTTTTTCTGAGTTAAGTTTGAACTTCATGTATGAGGCAGGACTGAAATGTCTTTTTGGACTCCCCATTTCTATTCTCTGCATGCTGTCTCCCACTTTTAGTAGCTCTTCTCTCTGCCAGTGTTTAGCATGTCTTTCTATGCTCTGAGTTTACAATTAGGAGAAAAACAGATCTGCTGTTATCATAAGCTCCTTGAAAACAGAGAACATATCCTATATGCCTGTGTATTCTGCACCGTGTCTATTTCACACAGTGTGTTCAACGAATATTTCTTAATTTTTTTCATTTCTAATAATAGTTTATACCTATCACATATCTACTAAAAGCTTAATGCATGCGAAGCATTGTTCTAGATACTTGCATTGTTTCATTAATACGTCAGCAATTTCATGAAGTAGGCAGATTAACAATTTTTATGTTCATTTGGCTTAAAGAGGGCAAACAGCTAGTGAGTGTTAGACAAGATTTAGATCTGTTTACTATGAACTCCCATCCCTTAACCACTAAACTCTACTCCCAATGCTCATTTAACACTCTATTATTACTGACATCATTTTGTCAATTGGCTTAGCATATTATATTTCCCCAAAGTATTTGCATTTTATAAGACAGAGCTAAGGAGCATATAAGATGAATAAATCAATCTCTAATAATGGACTTTAAGGCACAAACTGCAGGAGGAACTGGGGTGACATTTTTGCAGTAATTTTTCACCTGTTGCTCAAGTCACATTGCTCGTGTTTTCTCACAAACAGCTAGTAAAAGTAAAAAAGCCTAAGGTCTCCAATGGAAGTAGAGAAAGGAGCAAACCTTGACAATGGCAGAAGTACATTGTTAAACATGTCTTTTTAATGTAAAAATTAGCATATCCTGCTTCCCTTACCCGGCACTGATTTCTCAGTCTCACTGTTTATGTTGTATCTTTCTAGAAATTGTACATGTCTGTGCAAATGAGATCAACAAAATAGGACCAAATTATACACTATTTGCCATACCTATTAATGTGATAAATTATATTAATGTTTCCTAATATTAAACATTATTGAATTCCTAGAAAGAAACCCAAATCATCTTGGTGTATTATTCTTTACATATAGATTCTAATTGCCAATATTTACTTCAGGATTCTTACATCTACATACATAAGTGAGATCAAATTTTAGTTTTCTTTTCGAAGATGTCTTTGTAAGATTTGATGTCAATGTTATTGCTGGTTTTATAAGAAGAGTTTAGGACCTTCCTCTTTCTATTATGAGGAACAGTTTGAATACTTTCAGAATGATTTATTTCTTGAAAGTTTAAGAGAAATTACCTTGTAAATCTATTTGAACCTGATGCTTATTTTGGAGAAAGGGCATAGTTCTTCAATAAGACTAGATTTTTTTAATGGCAGTTGGTTTATTTAGTTTTTTAAAAATCTCATCTGGAGGCTATTTATGGTTATTATATTTTCATTAAAAATTATGTATTTTATCCAGATTTTTAAATTTATTTGCACAAGGTTGAGCAATGTCATCATCATATCTAATTATTTTGCATTTTTCTGAATCTGTGATAATTTTCTCTTTTTCCAGTTCTAATTGTTTGTACTTTTTCCCAATCTTGTTGATTAGATTAGCTGCTGGTTTATTTATTTTATAATTATTTCTAAAGGAAAAGCATTTGGATTTAGTCATTAGTTTCACTGTTTTTTCTGTTTTCTGATTCATCAATACTAGCTTTTATCTTCATTAATTTCTTGTTTCTGCTCCTCTGATATTAGTAATAACTAAGCCAAATGCTTTTAATAGTATACTTGTATTAATACATATAATCCTTAAAACAACTCTAGAAGGTAGATATTACTTGTATCCCCATTTTACAGGTTGACACTCCTCATTTTACAGATTGGGAAAGAAACACTGAGAGGTTAAGTGACTTGTCTAAGGCCATGCAGTTAGTGGAATGAATGGTAGAACCAACTAGGATACAAAGTCAGCTCTGTGTTCCTATCCACTGTGCTATATGGTCTCTTTGAGTTTACAATACTGCTTTCCCCCTAATTTCTTGAGTTGAATGTTTAATTAATGTATTTTTAATATTGTTCATTTATCAATAATAGTGTTTAATGCTATAATGTTTCTTCTAGGTATAGCTTTATTAGGATCTTATATGCAATTCTATTATTATTCTCTGAATTTTCTATAATTTCAGGGGTTTTTTTTCTTTTTGACTCAATAATTTTTAACACAGTTTTTTTTCCTTAATGTTTGGGTTTTTATGGGTTTTGTTGGTTTGTTTCAATGGTGTTTGTTCTAGTATTTTTGTAGATATTATTCTTCAAGTTAACGTTATGCTGTTTTATTCTTTGATTATAGATTTTTGTAGTAAATGAGGAATGGATTTTTTCAACTATTTTCTTCAACAACACATATTAAGATGGTCATATGATTTTTATTTTCTAATCTGTTAACATAGTGAATTACATTGCTTCAGTAGCTCATATCAAAATATATAGGAAACACAGGATTCTATGATATAGTTGTTTTACATTATTCTTTTTTTTTTTTTTTTTTTTTTTTTTTTTTTTTTGAGACGGAGTCTCGCTCTGTCACCCAGGCTGGAGTGCAGTGGCGCGATCTCGGCTCTCTGCGAGCTCCACCACCCGGGTTCATGCCATTCTCCTGCCTCAGCCTCCAGAGTAGCCGGGACTACAGGCACCCACCACCATGCCTGGCTAATTTTTTGTATTTTTTTTAGTAGAGACGGGATTTCACCGTGTTGGCCAGGATGGTCTCAATCTCCTGACCTCGTGCTCCGCCCGCCTCGCCCTCCCAAAGTGTTGGGATTACAGGCGTGAGCCACCGCGCCCGGCTACATTATTCTTTTAAATCACCTTTAGGTTTGAGCTGCATACATTTATTTAGACTGTTTCCATCCATCCTTACAACTCAATTTTCCCTAGAGTTTTATTGCACTATCTCTCACATTATTGTTGTAGGGTGATCTGGTTATCTTCATATCTTTTTATTTGCCATTTAATGGTATACCAAGCAAGCTTTTAGTTGGTAAAACCAAAAATCAATTCTGCCTTATTTAAGAAGAAAATTAATTGATCATGAGGATATCATGGAGCCTATACGGTGGGAAGACTAGAGAGCAATGCTTAGACAACAGACAAGAACAACAGGAAGCAGCTGGAAACACTTGGGCACTTTCAATCACGTCCCTGGGTCTGCCACAATTCAACACTCCCCACCACCATCTCTGGATTCTAAACTCCAGTAAAGTGGCTTTACACAATCTACAACTCTCCCAGCACCTTTTATTCACTTTCTCCATATTGTCAAACTTGGGGAAGAAGCATGTAATCAGCTTCACCTAATATGTGGTAATTACAAAGGATTAGAGAGAGGAAATGCCCATACCTCTTCAATTTCATAATGTTAAGAAAAGTTTAGCAGATGATTATTTTTTAAAAAGTGTTCCATTTTGTTTGAAAAGAAAATAAATTGTCCAATTAAATTTAAAGTTTATTGGTTATTTAATTCAAACACTATACATTTCATTTTTCTTTGCCTACTTGGCAGTTGCTGTCTGAACAAAGGTTAATAGATCCAACTATAACTCTGTATGGATCCATTTCTTCTGAAGCTTTTGTTTCATATGCTGTGTTATATATTTGGTATTTCAGGGAATAAACAAACAAAACCCCACCTTTCCTGCCTGAGTTTAGAACCAATTAAGAGATAGTCACAAGTCATTAACATGAAGATCGAAATGATTATTACTGTAAGAACTGATAGGAGAATGAGGCTTTAGACCCTCAGCCAAGTGATTTTTGTAATACCTTGTCTCTGCTTTAGACACATTTATCCAGCCAGTCTCAGGCGCAGCTTGACAACTGCATGTCACACTGGCAAGGGCGAATCCCCACTATGCATCAGGACGGATTAGAACACTTGTGTTTGTATAAAGAAAATATAGCTCACAAAGACAAGAGAAAGGGACAGAGACAGACAGAGAGACTAAGCATGATGATTATTATTCCAAACTCTCTTTATTCCACTTTCTGTGGAAAAAAGTAAGCAATCTGCCAGAAGTCTGTATCTAGCAAAAGTCGCTAATGTGGAAATAAGAATAGAAAATACATGTTTCTCTCTTAATGCATTAAGTTGAACAATATAACATTTACAATAATTTCATGTCAATAATTCTTTTTGACCTGAAAATAGTAGTAATTTCATATCTCAATATTATTTCATAAGTTACATGAAGTTTCATGTGTTTTGTATCTTTGTCTTGCATTGTCTTTTACACGTATAACCTTGTTCTGTATCACTTTTTAATTTTAAAAATTTTTAAGAAAATAAGTTCAACTTTACACATATCTTGCAAGAATAAGAATAATTCATAAACATCCATATATTCTTTACCAAAATTCATCTATTGTCAACATTGGTAATATTTTACCATGTGCTTTTATACCGTCTCTCTTTATACACATACACACACAACACACATGTGTTTGTGTGTTTCTTTTTGAAATCATTTTAGGATAACTTACATATATCCTGGTCCTTGACATAACAACAGCACAATTATCAACTCAGCACATTTAACATTGATATACTCATTCAGTTTAACATTCGTATCCAGTTTTGTCAATTGACCCAATAAGGTACCGGTCTAGGGTTAGGTCTTACATTTAGCTGCTATGTCTCTTTGGTTTTCTTTAATCTGGAAGATGTTTTCTTACTTTTTTCTGACATCAACATTTTTGAGGAATACAGTCCCCACTCACTCTACCTGTTGTTTTTTTGTTTTTACTGTTTGTTTTAATAGAATGATGCCCATGTTGAGTTTGTCTGATGTTTGCTAATGATTCAATTCCAGTTACGCATTCTCAACCAAAACACCACATAGTTGATGCTATGTACTAGCCAGGGATCACATCTGGATGCATACAGTGTTGATCTACCCCTCACTGGTGATGTAATTTTGATATTAATTTTCATCACCCAGTCAAAATATTGCTCAATTTCTCCATTGTATAGTTACTATGTTTTCCTTAATTAATAAGTCTGTGGACAGAGACTTTAAGACCACAGAAATATCCTGCTCACCATGAACTTTTTTTCCTGAATTTAGCATTATTTGATGAGTCTTATCTGCTCCAATATTTACTCTAATGGTTGAGAAATAGTGTTTTTCCAGTACTCCCTCCACATTTACCAGCTCTTGCCATTCTGCTGTAAGAAGAACCCTTGCTCTCCTTATCTGGTTGTTTATTTGTTTAATTGGTTAGTTATTAATTGGTATGGACTCATAAGATCTTGTAAATGTTTTATAGCTTACTGCACTTAATTACTCTGAATTATTTTACTGTGAATTGTTTTGTTTCTTATTAATATTAGTATACTTGCTTTCCTTTTGTTAAGATTTGCCTGCCAGGTATTTTTTATGCTGTTATTTTCAACCATCCTATTTTAAGTATGTTACTTGTAAACAGCATGTTACTGGTTGTTGTTTGTTTTATACCGACTAGAAAGTGTCTGTCTTTTAACATGTGACATTAACCAATTCATATTTATCATAATCAGTGATATATTTACTGATGACTTATTTTTGTAATCTTTTTATTATTGTCATTTCTTTATATGCTATTTTGACTGTTTTTCCTCATTTATGTTTTGTGCTTGATTGAGCAGATTTTACATTAAAATACCTGTTTCTCTGTACCTGGCTGCCTGTTTAGTTGGCAGTCCTGGGGATTCACTAATGAGACATGTCCTAAACAGAAGCACAATCAAAAGCTACCTGTACAGTGTGATACACAGTGTGATAGGTCACCGAAGATCATTGGTTCCAATATTGTTCCTAATCATGCTTTGGAATGCATCTGTGCCTGACATATAAGATTTTGTGAAAAATTTCTACTCAAATTCTGATAGGATTTGAATAATTTGCTGTTGTTTCAGTGTAATTTGTGAGGCCACTTTCCATTTATAAGTTTCTTAACTACATGCCCTGCTACATTAAATGTAGAAATGCATTGGTCTTACCTCAACAGATCCCAGTAGGAAACAGGAATAGATATTTCTACTCTGTCTAGTATCCATTCAATTTTGATTATACCCTCCTAAATGAAGATTCAGTATGCATTCTCCTCTTTTTAGCACCTAATGTACAGAGATTCTCAGGCTTAATATGCCTTTCCATGGTTTCTATATTATAGGTTAAAATAGTATTGTCCCTAATCATAGCAGATGAAACTATTTTTATGGAATCAATTTCAATTTTAAGAGTAACTTGAGAATTGCTAACAGTTTTGTAAGTTTTTTGGCATTAAACCAGTAGCAGTTCCTAAAGCTGAGATTTTTGAGACTGAGACTATCCATTTTGCCTCAATTTGATTGAGTATAAAGGAAATTGCTCATATAATTGCCTGAGATAAAACTTCTTAGCCATCTATTATAGCACTACCTCCATGTACCACCACATCATCCAGAGAGATCTCTATGTGTATTGTTATGTTTTTGTATTTACAGGTGTAGGTCTTTGTGTGTGCATTTGCCCACGTTAATATTAGACCAAACCAGAATCCTAGAATGCTGAAGGGGGAAAGAGACTAACATCTATCACAACATACTAAGTGCTACAAACTTTATACACAACATCAAATTTCATTCTAATAATAACTTCATGAAGTTAATTTTATCATTTCCTTTTGCAGATAAGAAAACTAGAGTTCAGAAGTGTTACATAACTTGTCCAATGTCCCACTATGTACTGACTTTTATTTCTCTATTATGTTTTCAGTCCTCTTTCTTCTAGTAATGGATTTTCAGTATGGTTTAACTGATAATGTTTCCACATCTACTTTCAGTCCCAAGGCGTAGCATATAACACAGGTGTAGCTAATCAGAGCATTGCACCCCTCTGGCCATAGTGGTTTGTTTATTTATGTGCACATGATCTAATCCAGACCAATGGAATTTCATCCTGCTACTTATACTGAGACTGTTTAAAGTTTTATCCTCCCTTTCTTCTGGAGGTAGAAAGCTGTTGTGATGTAAATCTAAAGCTCCCTGAGCCACTTGCCTGAAAATGATGGTTACATAAAGAAATGCAGGGGAAAAAAATTGAGATGGCTTAATGACATCTTCTGATCCCTTAAATTCCAGCAATGTCTGAAGCTAGGTAAATAGTCATAAATCTTATAGTCATAAAAGCAAATAAATTATTTGGTGTCCTAGGTTTTTGTTGGGTTTTTATCATTAAAAAAGAAAAAAGAATATCCCGACTGTTCAAGACTGATACTTAGAGACAATGCTATTTTTTCGAAACTCTACTTCCTTTTTAAAACCCACTTGAAGTGTAATCTCCACTGTAGAGCTTTTCCTGACCTCTCTCTTCCAAATGTACTT
Source organism: Homo sapiens (assembly GCF_000001405.40). Classification (NCBI taxonomy): domain Eukaryota; kingdom Metazoa; phylum Chordata; class Mammalia; order Primates; family Hominidae; genus Homo; species Homo sapiens. The sequence goes on along the minus strand of NC_000023.11, from coordinate 99,031,218 downwards.
TCTTCTTCCTAGTTATGATATACATGTTTTATAGCACTTGTAACACTCTGTCCTAAATTATTCCTTTAATTACTTATATATACCTCATTTTTCCTACTAAACAATAAAAGTTTAGTGAGAAAAAGTTTTTCTTTCATTTCTTGCAATCCCTAAGTAAAAGTAACCTAAAATGCATCTGTCTTTTATCAGGTATTTGATAAATGCAAAATTAACACTGTCTTTTTTCCTACTTTGTTCTGAAAATTAGAAGCTTTAGAATTTTTTCCTTCATGAGACAAATTTTGGAAAACTTCTCAAATAAAAACCTATTTGATGAACATCATTAATTTACATAGGGTGGGCACTGTCAGATATTTGCAATATCAGGCCATTTCTACACAAATAATTTTTATTTTTGCTATAGCTACCTTTTAACATAATCCACCCAACTAAAACATAATACTATCATTCAGGAGCCATGTTCAGAAGTTTGAGGAATTGCATAATTGCATTTGTTTTCATGCGTAAAAAAAAGAAAAAAACTTTTTTTTTTTTTGTAGTTTGGGCCAAAGAACGAAAATCATCATGTTTCACAAAAATCTATTCTGAGAAACCAAGTAGCTTGATAGTCCCTCAAAATTAAAATATAAATTATAAGCCTATGAAGTATAGAAACCTTTAATCATCTCTAAGAGAACATTTTCAATCAAAATTGGTTAATTACCATAGCTATGGCAAATTGTTTAGGTAAATACAACCACATACTCACATATAGAACAAAACAGTAGGAAAAGAAAAAGTTTACCCCCAAATGCTTTAGAGGATCAGCTCACTTACATTTTTGTCACAAATCAGGAACCTGCTTCTTTAGGATCTCATGGTAAATTGCTAGAATGTGCACTGAAAATATATCACAACGGTATATTTAGCATGGCTTATCTTCTTGAACGTAATTTCCATTCAAGAAAAAGAAAGATTAAAAAAGTTGCAATAAACTAGCAGAGAACCGCAACATGCTTTCCTGTGGTAAAAACTGAGTATCAGAAGAGCCCAAAAATAACTTATTAATTGCTACTGTAGAACTAATTGCAATATACACTATGTGTTCGACCTAAATATATGTAACTCCGTAGAGCAGAATATTTTCTAGAGTTCAACTATTGCTTTGGATATTGCTATCCTATCCGTCTTAACATTTATTTGATGCAGGAAAATTTTATATAGATGTGTGTAAAGTAGAAAAATATTACTATAATTAAAACAAAAACACGTTCCCAGTGAAGTCTACTTCATTTTAGGTGGGCTTCAAACATTTTAAAGTCAAGTTTTAATAGAGGTTCCTTCTTTCGTTATTCATCTCTTTTTGGAAAAAAAAATCTCTGTGACCTCTTCTTTCTGCTTAACTTGAAAATTAATATTATAGTTAGAAATTCTATCATATTGTAGTTCTAAACTGGATTCTTTATGTAACACTTGAGATCCTGAAGTCACCTGATTACTTATTGTGCATAATCCTAATTAATATAAATACTTATTTCCCTATTTTGTGGAAAAAAATCATCAGTTTTTCATTTGATTCAAGGACATCAACATTGCATATGAAAAAAATTATTATGGAGTCAATTTGAAAGTAAAAGCAAACTAAATTGAAAAGATCTTTCTGTTCTTTACAAAAGATTGTTTGCTACTTCTGGACTGAAAGTTGACTAATGTTCCTTTAATTAAAATTCCAGTTCCAGTTCCATTAGGCAAAGTAAACCTATTCAATTATTCTTCTGCTTAATAATGTAGTATTAAGAATTAACTGTTTGAGAAAGAAGTGGACATCATATTAATTAAAATGGTTTTAAGGTTACAATCATTATTTAATACCAAGGGAAAACCTATAGATTGAATAAATAAGTATAAATAAATTGGCCATGCGTGGTGGTTCATGCCTGTAATCCTGGAACTTTGAGAGGGTGAGGCGGTCGGATTGCCTGAGGTCAGGAGTTCAAGACCAGCTTGGGTAACAGGGTGAAACCCCCATCTCTACAAAAAATTAGCAGAGCGTGGTGGTGTGTGCCTGTAGTTACAGCTACCTTAGAGGCTGAGGCACGAGGGAATCGCTTGAACCCAGGAGACAGAGGTTGCAGTGAGCCGAGATCATGCCACTGCACCCCAGCCTGGGTGACAGAAAAAGACTCTGTCTCTAAAAATAAATAAAAAATGAAAATAACTATAAATAAACAAATAGAAATTAGTATTTGTGGAATATATGCTACAGGCATATCTCAGAGACATTATGGGTTAAGTTCTACACCACTGCAATAAAGCAAGTGTCACAATAAAGCAAGTCACACTAATTTTTTGTTTTCCCAGTGTGCATAAAATTTGTTTACACTATACCAGAGTCTATTAAGTGTGCACTAACATTATGTCTAAAAAAATACATGCATACCTTAATTAAAAATACTTTATTGCTAAAAAATGCTAATGATCATCTCAACCTTCAGTGAGTCATAAACTTTTTGTTCATGGAGGGTCTTGCCTTAATGTTGATGACTGTGGAATGCTCAGAGTGGTAGATGCTGAAGGCTGGGGAGGCCTGTGGCAATTTCTTAAAATAAGATTATAATGAAGTTTGCTTCATCATTTCACTCTTTCTTTCACAAAAGATTTCTTTATAGCATGTAGTGCCATTTGATAGCATTTACCCACAGTAGAATTTCTTTTAAAATTGGAGTCAATCGTCTCAAACCCTGCCACCGTTCAATCAACTAAGTGTATGTCATATTCTAAATGATTTGTTGTTATTTCAACAAAGTTCATAACATCTTTACCAGGAGCAAATTCCATCTCAAAAAAACCCATTCTTCTTGTTGTTAATTTTTATTTTTTATTGATATATAATAGTCCTACATATTTTGGGGGTTCGTGTGAAGTTTGATACATGTTCACGATGTGTAATGATCAAATCAGAGTAATGGGATATCCATCACCTCAAGCATTTATTTTTCCTTTATGTTAGGAACATAAAAATTTTTCTCTTCCAGCTATTTTGAAATATACAATAAATTACTGTTAACTATAATTTCCCAACTGCACTATCAAATACTAGAATTTATTTCTTCTGACTCTATTTTTGTATCCATTAACCAAATTCTCCTCATCCTTCATTCCCCTGTTCCCTTCCCAGCCTCTGATAACCACCACTCTCTATCACCATGAGAGCCACTTTTTTAGCTCCCACATATGAGTTAAAACAGGTGATATTTGTCTTTCTGGGTCCGGCTTATTTCGCTAAGCATAATGACCTCCAGTTCTATCTGTGATGCTGCAAGTGACAGTATTTTACTCTTTTTACGACTGAATAATATATTGAAGAGAGATCTGAAGTCTCATGTTTATTACAACAATATTCATAATAGCCAAGATATAGAATCAACCTAAGTGTTCATCAGTGGATGAATGGATTTTTTTTTTTTTTTTTTTGAGACAGGGTCTCGCCCTGTCACCCAGGCTGGAGTGCAATGGTATGATCTCGGCTCACTGCAACCTCCGCCTCCCGCATTCAAGCAATTCTCCTGCCTCAGCCTCCCTAGTAGCTGGGATTATAGGCGCACGCCTCCACGCCCAGCTAATTTTTGTATTTTTAGTAGAGATGGGGTTTCACCATGTTGGCCAGGATGGTCTCCAACTCCTGACCTCATGATCTACCTGCCTCGGCCTCCCAAAGTGCTGGGATTACAGGCGTGAGCCACTGCGCCCAGCGATGAATGGATTTTTTTTAAAAAGAACTTTATTTCTTCATCCATAAAGCACTTTATCCAAGTTTTATCCATCCAAGTTTTATCATGAGATTGCCACAATTCAATCACATATTCAAGCTCCACTTCTAATTCTATTCCTCTTGCTATTTCCACAACATCTGTAGTGACTTTCTCCACTGAAGTTTTCAAACCCTCAAAGTAAAGTTTAGAAGGGTTATGTTGAATTTAACCCTTCCAAACTCTTGTTAATGTTGATATTTTGACTTCCTCCCATGAATCATAGATGTTCCTAATGGCATCTAAAATGGTGAATTTTTTCTATACTTTGCCAAGATTCAACAGAAGAATCACAATCTGTGGCAGCTATAGCCTTATGCAATGTATTTCTTAAAAAAAAAATAATAAGACTTGAACGTAAAAATTATTACTTCATCCAAGGCAGCAGAATGGATGTTGTATTTGCAGACATGAAAACAACATTAACCTTGTACATCTCCATCAGAGCTTTTGGGTGACCAAGTGCATTGTCAATGAGGGTTTGTGAGCTAAAATGATTTCTGTTCACAGAGGACATCATCTTATATGTAGAGAACACTAAAGATTCCACCAAAAATCTATTAGAACTAATAAAAACAATTAGCAAATTGCAGGATACAAAATTAACAGACAAAAATCAGTTGTGTTTCTATACACTAATAATGAACAATCTGAAGGGGAAATTAAGAAAACAATCTTACTTACAATAACATAAAAATAATAGAATACTTAAAAATAAACTTATCCAAGAAGGCAAAAAAATACACCAAAACCTTTAAAACATTGCTGAAAGAAATTAAAGATGGAAATAAATGGAAAGCCATCCCGTGTTTATTAACTGAAAGATGCATTACTGTTAAAATGTTCACACTACTCAAAGCAATCTAAGATTCAATAAATTCTGTTGAAATTTTTTTTTGCAGAAATTAAAAAAATGCAAAATTTATATAGAACCACAAATAACCCAGCATAGCCAAAGTATTTTTGAGAAAGAAAAACAAAGCTGGCATAAAGACAGACATACAGCCCAGCAGAACTGATAGAGAACCCAGAGATAAAATCATTCACATACAGTCAAGTGACCTTCAACAGGGGTGCCAATTTAAACAGTGTGGAAAGGATTGCCTCTTCTACAAATGTTGAGAAAACTGGATATCCACCTGCAAAATATGAAATTGGCCCATATCTTACAAGATACACAAAAATCAACCTAAAATTTATTAAAGACTTAAATGTAGGACCTGAAACTATAAATCCACAAGAAAGCATAGGGAGAAAGTTCCATGACATTGGTTTTGGAAATTTCTTGGATATTACATAAAAAGCACAAGCAACAAAAGCAAAATTAGAAAAGTGGGACTACATCAAATTAAAGTTTCAGCACAGTAAAGGAAACAAGCCACAGACTGCAAAGACAGCCTACAGAATGAGAGAAAATATTTGCAAATAATATATCTGATGAAGGTTAATATCATATAATTAATTTCTACAACTCAATAGCAAACAAACCAACTAACCTGATTAAAAATGGGCAAGGGCCTCGAATAGATATTTCTCCAAATAAGACATGCAAATGACCAATAGGTATACGAAAAGATATTCAACAACCCTATGCATAAAGTAAATACTTATTAAAACCACAAAAAGTTATCACCTCATACCTGTTAGAATGGCCATTATGAATAAACAAAACCAGAAAATAACATGCATTGGTGAGGATATGGATAAATCAAAATCATTGTACATTGTTGCTGGGAATGTAAATGATAAAACTGCTATAGAAAACAGTGTAAAGTTTCCTCAAAAAATTAAAGCTAGAACTACCATATGATCCAAAAATCCCACTTCTGGATATTTATACAAAAGAATTGAAACAGGATCTTAAAGAAATATTTGCACTCCCGTGTTAGTTACAGCATTATTCTCAATAGCCAAGAGGTAGAAATAACCTATGCGTTAATCTCTGGATGAATCTATAAAGAAAAATACAATGAAATATTATTCAGCCTTTAGAAAGAAGGAAAGTCTACCATATTCAGCAACATGGATGAACTTCGGAGACATCAGGGAAAGTGAGATAAGCCAATCACAGAAGAACAAACCCTGCATGATTCCACCAATATGAGGTATCTAATGTAGCCAGACTAATAGAAACAGAAAACAGAAAAGTGGTTGCCAGGGACTGGGAGGTGGGAGGGAATGTAGAAATGGTGAGTTTCTGTTCAATGGGTATATGCAAGATAAAGAAGTTCTTGTCATGTGTTATACAACACTGCATATAGTTAACAATCCTGTATTGTACACTTAAAATTTGTTCAGAAGGTAGATCTCATATATTTTTACCACAGTAAAAAAAATTACCAAGTAGAAGAAGTCAAACACAAAGAAATTCATACTGTGTGATTCTTTTTATATGAAGGTCATGCACAGGCAAAACTATCGTGATAGAAATTAGGAAATAATTGCCTTCAATAGAGTTGGGGATAATGACTAGAAGGAGGCATGTGAGAACTTTCTGGGGATAATCTTGTTCTGAGTAGTAGTTATATGGGTGTATAAAACTGTAACAATTAATTTAAATAAACACTTAAATTCTTTTTTTATATATAAATTATTCTTTAGAAGAAATAGAAACAAAAAATTTTAATAACTTCTTTACAGAAGCTAAATAGATTATTTTTCCTCCATAGGAAAAAAATAGAAGAACTAAAAGAAGAAAATGTTAGTCAAAGGGTACAAAGTTTCAGTTTTTCAAGATGAGTAAGTCCTGGAGATCTAATGTATTGCATGCTGTCTACATGTAACAATACTGTATTCTATACTTGAAATTTGCTGAAAGAATAAATCCTAAGTGTTCTCAGCATGTCTGTGCATGTGTGCACATGCACACACACACACACACAAAGATAACTATGTGAAGTGATGGATATGTTAATTAGCTTGACTGTGTTATTTCACAATGTTAAAAAAAGAAACATACTGTCATCAGTTGCAGAAAACTTGGATGTTTAAGTTTTAAAAATTGTCTCATATTATACTAAGCACATAAATAGAAATCAATTGTAGAAGTGGGAGATGGGATTCTAATAAGTTTGTTTATCTAAAAATTTGATAGTAACGATTCACATAAATAATCAGTGTTATCCTGTGGCATATTTAGAAAATGTACATGAGAACAGAATGCATTTTCACCTAATATCAGTAGTTATACAAGCAGTAGGTCTTAAAAAAATGACAGAACCTGGGATAAAAACTGATAAGGTAGAGAACTGTGGCATAAGATACAAGAAAGACAGAATACCATGCCCAAAAACCAGTCTAAGGTCAGAAAACCAGGAAATATAAGATTAGCAAAACCAATATCCAAAGTCAGTCTCAGATAGATATTGAGGTTGAGGTTCAAAATTTTAAAAAATTTAAAAAGTTAGAAGTTAAGATATTTTAAAGGTAAACAAGAAATTATTTTCTTTCATAATACAGCTTTCATGCCTGCAGTATTAATTTCACTCTTGGGTATAAATAGAAGAGTGTTACAAAGATCCAGAAACCAGACACACACTCAACAACAGTGATTTAAAAACAATCAAGTTTTATTTTTAAAAAATCAGTCATTATTGTAAACCTGCAACAGAAAAAACAAATTAAAAATACGAATTAAATTCTACTTGGGAAAAAAAAGAGAAATGTATTGATACTGGTTTTGATCACTGGTGAAGACTTACGAAGCAGAGTAACAAGAAAGTTATACTTTGGAGGGAACTATATTATTTTATTTTTATGGTTTAGACTATGGAACAACCATGTTAGAAAGTCTATGAGATATTTATGTCTATATATCTCCAACGTGACCAAAGATGGGAACTAGATGCACAACTTGATCACTGTTTCATTCTGCATTATATGTAATTATATGTAATCTGTCAGTATTTGACTTGTCAAAACGAACACAAATTATATGGCTCCACAGAGCTTGTTGTAGATTAACTCCAACTTGGACCAACAGTCAGCACTTACAAAGGAGGTTTGAGAAAGAATGAACAAACAAATTTGATGTACACACACACACACACACACACACACACTTATTTACTTCCCCTTATGATAGAGATTTCAAGCACAGTAGCTTTGGTTTAAAATCTCCCTCATTAATATGAGCCAAAGTAGAAATCAATGATAAATACTTGTTATACTTTCAGCATTGTAAGCACATCTTATAAATTTTCTCAAAGAATTGTAATGCTAGAAACACTTTAATCAAAGTATAGCGATGTGTAAGTTTAAGTAGTCTTAAGGAAAATTCGGTTTTGAATAAATATAGTTACTAAAGAATTTTATGTTCTGCAACATGAAAAGTTGTTAACATTTTACTTTTCCAATATATCATAATATTTTATGTATTATTAAGGTATATTCTTGATGTGCATTCTTTCTTTTATTTTTATGTGCTTTTTTCTCTCTAAATATTTACCCAGAGTAGTATAAAATATGATTATCTAGTCCCTCTACCATTTCCTGCAAATACAAATTCTTTTTAAAATGAAAAATAAATATATTATCAAGTATCTACTTTTGCAGAGCCCAGCAGTTTTATTGAAAAGCAAATGTTCATTAGTATGCACTGATATGAAGACGATCTTACTGACAATTCCCAGAGTGTTTCCTCTTTCATAAACAGATTGTTGATGGCTGATGCATGATCCATCTGAGCATTGCAATAAAAGAAAATATCACAAAATGTGCATAGGGCTTCATAGAAATGAGTGCCAAAAGTTTCAATCAATAGGAAGAGAATATTCGCACGTGCACACACACACAACTATATCCATTACTTAGATCTGACTGATGCAATTTGCAAAAAAATTGACTTCTGTTGTGTTTTTTATTGAATAGATGTGCCTTAAAATAGGTTTTAGTCAGTTTTCTTAATTGAAGCTCTTTATTCAATCAAAGAAAAAAATACTATAACCTACACCAAAGAAATAGTATGGTTTTGAGAGAGTTGAGCTATTTTACCAATGCCAAAGCATTCAGACGAAAAGTAAGGAAATTCTGTTAACCATGCATATGTTTTACTATTTGATGCCAACCATACAGATGTCCTAAGTATCTGGATGTTTTGACATCACATAAAATAAGTGAAAAGGACCCCTGAAAATTTCTGGTAATTAATCCACTTATGTATTTATTCATGCTACAAATATTTATTTTGCACCTAATACATGCAATGTGCTATGTTAGGTGTTGTAAAGAAGGCATAGGTGTTCAAGGATCAGAATCTGTGTTCAAAAACTTAGAATTAGACAGAAGGGATAGAATGTGAACACGATATAATGGGGTCTATGCTTTAAGAGGCTGAAAATTGCCATAAGCATGAATAAATAAAATATAGTCTTCTTTAGATGATCAAGGTAACGTTTAATCTGAAATTTGAAAGAGTGGATAATAGTCTTACAGTAAATGACTGGGAATAAAGTAGGAAATATGTAAGCAAAGACATTTATGCCAGATAATTCCATGTGCACGCAAAGATGGTTGTAATCCAGGGGAATATTGATAGGTAAAACTAGGAAAGTGGGTTTGACTTATATTACAAAGGGCTTTTAATATATAAGAATGAGTGATGTGTATTTTATTTTTGAGTGGTGAGACACCATTAAATTCCATGTAATATGCTGAAAAAGTTTTTAAGAAATCAATTCCTTACATAAATAGTTCCCCTCCCTCTTCGGTTTTTCTACCTGGCAAATCAGAGGGATGCATGATATCAACTCTAAGATCTCTTCAAGGTCAAAAAACTATGAAAACAAGATTTCATTTGGTCAGCAAGAATCGTCCAGCCAAGGACTGTGAGCATGAGAAACACAATCATCATAACACTCTAAGAAGTTTTATCTGTTATTGATGTGGAAGATTCATTGAATTTTGAAGAGACCAGTTAGAGGGCCTTTATGACTGTCTTTACAGAGCCCAGTCTGGGATAACAACACTGGAAGTGAAAAGGGATAGACGTGAAAGACCTTTCTTTGCTTTTTGGTCAGGAAAGTGGTCATGAAATCAGTGAAATTTTAAACTTATTTCCAATCAGTCACAGCCAGATTACTTAAATTTTTTATAGTAGAGTTTCTAAATGAGTAGAAAAAGATTCATAATTCCTGTATACCATATGGGAATTTCTAGGGTGTCTTTTTGCTTTGTGTGTGTGTGTGTGTGTGTGTGTGTGTGTGTGTAATTAGAAATGTTCTGATGAAAGATATTTTAAAAACAAAATACTATCCATTATCACGTTCCATATTTTCCTGTCATTCACATTCTCTAATAAGCATTTCCATAAAAACTATATTTACCTCCTTATCCTCAGGTAAAATACATATTGAAACTTCCTTAGAACGCTAATTTCTCAATATTTATCTAAATGTATTTTTAAACAGAGATGAACATAACACAGCCATAGTGGCTCAATGAATAAAGAGATATTGTGTTAATTTTTTATAAAGCTTTGTTTTATACACTTCTGTTTCCAGTGGGAGCCCTTTTTGATATTTCCAAAGCCAAATACCAAAAAAATTTAAAATGGCCCATATTAACTAGAAATAAACATGATACACTATAAAATTCTCTAATTTTGAAAACTGACACATTCAAGTTTGAAACTTTAAGCACTAAACCGCTCTGTGCTGTATTTTTTTTACTTGTCTATAAAAGTTAGAATAATGATATCTTAAAAATATACTGTGCATGTCAAATGAGACCATAAATGAAAGGTCTAGTTCAATGGCTACCACATAGTGTATATAGTAATTATTTTTAAAATATTCATAAGTTAATTGTAGCTTTCAGGTCATCTTTGCAGTTGTATATGAGTGGGATGAAAGCGAAGGCATGGTAAAGAAGATATATAGGAGCAATGAAGAGACAAAGAACCATTTATCTTCTCAGTCATTTCCAGAAATTGGAAGAATATTTGCAAATAGGAGTCAAGACAACACCACGAACTATTCTTATAGACTAGTAATGCACTTAATGGTTGATTTACTAATGCTTAGACATTAATGTGCTTTAAATTAAGGTTTTGCTGACTACTTATAATCAGGTATTTCCTCCACATTCTGGACACATTAAATATATATGGTCTTCACATTGCTTCTCATAATGAAAATTATTAAGAGTATTATAGTGTAAATTAATGAACATGTTCTTCTCATACATATTTGTCTAAGCCAAATATGACAGAGGTGAACAATTGAAAAAATTTACTTCTGGCATTGAATGAAGAGATCTGCTGAAAGAGATAAAAAATGAAACATGGAGAAAAACCAATTCTTTCTAATAGGATCAAATTGCTAGTGTTTGTAGTGAGTACCTATTTGAGTCTTTGGCTATTTGAAGTTAAAGTCACCAAAAAACTGAACATGATAGGAGATACATATTAACAAATTAGAAATATACAGTTCCTTACCTTTTACTGTGATAAATACAAATTTATATTGTTTTCTCAGTATGAAGCTCATATTTTTTCACTTCCTTCTTGTGATAACTATAGTTTTTTTTTTTTCTGGTTCTAGAAGATAGAACTGAAATGTTTTACCTTTGGGCTAAAAAAGTTTGAGTGCCTCCCAACTATCAGCAGACATAATGCCATGGAAGACTCTGATTGTGATTGTGATTAACAGTGTGTTACTCTGCAGACTGTCTCTGGACATTTTATGATAAATTGCAGTTACAAATTTTCATTGCATTTTAATGGTTGATATACCGATGTTTATAAAACCAAAGGTCAATTCAATAGTTGAAAACAGTGGTAATAGTACTGATACTGAATGAACACTTACTTGTAAAACAGGGAAAGAATAGAGAAAATCTGGCTGATAAGGTCACACAGTTGAACAGCCGAATATGTCTAATTGCCCTATTTTCTTCCAAAGGCCATAAACTTTGCCACATTTTGTAAATGCGAGAGTTACAGTATCACATATAGAAATACTCCTAATATGCAATATCAAAGATAGGAGTTCAAAGGTGGATGGAAACAGAACGAAATGAATCCCAGAAAATTATTGCTGAAAAAGGTTTAAGGAAAGTGTGAAGTCAACATGGACAAAGAATAAAAAGAAATGTTTTGAAAGAGAAAATATTTTTAAATTATTCAAGCATCTAGAGTGATCTGGTTTTAGATGTCTACATTTTGATAATATTCACATTTCATTTTGTTCATGAGTCAGGAAAGGGGAGAAGAAAGAAATTATTTGCAAGATATGTGAAAATCTGTGTTTAGCATTTATTTTTCTTTCAAGTTTCAATTTTGATGCTCACGTATTTTTGTTTTAGTGTAAGAAGGAGCAGAAACTATTTACAGTGCTAGTACATAGCTCTACTATTTATTATTTAGGATAATGTACTTGTGTTTTACTTTGTAATTTAATACTTAATTAGAACCCAAACTATATGAAGTTACCTGTCCACTTACAAATTTCTGTCTGGTAGAAAACATAATGACAAAGGTAATGTTTTATTGCCCTGTAGACATTTACCTGTTTGGTTTCTAACTCAGTAAACCTTTCAGATTCCCTTTTCTGGTGAATTATATAACCCCTGTTCTTCAATACGCTTGTTGAACCAGCCTTATTATCTCAAAGGTTTCCATAGTAACTAAATAAGTAATTAATATGTTCATTCTACATTTTCATCAGAGTTTTTTTTTATTTTCTGAAGATTATACTCCAATAGACTGATGGAATTCTATGCAGTATGTAGAAAAGTATTAATGACCAATCAAATAAAAATAAAAAGCCTTAGATAGATATTTCTAAAAGAAGCATAGCTCATTTTTTGTAAATGAAGGTATTAATTTAAGTTATGTAATAGCTGATATATTTATTTCTGTGAAAACAAAACTTAATTATTCCATGTATGATATATATGTGTTTCTTTGCTTTTTGGAAATACCAACTTCTATTATTTCAAATACCTTAGTTAAAATGATGAAATATTAAAGCTGTAAGAGTACAAAATTATACCAAGTTTTCACCCTTCAAAATTTCTTTCTCATTTTAAATATCAATCCAAACAAAAATCAAACTCTATTAAGATGTCTTTTTAAAATGTAATATTATATCAGAAACAATGATGCCTCCTTGAAAACCATTGCCCTCAATTATGTTAGAAGAAGAAAACATTGGTTTAAATAAAAAACTGCATGATTATGATCATTAAATTCCCACTATATCTTAAACTGAAGGACATTAACCAGAAAGCTGATAATATGCAATTAACAAATTGTTCCATTGAGTTCAGATTTTTTGTGTGCATTAAAGTACCTAATTTTATGCCAGACATACAGCCAGCCTTCACTTATAGGAGTTTCCTCCAGCCCTCCCCACCTCATTCTACTGTTCTTTTACTTTTTAAATTTTCATACAGTACAGTTAATTTTTGTCTACCATTATATGAATTTTAACACACGTATAGATTCATGCAACCACTATCACCATAATCCAGGCAAAGAAAAGTTCCATCAGTGTCCAAAATTTCCAGTTCTATCTCTTTATTATCATATTCTCCACCCATCCTTAATTACTGATTTGTTTTCAATCATAGTAGTTTTGTGTTTTCATAGTCATATCAGTAGAATCCTATGCTATACAACCTTTTGAAACTACCTTTTTCTCTCAGAATAATGACTTTATATTCATCCAAGTTGCTGTATCAATAGTTTATTCTTTCTTTTTGCTGAGACATATTCAAGATACGATTGCAAAAGAACAGTTCTTAAAGGAAATTAAGTGTTTAGTGCTATAAATTTATCTCTTAGCATTGCTTTAGCTGTCCCACAAATCTTTACATTTTGTGTTTTCATTTTCATTCAGTTTAAAATACTTTCAAATTTCCCTAGAGCATTTCTTGTTGACAAATGGATTAATTAAAATATGCTGTTTAATTTTCACATCTTTTGAGATCTTTTTCTGTTATCTTTTAGTCATTAGTGTGATGTTTAGTTCCATTTTTGTCAGAGGATGTACTTCGTATTACCTCAATTGTTCAAAATTATTAAGGTTTACTTTATGAACCAAAGTATATTTCTTGGTTATTATTCCATGTGTACTTAAAAAGAATGTGTATTTGGCTCTTTTTGGGTAAAGGTTGTTATACAGATAATTGAATCCATTGGTTGACCTTGTTATTTAGCTCTTGTATGTCTTTGCTAATTTTCTGTTAGTTTTATCATTGAAAGAGGAGTGTTGAAGTCACCAACCATAAATGTGGATGTATCTCTTTCTCTTTCAAGTTCTGATATTTTTCTCCTTTATGTATTTTGAAGCTCTGTTGTTTGGTACAGACACATTTAAGATGTTTCTTCTTGATAGACTAACCCTTTTTGTCAATATGTAATATCCCTCTTCACTTATGTCATTTTATTGTATTTGTTCTTAAGTTTAATTTATCTAATATTAATTTGGTCACCTTGGTTTGTCATAACTATGGTTTACATATCTTTTGCCATCCTTTTACTTTTAAGCTACCTATATCATTATATTCAAAGTGAATTTCTAGGGTTTTCATTTGAATAGCAGTTTACCTGTACAGGCATACCTCAGAAATATTGTGGGTTGGGATTCAGACCACCACAATAAACCAAATATCACAATAAAGAGGTCACACAAATATATTTTACCATGCATATAAAGGTAATATTGAATCAATAGTTTAGTATATATATGTGTAATAGTATCATGTCTAAAAGCAATATGCATACTTTAATTAAAAATACTTTATTGCTAAACATGCTAATGATCATCTGAGCCTTCAGCAAGTAGTAATCTTATTGCTGATGGAGGGTCTTGCCTCGATATTAAAGGCTACTTACTAATCAGGGTGGTGGTTGTTGAAGGTTGAGGTAGCTATGGCAATTTTTTAAAACAAGAAAACAATGATGTTTGCTGCATTGATTGTCACTTCCTTTTTCTGTAGCATGCAATGCTGTCTGATAATGCTTTACCCACAGTAGAACTTCTTTCAAAACTGGAGTCAATCCACTCAAATCTATCACTCCTTTACCACTAAGTTTATTTCACATTCAAAATCCTTTGTTGTTGTTTCAACAGTGTTCACAGTATCTTCACCAGGAGTAGATTCTATCTCAAGAAATCACTTTCTTTGTTCATCTATAAGAAGCAACTCCTTACCCATTCAAGTTTTAGCTTAGGATTGTAGCAATTCAGTTATATTTGAAGGTTCTGCTTCTAATTCTAGTTTTCTTGCTATTTGCACCGCACCTCCAGTGACTTTCTCCACAGAAGTCTTGAACTTCTCAAAGTCATCCAAGAGAGGAAGCAAGTTCTCCCAAACTCCTGTTACTGTTGATATTTTGACGTCCTCCTATAAATTACATTCTTTATTATATCTAGAAGGGTGAATCCTTTCCAGGAGGTTTTCCAAATACTTTGCACAGACTCATCAGGAGAATCACAATCTATGGCAGCTATAGTTTTATAAAATGTATTTCTTAATTTGAAAAAAAATTCAAATTACTCCTTGATCCATGGACTACAGAATAGGTGTGTTATCAAGCAAGAAAATATCATTAATTTCCTTGTGCATCTCCATCAGAGACCTTGAGTGACCAAGTGCATTGTCAGTAAGCAATAATATTTTGAAATGAATCTATTTTCCTTAGCAGTAGGTCTCAACAGTAGGTTTAAAGTATTCAGTAAACCATGCTATAAACAGATGTACTATCATCCAGGCTTTATTATTCCATTTATAGGGTACAAGCAGAGTAAACTTAGCATAATTCTTAAGTGCCCTAGGATTTTCAGAATGGTCAATAAGCATTGGCTTTAACTTAAAGTCACCAGCTGCACTAGCCTCTAAGAAAAGAGTCAGCTTGTCCTTTGAAACTTTGAAGCTAGGCATTGACTGCTTTTCTCTATATATGAAAGTCCTGTATAGTCCAATATAAGGTCATATTGTCCACATTGAAAAATTGTTGTTTACTGCAGCCATCTTCATCATTTATCTTAGATTTTCTCGATAACTTCTTGCAGCTTCTACAGCAGCACTTGTTTCTTCTCCTTGTGCTTTTGTAATATGGAGATGACTTCTTTCTGCTATCTTCCAGCTTTTCTTCTCCTCACTTTCTCAGCTTTCACAGAAATGAACAGAGTTAGAGCCTTGCTCTAGATTACGCATTGGCTTAAAGGAATACTGTGACTGGTTTGATCCTCTATCCTGATCACTCAAACTTCCTCCATGTCAGTACTAAGTTGTTTTTTTTTTTTTTCTGTCTGTTTGTTTTCTTATCATTCCTTTGTTCCCTGGAGTAGCACTTTTAATCTCCTTCAAGAACTTTTTGTTTGCATTCCCAACTTGGCTTATGGTTTTGCTACAAGTCTAGACTTTTGACATGCCCTCCTCACTAAGTTTAATTATTCCCAGGTTTTGATTTAAATTGAGAGATATACCACTTTTCTTTTCACTTAACACTTGGAAGCCATTGGATTGGTATTGATTGGCCTCATTTCAATATTTTTATGTCTCAGGGAATAGGGAAGCCCAAGCATAGGAAGAAACACAGGGAAACGGCCAGTAAGTCTGTGAAACAGTCAGAACACACACAATATTTATCTAAGTGTCTTGTGGCACTTCAAAACAATTACAATAGTAATATCAATCATCACTGATCACAGATCACCATAATAGATGTAATGACAAAGTTTGAAATGTGAGAATTATCAAAATATGATACAGAGAAAGAAGTGAGCAAGTGCCGTTGGAAAAATTGGTGCCGATAGACTTGCTTGATGCAAGATTACCACAAATCATTAATTTGTATAACACTCAATATATACGAAGTTTGATAAAGTAAAGCACAATAAAACAAGGTATGCCTGAGTAACAAAGGAAAGGACAAGAGGAAAAGCCAATACAGTATTTCATGAATATGGAAGCAGCACAAAAATTACAAAAATTTTACCTTCAACAATTTGCACCTGCAAATGGCTAATTTTTCCTACAATTAGAACTTTTATCTTTAAAATTAATGAATCATAGCTATAACTATTTTTATACACTATCTTTGCACCCTCAACTAACTCTGGGTACAGACAAAAATTTCCCCATAAGCATGTAAGTACGATAAAGATTTTATCATTGAAGAGGATTCCTTGCTTGTTCTTATGGTATAAATGTATATTATACTTATATTCTGATACTATAGGGATTAAAATGTAATAAAAGAGAGAATTTGTAATGTATTCTCTCCAGTTAAAAAATAAATGTTTGCTGCACTCCAGCCTGGGTGACAGAGCGAGACTCCGTTTCAAAAAACAAACAAACAAAACAAAACTATATATATATATATATAAAATGTTTAAAAAAGTAAATTGTCTTCTCTGTGGAAAATTGTTCATATCTACTTAATCCTGTCTTCTTTCTTGTTTTTGTTTTTCGTACAAATATTTACCTTCAAGTACACTTTTAAAATGTTTTATATTTAAATATTCTCAGCAGCTTAATGTTCAATAATGTGTGTGTATATATATATATACATGTATTCCTTTTTTTGTCTATCTTAACTTCTTTTGCTTTTTATAGATCTTCCCATTTTCCTAGCAGACGTATTTTTAAAAACCATCTGTGTATTGCTTATACAACTCTTTGCATTCCTCCTTAATCATATTGGCCTGTTCTGTCCTTTTCCATCTTTAGACTTAATTAAGCTGTGTTGCATTGAATTTTTTATGTTACTTGAATATTTCAAGTTTCCCTGCATAGCGTAACAAAAACCTTTATGCAGTACACTCAAAAGTCCTATGGACAGCCCAGTATCTCCTCAAAGTCACCTTCCCTAAAATCACAGGATGCTGCACTGCTTCTTTTATGCTCATATATCTCTTCATATTAGATGAAGAAAATTTCAACATTTTAAACACAACTGCTTCCTTCTCCCTCCAAATATCTTGGAAGAGTTTCTATCTCACATAATTCAAGAGAGAAAGCCTCGGCCCGGCGCGGTGGCTCACGCCTGTAATCCCAGCACTTTGGGAGGCCGAGGCTGGTGGATCATGAGGTCGAGAGATCGAGACCACCCTGGCCAACATGGTGAAACCCCGTCTCTACTAAAAATACAAAAAAAAATTAGCCGGGCATGGTGGTAGGTGCCTGTAATCGCAGCTACCTGGGAGGCTGAGGCAGGAGAATCGCTTGAACCCAGGAGGCGGAGGTTGCAGTGAGCCAAGGTCACACCATTGCACTCCAGCCTGGGCAAAAATAGTGAAACTCTGTCTCAAAAAAAAAAAAAAAAAAAAAGAGAAAGCCTCTCTTCAGTTTGTAAAATGTGCTTTTATATCACTGATATCGCAAACAATATCTGAGTGATTAAAAACCTTTGAGATTTAACTTCTAACCTATTTCGAGCTTCTCTTATCAGTAAAAGTATTTTCTGATCTGTTTTCCCTCACTACCTTGTAGCTCTATAATAACCTGGATACTATTGCTATCACTATCTTCTGTGCTCTTATGTGTCAGCTAAAATGTTTGTATTTTTTTCTCTTTGTATATTCAGTATTCTTTTTTCCACTTTCATCACCCTACCTTATCATTATTTCCCCATTTCTTTACTTGATTTTTTTCTTGAGTTTTAAATTTTCTCATTTTTTTATATTGTTGAAAATTGGAAATATCCAGTGAAAATCATGCAATGTTGAGTTGGGGTCTTTATATATATATAGCTTAGATTAACTATCATTTTTCTTATTTACCGCTTTAGTTTCGAACTGCTGTATCTGCAGTGGAATGTTAAAGTTTTAGAGGGTAAGAACTGTGATTTTCTATGTAGAACATGCAATTAACTGTTTTATGAGCCATATATTTGCAACACAATAAATAAAAATCAACATTGCTTAAGGTAACTGTTATTTGGATTTAAATAGTTTTCTGAAATATTATTGATAATAACTATTATGTTGTCCGTTTTCAAACAACTTAAGCTTTCTAACAAGGGAATAACAAAACGATAACACTGGCAAGTCTTAGAAACATCAGCCAAATATTGGTGGGGTGTTTGTTTAGCCAGATTAATATTTAGAATCACTTTCATGACTACTCTGTTATACTTTGAGAGTTTAACAAATATTACCACTTTGAAGTTTTATATAGTCTCACTTTAATATGAGTCTTGCCTACCAGGCAATTTTCCATAATGGTAAGAAATCTATCTGCCCACTTTCTGCCAAACACTCTAAAGTTTGCATATATTTTCTCTGAAATTATCCTATTTGCTTAAAAATTACCCAAAATATTCCACTTAAGGACTGCATAATCTATGACTCATCCCTAAAATCTAACTTGTGCATGAATCATATCGCAACTGGTTTATTTTGAAAATAAATCAAAACTAAACAACAACATCAATACATCTTTTCCACATTTATAAACAATGTTTGAAATGCTAAATTTCCATCTCTCTATTCTAGCATTGACAACGTAAAGGCACATTTTCTGCCTAATAATGGAATTTTTTAAAACCTAAAAAAAATTCTGTAGGTTGTGTTTGCTAGGTTCTTGTAGAATCTTGGGAGGTGGAAGGAGCTCATGTAGGTGAGACATAGAAGAAGCTGGGCAACCCTACATCCCTGATTTATGTCTAGGTTGCTCCTCCTGCCTCTCCCAGTTGTTAAAAAGACAATAGTACATGTATGTATACTGAGTAATAACAGAAAAGGGCAAAAGGAGATTGTTTGCCTTGTGAAAAGTGGAGTGCTTTATTAGTGACCTTCCAGGCCTGAAGGAGCGAAAAAGGTCTACAATTTGTTTTTGTTCTGAGATTCAATTTCCTTAATGGCTTTAGGTCTGGTTAAAATCATGTTTTTTCTGCTCACTAACTCATCTGTTTGCTTTTAGAAATAACTTGCATTTTTTGTCTATAATAAAATATGTATAGTCATTGATCTTGAAATGAACATTTTTGACAAAGAAATTCCCTGCAACTGGCTACCAAAATTTTGGGGAAGTATTAAAAATTGTAAGCACTGAGGAAGCAGGGAAGTTACTTGGGCTGATACAAGCATGTGCTGTAGAAATAGAAGTTGCAGGTTGCAATTGAACATAGGAAAAATTAGTTTGAATGTCAGGAAAAGTTGTCATCTCAGAGATTTAATTAGGTAGTGAAATAGTTTCCCAGAAGAAATGGCAGAAATTTATTGCTGAAGCTATTTAAAATTGGCCTGGACAAAGCACTAGGGAATATATAGAAGGGGGCAATCCTTCACAGATTCTCCAGGATTGATGGAGATAGCAATTGGTCTTTTGCATTTCTAATGTTCATGACCATTATTCTAGCATTTCACTTCATAATGCTAAATAAATGTGTTCTCCTCACCATTGTAAACCTGAAAATCAGAACATTACATGATACTCACAGGGATAGCCACAGCTACATTTTGAAAACAGTGATCCAAGCTGAATATTCCCATTTACTTTATTAGTCACACAGCTGTTTTCTTTATTTCTTTCTTCCTTTTATGAGTGGGCAGAAAGAAAAAATCTCCCAGGAAGCTTCTGATGAGCATTTCATTTTTTTCCTCTCATCTGTATGTGAGGACCAGAAATTTTCCTTCTTTTCTTTTTTTTTCTTTCCTTCCTTCCTTTCTTCTTTCTTTTTTCTCTTTCTTTCTTTCCTTCTTTCTGTCTTTCTTTCCTTCCTTCCTTCCCTCCCTCCCTCCTTCCTTCCTTCCTTCCCTTCTCCCTCCCTGTCTCTCTTTCTCTCTTTCCTTCTCTTTCTTTCTTTTTCTTTCTTTCTTTCTTCTTTCTCTTTTCCCATTTTGAACAAATAATCAGTTCTTTCAATAGCTCAACTACTGTTCATTTTTCATCTGAATAAGGGTCCAAAAAAGGGTTTTTTTTAATCTTTGGCTCTCTCGCAAAGCCCCCCTGGGTATGCTCATAATCATTACATTTAGGATTCTGGTTTAGCAACTCTTTATTCTGTTCAATCTGTGAATAAGAGAGGGAGGAAGTAGAATATGAAACTAGATAAGATACTACTGATAAATATTTCTTCAATAAAACTTTACAGTCAAATCAATAATTCTGGTTTATGTGAAGTATGTGAATATGCTTCTCTTGAGATTATGTATAAGTATTAGTCCATTTTCATGCTGCTGATAAAGACATACCCAAGACAGGGAAGAAAAAGAGGTTTAATGGACTTACAGTTCCACATAGCTGGGGAGGCCTCACAATCATGGCAGAAGGCAAGGAAGAGCAAGTCATATCTTACATGGATGGTGCAAAGAGAGAGCTTGAGCAAGGAAACTCCCATTTTTAAAACCATCAAGTCTTGTGAGACTCATTCACTATCACGAGAATAGCACAGGTAAGATCCACCCCCATAATTCAATCACCTCCCACTGGGTTTCTCCCATGACACGTGGGAATTGTGAGAGTTACAATTAAAGATGAGATTTGGGTGGGGACACAGCCAAACTATATATATTATTGTGTGTGTGTGTATATATATACACACACTCACTATATATATATATGTGTGTGTGTGTGTGTGTGTATATATACACACACACACACACACACACAAAATATTCCTTGACCATACTTGGTAGACTTGGAATGTATTTTAGTCAGTTACAAAATTTCCTTCCTTTGAGTAATGATGTTAGAAATACATCCTGCACCCTAACTAGTATGCAACAAGGTAGATCTTACAGGCATATGATTTTCTAGTCAGTTTTTAGCTCTTCTCCACGGACATTTTTATCCACTTTAAAATTCAGAGGAGTACCTCCATACTTGCCCCTTCACTGTCCTCCTAATAATAATAGGTAACAAAACAAAACAACATTCAATCTCTGCCAGACAATGTGTTTGTTCCTTTTCATGGATGATTCGCACTGAATCATCACAACCCTTGAGGTAAATATTTTTATTAACCTCATTTTCAGGAAAGTAACTTGGCCCAGGTCACACAGGTAGTAATGGGTAAAATTAAGCCTGGAATGCAGATAGTCTGACATCAATATACATACTCTTAAAACTGCCACACTGAAATGCTTATAGCCAGTTACTGAAATGCCTCTGAATGGGGAATAAGGATGTCTATACAATGCTCTGAAATCTGTGACTTTCAAGATCTTTAAGAATAAGTACCAATGAATTATCTTCAGCATGGTAATGTATGCCACAGTGATATGCACAGAGAATCAAAAAGCAAGACAAATTCTTTGAATATTTGATATTCAAATTCTGTAAGTCCATTTTTCCCACAGATTTAGTTTCCAATGTCTACAAGAGATTCAAGTGGGCTACAAGTTGGGAAGTTTCCATTAACCAGATGTTAGTATCTAAGGCTAATGATTTGAAGACATTTAAGACTCTCCTAGCTCTTGAAAACTAACAAAGATAACTGCTCTCGTAGTCAAAACTTTCAAATCCTGACATAATTCTGCAAAATGTAATTAGGTCACCACCAAGACATTTTTTTTCAAATCAGAATAACCTCAATTCCCTTAAGCTATCATTATTATATATACTTTTGAACTATTTGAGGACAATAGATAGATACTAAGTTAAGCATAAGTGTCTTTCCTAAGGAATGGTGTAAGTAGACATGAACAGAGCTTGGCAGAGTCTAATGAGGACTTTATAGAGAGAGAGAATCATCTTTGCTATTCTGCTCCTTATTTCCATTCTTTCAATTATTTATGATATTCTAATATATACAACTTTTTATTATTTCTAAGAATGCATTCACATTGCTTGGATCATAATCAATTCCATAATTTAAATTTAAAATACTTGTTTTGTAATATGTATTACTAATATATGAAGGTTACAGAATATCTAAACATGGGAAAACGGATATGCTTCATACTCAAATTTGATATTATTATGCAGTGAATATTCTAACCTCTTTGTAATCAGCAGAAAGTGCTAGAAGTAATATCAGTCTAAGGGGAACAAACTAATTAGCAATAATGATAGTGGCCGAGAGCATACCTTGAAGCTGTTTTCTTTTCTTCTGTCAATACCAAAGAAAACAATAATATCAAATGATAAAGGTAGCTTTGAGGACTTGAACACATTTTCACCAGAAGAAAAGAAACATTACTAGTTGGGTAGTTGGAGACAAGAAGTCAGTAAAGAAAACTCTTACAAGAAATTTATGTACATAAAATAATTTTCATCTTTTGGTCATGTGTTTGTCAGGCCAGGTAATTTTGAAGGGTTGTTGCTAATCAACAGTCTAATTTAAAGTGAAAGATCTGAAAATGCTAGATAAAAATGTGATTAAAAAGTAAAGAATCTGTGAATATTTATTTCCATTTGCTCTTGTTGGGAGAAATTTCAAAACATCACCTTCCCAGAAAAGAATGGATTAGATTTAGTGAAAGCTAAACACCTCATTCTAAATGTCATACAGACAGAAGCTATAAGCAAAATTCTGTGAGCTAAATTATTACTCTTTCTATCACAAATGGGACTGGACTGAGAGCCTACTGGAACCAGAAATCCAGGTAGATCTACAGAGTTTAATATAATGCTGGGAACTGTAAAAATTAGGATATAGTCAGGAGTCTTTCTGAATTAGTGTACAGGACCAAAATGGAAAGAGTAGAGTCATAGTGGAACTATCATTCAAAATTAGTTAATAGAAGAAAAGTACTAATAAAATATATTTATTCATGGTTCAAGCAGAGTTAAAATGCAGAAAGGCCAGGCAGGAAGTGGAAAGAAATGTCTGTGAATATAAGCAACCCAGCATGTTTGATATGAATGGAGTTGGAGAAATGATGTCGTAAAGAAATCTTCAACATTGTAGAATCTTGGGTTTGGGATTAATTTTGTTAGAAAGGGTAAGGAGTTTCCTTACAAAGACAAATTGCAAGGCTCTTTATAGGCTTTGTGATAAGTCAGAATATAAGGTTCAACTATGATGGAGATCAGTTAACTGAGCTACAGGGATTAGAAGAATGCTACAGCTAGGAATTTTAGCAGGTCATTATAATTCCATCTGTACTTCTGGTACTATTTTCTCTGTATCTTGTCTTGGGTACATCAGCCAGCCTGGTACGTAACACTACTGCACATCCCAATAATTCTGCTTGTTCATCTTCAGAGATTGGGCCACTAGGCCACACTGATGACTCTTCTGAGAGGGATATTGTAGAAGCTTTGCTCTTACTTGACCTTCCAGTAGTGTAAAAAGCCCCATACTGATCTTAATTAATAAAATGTTAATCTTCTTCCAGGGTTGATACCTAAATCAACTAATTGCACTCTCTGAGTATACTACTTACCATCACAACATAATACCGGATATGTCAGAAAGTCTCAGGGCTAGCAGAAAGGGTTTTAGCACACTGGCTTCACATCTATGCATCACTTTTTCTATGGTTTACATTACACCTAGAGAAGAAAACAAACCAATAAGTACTTTTATCTTGTGAGATGAAACATGGCATAATGAAAAAAATATATGAGTACTGGAATCAAACAGTCCTTGGGAAGGTTGTCTTAATGCTCTGGATTTCTGTTTCTTCATCTGTAAAAATGAGAATAAATATTGCCTACCAAACATAGTGATTAAGACTAAATGAGACTAAAGAAGATTAAATGAGATAATGCTGATGTGAATGTCTGAATCATAATTGGCTCTCAAAAAGTGTTTGTTAAATTTAAGCTAAAGAGTTGTGTTTCAAACAAAAGCCAACTCTCTTCAAGTTAGAGTAATGTTTGTTTTCCACACACAGCATCACTGCATTTAATAACGATTTGTGTACAAAGACTGTAAACATTCCCTTAAAAAGTTTACAGAAAGTTCTAGCTACTAGTGATGCAATTTAAGCAATAGCCTGATAGAAGAGGAAGCGCTAATTTCCATAGGTGTGCCTCATACTGAATGACCTATACAAGTCTATAAGGAGAGCAAAGGATCAATAGCTGTTTTTTTGTGGAACTAAACCAAGGACAAAAATATGCTAAGGTGTTTAGCTAAATTGTGCCAAAATATAAATATAAGTTAACTTTATCTGCCCAGTTTATAGGGGAAAGGAAATGACACAAACCATTTTCACTTATCAGACTATACCCTTTTTTGGTGATTTGTTGTTGTATAAATCCTTTTTGAGGGTATCATTGATGACATTCAGACGAGACCAAACTAAGAGATTCCTCTCCACATGCACATGCAAACACAGGTGCTCCTTGACTCATTAGGGGGTTATGTCCTGATAAACCAATAGTAAATTTAAAATATCCTAAGTCAAAAATTCCTTTAATACACCTAACATAGCGAACATCATACTTCAGCCTCACCTACCTTAAGCATGCTCAGGAACACTTACATTAGTCTATAGTTGGGTGCAATCATCTAAAACAAAGCCTATATTACAGTAAAGTGTTGAATACCTCATGTAATTACTGAATGCTGTACAGAGAAAAATAAAATGTTTGCATGACTATTCATACTATGGTTTCTAGTAAATACATATCACTTTTACACTATCATAAAATCAAAAAAATCACAAGTGGAAATATCATAAGTCATAAGTTGGGGACCATCTGTACCCACTAACATGCTCTTAGAAACTTCTTAATATGAACCTATATACAAACTGTAGTTATATGTGTAAATGGGGAGGTCTACACATAATAGGTTACATTTTTACAGTTCATGCCCCAAGAAATATTCAAGACTACTGACTTCATTGTTTACACTTCTATTCCTTCCTTTCTTATCCTGGATTTTTCTCAGTGAATGAAAGAATGAGGCACAATTAGAACTTTCTGTGTATTGCTATGATCACACAGTTCTTGTGTTAGGTAGGTCTGTTCTAACTATTGATTAAGGTGAGTTTGTAGAAAATTATTGTTTATTGTAATGAATTCAGTTTAATTGGTGATAAAAAACAATCTGCCTGAATCTTCTGAAATTCCCAATAAACACAGTGATATGGTTTGGTTGTGTCCCCACCCAAATACCATCTTGAATTTTAGCTCCCATAATTCCCCCATGTTGTGGGAGGGACCCAGTGGGAGATAATTGAATCATGGGGGCAGGTCTTTCCCATTCTATTCTCATGATAGTGAATAAGTCTCACGAGATCTGATGGTTCTTTAAAGGGGAGTTTCCCCATAGAAGTTCTCTTCTCCTGTCTGCCACCATGTGAGACGAGCCTATCACCTTTTGCCATGATTGTGAAGCCTCCCAAGCCAAGTGGAACTGTGAGTACTCCATCAAACCTCTTTCCTTTGTAAATTGCCCAGTCTTGGGTGTGTCTTTATCCGCAGCATGAAAACGACTAATACACTTCCATTGGTCTGGCAAAATGTTTTTCAAGAGAGCACTTTTGCCATAGTATGTGCATTACAGAACATTTAGTGTTTGTGGCCCCAGGGCATTAAATGCCAATAATAATTCCCAATGATTATGGAGAAATACCCCACATATTTTCAAACACTCTGAAATTTAATAACTCTCCGGATTTAAGAACCACTGGTAACCTCCCTACATCTCAATAATAGATCTTGAGAGTCATTATGCCCTTAAAATAAAATTGAATTCAATGAATAAATATTTTCTCACTGCAAACTCTGATTCTCTACCCCACTCATTACTACTCCCCTGCTGGTAAGAAAACTTATTGTTATTATAATTGACTCTCATCACTTGCTAGGCAGAGCGTGGGTATTTCACAAATTATTGAATTAATGTACTGCATTATTGGATCAATAGTAATTTACTTGTCATTTTGTAAAGAAATCAGGAGATTATTTGGATAAAGCTTATTGACTCTAGCTGTTATAGGTGAGAAAGACAAAGGTCAACCTTTATGTCTTTTCTTTGGTTGTTCAAATACAATATGGAGGCTAACAACATTACTGTAATATACTATGAGATTATAATTGCATTCAAGACAGGAGGACATATATTTCTTACTAGCCAATTTTCATTGTTGCTGTTGATAACACAGACTTAAAATGGTTCCAGCACTCCTTAGGACCCTCTACTCTTTCACTCACTTCTTTAGACCCAGCAGGACTGGCCTTTTACATGCCTAATTAGTTGAGTATTGGGTCACTTGTCTCTGCCTGCAAAATTGTTACATATATATAACCTCACAGGGAAATTTATTCTAATTCCAATTTTTCTAGTATCACACAGGGAGGGCAATTTCTTCTTTTTTCAACTGTAAAGGTCAAAGTCCAGCTATTTTACTGCCAGGAAAAGACAGCAGCCAATGAGGCTGTTGCCTCCGAATGGAAGTACAACGAAACTGACATATCAATTCCTGATTAATCTTCATGATATTGGTACTACTGCTGCTGATTGTGGCATAAATATTTGCTAAATCATAAGAATTGATATGGTTAAACATTACCTTGTTAATTTTAATTCACTTCAAAATATGGGATTAAACAAACAAATGTTTGCCAGATCAGATGATGACTAAATAGGTGCAGAAGTGAAGATTATTTCCAAATTTTTGGTAAATGCATCCATAAAAAAGGAAGAAGTTAATTTTAATGGTGAAAACTCTGAATTATTGAATATAATATTGACCATTATTTTGAATTATTTAAAAAAATAAAACTATAGATACATTAAGTAGGAGACATATAAAACAGGCTCTAAATTTAGGGTGAGGGTGAAGACTACATTTTTAGGCATACTGAAAAAAAATACTTTATCATTGCATTCATTACTTTAAAGACTGCTTAATTATTCCAATTTTAGGAGTTATAACTGATGAAAGAGAAACCAATAGGTTAGAAAAAGATTACAGAAGATGCATTAGTTTGCTATTGCTGCCATAACAAATCACCACAAATTTAGTGGCTTAAAACAGCAAAAATTATTATCTTATAGTTCTGTAGGTTAGCATTCCAACACAGGTCTCACTGGGCTAAAATAAAGGTGTTGGCTGCTTCCCTTTCTGGCTCCAGAGGACTTTTTTTTTTTTTTTTTTTTTTTTTGCCTTTTCTAGGTTCCGGAGGTTGTCCACACTCCTTGGCTCATGGACACTATCCTCCATCTTCCAAGCCATCTCTCTATGCATTTCTTCCATAGTCACATCTTCCACTGACCTCATCTTCCACTTTTAGGACTCTTGTAATTACTTTGGACCCACTCAAATAATCCAGGCTAAACTCCCTATTCTAATGTCAGCTGATTATCAGCCATGATTCTCTCTACAATGTTAATTCCCCTTTGCCATGTAACCTAAAATATTCACATTTTTTGGGCTTTAGGATGAGAGCATTATTCTGCCTACCATATCAACTACACAGTAAAATACTGAAAAAGACTGCAGAAGGCTTTTTAGAGGATGTGAGCCTTAAATGGGTCTTTGAACAGTGGTTGAAATATGGACAGGATTTATTTTAGGATGTGAGTGAACACCAAATTGCAGTTAATTCTGAGATGCTCTTTCCAAGCCAATAGTGTTAGTATAGCAGAGAGTACTGGGTTTATATTGAGCTAAAATCAGGATGCCAACAGGACTCCTGGAATCTCTAGGAGAGAATCCTTTTCCTTGCCTTTTCCAGCTTTTAGAGACCATCGACATTCCTTGGCTCACGGCCCCTCCCTCCATTTTCAAAACCAGTAGTGTAGCGTCTTCAAATCTCTATGTGACTCTGACCCTCCCATCTTCCTTTTTTACTTATAAGGATCTTTTGATTGCATACAGAGCCTATCCAGATAATCCAGGATCATCTCCTCATGTCAGAATTTGTTCTGTTTTCACTCTTTTTTTTTCTATAGACCATCTTCAAGCTCAGTGTTTCATTTCTAGGCCATTGTCAAGTCTACAGATAAGTCCATTGAAGACATTCCTCATTTCTGTAACAGTGTTTTTTATTTCTAGCATTTCCTTTTGATTCTGAGTTTCCATCTCCTGCTGAAATGACCTATCTGGTCTTACTAGTTTTCCAAATTTTTGCTTTCAATACATCAATCATAGCTATTTTAAACTTTTTGTCAGTTACAATACGTGTGTCATGTCTGTGTCTGGTTGTGATGCTTTCATGTCTCTTGGGAGTGTATTGCTTTTCTTGCCATTTCTTAAGCTTAGTGTTTTTCTTTAAGCCAAACATCTTGTAGAGGACAGTAGAAACTGAAGTAAGTAATATTTACGCCTGGAAATGTGCATGCCTTTCATTTCGGTAGGCTTCTAATTCAGGGGTTCCAGTTAATCTAATTAGGTATTGGGCTGGGACTGAAGTTTGTTGTTGCTATGGTTACTCTCGGTATAACACAGGCTTTAAATGCATTTGGTGATAACTTGTGTTTAGGATGGGAGCTGATTTTTCAGAGGGATTTTATCAATATACAGTCAGCCCTCTCTATCCACAGGTTCCACATCTGGATTCAATCAAGTGCAGATAAAAAATATTAAAAAAAATAAAAAAGAATATAAATTTGAAAAATACAGTATAACAACTATTTACATAGAATTTACATTGTATTAGGTATTATAAGAAATCTAGAGATAATTTAAATTATATAGAAGGGTATGTTTAGGCTATATGCAAATACTAGGCCATTTTATATAAGGGACTTGAGCATCTGAATTTTCATATCCATGGTGGGTCCTGTAAGCAATCCCCTTAGAACCTTTGGTCTTTCCTTTGTGCTGCGCCTCAGAAAGAATCTCTCTTGCAAATTACAAGTTACTCCACCCTTCTTAGCCTCACAGTGGAGGCTGGGAGATGTTCTCTGTTCTGATTAAACTTCAGTCTTGTGCTAGTAGCCCTTTCCTAGATTTGAACAGTGTGGCTTTCTCTATGTTACTGCCTCTCATAAGACTATAATTCTAAATTCAGTATGCATTTTGCCCCCTACCCTAGTGGTAGAAAGTTATTTTTTTCTTGTTTCATTCTTCTAGGTGCATTGAGTTTTCACTACTGCCCTAAGGCAACAGCATTTCTTGCCCTTCCCCACCCCTACTCCATGCAGATTAGGGCTTTTGTTCCTTAGGACTTATGGAGAGAAAGGTCCCCAGGAAGTTTTTTGCCTCTCCTTCAGTGGCTGCAGCCCTTCCTCATTTCTGGACCACGAGGGCAACTTTCTCAGGACTCTCCTAATCTTTTCAGCAAATCTCCAGTGGGAAAGTGGAGAAGAAGCCTGCAAGAGGGTGTGCACTTCTAGATTTGAGTCACCAGGGGTTTTCACTTGGGAAGTCTTCACCTATACTTTGCCAGTCACCTTAGATAAACTCTTAGTGATTTGGGACTGCATCTTGCTCCAGGGAATCATTGCTCTGTCTGTCTCTGCAGTTCTCATCTCTATTTTGTCTTCAAGTCAGTTTGTTGCCCTGCAACTTTAGCACTTGATGGATTAAAGAAAAGTTGTGAACTTGCTGTTTTTCGGGCATTGCTTTGTCATAAAATTAAAAGTGAAGCTCTTTGTAGCTCTCTATACCCATTTTCCACTCCCAGCAGAAAACTAAAGTTCAAAATTGTAAGCCGGGCGTGGTGGCTCACACCTGTAGTCCCAGCACTTTGGGAGGTCAAGGCAGGCAGATGGCATGAGCCCAGGACTTTGAGACCAGCTTAGGCAACATGGTGAAACCTAGTCTCTACAAAAAATATAAAAACTAGCTGGGCTTGGTGATGCACGTCTGTAGTCTCAGCTACGTGTGTCTCAGGATGCTGAAGCAGGATAATCGCTTTAGCCCAGGAGGTCAAGGCTGCAGTGAGCCATGTTGTCACCACTGCACTTTAGCCTGAGTGACAGAGCAAGACCCTATCTCAAAAAAAAAAAAAAATCCTGGTGAAAGACACTGAGAATTAAATAGCCTTTTGCTTGACAGAGTCTATGGGGGTAGTTTATTTTCCTAAACTGTAGGCAACTGCATCAGAATCACTTCGAGTGCTTGTAAATATAAATATTATTGGCCCACCCCAAACAAAGAATAAAAATTTCTGAAAGTGAGTCCAAAGAATATGCATTTCAAAAAATTTTATTTGCATTTCAAACAATTTCTCTTGTAATTCTTATGCATTCAGAAGCTTAAGAATCTTTGGTACAGAAAGTAGATATCCAAACACTTATTACCCTATCATTGTGTTTTCAAATAGCTAGTACTGTTAGTCCTATCTGATCTTATTGAGTGTAAATTCATTTCTATCCACTGGATTTCTTCTGGATGGGGCCATTTGGGAAAGGCCTTATTTATTTGCTTACTCTAGAATCCCCATTGGTTAATACAGTGTCTGATACATGGTAGGTACTCAATAAGTGACTATTGAAAGAAAAATGATTGAATACTTGATTAATTTGTTGTTGAATCATATCCAGGATAGTGAAAACTTGAATATATTTCTTTTGTGTTGGCATATAATGAACGTTTTAGGGCTAGAGATAGAAATAGAGTTTTGCTCTCAAAAACTACTGTAAGGGCTAAGTGTACTGGAAATTTTAGTGGACACTGAGAAGTCACTCTGTCTTAGTTGGGGTTGGGGACTCAGGTAAATATTTTGCTATAACAGGAAAAGGAATTCCTCAAGGAAGTAAACTGCCCAACATAAACTAAGTAAACTGTGTGTATTAGTCTGTTCTCATGCTGCTGATAAAGACATACCTGAGACTGGGCAATGTACAAAAGAAAGGGGTGCAATGGACTCACAGTTATGCATGGTTGGGGAGGCCTCACAATCATGGTGGTAGGTGAAAGTCACATTTTACATGGCGGCAGACAAGAGAAGATAACTTGTGCGGGAAAACTCTTCTTTATAAAATCATCAGATCTCGTGCTACAATTCAAGATGACATTTGGGTGGGGACACAGCTAAACCATATCATTTAGCCCCTGGCCCCTCCCAAATCTCAATGCTCACATTTCAAAACCAATCATGCTTTCCCAACAGTCCCCCAAAGTCTTAATTCATTTCAGCATTAACTCAAAAGTCCACAGTTCAGAGTCTCATATGAGACAAGGCAAGTCCCTTCCGCTCATGAGCCTGTAAAATCAAAAGCAAGTTAGTTACTTCCTAAATACAATGGGGGTACAAGTATTGGGTAAAGACAGCCATTCCAAATGGGAGAAATTGGCCAAAATGAACAGGCTAAAGGCATCATGCAGGCCCAAAATCCAGTGGGGCAGTCAAATCTTAAACATCCAAAATGATTTCCTTTAACTCCATATCTCATATTCGGTTCGTGCTGATGCAAGAGGTGGTTTCCCATGGTCTTGGGCAGCTCCATCCCTGTGGCTTTGCAGGTTAAAGCCTCCATCCTGGCTGCTTTCACGGACTGGTGTTAAGTGTCTGAGGCTTTTCTGAGTGCACGGTGCGGGCTGTCGGTGGATCCACCATTCTCGGGTCTGGAGGTCGGCAGCCCTCTTCTCACAGCTCCACTAAGTGGTGCTCAGGTAAGGACTCTGTGTGGGGGCTCTGACCCAACATTTCCTTTCTGCACTGCCCTAGCAGAGGTTCTTCATGAAGGCCCCGCCCGTGCAACAAACTCCTGCCTGAACATCCAGTCACTTCCATACATCCTCTGAAATCTAGGTGGAGGTTCCCAAACCTCAATTCTTGACTTCTTTGCACCTGCAGGCTCAACAACATGTGGAAGCTGCTGAGACTTGGGGCTTGCACCCTCTGAAGCCACAGCCTCAGCTGTACCTTGGCACCTTTTAGTCATGGCTGGAGTGGCTGGAACACAGGGCACCATTGTCTTGAGAATTAACATTTGGCCCCTCTTTATTTATGCAAATCTCTGCAGCTGCCTTAAATTTCTTCTCAGAAAATGGGTTTTTCTTTTCTATCACATTGCCAGGCTGCAAATTTTTTGAACTCTTATGCTCTTCTTCCTTTATAAAACTGGATGCTTTTAACATGCTAAAACATAACAAGAGTCATCTCCAGTTCCCAAGAAGTTCCTTATCTCCATCTAAGACCACTTCAGCCTGAATTTCATTGTCCATATCATTATCAACATTTTGGTCAAAGCCATTCAACAAGTGTTTAGGGAGTTCCAAACTTCCCCACATTTTCCTGCCTTCTTCTGAGCTCTCCAAACTGTTCCAACCCCTGCCTGTTACCCAGTTCCAAAGTCATTTCCACATTTTCAGGTATCTATAGTAGTGCCCAACTCTACTTTTACGAATTTACTGTATTAATCTGTTTTCATGCTGCTGATAAAGACATAGCAAAGACTGGGCAATTTACAAAGGAAAGAGGTTTAATGGAGAACTCACAGTTCCATGTGGCTTGGGAAGCCTCACAATCATGGCAGAAGGCAAGGGGGAGCAAGTCACATCTTACTTGGTTGGCGGCAGGCACAAAGAGCTTGTGCAGAGAAACTCCCTTTTTAAAACCATCAGATCTTGTGAGACTCATTCACTATAATGAGAACAGTGCAGGAAAGACCCACCTCCATAATTCAATCACCTCCTACCAGGTTCCTCCCATGACACGTGGGGATTACAGGAGTTACAATTCAAGATGAGATTTGGGTGGGGACACAGCCAAGCCACATCAGAAAGCATCATTTCTTTATCCACCACTCAAAATCCTTACTCAGACACATTTCCAAATATAACAGAATTTATTATGCAAAGTTATCTTCAGGTCTATGGGTGGAAGTGGGGAATAGAATAAAAGCATAACCAAGTTTAAAGACCTAACTGAGGAATCAAGAGACAAAGGATATCCTTAAGGAGTGACTGAGAAGAAAATCCAATGAAGAGAGGCTTCTTACATAAAAAAGAACCAGAGGAAAATCATGGATGGCTCCAAAAATCTTAAGATCTGTTATACTCTATGAGGCACAATGGGTTGACATAAGTAGACTAGGGATGATGCTATTGTTTACCCATGCAAGCTGAGTGATGCTGAAGGAAAAATGTACTTGTATACTCCTCCATCTAAGCTCTAAGCCTCAAATGATTGTTTAGCTAAGTATCAGACTTTTTCAATATTATACTGCATTACCTTTCTTTATATGTATTAAAGTCTAATAGAAAGTTTATATTTAGATATAGGCATTATGTGTGAATTTTCTCCAAATATTAGCAACTGCCTTAAAACTTTATAAAATGTAGAGTAAAAATAGCTTGGAAATAATGCATTTCAGATACTTTCCTAAATGGAAAACCACTCACAGAAGCAGCATCTTCATTTTTCAACTCTTAATTAAGCCAAGGCAAAGAAATTCTCAGGACATAACCTGGTCTTTGCTTTTAGAGGCATTTATTAATCTTGGCTTTGGGCAATCCAGATTCTCCTTGTCTCTGATAGACTGTAACACACTGGAAATCAAGTTCGCTAAAGCTGTTCTTTCAGTAATATTAGAGCTTTCCTACCTCTACTCTACAATTTTACGTAGGTAAAAAAATTATTTAAAACTGACATTTGTGTAATATAATTAAAGAATAAATTTTAGTCTTGGAAATGTAAATTCTCTTTTGTTATTGTATTTGCTAGTAGAACAAAATTTGTTTTGGAAAATGCAGATTCTTGAATTATTGTTAACAAAGAGGGTTGAAGCTTGGAAGATCATAATTGCACTGGGTGAGTTTCCCTTTTTTTACATCTTTTATCTGTGCTATATTTGGTGGCTAAAAGTCAAATAAAAGTGTCTTACTGGCTTAAAGAAATAGAATACAGAGTTTGAGATTAGCGTGGCAAATGGAAAGTAAGAAGACGGGTCTCATATAAAGGAGAGCCAGAGGAAGATTCCCAAATTTTGTGTGTGAAGATAAATAATAAAGACCAATACTGAGATTACCAATATGTTGCAATTATCATGGAAGAATTTCAAAGCAGCTATGACAAATATGCCTCAGGTCACAAAGTAAAATAGGCCTATAATAATTGGAAAGATAAAAGTGTCAGCAGAGAAATTTTTTAAAATAACCAAATAGGATAGAAATTCTAGAACTAAAATATCAAAATATTGCAAATTTTAAAGTCACTGATGGACTCACAAACAGATGACTGAAGAAAAGATTAGTGAATCTGAAGAGAGATAAATATAAATTATTCAATACAAAGAAAAGGGAAACAATTTTAAAAGATAATAAGGTCCTTGGGGAATATGGAACATTAGCAAATGATTCAACATACATGCAACTGAAGACCTAGAGTGTGGAAAAAAGAGAAATCAGAGCAGAAAAAATATTTGAAAACACAAATTTTCCAAATGTAGTGAAAGACATAAATTTATAGATAAAAGAGTCTCAATGACCACCAAGCAGAAAAAATACTAATATAATCACATCTATGCACATCATAGTCATAGTGGTAAAAACCAAAGATAAAGACCAAACTTTGAAACTCTAAAAAATGGCATATTACATAGTCATAAAAATTGATTTAAATTATTATTGATCTGTCATCAGAAACAATAGAGCCCAAACGCATTAGATCAATATCTTTGAAGAAATATCTAGCAGAAAAAAGTTCAATCCAGAATTTCATATAAAAATGTACTTCAAAAATTAAAGCAAACTAAAGATATACTCAGACAAGTGAATATAAAAATAATGTATTTTTATCAGACCTGTACTATAGGAAATGCTATTTTTTTTTTTTTTTAATGGATGAAGGCTAATGATACTAGCTGGAAATTCAGAATGTTAGGCAGAAGTGACAAGCACCAGAGATTGAAAGTATGTAGGTAAATGTGAAAAAATTATATTTTACTTTTAATTTTCTTAAAATATGTATGACTATTTAAAGCAAAGGTTTTAAAAGATTGTATTGTGGGTTTTATAACTTATTTAGATGTGATGCAAAAAGTAGGAGTTGCCAAAATGTGGCCCATGTGCCAAATCCAGCCTGCCATCTATTTTTGTATAGCCCATGAGCTAAGAATGGTTTTTCATCTACATTTTTAATTGCTGAAAAAAGAGAATATTTCATGACATGTGAAATTTGTATGAAATTCAAAGTTTAGTGTTCATAAATAAAGTTTTATTGGATGTGAGCCATGTTCACTTCTTTATATATTGTCTATGGCTTTTTGGTTACTACCTCACATCATATGGGAACATTAACTCAAAATGGATCATATAGCTCAACATAAAACCAGGGTGA
The DNA here is from genome assembly GCF_000001405.40 of Homo sapiens. Taxonomy (NCBI): domain Eukaryota; kingdom Metazoa; phylum Chordata; class Mammalia; order Primates; family Hominidae; genus Homo; species Homo sapiens. Next base: position 98,995,393 of record NC_000023.11, on the reverse strand, counting down.
TGAAATAATCTGTACAACAAACCCTGATGACATGGGTTTACCTATATAACAAACCTGCACATGTACAAGGGAACTTAAAGTAAAAGTTCAAAAAAACCTGCACTTAAAAATATCTGGAAGAAAGCAATAGAATATCTTTATAACTTTGGGATTGAAAAAGATTGGTTAGACAAGGGACAGAGCAATAATCAAAAAAGAAAATGGACTTCATCACAATTTTGTAACTTTCATTCCTCAAAAAGTTATATGAAGAAAATAAAGAGGCAAGCCAGACACTAGGAAAAGGCAATTCACAGACTAGAAAATTTGAATTACATATATTCAACACAAGATTTGTGTCCAGAATATATAAAGAGTTTTTACAACTCAATAATAAGATGGATTTGCTTCTTATTGTAAAAAATTACCATAAACTGGCCAGGCGCGGTGGCTCAGGCCTGTAATCCCAGCACTTTGGGAGGCCGAGGCAGGTGGATCACGAGGTCAGGAGATCGAGACCATCCTGGCTAACATGGTGAAACCCCATCTCTACTAAAAATACAAAAAAATTAACTGGGCATGGTGGCGGGTGCCTATAGCCCAGCTACTCAGGAGGCTGAGGCAGGAGAATGGTGTGAACACGGGAGGCGGAGCTTGCAGTGAGCTGAGATCGCTCCACTGTGCTCCAGCCTGGGCAACAGAGTGAGACTCCGTCTCAAAAGAAAAAAAAAATTACCATAAACTTTGTGGCATAAAAACATAAATTTATTTATGTTAACATTCTGGAGATAAGAAGTCCTAACATCAAGGTGTCAGCAGGACTGCATTCCTGGAGGCTCTATCAGAGAATCTGATTTTTGCCTTCTTTCAGTTTTTGTAGAGGCCACCTAAATTTCTTATCATATGGCCACTTTCTGCACCTTCAAGGCCAACAGCCAAGCATTTTAAACCTCTCTCTCTCTCTGTCTGTCTCTCTCCCTCATCTCTCTCTCTCTCTCTCTCTCTCTCTCCTTTGCTTCTGTGGTCAAACTTGTGATTAGATTGGGTCCTCCAGAATAGTCTATCCATCTGAAGATCTTTAACTTAATTACATCTGAAAAGCCCCTTTTTCTACGTAAGGTATATAAAGGCTTCGGGGATTAGGATGTAGACATCTTGTGGGGAACATTATTTTGCCTCCTACAAAGACAAACAGCCCAGTATTTTAAAAGGCAATGATTTGAACAGATACCTTACATATTAAAATGTAGTTATGAATGACGAATAAGCACACAAAAATATGGTAAACAACTGTACTTGTTAGAAAAATTAAATCAAAACCACAATGAGACACTATTACACACACACTAGAAAAAGTAAAATTTAAAAGTCTGATGAAACTATTTGTTGGTGAAGATTTGTAACAAATGAAAGCCTCATACATTGTTGGTGGGATGCAAAATGGTCCAGCCATTTTGGAAAATATTTTATAGATTCTTACTGTATGATTCAAAAAAGCTACTCTTATACACTTAAAGAAATGAAAACTTATATCCACAAAAGACTTTTATATGAATGTTCATGGCAGCTTTCTTGATAATAGTTCAAAACTGGAAGCAGTCAATTGTGGTATATTTGTGCAATGTGATACCTCTCAGCACTAAACCAACAAAGCACCAATATCTTCAATAACATGAAAGTCTTAAAAAACCTTAAACTGAGCAAAGAAGTAAGAAACAAAAAATTACATACTACAAATGAAGTTCTAGAAGGAGCGAAAATAACCTATGGTGATGGAAATCTTATTAGTTGGTGCTTATACGGAGGTGGGGACAATTGATTGCAAAGGGATATGTTAGGTTTGGTGTTTACACAAGTGTATACATTTGTCAAAGTACATTGAAATATATAATTAAATGGATGATTTATTTTGTATTCTAATTATATTACAATGAAGATGAAAATGTATTATGGTTTTTAAAAAGAATCAAAGAGTAAGAAAAAAATAAATGCAACTAAAGGTAAATGACAAAGTATTAATTTGGGTTTGCCTACAATTTAATCAAAGTGAAATGCAATACTGAGCACTTCATATCTCATTGTAATTATGCTTCTTTACTTATTTATTTAGAGATGGAGTCTCGTTCTGTCGCCCAGGCTGGAGTGCAGTGGCGCGATCTCGGTTCACTGCAAGCTCTGCCTCCCAGGTTCACACCATTCTCCTGCCTCAGCCTCCTGAGTAGCTGGGACTAGAGGCACCCGCCACCACACCTGGCTAATTTTTTTTTTTCTATTTTTAGTAGAGATGGGGGTTTCACTGTGTTAGTCAGGATGGTCTCGATCTCCTGACCTCGTGATCCGTCCGCCTCGGCCTCCCAAAGTACTGGGATTACAGGTGTGAGCCACCACACCTGGCTATAATTATGCTTCTTGTCTTAAACACATATTGTATGTCAGACATGTTCTAGTGCTGAATATATATATATGTATATATGTGTGTGTATACATATATATATATATATATGTATATATGTGTGTGTATACATATATATATATATATATATATATATATATATTAGATATAGCCACAGCCCTAATATTCTGGTGGGAAACAATAGATAATAAACACATTAATAAGGCAATTTCAGATAGTGATAAGCACAAAGAGGAAAACAAAATAGGTAATAAAATAATGACTTATGGGCTGTTGACTACTTGAGCTAGAATAATAATGGAGGCAGGCCTCTATAAAGAAATGACATTTTAACTGAGCTTTATGTTTTGAGAACTAGTCTGTACAATGCATAGTACAAAGCAGCATTCAATGACATGACTGCTACAGACAGTGTAAAAATATAAGTAAAATATTTTGCAACAATTAAAAAAAATGAAGAGATAGGTGTATGATAAGGTAGGTTTGTTTGGAAGGTATAACTTTACAGAGTCCTGAAACTTCACCAGGATCATTAGTGATATGGTTTGGCTGTGTCCCACCCAAGTCTCATCTTGAATTGTAGCTCCCATAATTCCCACATGTTGTGGGAGGAACCCGGTGGGAGATAATTGAATCATGGGGGCGGGATTTTCCATGTTGTTGTCATGATAGTGAATAAGTTTCATGAGATCTGATGGTTTTATAAAGGGGAGTTCCCCTGCACACACACTTCCTTGTCTGCCTCCATGTAAGAGGTGTCTTGTTTCCCCTTCACCTTTTGCCCTGATTGTGAGGCTTCCTCAGCCATGTGGAACTGTGAGTGAATTAAACCTATTTCCTTTATAAATTACCCAGTCTTGGGTATGTCTTTATTAGCAGCATGAGAACAGATAATTACAGTAAATTGGTACTGGGTACTAGGGCACTGCTGTAAAGATATCCAAAAATGTGGAAGTGACTTTGAAACTGTTAACAGACAGAGTTTGGAACAGTTTGGAGGGTTCAGAAGATAGAAAGATATGGGAAAGTTTGGAAATTCCTAGAGACTTATTGAATGGCTTTGACTAAAATGCTAATAGTGATATAGACAATAAGGTGCAGGCTGAGGTGATCTCAAATGGAGATTAGGATCTTATTGGGAACTGGAGAAAAGGTCATTCTTGCTATGCAAAGGGACTGGAAGCATGTTGCCCCTGCCCTAGAGATCTGTAGAACTCTGAACTTGAGAGAGATAATTTAGATCATGTGGGGTAAGATATTTCTAAGTGGCAAAGCATTCAAGAAGAAGCAGAGCATAAAAGTTTGGAAAATTTGCAGCCTCTAATGATGCAACAGAAAAGAAAAACCCATTTTCTGGGGAGAAGTTCAAACTGACTGCAGAAATTTGTGTAAGTAACAGGAAGCCAAATGTTAATCAAGTAGACAATAGGGAAAATATCTCCAGGGCATGTCAGAGACCTTCATGGCAGCCCCTCCCATCAAAGTCCAAGAGACCTAGGAGTAAAAGTGGTTTCCTGGGCTGGCCCCAGGGCCCCTCTGCTGTGTGCAGCCTAGGGACTAGGTGTCCTATGTCCCAGCTGCTCTAGCCATGGCTAAAAGGGGCCAAGGTACAGCTCAGGCTGTGGCTTCAGAGGTTGCAAGCCCAAAGCCTTGGTGGCTTACATGTGGTATTGAGCCTGCAGGTGCACAGAAGTCAAGAATTGAGGTTTGGGAACCTCTGCTTAGATTTCAGAGGATGTATGCAAATGCCCGGATGTCCAGGCAGAAGCTTGCTGCCAGGCAGAGCCCTCATGGATAACCTCTACTAGGGAAATGCAGAGGGGAAATGTGGGGTAGAAGCCTCCACACGGAGTCCCCAATGGAACACTGCCCAGTGGAGCTGTGAGAAGAGGGCCATTGTACTCCAGACCCCCAAATGGTAGATCCACTGACAGCTTGCCCCATGCACTTGAAAAAGCGGCAGACACTAAACACCAGCCCATGAAAGTAGCTGGAACGGGGCTGTGCCCTGCAAAGCCACAAGGATGGAACTGCCCAAGGCAGTGGGAGTCCACATCTTCCATCAGCATGAGCTGGATGTGAGTCATGGAATCAAAGGAGATCATTTTGGAACTTTAAGTTTGAATGACTGCCCTGTTGGACATCAGACTGGCATGGGGCCTGTAACCCCTTTGTTTTGGTCAATTTCTGCCATTTGAAATGGGTTTATATACCCAATGTCTGTACCCCTATTGTATCTAGGAAGTAACCAATTTGGTTTTGATTTCACAGGCTCAGAGGTGGAAGACACTTGCCTTGTCTCAGATGAGACTTTGGACTGTGGACTTTTGAGTTAATGCTGAAATGAGTTAAGAATTTGGGAGACTGTTGGGGAGGCATGATTCATTTTGAAATGTAAGGACATGAGATTTTGGAGGGGCCAGGGGCAGAATAATATGGTTTGGCATTGTCCTCACCAAAATCTCATCTCGAATTTTAGCTCCCATATTCACATGTGTACTGGGAGGGACCTGGTGGGAGGTCGTTGAATCACGGGGGCATGTTTTTCCTGTGCTTTTCTCATGATAGTGAATAAGTCTCACAAGATCTGATGGTTTTATAAAGGGGAGTTCCCCTGCACATGCTCTCTTGCCTGCCACCACGTAAAACATGTCTTGTTTCCCCTTTGCCTTCCACCATAATTGTGAGGCCTCCCCAGCCATGTGGAATAGTGAGTCAATTAAACCTCTTTCCTTTGTAAATTACCCAGTCTTAGGTGTGTCTTTATTAGCAGCATCAGAACAGACTAATAAAATTAGAAAGGGACAAATATAGGAACCATTCCATAACATCTGCCTCAATTTTCCCTTTATCTTCCCTATTATACAATACTCTAATTCAATCCCTCTGTCTTTTGTTCTTATGATACCTTTTACACTTATAATATTTATTACATGCCACAGCAATTATTCATTGGCATATATGACTCTCCAATTAGATTAATATCCTCTTTCAAAATACAAGCTTGTGTTAATTAGCACCTGGCATCACAGATACTCAAAAAGTCTCAAAAAGTGTTTAAGTTAATGTCTACACCAATAATCATCAAACTGACTTTCTCCCTCTATCTTTATTTCATCTACATCCTTTCTGAACACAGCAATTAAATGTTTTATAACAAAAAAATCCAGAAATGTTTAGTGTTCATACTACACACCACCTCCAAAATGTGAGCTCCTTGAAAACAACTGTCTTTTCATATACTTATTCATTGCTTGATGTAGTCACCATAAAACAATGGGCATGTACACTAAAAATGCTTAAGAGGCACAATACTTAATGGTTAAGTCTATTGTCTCTGGATCGATTCTGCCTATGTTCAAATTCTGACTTAGGTTCAAATCCCAACTCTGCCAGTTAGGCAGCAACTTAATCTTTCAATGTCTCAGTTTCTATATCTGTAAAATTAGGACAACAGTGTCTGTCTCATAAGATTGTTATAAAGATTAAATAAGTAAATACTTTAAAATGGTTAAGCTATTATCTAAAATATAGTATGCACACATTTAAAAATAGCTATTATCATTAAACTGTGATTATTGAGGTGAGATTTTGCAAAATGAAGCTGTATAGGTCTGAGATAAACAACGAGTGAAGAAAAGACATTACATTTTTGAAAAAGAGGACAGTGACCTGCTTTATTTGGCTATACTCTTGTCACTATTCATTCAGTTGAATGACTTCTGTTTATGTTCATTTTTGAACTTTCCTTTTCAGCATTCCTTTTATTACTGAGTTGCACTCTGAATTTGATTTGTAATATGCTATTTTTGATAGTGCTAGTATAAAAATAAATTGAATTGTTTTGCTTTCCATTTAAGTCCAAAGTTAGGTTAACAGTTTTTTCTTGGTGCTTCAAAGATTTGTCAAGCTTAATAATGCATTACTTCTACACTTATAATTAAAACTTTATTTTTAAAGTAAGTTTCACATTTTAAAATGAGATTATTTTATTGAAATCTCTTTAAAATTATTCCTAAATTATTGGTTTAAAAAATTTGTTTACATTCAAATATAAGCAGGATACATTTTTGGAGGAACAAAGAGCATAACCCTTATGACAGCCATTTCATTTTATAGCCTACTAACAGAAGTGTGTTTCAAACTAGTCTCTGGTGAATGTGTATAAACAAAATTTTATCTTTCAGTAGATGATTTTTCATTGATTTGCCTGGAGCAAAACTAAATGCTCAGCTAAAAAGATGATGGAAAAGTCATTTAAGCTGTAAAAACAAAACAAGTTTACATCAATTTAAAAGAATGACCTTAAGAAATTATTGGAATTGTTGAAAAGCTCGTGTTTTGTTTTATGATAATATGTTAAATGTAGTTTTTGTTGCTTTACTCTTTTTAAAATGAGATAACAATAGAGAAGGAATTTGCAAAATTATTTTAATCAAAAGGTAGAATACTTTTTTGTTTTTTTTTAAATCATGTTCTATTTCTGTGCATTCTATGGGCTTTTATAGATTTTTCAAATAATCATACACTTTATTAGTGAGTATAAAACAAGTGAGCTTCATTTGCAAACTCTTTAAATCAAGGCCTCATTAAGCATATAGACTTTACATTGTTTTCTGCAGGAAAAGCAGCACATTATATTCTAAAGTAGGTATGTCGACTCCTAGTCCAACTAACACTAACAACTTAAAATTAAATATTAGCACTGCCTGAAGAAGCACCCCTTGATATATAGGAAAATGACGATCTCTAAGATAACCAGCTCCTATAGCAAAAAAGTGCTTTTGTAGGTTAAAATCAATACTTGGATTTCAGCCAAAAGCAGATAAGTCGTCGATGCCAAAAATTAAGAGCAAAAGTAAGAGTGCTCCATAGAGTTAATACCAAAAAATACCTCTGTACCAACATTGGGTTTAGTCTTTAAATTTAGCCATATATAAAGCAAGTTTACATTAACCAGTGCTGAATCATAATTTCAGGTTTTTAGTGTAAATGTTAAGTACCTTTCTTCTGATTATACTCTTTATATATCATGACAGGTACAATTATTACTCACTGATTTTATCTCAGAGATCAGGGCAGTGCTTTGCTAACAAAATTGGTACCTAATCAATCCTTGTTGATAATTTCTCCTTCAGTAAAATGTCATTTATTGGCCTCTTTTTCGGGTAAGACATGGGTCATTCTGCTATGTTACTTAGCCAGCAGTATGCAAAAGAACATTATTTAAGCAACTACTAGAATCAGAAAAGTTAGTGCTTATTTCTGTGTTTACAGAGTATGATTTTATGTCTCAATCAATTTATTTTTATGATTATGGTAAATTAGTCCAAAGTTTAACAGAAGCTATATTTGATAACTCTCATGGACAGAGCAGAAAGCAGCATTGAAATCTGTTATATAAATGTCCATTTATGTAAAAGAAACAGCTCAAAAAATGTTTACCATGGATCATGTGTATATATATGTGTGTGTGTGTGTGTGTGTGTGTGTGTGTGTATAATCTCAGTGACAAGCAGTAAAAAGAAGAGAGATCTATGATTCATACTAGTTTTTTAAAAAGCTTTCATTTAAAAAAAAGTCAGTGTTCTATTTCCTAGGTGAGGTGGTAATTTAAGCAATTTAAACACAATTTTCAAGTAGCATGTAATTGCGCCCCAAATGGTTAACCTGTTCAATAGCACTTTGTAATATTTTGCAACAATAAACTCTTATCCACGGCTGCATTCTCCTTTCTTGACATTATCTCTTAATTCTATTATTTGAACAAGCAACACATAAAACCTGTTTCCATATTTTTCTTGTTCTAAATTAAATCAACATGAATGATGCGGTAGTTAATTTTTTTTCAGGAAAAAAGAAAAATGCTTACGTGAAGTAATAAAATGTGTAACCCAGTGTTAAGTAATTAAAGTTACTTCTTATACTATTTTGACCAATCAGCTGTAATTAGTTATGTTTGGCAGAAGTCAATTAGTATATTTTTAATAGACTAATCTTTTTATATTTAATTATTATATCAATAACACCAACATACCCTCAAAGCTAAATTGATAACTATAATATCAACTAATTAAAACCAAAGTTAAAATGTAGTTTCATGAGTGTTCCATTAATGAAATGTAATTTCAAGAGGAAAAAGTAGACAAAAGCAGGTCTTGCTAGTTTTTTTTTTTTTTAATAAAATTCTGGTTTTTTTATTAAACTAAACATGTCATGTGACTATGTTTGGAGGTGAATAATCCAGAAAAGGAAGTGAATTTCATTGAATTATGTATATATTGGCAATACAAAATAAAATACACATGGATGAGCATGTTATTAAGTATGAATAAAAGAGTAAGCATTATCCCTTGAGCTCTTGGATTTTAATTAAAATTTATTCATTTAATAAACATTTCTTTCTCTGAAATGCTGGAAAAACAAAGCTGAGTAAGGTCTCTTCCTCAGAAATGATATAATATATTGGAAGAGACAACTACAATCAAACAGATGCTATGTGATAACTACCAAAAAGACAGGCATGGAGAAAATGTTGTGGGAAAACTAAAAAAGGGAGAAAATAACTGTAAAAAAGTCTGGGAAGGCATTATAAAGGAGGTGATAATGAGCTGGGTCTTGAGGTAGATAGAATTTTTCTAAGACAAGACGTGAAAGAAAACACTCAATACAAGTGCAAAGACTTAAAGATGTAAAGGGAAATGACATATGCAAGGAAGTCCAGTCAGCTTGAATTTAGTTTGCACAGCTGAGGAAAAGGGGGAGGCTTTTGAGGTAGAAAATGGCACTATAAAGTGATTGACTGGGTTGGAATTGTGAAGGGCCATGTATGCCAAACTGAAGAGTTTGAAGAGTCAGTGCCATTGGAAATCATTAAGCAAAGAATGATGAGATCATAATTGTTTTAGGAAGATAACTAGCCAGTGTAAAGAACTGTCTTGGTAACATTATTGAGGAGATAGAATTCCAGGAATCCTTTATGAATTTTTTAATAGAACAAGTAAAATTATAGGGAATGAAACAAAACTGTGACAGTGGAAATGAAACAGAGGTTGAGAGACATGTCATAGATAGACTAGAAATGATTCTGAGATCAGCGTGGATTGAAATGGGTGAAAGAGTAAAAGACTAAGCCCAAATTCCTAGTTAGGGCAACTACTAAGGAGGTTGTAAAATTAGTCATTTTAAAAGGAAGTTAAGGAGGTGATACAGGTTTGGCTCTGTGTCCCTACCCAAATCTCATCTCGAATTATAATTCACAGGTGTTGGGGGAGTGGCCTGGTGGGAGGTGATTGAGTCGTGGGGCAGACATCCCCTTTGCTATTCTTGTGACAGAGCTCTCACGAGATCTGGTTGTTTTGATAAGTGTGTGGTGCTTCCCCTCTTCTTTCTCTTTCTCCTGCCACCATGTAAGCTGTGCCTTGCTTCCCTTTTGCCTTCTGCCATTATTGTGAGTTTCCTGAGGCCTCCCCAGCCATGCAGAACTGTGAGTCAATTAAATCTCTTTCCTTTATAAATTACCCAGTCTCAGCTAGTTCCTTATAGTAGTGTAAAAATAAACTAATATAGGAGGATATGGAGGGAAAGTATAAGTGACGATACATTGGTGACATGTTGATTGAAAGTACCCCAGAAATATCTAAAATAGAGACTAAGGGCAGAAACTCAGGATGAAGTTGGGCTAGAGGTGTAGATTTTGGAGTCATCAGTGTAAGGTTTTTTTTAAAGGCATGAATGAAAATACTCAAGGAAAGAGCAGAAAAGATGGCAGGAAACAGTGGACCCTGGAGAACAATATAAGAGAATGCATAGAAGATAAAACAATAAAACAATAAAAATATGAAATACAAAAAATTTAAAACAATGACAGCACCTTTATTATATTCACATTTTAAATTTTCTAAAAAAAGATCTTTTAATGAAATCCTTATTTTCTTCATGAATTGTATTTTTTGCAAGTAACTGCGTTAAATGATTTGCCTAAAGTTGGTAACTTTAATTTATAAAATACAATTCTAGGACATACAGTCACCCCTGAGTATCCATGGATGGCAAAATTCATGGATGCTCAAGTCACTTATATAAAGTGGCATAGTATTTGCATATAACTTATGCAAATCCTCCTGCTTTACATCATCACTAGATTCCTTATAATACCTAAAACAATGCAAATGCTATGTGAACAGTTGTTACACTGTATTTTTTTGTATTATTTTTTATCTGTATTACTTTTGTTGTGTCATTTAAAAAACTATTTTTGACCTGTGGTTGGTACATTTTGAGGATGTAGAACCCATGGATACTGAGGGCCGACTATATTCAATGACACATGTACCCCTGTCAGTTTGCTGATTTTAATGTTATGTAACTATTATATAAAATGTCACCATTTGAGGAAGCTTAGTGAAGGGTACACAGGACTCTACATGCAATACTGTGACTATTATTTAGTCACATAATTTTGTCCCCCATTTCAAAAAAAAAAACTTGTTGTATAATATCTGTACATTTGTATGGAGTACATACGGTATTTTGTTACATGCATAGAATGCGTAATAATCAAGTCAGGGTATTTAGGATATCCATCACTTCAACTATTTATCATTTCTATGTGTTGGGAACATTCGAAATCCTCTCTTCCAGCTATTTTGAAATATACAATACATTGTGGTTAACTACAGTCACTCTATTGTAATTGAACATTGAAACTTACTCCTTTGATCTAATTATATGTTTGTACCTATTAACCAACCTCTCTTCATCCCCTTTCCCCACCCAAACACCCTTCTCAGCCTCTGGTAGCTATAATTCTACTCTCTACTTCCATGAGATCAAATTTTATAGCTCCCACATAAGAGTGAGAACATGTGATACTTGTCTTTCTGTGATTGGCTTGTTTCATTGAACATAGTTACCTCCAGTTTCATCCGTATTGCTGAAAAAGACAAGATTTCATTATTTTTATGGACGACTATTATTCCATTGTGTATATACATCACATTTTCTTTATCCATTCATCCACTGATAAACACTTAAGTTGATTCCATGACTTTGCTGTTGTGGATAGTGCTGCAACAAACATGGAGGTAGAGGTATCCCTTTCATGTATTGATTTCCTTTCCTTTGAATAAATACCCAGTAGTGGGAAAATAAATAAAATATTTTCCCAGTATTTTATTGTGTTATTAAGTAAAGGAAAAATATTAGTTTAATATTTTAATTTTTTTCATACTGCATAGATGACTTAGAGGTAAGGAAACAAAATTCTTTATAAGCTAGAAACAAAAAAGAAGTCACATTCTTTAAAATAAGAGAAAACTGAAATGAGTCTTTCCTTTCAGTATGTCTCATCCTTTGCAGCATAGAGCTTAGGATGTAACAAGTTACATGAACAGAGAACAGGCCCCAAAGCCCTGGACTAAAACAGGAAACAAGGTCTGATAGAGATAACCCCATAAGGCTGAGGTCCCCAAAGGGCATTACTTTCAATGGCTATGTCCATGTACCTTGTCAGATTTCCTAATTATGAGCTTGCTCACACATGTCTTTGGAGATTGAATTCACACTTTTTGTATAGCCTGAAAACTCTAAGCCAAAATTTCAGACTGAAAAAATACAAGACCCCAGGAACATGATAAAAACAAGTACACACCCCTTCTGGAAGAACACATTTTAATAAAGGCCTCAATGAGTCCCCAGATCAAATTACAAGGAATATGAAATAACAATAAAAATAAATTACTAAGCACATGAGGAAATAAGTTACAATAAGTAAGAATCAGCAGAAACAAGAAACTAGAGAATTTATAATAATTACAGATATTGAATTCAGTTCACATTCCAAATATAAGTTTATATAAAGTACTTAAAATAAAAAAGGAGTAAACAGATAAGAAAAAAACATGAGAAAAAACTAAGTAGAACATGTAGAAATAAAAAATATATGATCACCGAAATTAAATGCTCAACAGATGGCATAATGATAAGATTTAACAACACTGCAGAAAGAAATTTTAAGTTAAGAAATAGAGCTAGAGAGATAATTCAGAATTTATTAAAGACATATTAAAACTTTAATAATCATGAAGATTAGTATGAGAAGATCCAATATCAATCTAATCAGATTATCTAAATGAAATAAAGCTTAGATTAACAGCTGATTTCTGAACATCAGCTACGAAGCCATATGTCTGTAGAATGATGTATACAAAGTACTGAGAAAAATGATTGACAGACAATAATTTTATTCTCATTAAAATCAACATTCAAAGACAAATAAATATCAACTGAATGAAACCAGGGAAAGCAGAAGAAAGAAAATGATAAGAAAAAAACTAGGAAGAGAAATTGATGAAATAGAAAATAAAGTTGAAATAGTGAAAAATCAATAAACACAAAAGTTGATTCTCTGAAAACACTAATGACATTAAACAAGCTCTTTAAAGAAGAAGAAAAATGAGAAGATACATATAACCGATATTAGAAATAAAATAAAAACATAGCTAAATAAAAATAGAAGACAATATTCTGAAGAAACTTTTGTTAATAAATTTGAAACTTAGGTAAAATAGAGAAAATCCAAGAAAAAAAATAGTAAGTTACCAAACTTAAATACATAAGAATTGCAAATATGAATGATCAAAAGTTGTTACGGACAAATTCTGACAAGCATTCAAAGAACATACTTAACAAAACTTTCAAAAAAGAGAAAAAATGGCATACTTCTTAAAGCTCTTTATGAAAATTGCATAACCACGACACCAAAACCAGAAAAAGACAGTATAAGATAGAAAATTTGCAGGCCAAACACACTTATAAACATAGAGAGATAACAATCCTCAACAATATATTAGCAAATTAAATATAATAATGCATTAATAAATAACACGTTTGTGAACAAATTAGCCTTTGTTCAGGAATGAAGGGGCATTTGTCCAGGAATGAAAGGACAGTTCAACATCTATTAATGTAACTTACATATAAAGAGAAAGAAGTAAAAACTCATAATCATCTTTAAAAATTTGGGAAAGTTATTAAATAAAGTGAAAAATCATTTGTGATAAAAGGAAAAATCTTAGTAGCTTATTGGTAGAAGGGGATTTTCTTAAACGGATAAAAGACATCTTCCAAAAACTTAGAGCTAGCATGACAGTCATGAAATCTTCAAAGCATTCTTCTTAAAATTAAGAACAAGACTCACCATATTTTTCAATATTGTTTCAGAGATTTTGGCCAGTTGGCTAAAAAAATAAAAGGCAATAAAATATTTAGAAATAAATAAGAGCAAACAAAAGGCTAATGATGATATTGCCTACATGAAAACTCAAAAAAAACTCAAATTATTAGAGTTCATAAAAGTTTTGCAAAGTTGCTAAGTATATAATCAATATACAAAAGTTTATTAACATACATGTTAAAAAATATTTAGAAAATGTATTAGTTTAAAATAGAAATTTAGTATTTTGCTTCTTTGTAGCTCAATGCAACTTAAGATAGATCAGTTAGAAAAACTGGATAATATGCAAACTTATTTGGAGAGCTGCTAAACCAATGAGGACAATAAAGGCTAAGATTGTGAAGAAGACAGGATCTTGGAAAGGTGAGCTGAGTTCAGCTCCTTCTCCCCTGCCAATTCTGGGTGCAGGCAAAAGGCTGAAAATCTGTGCTTGCTCTGGGAAAAAGCCATTGTTGGAGGATTGAAAAACATATCTACAGTGTGATCCATCTATTCCAAATCTAGATAATTATTGCAGAGAAATTAAAATGTGTTTACACAAAACCTGTACATGAATGTTCATAGCAGCTTTATTTGCAATCACAGATTGGCGAAGAGCACAAATGTCCTTCAGTAGGTGAATAGTTAAATCAACTCTGGTGCATCTATACCATGGACTATTACTAAGCAATGATTGATGCACAAAACAACTTGGATGGATTTCCAAGGCATTATGATGAATGAAAAAAGCCAGATATGAAAGAGTACATTCTGCATACCTACATTTATATCAAAGATCTTAGGAAATGCAGACAAATCATTCCCAATAAAAAGTATATCAGTGGTTTTCTGAGGTAGGGAAGGGTGGGGCTACCAAAGGTCACATAAAAACTTTGGGAATGATGAATATGTTCATTGTCTTGATTTGGGTGATGGTTTCATGGGAGTCTACACATGTGAAAACTTATCAGATTGCACACTTTAAATATGTTCAGCTTACTGTATGTCAATTACACCTCAATAAGGCTGTTAATAAATTAAAGAAAAAATGCCAGTTGTACATATACGGTTTTTGAACATTTCTTTATGTCTGTTATACCTCAATAAAAAATTTACTTTTAAAGTAAATTAGGGTAATCTTTTTAAAACTGAGCATATTTATCTAATTTTAAAGCCAAATATGACCCAAATTTTAAATATGTATGAGATTATCTCAATAAATGTTAATACACTATAAAATGGTGTATATTTACCAAGTTATTGCAATTGAATTAAATTCTTCCTTTTATGCCATGATCTGGAATGCTATTTTATTTGAAATACAAAATAGTGAAACCAGAGAAGTTCCCTTATCTCCCTCCCAGGGTGTGTGGCAGGGGTGTGGCTCGCTTCTTTGGTGCCCCGCTGCTCAGACCGCTAAAGGGAGCACGCAGTCAGCCAGGTTGTGGGGAGCGTTTTTGTGCTCCAACCCCACGGCACCATCTAGGGTTGAGTGTTTAGAGCTCCCGAAGCCCCAGTGGGCATGTGTTACAGTGTGGTCTTTCAGTTTTGCCATCGGCCGGCGGCTTGTGTTAATCAGCTCAACTAGACCTCCTGCCTTATCACAAAGATAGAGGGCTTTCTGTATCCCAGGTTCTTGCCCTAGTGTACCAGAACAATCAGATCACATGTGGGGTTGGAGGATGGGTGCAAGATTTT
The DNA here is from genome assembly GCF_000001405.40 of Homo sapiens. NCBI lineage: Eukaryota > Metazoa > Chordata > Mammalia > Primates > Hominidae > Homo > Homo sapiens. The sequence continues at coordinate 98,980,088 of NC_000023.11, read as the reverse complement.
ATCGAGTGGTGGAAGTAGCTCTCAGTGAGCTGGATGGGGAGGCCAGAAGGGGGATGGAATGGGAAGGTGGTCTTCCCCTGAAGTCAGGCCGCCCAGTGGCTAGACTCTCCTCTCACTGCCCAAGACAGAATTCCAGGTTGTCCTGCCGTTGACGGCCTTCCAGAATCTGCTGGTGCCTGTCGGTGTGCTCTTCTGCTCCTATGCTCCTCTCAATGTCCAGCCACTTGTGTCTCCTGGGTTTTTATGGGCACAGAATGTGGGGCATGGTGGGCCAGAGTAGTCTTGGAGAAATGCAACATTTGGATGCCAATATAGGCCCGAGGATAGAACCTTCACCAAGGACCCTGTCCTTCTCTACCCAGCACTTCCCTGCTCCCCTCCCGTATCAATAGTTAACATTGAAAACCCACCAAATATCCCCATAAACCAACATTCTGTGTAATGGCCATCCTTACAAGTGAGCATGTGGCTTTTCTTCCTCTTGCATAATGTTTGCCTGAACCACTCATAATATGTGTAGATTATTTAAAATTTACAGAGAATTGTGTCACATTTCCCTTTGGAAGAGAGCTCGCTTTCCTTTCATATAAAATTTGGTGGAAAGTTATCTTTGCTTGAACCAAAGTTCAAAACTCTATAGTCTGGCCACTCCTTGGTTAAAATTCATTTACTCTGAATTTACAAGTTTAATTTTTATTGTATTTATTTAAAAAGTTTCTGATATTCAGCCTAGGAAAAGTTAGAACTACCTTTCTAATGTGTTGATTTTCAACCCTCTCACCTACTACAAAGTATACTATGAGTGATGGTTACTTGAACTTGACATTTCTACATGTTGAGACCTAGGTAACTACTCTGACTCCTCCATGCAGGACAGCTCATCACTGCGCAAGTGAATGAAATTATTGCGTTTTATAAAGATAAGCTTTGATTCTCTCTACTATAACATAATAGAAATGCATGCAAAAATTTTGTTACTTTATTAGTAGAACAAAATTACTTTTGAAAAACCTCACAACTTACATACACCAACAGTTATTTGAGAAACCTGCTGTGTGCCATCATGAAGTTTGTGAAGACCTGTACTATGATAATCTTATTTTTAACTGTATCTTGGTTTTGTAACAAGAAAAATTTACTTTTGAAGTGTCATTTTTAAATATATTGACTCTTTTCCTTTCTTCTCCTTCATTTTTCTTTTTTTTTTCTTTTCTTTCTTTTCCTTTCCTTCCCTTTATTTTCCTTTTCCTTCTTTCCTTCAATTCCTTTTCTTCCCTGAGTAGTACAGCCCTGAAGACACTAGGTGGGACAGTGTAAGGTAGCCATTCACACTAGTGAATTGAGGGGAAGCCACAGTGGCCATGATAAGGGCAAAAGAGCAGAAACTTGGTGAGAAGGGTATCTGCATAGAAGGGCTGTCTGGCACAGGAAGCCCAAGCAGAAGTTATTTTATATTTTAGTTATCTTTACTTTTAAAAAATATTTTATTTTGACATAATCACAGATTTACAGAGAGTTACAAAGAAAGGTACAGGAAGATCCCATGCACCCTTCACCTTGACGCCTCCAAGTTTGATACCTTGTGTGACTATAGTACAATATTGAAACCAAATAAATGTCATTGGCGCTGTCCACAAAGCTTATTCAGATTTCACAAATTATACATGCACTCGTGTGTAGGGGTGTGTGTGTGTGTATGTGTGTATGTGATTCTATGAAATTCAATCACAAGGTAGCTCTGCATAACTACCCCCCCCCCCACAATTAAGATACATGACTGTTCCATTACCTCATAGTAATCTTGCACTACTACCTTATTGCCACAGAATTCCACACCTGTATCTCAATCCCAAATCCCTGGAAGCCACTATTTTTTTTCTTCTCTATATTGTTTATTCAAGAACGTTATAAAATAGAATCCATGAGGTTCATGTGAGTCGTGTCATGTATCAATAATTTGTTTTTTCATATTGCTAGTTAGTAGCCCATGCCCATGATATGGTTGCACCAATGTTTATTTGACTATTCACTTATTGTAGAAATTTTAGTTGTTTCTAATTTTTTGCTATTGTGAATAAAACTGCTGTGAACATTCTTGAACAGGTTTTTGTGTAGACATAAATTTTCATTCCTCTAAGATAAATGCTCAGGATTACAATTGTTAGCATGTCTGACAGTGGTATGTTTAGTGTTTTAAGAAACTGTCAAACTATCAGAGTGGCAGTACCATTTTACATTTCCACCAGAAATGTATGACTCAACTTTTCTGCATCCTCTCCAGCATTTGGTATCATCACTAGTGTTTTATGTTGGCCATTCTGAGAGGTGCATAATGATCTCATTGTGGTTCTACTTTTAATTTCCCTAATGCCTGATAGTGTTTAATATCCTTTCATGTATCTATTTGACATCTGTATATCCTCTTCAGTAAAATATCTTCTCATGTATTTTGCCCATTTTCTAATTGAATTATTTGATTTTTTTGTTTTCACCATTGAATGTTGAAAGAGCTTTATGTACTCTGAATATTAGTAATTTGTCATTGGTCAGAGATGTGGTTTATAAATATTTTCTCTAAGTCTGTAACTATTCATCTTATTACTAAGACCTTTCACAAAACCTTTAATTTACACGAAATTCAGTTTATCGAGGATCTCTTTGCCTAGTTCTAGATCCCAGTGACTTTTTTCCTACACTTAGTTCCAAAAATTTTATGCTATAAAAACTTACAGTAACGTTCATCATCTTTTTCAAGTTACATTTTCCATAATATGTGAGACATAGGTCTAGGTTCATTTTTGTACCTGTGGCTGTCCCATTGCTTCAGCACAATTTGCTGAAAAAACTTTCTCTCTCCACTGAAATGTTTTTCTACTTTTGTAAAAAAAAAAAAAAAAGTCAATAGGGCATATCTGCATGGGTCTATCTCTGGGATCTCTATGTTGTTCCATTGATCTATGTGTCTATTCCTCCATCAATACTACACACAACCTGGATTATTATAGCTGTATAAGAAGTCTTAAAATCACATAGACTAGACTGATTCTTCTCACTTTATTCTTCTTGTTCAAATTTGTATTAGCTATTCTAGTTCCTTTGCTTTTCTATATATGCTTTAGAATAATCTTATCTGTAACTACAAAAACTTAACTAGGATATTGAGCGATATCGTATATCAATTTGGGAAGAATGGACGTCTTTACAATGTTGAGTCTTCCAATCAATGAACATGGTTTGTCTCTCCATTTATAAAACTATTTGATTTTTTTAAATCAATATTGTATAAATTTTAGCAAACAAATCCTGTAAATGTTGCATTAAAATAACACATAAGTATTCCTCTTTTTGGTTTGAACAATTGAAAATAATACTCTATTTTAAATTTTAGTGTTCATGTGTTTACTATTAGTATATAAATGTACACAATTTATTTTATTTAAAAAATTGTAAGAGTATTCTGAAACCTTGCTGAACTCACATATCAGTTTTAGAAGATAATTTTGTGGACTGCTTAGGATTTTTCTGTGTAGACCATTGTGTTATCTTTAAATAGAATATCTTTAAATATTCTTTTCCAGTCTGTATGCCTGTTATTTCCTTTTCATGCCTTATCATGGTTAGCTAGAACTTCCAGCACTGTGTTGAGTAAGAATTGCAAGAGTGCATATGATTGCCTTGTTTCCAATGTTAGGTAAATGATTTCAGTCTTTCACCATTAGATATAATGTTAGCTGTGACTTTCATTAGGTGCACTTTAACAAGTTGAGAATATTCCTCTACATTCCGAGATTGCTGAGAGTTTTTATAATGAATGGATATTGAATTTTGTTAAATGCTTTTTCTGTATCTTTTGATAGGATCATATGACTTTTCATCTTTAACCTGTTGATACGGTGGATTTCATTGTTTGATTTTCAAATGATGAACCAATCTTGCATACTTTAAGTAACATGGCATATTATTTATTTATACTGTGCTTAAATTGATTGCCTAATATTTTATTGAGGATTTTTATATCAAACTTCCTGAGAGATATTAATCTGTGGTTTTCTTTATTTGTGCTGTCTTTTTCTAGTGTTGATAGTGGGATAATACTGACAATAAAATGCATTGGAAAGTGTTCCCTCATTATTTGTTTTTTAGAACAAATGTATAAATTTCATTTGGTGTGAATTCTTCTTCAAATATTTGGTAATATTTCCCGGTGAATCCACCTGAGCCTAGAGGTTTTCTTTTGGAGTACTTTTAATTATAAATGTAATTTCTTTAAAGGTTATACAAGTATTAATGTTTTCTATTTCATCTTAATTGTATTTTGGTTGTTCGCGATTTTTTGTAAATGGTCTATTTTTTTCTAAGTTTTCACATTTATGTGTGTAGAGTCGTTTGTAATATTTGCTTAGAATCCTTTTAATGGCTTCAGGATATGTAGTGATACCCCATGTTCATTCTTGATATTGGTGATGGGCATCTTCCCTCTTTTTGTCTTTGTCAGTCTTGTCAGAAGTCTATTTTATTTTTGTTTAAAAACACTTTTTAATTAATATTTTCTTGTTTTTCAGCCTTCAATTTTATTGATTTCTGCTCTTATCTTTACTATTTCTTCCTTCTACTTTCTTTGCATTTAATTTTCTCTTTTTTAAATTTCTCTAGGTAACAATTTAGATTATTAATTTGAGGTGTTTTCTTTTTTTTAATTTTCTTCCTTTTTTTATATTTATTATTTTTTGAGACAAGGTTTTACTCTGTTGCTCAGGTTGGAGTGCAGTGGTGCTATCATGGCTCACTGCAACCTCAGCCTTCCAGGCTCAGGTGATCCTCCCATCTCAGCCTCCTGAGTAGCTGGGTCTACAAGCACATGCCATGCCCAGCTAATTTTAAAAATATTTTTTGTAGAGACAGGGTTTTGCCATGTTGCCCAGGCTGGTCTTGAACTCCTGAGCACAATTGATCCATCGGTCTTGGCCTCCCAAAGTGCTGAGATGACAGGTGTGAGCCACTGTGCTAGGCACTTTTTTTTTCTAATGTAAGAATTAAGTGCTATAAATATACCACTCAGCACTGCTTCAGCTGTGTTCCAAACATTTCGATATGCTCTATTTTAACTTTTTTAGTTCAAAATATTTTTTAAAAAATTCCAACTTATTTTTGACCCATGAATTGTTAAGAAATGTGTTAATTTTCACTTGTTTCAAGATTTCCCTGTTGTCTTTCTGTTATTGATTTCTAGTTTGATTGCATTATGATCAGAGAACATACTCTGTGTAATTTTAATTATTTTAAATGTGTTGAGGCTTGTTTATGACTCAGGATATGGTATATCTTGGTGAAAACTCCCTGGACACTTGAAAAGAATATGTATCTTGCTATTATTGGGTGGAGTATTCCATAAATATCAATAAGATCATCTTGATTGATGGTCTTATTCAGTTCTTCTCTGTCTTTCCTGAATATTTTGTCTAGTTGTTCTATCAAATGCTGCAAGTGTAATTTTGAAGTCACGAACCATAATTGTGAATTTTCTTATTTCTTCTTTCAGATCTCACAATTTTGCTTCATGTATTTTGAAGTTGTGTTGTCTTGTGCCTTAATGTTTAGAATCACTCCATCTTTTGATGGATAGATTCTTTTAGCCCTTCAGACCCTTTCTTCTTGTTTCTTAGTCTCCTGCTTTGCCCAGTTCAAGAAATTTGTAAATACTTAAAAGAAAAGCTGGCAATGTGTCAAGCTCAGTTCAGAGAACCTCCCTTCTCACTGGGTTCATACTGGCTCTTCAAAGCAGTCTTGAACTCCTATTTTGGTCTGTCTTGACCCATAAGTTTGCCAAAAGTTCTACTTATTTCTCTCTCTGGGCAGCAGCCTAGAGATTACTGCCAAAGTGGCAGACTAAAAGTAAGCAAATGCTGTAGAATTCTTACTCATTGCTCTGTGGCTCCCTTTTTTATATTATCCCTCAAGTAATTTTGCTGAGCAGGTGTTTGATACTTTCACATATACTTTTTAAAATTTTATCCAGTTTTTCTCGTTGTTATGAGTGGCAGGACTGGTCTACCTCAAGCTCATAACTTGCTTAATTTTTATATAGTTTTAAAGAGGTCCTCTGTGATTGTCCTTTCCTGAAATGGTACCTCACTCTTTGTAACAAATTTTCACAGCAATCAAACATTTTTATGCATATATGACAATAACATGTATTAACCATGTATGTCAAGTATTTTGTAAGAACAAGAATTTTATACTTTGCTAGTTTTTTAAACTTCTAACTGCTTTATGCATATCAAAAGAAAATTTTCCAAGTATAGCCTTTAGAACGGAAGTTGACAACTTTCTCCATTTGTTTTTATGAGCTATATATGTATATCAAGTGTAATATATGATGACTAGTTATAACTCAAGCTCTGCTTACATACGGAAGATTAGCCATACACTGCAATAATTAATCTAACTGCAGAATTATAAAGTGATGTAGATTTTATAGAACCTCACATATCATATATTTATGTTTGGCGAGTATTCTGAAATGAAGTTGTTCAATAAGAAGAGATTCTGGTGGCGCCTGTTAATCTTCCCTACCACCCCCCATTACCTTTAATTATGATACAAAATTAGAAAGTGGGAAGGTTAACATGAAATATTTTGCATTTGAGGAGCATCTTAGTGAATAGCCAAAAGGCAAACAGTTTTAAGATGACTTCAAATTAAGTAAAAATGCTGGTAAAAATGAGTGAATGAATGAATGAGTGAGTGACCAAGCTATAGAAATCAGGTAACAAACACTCATTCTCTAACTTTAGCATATTTACCATATTTGTTCTTTTTTAGAGATTTAACCTTCTTAAGTGTTTGTCAATTAAGTATAATATATGACCTTTTAGTTTAGTATGCCATTCTACCTCAATTACAGAGAAGTAGATGGGTTAAAGCTATGGGATAATCATCCTGAAAATAATGTAAATGCTTTCATTTACATTTTATCTCCTACATTTATCTTTTCCTAATAGAAGTCTAAAATTGTATGTTTTCAGCAAGAAATTCTGATCATATTATTAAAAGCTTAATTGATTAATTCTGTCATTCATGTGTATGAGTATATGTCATTCATGTTTTATATGCAAAATATCTATTACAGTTACCATATAAATATATGTCATTTTTCTATACATAGAATGACATATCCTATTTCTGTTAAAACTACTTCAGAAAATTTAAACCAAATTGTCCTATAGTAGTTACGTTTTATGAAAGAAGTATTAAAGCAAAATAAACAATGTCATTGGTGAAAGGAATGTCAAGCTGCTTTTGAACTGACTAAATAGCAACTGATGTCCTCAAGGATTCTAGTGTATTATGACCCTGCCCTGCCAATCTGTTTAGCTACTGACGCTTCACCATATGGGATCAGAGCAGTGATTTCTCACATAATGCCAAATGACCTAGAAAAGCCCGTAGCATTTGCATTGTGAACACTTGCTAAAGAATTAGGCACAGATGGGGAGGTTTTACCTTATATGTTTGGATCTGCTGTCATTAAATTACTGAATATCACTTCCATGTATATTCCAATCACCATGGGAAAATCCTTGATGCTGAGACTCTAACTTCTGTTGGGGTCTTTCTCAATGTGAAATGCTCCACTTGGAATTGAAGTTGGTACTTTATAGTGGTACACATGATTCTATAAATGTTAAGAAAAAAAAAAACTTGAAATAATTTATTAGCAAAAGGTGTCCTAAGAGAAACTGTCTCTTAAAAGATAAAGAGACGTTGGATATAAACGTGATAGTGGAAAAAGAGGTTAAAATTTTGATACATCTTAATCACTTTTCTACAAGCTTGCTTATATAGAATGGTTATTTCACAATGCCATATGAAAAAGCATCTTAAATGAAAGCAAATGGTACAGAAGATGCCAAGGGGCATGTGTAAGACATCAGGATAAAGCAATTTCAGAGTGTTTACAGGACCGTCAGTGAGAGCAAAGTCTATAGACACAGTGAATAATATTTGACTTTATAGACGGTTAAGGGCAAATGTTGAGTGCAATGTACAGAAAACACAGATACCTAGTTTCAATGAAGGGAAACAGAAGTCGTTGCTCTACCTAATGCTACAAATCATGTTGAAAATGAGCATATTAGAGCTAGGTAACAAAGAAGATTACTGCTAACATTAATGAGGTTTTTCTTAGGGTCAGAAAAGCCAAGAAAATGTGAGTGGCAATTAACAGACATGAGTTTTACTTTAGTTTAATTAAAATAAATGTTGGGGGAGAAATGAATGTCGGGTTGGCGGGGGGCAGGGGGAACTAATTGAAAGAATCATGGGGCATATTATCAGGCTTTGATTGAGAGGCCAAAAAGACATTTTTTCACCCATTGCTCCATGTTCTTCCCTGTTAACTTTCTTTCATTTTTATATTTGTTTGCCGATGAATGTATTTCATTCCTTCTTTCATCATCTGTGTCTTAATGATGCGCAACACCTGACCTTGGTCTCGCCTCATAAACAGACCACCATTACAACAAATGTCCATAATGCAATTATTACCTTGAAATATACATTCTTCAGTGAAAAGTCACTTGTGTTCTCCATTTTCAATAATCCCCAAATCTGTTCACAATATGAGAGTCCAAAAAAGAGGAATCATCCTGAGTTATTTCACCCAGTTCAGAAACACTGCTAAATCCCCAGTGATGAGTAAACTACAATTTCATTTTCAAATAGCTTGGTGATGTCTTGTTCTACATGATTTTGCATCTAGTGAGCCTGCAAAATACATGCGTTCCAGTTAAATACACACTAAATCTTCTCATTCTGATGTCTGATGGGTGATTGGGTAATTTGTTTTTGGCCTTGGGTTAAGGTCTTACACTCTTTTGCTGATGAGAATATTATCTGTTGAACTCTGATTATGCATTAAATTCCCTTAAAGTTTTCCAACCAAGATTATAGTCAATTTTTAATTGTACCATTTTGGCATAAACAAAATAATATTATCTTAAAACTATCTGTGGTAGCCATGATAAATGTAAACGCTGCAGAACCTAAAAAACAGTGTTCACTTCATTTCTGAAATGAATTATATCATACGAGCATGTGCAACTTTCAATGTCAGCAAACCCCAGAAATGATTGTATGTTGCCTTCTCTAGAGTAAAATAAATTAACAGTTTTTCTAAGCTTGCCTGATACTTGTGCTTCTCTTAGAATGCTATCTTTCCTTTATACTTTCTTGGGTGAAAGAAAGTACTTTGTGTGAGCACCTAAAACTTTTTTAAGCTTAAAGAATCTGCTTTAAGGAAAAAACTGCCTGCTAGACAAACTGCCTGGAAAATGAAATGTAGAAGGCATTATAAGGATGAGAAACCTGCACAAGTGGAGACGGTTACTTGGGGAGTGAATGGTTTGCAGAAGCATGGGGCAGAAGAAAAAAACTGAAGGAACTAGCTCCTCATCCACTTTTAAATTGAATAGTGTCTCTAATAAAAGAAGGTTGATGAAGGTAAGAAAAAACTCAGAGACACCAGACTGTATTTGCATATATGTATGTGATCTCGCATATTTTTTTATAATAGCTCACCAAGGGTAAAAGTAATGTGTTTCCAGGGCCTACTTTTATGTAAATATTTCAGCATGTAGTATGTGCTTAAAATTATAAATTTGTGTGCTAGGAGGATAACTGTATGCCTGTTGGCATGCAAAAGTACAATTTGGGTATAGAACATAACATCTGTGTGCAAACCCTTTAACTCTTGACTTCACAGTATGGGATTTTAAGAAAATGCGTTTTTCTAACCTATCAGCCAAGGTTACATTCCCCAGTCCCCACTACTTATATTCACACAAAGTATTTTAACTTTTAACTCTGTAGATAGAGTAGGCACATTGCATTTGGGTAAATGACACAGAGGCATCCTAGTTGCAGTCTTCTTCTGGTTGATTAGGCATCCCAAGTAAAATTTTAGAAAAATAAGGCTTCTATGGTATGCACATGAGGAAGATAGAGAGATTGTGAAAAATGAGCTATGACATACAACTTCTGGGTAAATATGGGTCAATGGAGAAATCTTTGGCCAAATAATCGGGTCAAAAATCCTGATATCCTTATGTATGTGCATTTGCAAGTACATTCATTTATATAACTGTAATGCGTCAGACTTATTTACAGAGCTTTTCTAGATCACTGTAGTTATGTGACTGACTCAAGAAAGCCCTTTTTAGGTGCTAAGTACCTGATTTGGGTTTTACAAATTGATTCATAACTAGAGTGTTTTGGGCATGATTGTCAATCCCATACAGAAATACATTTCGAGGAACATATACTTCTAAAATGATGGCTCTATATGCATGTTTAGAATAAATCATTCAACAAAAGAATGGCTTTCATAACTGACTTTTCTACACTTTGTGACCTAAAGTAGACCATTTAATCATTTGGGGCATATTTAAGCCATATATATGCATATACATCTTCCTGGTTGCAGTGCTAAGAGAATGTTTATAAAGCACACCGGAACTCTAAGATGAAAGGTTCTAAAGAAAGCAAATTATTAAACATCCCAATAAACATGCTAATCATGAAAGGTTTAAGACTAATGAACAGCATGCATTTTATTTCTTGAGGTCTTTCTTAGCTTTAGTTATTATTATAAGAAGAAACAAATATTATTGACAGAGACAGGTACTTCAGAAGGCCAACTCACCCAGGTGAAATTGTATTTACATACATACACACATATCTTAAGGCAGATAATTCACTTATTTTCATCAAGAAATAACAGTATGCCTCCAAGTCAGGCCCCTCATTCTGTCTAATACTATGTCTAACTCATGACTTGTTACACGTGTTGTTTTGATTTAATACTACTTAGCAAGATTTAATTTAAAATTCATGAGTTATGAAAACGGCACACTGTGAGTGGCATTTTGACGAATAGGTAACTGGCAAAATTTCCCTTGTATCTTCTATGACTACCTAGGAATAGAAACAAAATGGCTAAAACGGAATTTGTACTCATTTTCATAGCCATAGCTTTTAAATTCTGAATTCACTGGGGCAAATCCTAGGCCTGCTGTTTTGTAGCTGTGTGACCACAGACAAGTTTTGTTTTGTTTTTTTTTAACTCATTTTCTCATCTGTAAAAGGGGATTAAAAATAAGTACCTCTCAGAGTTATTGTGATGATGAAAAGAGACAATTTGTTTTAAAAACCTACCAGTGGGGGGAGGGGGGAGGGATAGCATTGGGAGATATACCTAATGCTAGATGACGAGTTAGTGGGTGCAGTGCACCAGCATGGCACATGTATACATATGTAACTAACCTGCACAATGTGCACATGTACCCTAAAACTTAAAGTATAATAAAAAAAAGAAAAAAAAAACCTACCATAGTTCTTGGCACACAGTAAGTAGCAAAATGTTAGGTGTTTCTGTTTGTTATTAGCTGTATCACTCCTACTTCTGCTGCTACTGTTACTACTACTCCTGCTGGAGCTACTACTATTACTATTACATTACTATTACTGTTGCTGCTGCTGCTTCTAATACTCCACTACTACTACTACTACTACTACTACAAGATAATATCGCAATAAAAGGTCAGTTACAAATATTATAATTTGTCTTAACATAAGCAATTCATAGGTTTCAGGCACAGTTGCTTTCAAATTGTAATCTCTCTGTAGTAGATGCCAATCTGACTTTTTGTTTTCTTTGCAGGGGAATGACTGTGCTCTTTCCTTCTCTGGAAAAACTTGGGCTTTCTGCCTCTGCAATACTGTCAGCACAGACTGTATAATGACATGGTAGACAGGTAGCAAGTCAAGCAGGAATACGAAAGGGCACATAAGTTAACTACAACAACCACCACCACCACAAATATTCAAAAATGTCTGTCTTCTTTCCATGATATCAAAGCCACAACGAACATTGTGTTCAGCTTTGTGAGAAAGCCACATGTGTAACCATAAAATTCAAGCTGTTATCAGTCAAATAAACCTCTTTCATCAGCCTTCTGCGAAACATGTTGCAAACCTGAAGACACAATTTACTTCCGTGAAGTGAATGAATGTTTTATTCTCTCATTTTGACAATGACATAGGAATTTTCCAGGTGAACAAGCTCTCCTATTAAAACTTGCTGTCTTACCAGATGTATGCTTGAAGAAGGGAACAGTGCAAGCTTTTTGTCGGGGAAGAAATGTGAATAAACTTTGGCTTGGTTAGACCAGAAGGAAAGAAACATTGTGTTTATGCTCAATTCCTTTGCCATTTGCATTAATTGTTCCTTTAGATTTGCATATGAGCAGGCAGATGGAGAGTGGATTCTAGGGAACCGTTTGTAAGGAATCCTAAATGCATAGTAGTTAATATTTAGAGAAGTCCAACTTCTGTGTCTTGATTTCTTAATTTCTAAAATGAGATTCTCATAACATTTAGTATCCATCGATAATAAGGCTGTTGGGATGATTAGGTTAGTAATTTAATGGGCTTTGAGATCCTTGATTAAAAGTTAAGGAAAAGTAATGATTGCAATTACATTATCACACAGGAAGAATCCCAGTTTTCTTCCGTGCAATAAACCTACAATGTGGACCAGATTTTCAAAGGAAGGTGTAATGGGTATGCTTACCAAATTTCATGTACATGCGTAATACCCTCAGAAGCATATAATTGCGTATGCAAAATGGATAATTGCATACAAAATTGCCCATTTGTGTGTGCAATTACCCATTTTATGCACACAAATGCTTGTTTGGAAATCTTGCCCTAAAACTCTAGCTATAGAGAAAAATCAGCTTGCACACATGGTTTCTGAAACAGAAATTATGTCCTGCCTTTACTGTATAACTGCTGTCAAGTATTTAAGCTGTCTTCTTTTCAGAGTTGATTCAAAATGTATTTCCAGACTGTATTAGAAGGCAGGAGAATGAAAGATTTTTTAAAAGATAAACATAGAAACTTTTTATCCAGCTGCCTCAGAAGATGCTGATATAGCTTCTAACACTAGCAGCCAGTGATGAGGGCTGTGTAATCACTGCTGGGTATAAGAGGTTATTGTATGTAGAGGAAAAGGGAATCATGTTTGATCAAAACTGTGAAGCATTACATTTTAAAGCTCTCCACTTTTCCATAGTATAGGATGACTGAAAAGAGCCAATTAAATATTGGCTTAGTTAAAGGTAGACTGCTTGTTCTGTAATTATTACTAAGACCTGGCCTTTGTATAACTTGAGGTTTCTTCATTAGCAAAAACCCATCTATGATCTCAGTAGCTTTTGGAGTATATAAGGGCCTAAGAAGAAAATCAGAGTGCCTTACAAAATTAGCTTGTCAGCTTAGAATGTGGATTTAGCCCATTATTTAGTCTAGCTGTTTCTTTCAACAGAATAATCCATTGTTACAGAAGTGAATATCCAAAATTGCTATCCCAGGCTTGGTTATTTCTTGTCCAGAGCCTCTGATATAGTGCTGTCTTCCTAATGGCTAATTTACCTTCTCCTCCACTCTATAGTGACATCTTGTTTTCTCCACTGAGACCACACTTTCTCTCTACTAAAATGTCTTTCATTAGGATATGCAAAACTTCCCAAAGTGTTTCCTTTCATGGTTTCTTTTGCCTGCTATCTGAGTTCAGTCCGTGTCAACCTCGCTGCTGCTTTCATCGTTTTCTCACTTCTTACTTGACATGTTTTACCAGAAAATCTCTGTCATCCCAAGCCTGGCAAATAGTCTTCTTCCTCCTTTTTAAAAATTAATACTATGTGACTAAACTTCTTCAGACTGAAAAGAAGTGAAGTGACAATTACCCAACCCAACTTGTCTGTTTAATATTGTGGGGACAAACTTCATCTTACAAAAATTGCAAACATCCAAAATAGTGTAGCCTGTATCACTGCAGATTCTTGCCACTAAATTATTTATCCCATTGTAAGTTGCATGTATAAATGGGTTCAGTTTGTATTGTATTAATGTAAAGTCATGTGGAGGAAATGAGGTGAGAAGATAGGTTGACTTAGTATCATATATTATAGAGGGTATATTACCTGTCTCAGGAAAATTCTAGATTTTACTTCAAAATCCCTTTACCATTTACAATTAACTTCTAAACATATTATTCCATTCAATCCTCTTAAGAATTCTAGCAGAAGGTAGATGATGTCATAATAGCATATTTTTAGAGTTGGTAAACTGAACCTCAGCAAAATTCTTACTTGACCAAGAAGATATGGCTTGTTAGTGGTGGAGTTATGATTTTTGCAGATTTTATAACTGCAGAATCAAATTATTTCTCCTCCATAATGATGCCAACAATTAGATAATTGAGTGCACACAGAATGAATAATGGACACTGGCATATCCTTACCCTCTATCAGAATCACCACAAATCCCTACAAATACAATTATTCAATCCGTATTAACATCTTGAAATAAATTCAGTTCAGGCACAGTGGCTCTTGCCTGTAATCTTACCAGCACTTTGGTAAGCCAAGATGGGAAAACTGCTTGAGGCCAGGAGTTCAAAATCAGCCTCGTCAACATAGCGAGACTCCAAAATAAAAGTTGAACAATTAAAAATAAAAGACAAAATTTTTAAATTACAAATACTTGTAAAAGAGAAAAATTAAACGAAAAGAAAATTTAAAAAATTAGCTGGGCGTGGTGGCACACTCCTGTAGTCCCAGCTACTAGGGAAGCTGAGGCAGGAGGATCTCTTGAGCCCAGGAGTTTGAGCTGCAGTGAGCCATGATTGTGCCAATGCACTCCAGTCTGGGTAACAAAGTGAGACCCTGTCACAAAAAAAGAGAAGGAAGGAAGGAAGGAAGGAAGGAAAGAGAGAGAGAGAGAGAGAGAGAGACAGACAGACGGAAAGAAAGAAAGAAAGAAAGAAAGAAAGAAAGAAAGAAAGAAAGAAAGAAAGAAAGAAAGAAAGAAAGAAAGAAAGAAAGGAAAGAAGGAAGGAGAAAGAAAGAAACAAAGAAAGAAAAGAAAGAAAGAGAAAGAAAGAGAGAGAAAGAAAGATTGATTTAGCCTTTAAAAGAAAAAAAACATTTAAAAAATACAACTTGTTTTTACTTGCTAAAGACATTCTTACAAGTATAGATCTGGACCTAATTTCTATAGGTTCTCTTACTCTCAGGTATATATTTTTCCCAAAGTCAGAGAGCAGATCTCCAACTACTTTATAAGCAAAATTGTATGAAGCAAGACAACATATGTTCAGCAAATGCTTTAGTACTTGTGGAGAGGGAGAAAGTGTGCTTCTCTCCTGGTAATTTCAACTATAGTTGAAAACTTGCTGTCTTACCAGATGTATGCTTGAAGAAGGGAACAGTGCAAGCTTTTTGTCAACTATATTTCAACTATAGTTGTAATGGTTTCTAAATATATGATTTAAAAATTGTTATTGAGTAAATAGATAATCTAATACCCCACCCCTGTAGTAGAAATCATCATTAGATATATGCACCATGATTTAGGAGCCATTTTCAAGTTCAAGACACAACTTGGAGCATAGACAAAACAAGTGTTTGCAAAATAGAGCACTTAAGAGCTTCAGAGTATCTTCCAGTTGTGTTTAAACCAAAAAGTTTTAACAATCATAGCACATAAATGATAGTTTCCTGATTAAAAAATGTAATGTTTATTATAGAGCTGAATCATTTATATCTGGTAAATAAATACATTTATAGGAAATAAATATTTTGATAGAAAACTAACAGTTTTTAGCATGCCAGTTACAATTAAGAAGAGTAAATTGACTATTTCTATTTATGATTTTAATTGCCAACAGAGGCCGGGCGCGGTGGCTCAAGCCTGTAATCCCAGCACTTTGGGAGGCCGAGGCGGGCAGATCACAAGGTCAGGAGATCGAGACCATCCTGGCTAACCCGGTGAAACCCCATCTCTACTAAAAATACAAAAAAATTAGCCGGGCTTAGTGGCAGGCGCCTGTAGTCCCAGCTACTCGGGAGGCTGAGGCAGGAGAATGGCGTGAACCCGGGAGGCGGAGCTTGCAGTGAGACGAGATTGCGCCACTGCACTCCAGCTTGGGCGACAGAGCCAGACTCCGTCTCAAAAATAAATAAATAAATAAATAAATAAATAAATTGCCAACAGAAATACTTTTACAATTTTGCATAGAATTTTTTATAGATTCTTTATATCAACATTTGTACATTTCCCAATGGGTATTAGGATAATTTGTGACAATGCGTAATATTTTCTTACTGTCACTTTTGAAAATTCTCAGTTATCAAGAGAATACGTTTTAAAAGGAACATTCATGAAAAAATTATTTTTCAAATATTGTCATATTCATCTTTGAATTATCTGACTTCAAATTCTGTTTATGGAATGAGGTACAAATAAATACATTTAAACAGGGAGTAAAAAATAAATATGAAAATTGTTGTGTTAATCTTTGATTTGGTGAAAAACTATGTAAGACCAATGCTAAAGGCAAATTTGTAAATATAAGAAATATTAATTACATATAGTGTAACTGTGCCAGTTTGTAAAATATTATCTTTGAAATAATTACAGGCTAAGTTTATCTAGTTTATACAAGTTTACCCATTAAGCAAGAGAAAAGTAGTTGAAAATAATACCAAAAAAGGCTGAAGAAAGTAATTTATGTGAGCTTGCTGAAACATCCTTTCAGTAACTTCTACTTAAGGAGAAGATAATAAATAAGAAGCCAAGTATATCAAAAATAAGTCAGAATATAATAACAGTTGAAAAAAGTTTGAAGTCATATCAAGTGGTTCTATTGTAATTAAAACTAGAACCTGCTTAACTTAATTGCTGAGGACACAATACTTATATGGCGACGAGTCACTTCTGTTTCATTTCCATGACATTGCAAAGCAGTCCTCACACCAGCAAACTTGAATGCTGACTGAAAGGAGGGAAGGGAGCATGATTAGTATAAATCCATTCCTCCACCTGAAAAACCCAGCTCAAAGCAAGTATATTATCTATGCTTCACAAACATTTCTTTATACATAAAGCTTCTTTCTATTGCTTGAATAAACAGAAAGAGAGGAAGTCCTACAGAAAAACACATTACAAAATGAAAAACAGATTTTGTGAGCTTAAAAAATTGTTGGTGTTTTATGAAATACAATTGGAATTGTTTTGTAAAAGTGAGACTACAAAAGGCAGAGAGAAGATTGATAGGGTGAAAGTAAAGGCTGTAATTTAGCTCTTGTCATCTTTCATATGTGTTTTGCATAGTGAGTGTGAGAGATTTGGTTTCTGGCAATGTTGTTTACAATGACAACATTTAGAGTTTTATCCAGATTGGGTGGGGACAGGGGCACTATTATTAACAATGATGCAGCCTAAACAAAGGAACACAAGAGAGCCTCTGAGGCCCCTGTTGTCACATTCCACCAACTCATGGTTATGAAATTATGTGTGTTGGTTTTACCACATTATCATATGTTCATATAAAATGAAAAGAAGTCTTTCAAGTTTCCATATCTGGTAAACAGTAAACTTACTCTGACCCTCTCTCTCAGCATACATTCCCTTTTCACTCCCCCTTTCTGACCTGTCATCCCATCATCCCATGATGCACACACTTTGAACACATACACACACACACACACACACACATCAAAATGGGGGATAGTATCCCAGGCTGAGTTGTAAATATACATTTTAAATTTAAACAATCATGATCCCTTAACTCCTGAGAGCTATTGTTAATTAGTTATTACTCAAAAAGAGCATCAGCTATCTGCTGCCATGATAATGCTACATAACAAACCATTATGAAACTCAATATCCTAAATTAATAGCCATGTACTATTGCTCAGAGGTCAATTGTGTTGGCTGGGAAGTTCTCATATTAGTTGAGCTTGACAGGGCTCACTCATAGATCTGCAGATCAGTGGATAATATGCCTGATATTGGTTGTCTCACATAACAGAGACTTCATCTGGTGCCACTGGGCTGAATAAGCTCTGTTCCACATGGTCTCATGACTTCCAGCAGAACAGACTAGTTCTGCTCTTAGGAGAGAGGTAGGGGTTCCCCAAAAAAGTACAGACGTGTTGGGTCTCTTGGGGTCTAGACTCAGAACAGGACCATCATCTGCTACATTCTTTTGGCCAAATGAAGTCACACAGCTAGAACAGATTTAAGAAGTGGGAAATCAGCAGCTTTTAGCTATTAATGGGAGGAGCTGTAAAGTCACATTGCTAAGGGCATAGATCCTAACAGTAGTAGAGATTTATGCCATTTTTACAATGAATCCACCACAAAAATAGTCTAATAAAAGAGGATTCCAAAGATTCAAGTGTCACCCAAAATTAGAATCCCCCGATTTGCACAATATGCGAGCACTTATGAAACAGGCTTTCAAATGGAGGACCAGGACATATCTGCTCCCAGATATCTGCTGATTTTCTCTCTCACATTATTTTCTTTCTGCGCAAACTTCACCTCTTCAGAGAGACCTTTACTAACCACCCTCCATTCTAATTAAAATTGTAGACCCACTTCATTCTCTATCCCTTTACTCTGCCTAATTTTCCTTTCTAGCACTTATCACCACATGATATACTATTTGTCACTTATCCTGTCTGCCCCAGCTGCAATGTGAGTTCCTTGGGCCCAGGAATTTTGTCCATCTTGTTCACTGCTGTATCCCTGGCATTTAGAAAAATGACAGAATAGATGCTCAATAAGTGTTTGTTGAATGAGTGTCTTCACAGAACAAGACTATTGAGACCCCTAGGCCCTGCTTCAAGAGCTAGGCATAAAAAGGCACCAATATCAATGACTATTGGTAGTTATATGTAGGTCTGACTTATGCACTGGAATAGATCAAGCCACATCTTTGTTTCTGACTTCCTTGCATGTGTTCAACGATCAACAAGTCTTCATCTTGCTGTGATCATTTTTGAGGCAGAAGCCTCATATGTCATGCTCATAAATTCTATTTAGACCCCCATTCACAGTGAAAACACTGCCATAAGCCACTTCAAATCTATTTGATTCTCAATCTGTGTAAGAATGCTTCTTGCTTTAGGAAGAAGTTATAAAATGATGAAAAGTCTGACTGCGTTGTGAGCACAGGACCTAGGTACAAAGCTCATTTCTGCTTTGGTTGACTTTGGAGAATCTAATTCTCCTATTGAGATTCATTTTTCTCACACCTGTAAGATAAATGACAGTATCTATTGTACCTAAGCTCATAGCTGTCACTCTTCCTAACAGAAAACCTGGTCCAAGGAAATGGACCACCAATAGCCAAGCTTGTACTAGATGACCCATCCCCAGTCATATTTGAGTGGCCTGAATCTAACCCAGGTTAAATCCATCTCCCCATTCCACTTACCCTTGAAATTGGAAATGAACTTGGGGACTATGGACTGCCATCTTCTGCCATGGAGAATAAGCAACAAATAATTATTCTGAAGAATGACAGAGATAAAGCAGACCTTCAGAAAAAAATGAGAGTCAAGAAATGAGGGGAAAGTGCTTCCTCACTTCCTGACAAATTTTAATTTTCTCAATCCAATTCTTTTCTGAGGATTTTTCAATCACACGTTTGGATGTCATAAAACACTCTTGTGTCCTAACAAAGAATGTCCTTTTTCTTTGTTGATCTATTTCATGCTTCTTTTAGTTATTTGCAACCAAAATATCTAAATCAATCTACCTACTCTTGCTGTTGTTGCAAAGATTAGACAATAAGGCCTCAAAAATGCCCAGCAAGCTGTACATTAATTATGATTTAACTCTATTGGAACCATGCTTGACCCTAACCCTAATCTGTGCATTATTTCTGTTTGTGTCCTCAATGACCCTGCTCTCTGCTGACTTGGTGCAACCTGAGAAGGTTCTTATACTAAACTCTATCCAAATCTATTCAATACATCTTGTTCCTTTTCTACTGACCCATGCACTTTTAAAGATGTGCTTACTTTTTTTATCAAGCAGAGGTAGCACAGAGATAGATCACATCTGCTCTCACCTCCCTAGAGACTTTGTTCCTACCTTCACAGTAGCCAAACTGGCTGGAATGCTAGGTCTGACATTTGCTAGCAGTGTAGACATGGGTAAAATACTTAACCCATCTTGTTTCTGTTTCTTCTGAAAAATGGTTTTCACAATAGTACCCACTAAATAAATTGTTGTGAAGCTCCAATTACTTACCATGCAAAAAGCATTTTACTGCAGCTCCTTGAAATTGAACTAGTTTACTCCTAGAATACCTGGAGCCCATTTCAGTCAATATATACCTATTAATCATCTTAACACACCCCCTTTCAAATACATATTATCATTTGCTGATAGTATTAACTGAAATTAACAGATACTAACACACTAATTCTGATTTTTCCTATTATTTATATTTCGTTAATACTTACAGATGTATTCGATTATTTTGTACTTCCCGGTAAATTCAATTTACATTTAGAATATTTTTTAATTTTTTAATTTTTAATTATTATAGGCACATAAGAGTTGTACATATTTATGGAGTGCATGTAATATTTTGATGCAAGCATACAATGTGTAATGATCAAATCAGGGTAATTGGGGTATCTATCTCCTTAAGAATTTATCATTTCTTTGAGTTGGGAACATTCCAATCCCATTCTTTTAGTTATTTTGAAATATACAAAAAATTATTTTTCAGTATAGTTGCCCTATTGTGCTACTGAACACTAGTTCTCATTCCTTCTATTTAACTGTATTTTTATACCCATTAACCATTCCCTCTATATCCCTTGCTGCTCATTACCCCTCTTAGCCTCTGGTAACCATCATTGTACTCTACGTCTCTGTGAGTTCAATTATTTTAGATCCCACATATAAGTGAGAACATGAAATATTTGTCTTTCTGTGTATGGCTTATTTCACTTAACATAATGTTCTCCAGTTCCATCCAAGTTATTGCAAATGATAGAATTTCATTCTTTTTTCCCCCTTAACTATAGTGCAAATTCCTTAAGGACAAGAGCTATATCAGAGTTATTTGCTTCCTCTCACAGCAGTTGTTAGCTATGCTCTATACTTGATTCACAAATGTTTTCTCGTTTTTCACTTATTTTAATTTAAAGAGTTAATATTTAAGAATATGATATAATTTAGATTTACGTCACTGTGATGTCTTGAATCTGTATCACAAATGGAAGAATCAAGCTTGTAATATATTTATTTATTTAGTTTTTTTTAGGTGTGCTTATATTTTGCAAATACTACCTCAGAGATTTTCCCCAGCTTTTTATCTTCATTGTGATATTCTTTTAACTGGAAATGATTTTATTGTACGTAGTTAAAACTGTAGTGCTAGAGACAAAATCCCCTAGAGGTTAGATCAGAGTGACAAGGAAATGTACCCCATAGGGTTCCCATTTCTTTAAACACAGATTTTTCTAGAAAATATAATAAAACTATACCAACTAAATATTTTCTTTGAGAAACACAAATTTTTTTAAGCTAAAATCTGTTTGCCACTCTCAGTCCTCATGATAATTTATAGCTTTTTGTTCTAAAGTGATTTATAGTGAATTTAGTTATCAGATCCCTACAGATGTGGCCTAATAATGTGTTGATTAAGTGCTTCTGCTTGCATAAAAGTGGTTCGTACTTTAAAGACTATTTGCTCTGTTGAGCTGTTTGGTAAATTCTTTAAGCAACAGAAAATGCCTTCTCTTTCTATGTCTGCTCTCCTGCTGAAATCATAACGTTGTTTCAAGGGATTTCTCCATATGCTAACTAATGTAAACAAAATTATCCTTCTCATGTATTAGTTCCAAAATTGTGGATTTACATATAAATTCATTCAATTTGAAGTTGGTTTTTCCATTATCTTAGGTGTAATAATTTACATTACTACATGCTATTCTTTGTCTCTTAATCATTATACACCTCACCAGAATTTTTGATAATTTTAAAGTAATGATTTTTACATGACATGCACAGGCAATAACCTTAATTAGTGTTTAGTTTGAGTCCAAGCTATTCACCCAGAATTGTACTTACCTATTATTTCCAGATGTTCAGGGTTATATTTTTTTCAACCATCTGTCATTTAAACAGTATAAATATACAATAATATTACCTGATATGTTATCTTAAATAATTATCTCTGCAACAGTTTTCTAATACCTTCTAGACCTCTACTATCATTTATGTGTGCTTTTTCCATGCATTTCAATTTAATAATTTGATATGTAAGTTTAAGCACAACAAGAAAGTGATTCCAAAGAGCTTCTTGGTATAGAGTATTTGAATAATATGTACTATATGGTTTTCTGGAATGTTTATTTCCATCTCGTATGGTCATATTTCTAAAGGACCAGACATATCTTCTGCTGTAAAATGTTTCATATAATATCATGGAGAAGTAGAATCATTTAACAGTTGGGGTAAGTATGTAAATTGAGGCATTTGTAAGGACAACTTAGTCATATGTATCAGGACTCCTCACAAATCATGGATGTGTTTGCTTCAATGAGCAACTACACAATTCGTCTAAGAATTTATACTTAGGAAATGATCATGGATGTGTAGCAAACTTTATAGAAGGATGCCCACTACAAAATTGCTTACAGAAATAAAAATTTGGGGGAGAAGATGGAGAAAGATGGCAGAGTAGAAAGCTCCACTGATTGTCCCCCAGCAAGGATGCCAAGTTAACAACTATCTACACAGAAGAAAACATGTTCGTAAGAACCAAAAATCAGGCGAGCACTTCTAGTACCTGGTTTTAACTTTGTATCACTGAAAGAGGCACAGAAGAAATAAAAAACCATCCTATTTGCCGATGCCACCCCTTGCAGCAACAGTAGCATGGTGCAGAGAGATTTTCTGGGCACTGGGGGAGGGAGAACACAGCAATTATGAGGCAGTGAACTTAGTGATGTCCTGTTAGAGTAAAAAGGAAAACCAGACCAAATTCAGCAGACACCTGCCCATGTAGGGAGCATTTAGACCAGCCCTAGACAGAAGGGAATTGCTGATCCCAGTGGTCCAACTTCTCACAAACCTCGCCATTAAGGGCTACAGCACTCTGTGTCTCCAAGTAAACTTGAAAGGCAATCTAGGCCATAAGGACTGCAACTCTTAGGTGAGACCTAGAGCTGAATTTGGCCCAGAGACAGTGAACTGTGGGGGCATGCGATATACTGAGATACCAGCTGGGGCAGCCAAGGGAGTTCTGGCATCACCCTTCCTCTAATGCCAGGCTCCACAGCTCACGGCTCCAAAAGAGACCCCTTCCTTCTGCTTGAGGAGATAAAAAGGAAGAGTGGGGAGGACTGTGCCTTGCATCTAGGATACCAGCTCAGCCACAGCAGGATAGGGCACCACTCAGAGTCCTCGGGCCCCCATTCCAGGCTCTAGGTCCCAGACAACAGTTCTAGGTGTACCCTAGACCAGAAGGGAACCCTCTGCCTTGGAATAAAGGAGCCAGTCCTGGAATCATTCATCACCTGCTAACTGAAGATTCCTTGGGATCTGAACCAGCAGCGATACCCAGATACTACATCCTGAGCATTGGGTGAACCTCTGAGACTTGCTAGCTCCAGATGAGACTCAGCATGTACCCAGCTGTGCTGGCTATGGGACAGAACCCCTGCTTGAGAAAAGCAGAGGGAAAAGTAAAGGAGACTTTGTCTTGCAACTTAGTTATCAGCAAGGCCACAAGGGGACAGAGCACCAAGTGGGCTCTTGGGGCCCCTGATTCCAGGACTTGACTCTTGCATGGCATATCTGGACCCACCCTGGGCCAAAGGGGAGCCCATTCCCTGAAGAGTGAGTAACAGGCCAGTCAGCATACACTACCAGCTGACTCAAGAGACCTTGGGCCTTAAGGGAACGTTGGTGGTAGTCTGGCAGTACTCCTCATGGCCTGTGGTGGCAGTGGCTACACAGTGAGGCTTCTCTGCCTTTGGAAAGGGGAAGGAAGAGTGGAAAGCTCAGCTGCAATACAACAGAAAACCAGGTGGATTTCTAAGGATTTTGACTGTAGTCCCTGACTCCTGGATGGCACTTCTGGACCCATCCGAGGCTTGAAAGACCTTGCCTCCCTGAAGGGAAAGACAGAGGCCCAGCTGGCATTGCCACATGCTGATGGTATAGCCCCAGGGCCTTGAGTAATATAAGCCAAAGTGAGGGAGTGGTTACAGCAGGACTTGGGTGAGACCCAGTACTGTGCTAGCTTCACGTCTAACCCAGTGCAGTTATAGTGTTGGTGTCCACAGGTGTGCTTGTGTCACTCCACCCCCAGCTTTAGGTGGCTCAGAACACAGAAAGAGAGAGATTCTGTACATTTGAGAGAAAGTAAGGGAAAAGAACAAGAGTCTCTGCCTGGAAATCTAGAGAAGAATAGCAGAAGTCACTATGCTTATATCAGACAAAATAGATTTCAAGAAAAAAACTATGAGAGACCAAGAAGATCACTATATAATGATAAAGAGTTAATTCAGAAAGAAGATATCACAATTTTAAATATATATGCACCCAAACATGAAGCACCCAATTATATAAAGGCAATATTATTAGAGCTAAAGGGAGATATGGGCCATAATACAATAATAGTTTGAGACTTCAAGAGCCCTCTTTCTGCCCTGGACATATATCTTCGAGACAGAAACTCAACAAAGAAACATTGGACTTAATGTGCACTATAGAGCAAATGCATCTAAAATACATTTACAGAAAATTTTATCCAAGAGCTGCAGAATACACATTCTTTTCCTTAGTACAATGGCTCCTTCTCAAGAAGAGACCATATGTTAGATCAAAAAAGCTAGTATGAAAACATTCAAACCAATTAAAATAATATCAAGCATATTCTCTGGTCACAATGGAATAAAACTAGAAATTAATAACAAGAGGAATTTTGGAAACTATACAAATATGTATTAATTAAACAATATGCTCCTGAATGAGAGGGTCAATGAAGAAATTAAGAAGGAAATCAAAAATTTTCTTGAAACAAATGATAATGGAAACACAATATACAAAACCTATGAGATACAGCAAAAGCAGTACTAAGAGGGAAGTTTATAGCTCTAAGTGCCTACATCAAAAAAGAGGAAAAGCTTCAAATAAGCAATCTAACTATGCATCTTATGGAACTACAAAAGCAAGATAAAATCAAAATCAAAATTAGTTGAAGAAAAGAAATAATAAACATCACAGGGGAAATAAATACAATGAAAAGGAAAAAAATACAGAAAATGAATGAACAAAAACTTAGTGTTTTGAAAAGCTAAACAAAGTTGACAAACTATTAGCCAAACTAACTATGAAAAAAAGGAGAAACTATGCAAGGAAATAAAATTGGAAATGAAAAAGGAGACATTACAACTGATACTGCAGAAATTCGAAGGACCACTAGTGACTGCTATGAGCAACTATGTGCCAATAAATTAGAAAATCTAGAAGAAATGAACAAATTTCTAGATAAATACAACCTATCAAGATTGAATAAAGAAGAAATCCAAAACCTGAACAGACCAATAATAAGTAATGAGATCAAAGCCATATTAAAAAGTCTTGCAGTAAAGAAAAACATGGGACCCAATGGCTTCACTGCTGAATTCTACCAAACACTAAAAGAAGTACTAATACCAATCCTACTCCATCTATTTCAAAAAATAAGGAAGGAGGGAGTACTTCCAAATTCATTCTTTGAGGCCATTATTTCCCTGATACCAAAACCAGACAAAGACACATCATGAAAAGAAAACTACAGGCCAATATTTCTGATGAGTATTGATGCAAAAATACTTAATAAAATACTAACAAACAGAATTCAACAATACATTGGAAACATCAATCATCACGACCAAGTGGGATTTATCCCTGAAATGCAAGGATGGTTCAATATACACAAATCAATCAACATGATACATCATACCAAGAAAATGAAGGGTTAAAAACCATATGATCATTTCAATTGAGCTGAAAACATATTTGATAAAATTCAACACCCATTAATGATAAATAACCTCAAAACCTGGTGGTGGAAGGAAAATACCTCAGCATAATAAAAGCTATTATATGAGATACCCACAACTGGTTTCGCAATGAATAAGGAAAAGCTGAAAGTCTTTTCTTTAAGATCTGGAACATTACAAGGATGCCCACTGTCACCACTGTTATTCACTATAGTACTGGAAGTCCTTGCTAGAGCAATCAGACGAGAGGTCAAATGACTTTATATGAAAAAGTCTAATAATCCAATGAAAACATG
Organism: Homo sapiens; assembly: GCF_000001405.40. NCBI lineage: Eukaryota > Metazoa > Chordata > Mammalia > Primates > Hominidae > Homo > Homo sapiens. Next base: position 98,953,858 of record NC_000023.11, on the reverse strand, counting down.
GACAAAAGATTTGAATAGAGAAAGATCTAAAGGGCATCCAAGTTAGAAAGGAAGAAGTCAAATTATCCTTGTTTGCTGATGTTATGATCTTATCTTTGGAAAAACCTAAAGACTCCACAAGAAAACTATTAAAACTGATAAATTCAATAATGTTTCAGGATACAAAATCAACAAACAAAAATCAATAGCATTTCTATATATCAACAGTGAACAATCTGAAAAAGAAACAAAAAGTAATCTCATTTATGATGCCACAAATCAAATTAAATACCTAGGAATTAACATAACCAAAAAAAGTTCTCTATAATGAAAACCATAAAACACTAATGGAAGACATTGAAGAGAACACCAAAAATGGAATGATATTCCATGTTTATGGACTGGAAGAATGAATATTGTAAAAATGTCCATATTACACAAAGCCATCTAGAGGTTCAATGCAATCCTTATCAAAATACCAATGAAATTCTTATCAAAAATTGTAAAAGCAATCCTAAAATTTAAATGGAACCACAAAAGACCTAGAATAGCCAAACTATCTTAAGCAAAAAAGAACAAAACAAGAGGCATCACATTCCCTGATTTCAAATTATACTACAGAGCTATAGTAGGAAAAACAGCATAATACTGACATAAAAACAGGCACATAGACCAATGGAACAGAATAGAGAACCCAGTAGCAAATCTACACACCTAGAGTGAACTCATTTTTGACAAAGCTGCCAAGAAAATACAATGGGAAAAAGACAGTCTCTTCAATAAATGATGCTGGGAAGACTGGATATCTATATGCAAAAGAATAAAACTAGACCCCTATCTTTCACCCTATACAAAAGTCAAATCAAAATGGATTAAAGACTTAACTCTAAGACCTCAAACTATGAATCTACTGTAAGAAAATATTGTGGAAAATCTCCAGGACATTGGTCTGGGCAAAGACCTTTTGTGTAATACCCCACAAGTACAGGCAACCACACCAAACACGGACAAGTGGTATCACATCAAGTTAAAAAGCTTCTGCCCAACAAAGGAAACAACAAAGTGAAGAGAAAAATCCATAGAATGCCAGAAAATATTTGCAAACTACCCTTCTGACAAGGGATTAATAAGCAGTATATACAAGGAGGTCAAACAACTATATAGGAAAAAATCTAATTATCCCGATGAAAAAATAGGCAAAAGGTATGAATAGACATTTCTACAGAGAAGACATACAAATGGCAAACAGGTATATGAAAATGTGCTCAACATCATTGATCATCTGAGAAGTGCAATTGAAATGGCTTACATAAAAAAAAGACTGGCAATAGCAAATGCTGGTGTGGATGTGGAGAAAAGGGAACTCTTGTACACTGTTGATGGGGATGTAAATTAGTACAACCAGTTTGGAGAACAGTTTGGAGGTTCCTCAAAAAACTATAAATAGAGCTACCATAAGATCCAGCAATCCTGCTGGGTATTTACCCCAAAGAAAGGAAATTAGTATATCAAAGAGATATCTGCACTGCTATGTTTGTGGCAGCACTATTTACAATAGCGAAGATTTGGAAGTGACCTAAGTGTTCATCAACAGGTGAATAGATTAAAAAAATACAGTGTATATACACAATGAAGTACTATTCGGTCATGATAAAGAATGAGATTCTGTCATTTGAGGCAACATGGAGGGAAATGGATATCATAATGTTAAATGAAATAAGCCAGACACAGAACTACAGCATCACATATTTTCACTTATTTATGGGATCTAAATATCAAATCAATTGAACTCATGGACATAGAAAGTAGAAGGATGGTTAAGAGGCTGGGAAGGGTAGTGGCAGTTGGGGGAGAAGTGGTGATGGTTAATGGGTACAAAAAATAGAATGAATAAGACCTACTATTTGATAGCACAATAAGGCAACAATATTCAATAATAACTTAACTGTATATATTAAATTAAAGAATGTGATTGGATTGTTTGTAACTCAAAAGATAAATGCTGGAGGGAATGGATACACTGTTCTCTATTATGTGGTTATTTCACATTTCATGTCTGTATTAAAACATGTCATGTACCCCATAAATATATACAACTAATATGTAGCCACAAGAGTTAAACATTTTTTAAATTTAAATAAAGAAACTAAAACTTGAAAATAGCTCAAATATTTGAAGGCTATATAATAACATGGCAATAATGATTATCTCTGATAGCTAGGATATGGGGTCAATTTATTTTCTTCTTTTTGCTTACTATATTTAATTAATATTCTACAGTGAATATTTATTATCATTTTGTAAACGGAAATAGAACTACTTATTCAGGTTTTTACTGTTGTAACTTTTCTTCTCTTGATTCCTGATTGAAACAATCTTGGCACTTTGGTCTTCCCCAGATAAGACTATTTAACAGGTCTAAGTAATAATTTCTAAATCCTAATCACATTGGAGTGTGTGTGTGTGTGTATTTGTGTGTAACCTTGAATAAGTCCTAGAAAATCCATGAACCTCATCGCCTTGTCACTTAATTTGGCTTAGTAATAATTTACATGACTATGTGCAAGTGCCTAAACCAGCTGATATCTTGAGATTCCTTCTACTAAGATTTTAGATTATATGAAATCATGAAGAAAAATCACCTTACAAACACTGTGAGGAAAACTTTATTAGCATTAATATAAGACAACTGACAGCATGACAATAAGCCCCTAGCAGCATTAAAAAAAATTTTTTTTTGTCAGATCAGGCTGATTTGCCATGAATCTAATTTATACTGTGATGGGCCCTAGTATTGTGTTCACATGGTGATATTTATTTGCTAAATTTTAACATAGAAGATATTTTAACCACAATCTATTTTGATCATTATTTTTACAACTTCATTTTTCCTTTTCTCACATGTTATTTGGGGGATACAACTAAGGAGAAGTTGAATTGAGGGTATGCCATTTTAACTGCAATTTGGAAAAGCAATGCGAAATGTTTCAATTCAGCAAATGAGACATAATGAAGTCTTGATTTAGACATATATAACAGATATCTTTTATTACAATCTTAACATTTATTAAAGAAAATTCAAATAAAAATAATTAACAGATTATGAAAACAAAATAGAATGACATAATAGAAATTATTCTGATATCATGAAGTGAATCATAAAAACAAATTCAGGCCAGGTGCTGTGGCTCACGCCTGTAATCCCGCACTTTGGGAGGCCAAGGCGGGTGGATCACCCGAGGTCAGGAGTTCGAGAACAGCCTGGCCAACATGGTGAGACCCCACTTCTACTAAAAATACAAAAAATTAGCCAGGCATGGTGGCATGCACCTGTAATCCCAGCTACTCGAGGGGCTAAGGCAGGAGAATCCCCTGAACCCAGGAGGCAGAGGTTTCAGTGAGCCTAGATCACGCCACTGCACTCTAGCCTCAGTGACACAGCAAGACTCTGTCTCAAAAAATAAAATTAAAATTAAAAAAATAAATTCAGATCAGACCAAAGCAATAATTCATTAAGAAGAAGGGATAAGGTTTGAATCAAAATAATAAATAGGCTATTGGATTTTTTGACAATTTAATTAATGAGGAATTAATCAAATGACCACACTGAAAAAATCTTTAAATTTTTTGCTGATTTGATGTGAATTACTGACGTTGATAAAAGTAACACAAAACTCAAAATCTGTCAGTAAAACAAGGACATTGTTGGCAAACCGGATAATAAATGCTGTCAATTCTAAGGTTACTTAGGCATTGCTACTGCACAGGAAAACTTGAAATGCCTTTGAAATCTTACATCTAACATATGAAAAATATATGACAGAGGTTTCCCAAGTCTGATAGCAACCCTAAAATTTAAATGACATTGACAATAATGAGTTATAATATTGAAAGAAACTGTTCTAAATTATCAAAATTATAAAAACTGGGATTAATTATATTATTATTATTTTTAAAGCATAACTAATATATTAGATGCACATGTATGCATGAGAATCATACAATATATCAACTCAAAGAAAGGCCAGATGATTGAGAATTAAATGCCCTCTTCATAGAGGAGAAGAAAATGGGGGAATGAAACAACCTGAGGGTATGAAAGTAATAGCAAGCCATTGCAACCCTGGGTACTTCAGGAGCAAAGAAACAAATCTCCTACTCCCAAATAATAAAATACTACGTATCACAAAAAAAGTAAACCAAACATATTTTATTTCCCTTGAGGGATAAACTTCTTTCTTAGTGATTTTTGTTTTTGTGAATTTATCTTAGAATGAAACAAAATGAAAATTAAAAGCCTAGTTCATCAGTGTTGAGCTCAAAAAGGGATACCCCAAAGACTGGCACTTTTACATGCTGAGAGGCCTTTCAAGCTGCCTCAGAATCAAGGTCTTTTTAACCTTGTCTTATTGTCCACTGTTCCCCCAATACCTGCCCCCACTACCCCCATTCTTCACTAAGTGCAGAGAGAGACTCTCTGGAATTTCCTTATCTGAGTAAGAAAACTTGTTTTCAAAAGAAATGCAATCTTCTGAAGACCCCCTCCCAAGGAAACTCATCAAATAACCAGGAAAGATCAATCATCTAAAATTAATCATATTATAATAAAGGCTTTTTTTACCTTCTTATTCTCTCTATATAAACTATGACAAAATAATTTTTCATGTTTACAAGCGATTAGCGATTATACAGAGAAAAACATACAGAAAAAATATTATAGAAGTATTGTGGAAAATCACTTGAAACATTTTGCTTTCTTTTTCTCAATTATGTTTGTGATATTTGACAAGTTTTTTAATGTGTAATGTATTGCAAGTTACTTAGTCATTTTGAATATATATTAACTTTTGTGCTTAGTTTACATACTCAATTGTAATTGATATCTTTAAAAAAATAAAATCTCTAAAAATTTTTAAGCCTCAGGTCTCAGAAAACTTCGATCTACCCATTATCATATCATTTTATTTTGTGTTAGGGCTTTAGATGAAATAGAAAACTGCGGAAAATCTACGATCACATTATTCACTAGTCCAGAGTAAAATAAAATACCAAAAGAAATAATAAAAAATAAAAATAATAAAAAAGAAGAATAATAATCACCTATTGCATTACTGATTTTCCCATTCAGTTTTGGTAATTTTGTAAAGAAAGAATAGTAAAGATAAATTATTATTGTTGGTGATGCATCTCAGTACCTGAAACAACAGAAAAAAAGTAACAAAACAAGCCCTGCATCGTGGTTGTTTTTCACTTTAGAATGACCAAAACTACTTAGAATGTAAAGTTGTTTAAAATTGGGGATTTTATTTTGCAATAAATTGCCCGTAAAAACAGAAGTGTGAATGCTGAGCAATGTCACCTAACTGAGGCATACGAGATTATGCTACATGTTAAATAAAAACACAGTTTCTGACTATTCATTAAATGTGCTTGAATATTGTAATATTGGGATATGCACTGGGCTTTAGTTCCAGCAGTTGCAGTTTTTGTTACATACTATTTCCCTCATCAGTGGACTTTGGTTTCTTTTATATGTGTGATTCTCAACCTACTGCTTTAAATACTACACATTACATTTTTCTAAAAGTAATTATTGCATCTTTAAAAAAAGAAAATTTATTCTTACATGTATTCCAACACAACTTTATAGAAGAGAAGCACAAAAAGTTTGACAATCATCAAGTCTTAGATTCTGTTGGACGAGAATGCTAAAGCAATATAAATATGAAGAAAAGGGGCTCAGAAAAATACTCTGCATTAGTGTTTAGATTTTCTGTTAATTTATTTTACCAAGGTTTGAAATCTCTATGGTTTTTTTGTGTAGACTTCTTTTAGTTATTTGCCACAATAGAAAAGACCACTCTAATTGAGCGATGGCTTTGAAAAAAATACTTGGAACTCAAGAGAGTGAACATTTTACTTCTGTAATAAGTAGATGTCTTTACTTAAAGTGTGACTGTTCAATTGTATATTTAATAACTTTATTAAATAACTACTATATGTTGACCTACCCCTAATATGTGTGGGGTCTGGAGCAAGAGTACAAATAAAAGTCCACATACCATATTATAAATATTTACAATTTATAAACCAATATAACAAGCAAAAATATCATCACAGTGACAAATTTTTAAAATATGGGTAAAACTATCATTCTTATATGACTGAAAGTCGGCAAAATATCAAAGCTGACATTATTATTATTCTGATGTTGGGTTAGCAATGTTTGCATTAGTTATATATGTAATACAAAAATTGTACTTAATTCCATAAAATGCATTTTTCTTTCTCTTATTTCAGTAAAATCACTGTGTCATAATTGTTTCACATGATTAGAAATTTGTAATCTAAAGAATTAAAAAATAAAATGGCATTATATTCAAAGTACATTTGAGAATATTTTATCAAAATATAAAAAGTAAATGTAAAATTTTTAAAACTAAATTTACTTTTTATATGTAGTTATAACAAATTATTTATCATCTAAAATATTCAAAACATTTGTTATATTTAAATGATAATACAAATTAAATTTAATGAATAGTAAAATTTTAAATCAAATGTAAACAAATAAAATTTTAATTGTATCACATTTTTATAAATGTAAGTGTATTTTTTAACATATCTTTATAAGGAAAACTATTAATAATTCTATTCTTTAATGTAAATCAATATCACACTTCATATGTGTTATATCTATACTTCCATAATTGCAAATTTAAGGCTTACATAAATTATTTAATATTGCAAAATATCCCTAAGCTGCCATGTGGGAAAGTCATGCTAATACATGAATATTTTCAAAGCTATAAATTTGAATATGAACTGAAGCAATAAAATGGACACTCAGAACTACTGAGAATTCACACTTCATTTTGCAAGAATCTATTATTTTATATCTGAGATGAAGGATTTTATTATCTACTTTTTATAAAGTTTATTCAGAAAAGAACTACACCAAGACCCTAATAGATATACTAGATATAAGCAAAAGACATGAAAAGTCATTTCATTCTAAAGGAGGTGTATAAGGCAAACAACCATGTGGAAACTTTTTCATCTGACTAACAATAAATGTAATAGTCACTACAATAAGAGCAAAGTATTAGTCTTTTATTCAATTAGAAAAGTATTTTAAGTATTTTTTAAGCTTAATAATACGGGAGCAGAATAGAGAAACTGGCATAGTCATACCTTTCTGGTGGTGAGGGAAATTGGCACAATTATTCTGGATAGGTATTCGAAATTTCATTAATGTATCAAGAGACATAAAATTACTCATATCCTCTCTTTTAATAATCTTATTCAAGGAATTGCTTTAAGAAACCTATTCAAAAAAGAAGAAAAATTCCCTTTATACAAAAATGTATAGATCTTTGTATTAGAAAATTGGAGACATTAATGGTTTCACATGGGAGAAAAAATAAGTAGGTTATGTTACATCACATGTGCAAAGTATCTATTAAAAATTATAAATAAAAACTCTAGCAAATGAATAAAACTGTTTTTAAGTGAAGAAACAGCATAAAATTGAAGGCACAGTATGCTTAAATGATGTAAAATATTCGTACATATGGCTTAAGACTTGCCAGAGAACAGAGAATTAAAAATAGCTGTGAGATTATGTGGATTTTTTTTTTCTTTTCTTACTTTCTTGATATTACAAGTAATTTTATTTTAACTTACATCTATATCCAACTTACAGGTCATTGTCTATCATTTCCATATGCCTAGGGCCAACCCAGGAAACATCCTGACTCTCCATCTTCTCTTCATAATTTCTGGCAAAATTCCAACCCTGGGTAAAACAATGTCTACCATCTCTGTGCCTACACAAAGACAGCTGATTGCTGTCAGAGGAAATAATATGACCAGGATTTGGGTAGGATTCTAAATTCATGATCATGAACCTCAAATAAGTCCCCAGCTACTCTGGCCGTTTTATAATGTATAATTGTTTCTGTTTGCCCTCCCATGTCTTACAGTGATTATTTTAAAATTAGTTCCATTAACTTCAAATATCTAATGTGTCCTCCTCACTCACTTTCAGCACATTATTTCACAGAGAAAATAGAAGCCATTGGATAGAAATACTCTTAACTTCCATATATCACACCTGAAAACCTATCTGAATCTAAGATATAGCATAGCATAATGGTTAAGAACATAAGCTCTAAATCTAGATCTCCTATGTCTGAAACTTAGCATTGTCACTTACTAGCTGTGTGATTTGAGGAAAGTAATTTAACCTCTCTTTAATTCTATCTTCTCATCAGCTAGATAGAGATAATACTAGCCTTACATAAAACTGTTAGAACAATAAAAGAATTTAGCTTTGTAAATATATTAGGACAGTATTTGGCCTATAAGAAGGATTCAATAAATTTTAGCTGTTATTATCTGAACCCATCCTTTTTACCTTTCATTTTTATTACAATTCATAAATAACCCTCTACTTTGAATTATGATTGGATTCCATCATCTCATGTCTGCTCAAGAACATTATCCAGTGGAAATTCCTTTGTATTATTATATTTTCAACCACGTCTCTAGTATAGACTCTTTTTCAACAGTATTTAAATATGTGTAGGTATCTTGCATTCATAGCTAAATTTCTCAAAATAACGGCCTCTATAAGTTATTCTCGAATTTGAGCATACATCAGAATCAACTGAAGACCTTGTTGAAACACAAATTTTGGGGCCTACCCACAGCATTTCTGAGTCAATAATTGTGATGCGGGGCCAGAGAATTTGCATTTTTCAGGAGACCTGAGGTTGTTCATATGCGACTGGTCCAGAGACTACACTTTAAAAACTTCAGGCCTATACCACTCACATACCCTTACCTACCACAGATTTCATATCAGCATACCTTTACAAATGGTCTTTGTATGATCAACAGTGACTTCCAGGTTGCCTTTTGGATACTTATTTTGTGGTAATCATCACTCCTTTCAATTTTTCTCCGAGAGAAAATATATTGTGAATTTTCACCCTGCACTTTGTTAGATATGATTGGAAACAAACAACCTTAGCGCCAAATGATGATGATGTTAAAAACAAAAATAACAACAGTGTTCCAGGGCTCCAGATGAACAAAAGCAATTAGAATGTATAACAATCACATGAAAGATGTCAAAAACTGTGGAGTGCCCAGTGATTTGGATACCATCCCCACAGAATGGTAAAAATAATTCTTCCTTTTTCACAAGTCTATCAGGTGATGTTGACGCAAGTGGGCCTTGGACTATGCTTTGAAAAGTTGTGGCTACTGAGATAAAACCAAAGGTCTTAAGAGCCTGTGAAAGACCTACCTCCAGCAGATGGGTAATTTTGTGAAACATCTGCTCAAGGCTTTTGCCCATTTTTCTATTGTCTGTCTTTTTTCTCGTTGAGTTATAACATTTTTTTCATGTGTTTTGGGTGAGTCCTTTGTTGGATGTATACGTTATGAATATCACTTCCTATACTGTAAATGGGTTACCTTTTTACATTTCTAACGGTTTCTTTTGATGACGAGAATTTCCTAATTCTAATATAGTCCAGTGTTCCATATTTTTCTTCTAAGGCTAGTAACTTTTTGTATGTTAAGAAATATTTGCTTCTTCTAATGTCATGAAAATGTTCTATATTTTCCTCCCAATTTAATTTTTATCATTCATTATTATATATTAAGTCAATTGAAATGGTTTTGTTGTATGGCAGTGATTCTCTTATATTTCAGTCTCAATAATTATCTACAATCTTAAAAACCAGTGAAGACTGCAAAGAGCTTTTGTTTATGTGGGTTATATCTATTGATAGTTACCATAATAAAAAATAAAAAAGAAAATTTTAGAATATTTATTCTATTAAAATAATAATAAAATTACATGTTAATACAGCATGTTTTGTGAAAAATAATTATATTTTATAAAACAAAAGGCCTATTTACTGAGGAGAGCAACATTGTTTTTACATTTTTGAAAAACTCTTCAACATATGGCTTAATAGAAAATAGCTGTATTCTCAAGCCAGGCTCCATGGTGTGTGCCCATAGTCCCAGCTACTCTGGAGGCTGGGGCAGGAGGATTGCTTGAGCCCAGGAATTCATGTCCATCATGGGCAACAAAGCATGACCCTGTCTCTGAAAAAATAAATTTAAAAAGAAATAAATGATCTGAATTCTCATATCTGCTTCTCCAATCTGTTATGCTTTGTGGTTTGGGTTGAAGTTTACTAAGAAAATTTAGTCACACACAGATTTTAGTTGGAAAGGGGAGGAAGAAAAGTATTTTATTAATTTTCTGATATAATTGTGGATATTCTTTAATATTACACTTGACATGTGGTAGTTTCTTAAAGACTAGTTAAAATAGGAATCTGAAGAACTAGCAATGAACTTTTTGTACTTCGTTGCTTTAAAAGTAATTGATATATGTTGCACATTGAACGAATATTTTATCCATGAGTGATTTTTGTACCATCTTATACTGATAATTTTTAAAATATTTATTCATTGATTTATGCAGATCTTTCAAATGTTGACACATTTATTTATATAGTATCAAAAATCACATTAGTTAATAACATCACAGATCTCATCACAAAAATGTTTAAGTAGTTGAAAGATATCAGGTTAACAGTGGTACATAAAAGTTTTTCAAAATTCCAAATTTCACTTGAAAGATCAAATTTTATAAAGATATCAGGTTAACAGTGGTACATAAAAGTTTTTCAAAATTCCAAATTTCACTTGAAAGATCAAATTTTATTTTCAATTGACAGGCTGACTTCATTCAGTTTCAGCAATTTGCTCACCCAATAGTAGTCTTAATAACCACAGTTTGACAATTATCCTTTAAGATAAATATGTTGTACCATGTAAAAAAAATGGTTAGTTCAGCTGGCAACTCAGTCACACATGTGTTTTTCTTTGAGACAACTATTATTAGGCTTTAGTACACAGCAGAGGTCCTTTATATGTATTTCCCATTTGGTCACACAAAATATTAAAAAATAGGTACTAAAAATTGATATTTAGTAAAAGTAATAAGTTTGAGTGCTTCATCAAAGCCATTCTTAGATAAAACTGGCTTTTGTTTTTACTGTGAATACAGGGTGTTAAATAATACAATGACCACTGGTAAAGTTTGCTGCCACTGACTTGACTGGTGCGAAGGTATAGCCAGTTTTACCTATCCTTTCTTTTTGCACCATCATTTTAAATGTCAACATGGTATAAAAGGTAAAGAGTGTGTTAATATTGTTATGAAAATAGTTCTTACGTCAAGGATCTCCTCAAAGGATCTCAGGAACCCCAAAGATTCTGTGGATTACCTTTTGATAACCAGTAGTGTTGTCCTAAATAAATACTTTCCATATGGATATCCAATTCACCAAGTACAATTTACTGAAAAGACCCTTCTTTCTCCATTGTATTACAGTATCACCTTTGTCAGTCAGGCGACTGTATATGTATGGGTCTGTTTCTTTGTTCTTTCATCTGATCCATTAGTTCATTTCTTTATGCTTGTGACAGTATCATACTGCCTCAGTTCCCATTGTTTTATAATATATCTCAATAACTGGTAGTTTATGTCCTCAAGCTTTGTTTTCTTACTCAATATACCCTTGTCTGCTCTTGATCTTTTGCATTTTCATTTGAGTTTCATAATCAACTGAAAAATTATCTCAAAAACCCTGCTAATATTTTTATTGTGACGGCATTAAATTTGTAGAATAATTTGGAAAAATTGACACATTTACAGTGTAGAATTTTCTAATCCATTATCACATATCCCTCTATTTCTAGTTTCTCTTAATTATATTCTTTCATTTGTCAATATAGATGTCTTGCAAATCTTTCATTTGACATAGTTTTAAAGTACAATTTAGATTTTTTTAGATTTCTTAAATTTTAATTGTGAAAAAATATACTTAGAATAAAATTTACCATCTTAACCATTTTTAAAGGGTACAGTTCAGTAGTGTTAAGTATATTTACACTGTTGTGAAATTAATCTCCAGAACTCTTTTGCCTTCAAAAACTAAAACTCTGTACCTATTAAACAGTAACTCTCCATGGGACTCTCTCTCCAGCCCCTGGTAGCCACCTTTCTACTTTCTTTCTCTATGACTTTTACTATTCTAGGTACCTCATATGAGTAGATTCATACAACATTTGTCCTTTTGTGTCTGGCTTATTGTCCTTAGCATAATGTCTTCAAGGTTCATCTATATTGTAGCCGGTATCAGAGTTTCATTCCTCTTTATGGTTGAACAATATTGCATTATATGTATAGAACTCATTCTGTTTATCAGGTAATCTTTTGATGGGCATTTGGGTTGTTTCTACCTTTTAGCTATTGTGTTGCTACGAATAATGGTGTAAACGTATCTGTTTAAGTCCCTGTCTTCAATTATTGTGGGTGTATACCTAAGAGTGGAATTACCGGAAAATATGGCAATTCTATAGTTAACTTTTTGAGAAACTGCCATAGTACTTTCCACAGCAGCTGCATCATTTTATATTTCCACAAGCAATGTTGGATGGTATATTTCATGAAAATATATTTTGACTTGTATGATGTTGCTACATAGACTCCTTTGGATTTTCTAGATACATAATCATGCCATCTACAAGTAATGAGAGTTTTATTATTTCCTTTCCAAACCTTATATGTTTTATTTATTTTCTTTTCTTCTTGGACAGACTGGCTTTGCTAATAAAGTCCCAAATAAAAGTGGTGATAACAAGCTTCTTTATCACATTCCAAAGTTCAGTAAAAAAGTTTCCAAAATTTTCTGATTGAGTATAATATGTACTGCAGGGGTTTTGTAGATGCCCTACATCATATTTTTCTTCTAATTTGGTCTTGAGGCCTCTCTCTGAAGAGTGGGTCTAAATTCTAGCCCTGTCCTGATGGATTTCGAAGAGATTTGTTCATGGGTATTTACAGTGTGTCTTTCATAGCATACTTCTTTATCCTGGTGAATGGCATAATGTCTAAGTGTCTGACCCATCACCAGGTGCTCCTCTCACAGGAAACTTGTTTATACTTACAAAATGCTCCTGTGGCTCCTGTCTGATTTGTTTCTAGTTTATTCCTACCAAGAGAGACGGAGAGCCCTGACCAAGAAAAAGTTAAGTTCGGGTGTGTCACTAAAATGAGAAACAGAGGAGACAACTCAACAAAGTACATGAAATAAAAAAAGCATTGTATTACTTACAGATCCCAGAGGGAAGAAGGCAGCACACCTCACAGGGCCAACAGGAAGGGAAGAGACTTCTGGAACATGTATGCTCAACCGGCAGGTGGGATGCAAGACAGAGAAGGAGAGAGAGAGAGATGGACCTGTGGGCCAACATTTACTGCAATTTAGAGCATTACCCAAGTAGATTTCCTGCAGGGAGTTCTAATTTGTAAGTTTAGAGCAAGCAGGCACAAGTTCCATGGATCCATGCTGTGACTAAGAGGTCACTGGGTGTATCTGTGCAGTCCATTTGAGGCATGGGGTCAGTGGGGCAAGTCAAGTAGGTTGTATCTTGCTGTCCACACAGAGGTGGTCACCAGATGATGGTCGTATAAGGTAAATATCTAGATAGACCACATGGAGGAACAGAGCAGAGAGAGAACTGGAAACTGTGTCAAGGGTGACTAAGCCCTCCTTCTGGTATGAGAAAGTCCAATTCATATTCAAAATGGATGTTGAGGCAATATAAAATTATGAGAATTCACTACACCCTGTGGTAGACAGAATGATATTTCAAGAAGATGTTCATGTCCTAATCTCTGGAACCCATTAATATATTAGATTATATGGAAATAGGGATGTAATTAAGACTACAGGTCTTAGAATAGGGAGATTACCTAGATTATCTGGGTGGACCCAATCTAATCACATGAGCCCTTAGTAGCAGAGCACTTTCTCTGACTAGAGTTAAAGAGATGAAATGTGAGAGGAGGTAGGGAAAAATGCAGAAGAAAAGAAACTCAGAGAGATTGCAAGAATGAGAAGGATTCAATGTACCATTGTACTAGGACCATTTATAAGAACTAGATAGCAGCCTCTAGAAGCTAAGGACACCCCCAGGTAAAAGCCAGCAAGGAAATAGGAATCTCAGTCTTACAATCACAACGAATTGTATTTTTCTAAAACCCTGAGTGAGCTTGAAATCTGATCCTTTTCCAAGCTCCCAGTAAGGAACGAGGCCTTGCCAATGTCTTAATTTCAGCCAAGTCCACCCAGACATCTGAACACAGAAACTGTGAAATAATTTGTGTTGTTTTAAGCTGCTAAAATTGTGGACATTTTTATGGCTGCAGTAGACAACCAACACATGTCGTTTATCTGATTTAAAAAAATTCTTTCTAGCCTTAATTTGCTTAGAGATTTACCATGAAGAGATGCTGATTTTTTTCAAATGCTTTGTCTTCATCAAACAGAATGATTCTATGAATTTCCAAAGGTCTTTTATTTTCTGTTGGTGTAACTGATTTTCTAATACTAAGCCGTTTTTGAATAACTAAAATAAACTTCAGTTGGATGTAATGTATTTTTCTTATACTGTATGATTTCAATTTGCTAATATTTTCCTACTTTTTGCAACTATGGAAATGAGAGAGACATGGATTACATTTACTTTGCTGCCATACTCAGATTATGGAATTGATGTTATGCTGTTCTTTAAAAATAAAGTGAGGAACTATTCTTCTATTTTCTAGAAGAGTTTGAAAAAAATTGGTGCTATTTCTTTGTTAAATATTTGTAAGAATTTATTAATAAATTCACCTGAGCCTAAAGGGGTGTGTGTGTGTGTATGTGTGTGTGTGTATGTGCATGTACATGCATATGTGTCTGTATGAAAAAAATTAACAGCAGATTCACTTCTTTCAAAAGGATTCAGTGTATAAGGATATTCAATATCTTCTGTCAGCTTTGACGGCTCATATTTTTTGAAAGATATTCTATTTCATGCAAATTGTTAAAGGATCTGTATAAAGTCACTCTAATAATCTATCATAATCTTGAATGTCTATAGTATGTTATGATGTTCCTTATTCTCCCTTTTTTTAACCAGTCTTTCTAGAGATTTATTATCTATATTAATGTTTTAAAGAACAAAACATGTTAATGATGTTATCTATTTTATCATTGCTTTCTAATTCACTGATTTCTGTTCTTATCTTTCTTAACTTTCAATTAGTGTTCACGTGGTATATGGATTTCATTTTCCTTTAAACGTGCTCTGTCATTAAATTTAAGTTTTGCATTTTTTAAGTAACGTACAATTGGGTCTTATCTTTTTATCAATTATTATAACTTAATATTCTACTCAGAGTATTTTGTCCATTTTCATTTAATGTAACTTCTATATTTTTGGATTTATATTACTATCTAATTATTTGCTTTCTGCTTAGAAAATTTGTTCTAGGTTTCTTCTTTTCACCTTCTTTTTTCCTCCTTTTTATGACTAATCAAGTATTTCTGTTATTTTATTTTTCTTTGTAGAAACTTTATAGTCAATGTTATTTTACTATTCTTCTAATAATTACCCTGAAGATCACAACCCATAGCCATTAATCATCACGGTTTAATAAGTATTAATATTTGTACCACTTCTATGATACTTATATGAACTTAGAATATTTAAATCGATTTATTCCATCCCCTCAATATACTATTTTAATATATATTTTAAGTTTCTTATAACATGTACTTATTGATGCAAGAGTAAATATTTATTTATACTTATTCACATATTTACTTTTCTCAGTGTTATGAATTTCCTCCTGAATTTTCATTTTCTATATGAGATCATTTTTATTCTACCTAAAGAGTTATCTTTAATTTTTCTTTTAGTGTGGAATTGCTGGTGAAAGTCTTTGTTTTTGGCTTTTTAATAAATGACTTTATTTCACTTCTGTTTTTAAAATTTTAATTTTTTAAAATTATTTTCTTTATTTTCATTTTCTTATTTAAAATAAAATAAAGAAAAACATATTAAACAAATGTGTACTATAAAACAATCATTCTTTTTACCAACGAGCTCCAGAAATAGAAGTTGTTCAATTACCCAAGACCTCCCTTTATATGGCCTATTGTAATCACAGTCCCCACTCCATCTACAACTGACCACTATTCTTTTATATAAATTATTTGCTTGCTTTTCTTGATGGTTTTATCAATCGAGTGTGCATTATAGTTTAGTTTTGCCAATTTTAAAAATAGGCAATAAATGAGAAAATATGATATATTGTATCTGTCTTACAATTAATATATTTCCTTATACTTCCCTTCCTCTCCTTATTATTTACTTGCTGAAGAACCCAAGCTATGAGAATTGTAGACTTTCCCACGGTCTAGATTTTGTTGATTGCATTATTATGGTGTAGTTCAAAACATTCTTCGGTCCTCTATGCTTTCTGAAAATTGGTAGCTAGATCTGGAGTTTAATCGGCAGATTCAAACACTTTAGTGAGAATAGAAGTGGTATTGTGTTTTTTTATCAGGAGAATGGTAATGCCTGTATCTCTCGCTCTCCTTTTCTGTCTCTCTTCTTATGTTAGCAAGCATTGGTATTCAAAGCATAGATCAATTAATTCATTGCTAGGTTAAACAAATTGATATATTAATTCAATTATTTTCCGTTCATTTATTCACTGGGAGAATGTTGTAAGGAGACACTTCCCTTCATCTACTTTTTGGTTATCAATTGGCAAAGTTTATATAAGAAAAGCAGTACGAATATATGATTTATTCTATTTAACTACTTAATTTTCAAAATATTGAATAATTTCTCTGTGATCCTCAGAAGGTAATCAGCATTTTCCTGTTTAATACAATTAGAAACTCAATGGATTAAACACAGTTGATGAATTTTAATTTTTTTTCAGTTTTCTAACACAGTTTTTTTTTTTACCACTTTACACTTCTACTAGCAATGTATGAGTGTTCAAGTTGCTCCACCTTTTTGCCAACACATGGTATTTTTATTCATTTGAATTTTACCTATTTGAATGCGTGTGAGATGTGTGTATATGCATATGTGTGCTATGTCATTGTGTTTTAAACTGCATTTTACTAATGAGTAATAATATTGAGCATCTTTTCATATGTTTATTGGCGATCTGGATCCTGAATTATAATTGGTGATATTATCTGGAATTCTTTTCTGCCCCCTTATCTTTTCACTCTTCACTCCTTCCATAGTTCATCTCATCCAGACCCATGGATTTATTACTATTTGTATACCAGTGACTTCCAAGTCCAAACTTGGGCCCTAAACCCTTATGTCTAAATGCGCACTCTACATTTTCCATCACTTATTCACTTTTTTCCTTTTGCCTCTTTGCTCTTCTCTTTTCTTGACTGAAAAATTGATGTGAAGCCTGGAGACACAATAGTTACCTTGTGACCACAAATACAAGGGCAAAAGGCAACCCATTGAGAATGGCAGAAGATAAAAGTGGAAAAATTCTAGGTCACTGGCAGCATTGTGTGCATTATCATCCCTAAACTGCGTAATACTGAACATTTTATTATATAACACAAATAAGGCACAGTCTTTTTTTAAGGCATTGTGATAGGATTTTATTTTCAGTATAAGGCACTGCTGGTACAAAGGGCCCTCAAGAAATACTACTTACTATTTGATTCTATTATGTTTAAAAAGAAAATCTGAATGATTTGCTCTACAGAATGAGATTTTGAATATAACCTAATTAAAATATATAGATTTCAGAAATTTGCCAGTTATTTATTTATTTATTTATTTATTTATTTATTTATTTTTTGAGACGGAGTCTTGCTCTGTCACCCAGGCTGGAGTGCAGTGGCACGATCTCTGCTCACTGCAAGCTCTGCCTCCCGGGTTCACGTCATTCTCCTGCCTCAGCCTCCTGAGTAGCTGGGACTACAGTTGCCCACCACCACGCCCGGCTAATTTTTTATATTTTTAGTAGAGATGGGGTTTCACCGTGTTAGCCAGGATGGTCTCGATCTCCTGACCTTGTGATCCGCCCACCTCGGCCTCCCAAAGTGTTGGGATTACAGGCGTGAGCCACCGTGCCTGACCAGAAATTTGCCAGTTTTCTGATGTTTTTAACATTTATGATTTATTAAAAGGACTAGTATGAACATTTTTATTGATATGTACAGAAAGATACATATATGTGATATTTTATATATTTGTAGTTATAATGTACATATACGTATATTAGTCAAAACTCAGTTGCACATGAGAGAAAGCCAACTCAAACAAGCTTAAGCAGAAAGGATATTTATGGGTTCATATATATAGGAAAGTCAGGTTTAGATCTGGTCTCTGCAAGAATATTCAGAGTCTCAAACAATATTATTAATTTGCTCTCTATTTCCACTTCCTTTTCCTTTCTCTTCACTTAGTGTCTACTTTTTCTGTGGATTGGCCTCATTCTCTTTTACCATATGGAAGCTTTCTCTATATAGATAGAGATATGACCAAAGGCAGCTTTAGGTTTATATCATATTTTATGGTTCATAATTGAAAGAAAACTCTCTCTCTCTCATTCTCAGCTGTAGAAAAAAGGTCCAAGGACAAAAATCTATTTGACACAGCTTTAGTGACTAGCTCAACTTCTAGATTCCTTTAGCAACTGGGTCAATTTATGTTTGGTAGGCCTGGCAAATATTATGTTTTTCAGAGTGCTGGAGAAACTACTCATCAAAGAAATACAACATATAATGTTTTCTCAAGCAGTGGAGAAAAGTTGAGCAAATAATCAATATCTGTTAAGTCCACTCTTCTGTGCAGGTTTAAACATAGGTCTGTTCCTGTCACGTTAAGAAGTATAACAATATCGTCATATAAGAAATATAAATTTTAAAGGTAACATAACTATAGACAAACCAAGATAAGTAATAATTGTCCCAATGAAGCAGGCAAACATTTCATACTAACAAACAAGGATTATCATTACAAAATTAATAAATTTCTGTTTTTTAAAAGACAAAGAGGTTCCTCTTATGGAATGGCAGCATGAGGAGCTCCATGGCCCCAACCCCCGGTGAAAGAATCATAATTAATAAAAAATAATATGCATATAGGTATAGATATATTGATACAGATAGAGAGAGATTATATGTACATAAATAGATATGTCCATCTATATCTACCTATATCTATCCATATCTATATACGTTAAAGTCTCTGTAAATTGACCTAAGGGCTTACAGCAAGCGAAGAAACATTTATTCAAGAAAATCTACTAAAACTTTGTAAGAACAGCAAGAGTCTGTGACATTTGAACGATGAGTCACTTTGTCCTTCATCACTCCCACCTCAGCACAATAGGAATAACTGCAAAGACCACTAACATTTCAAAGTACTTAAGTATAAAAGCTAAAACTATAAAACTCTTAGAAAAAGGCATACATGTAAATATTCATGATCTTGAAATAGGCAATGATTTCTTAGATATGGCATCTAAAGTACAAGCAACAACAACAACAAAAAATAGATATATTGGACTTCATCAAAATTTAAAACTGCCTCAAAAAACAAAATCAAGAAAGTAAAAAGATAGAAAGATAGTCCACATAATGGAGAAAATATTTGCAAATCATTTTTGATAAAAGATTTAAATCCAGAATATTCAAATGACTCTTATAAATCTACAATATAAAAACAAACAACCCAATTACAAAATGGGCAAGAAATTTAAAAATGAAGTCTTTTATCCAGGGAATATATGAAAATGGCCAATAAACACATGGCAAGATGCTGAACACCATGAATCAGTAGGAAAAAGCAAATCAAATGCACAATGAGATACCAACATTATCCTCACTAGTATGTCTATAATTTAAAAAGAAAAAAACAGAAAATAAAAACTGCTGTATTAGGCTGTTCTCGCATTGCTATAAATGCCTGAGACTGAGTAATTTACAAAGAAAAGAGGTTTAATTGGCTTACAATTCTTTGGGTTTTACAGGAAGTATACTGATGACATCTGCTCAGCTTCTGTTAAGAAGTTTGCAATCATCGTGGAAGGTGAAGGGGGAGCAGGTACGTTACATGGCGAAAGAAGGAGCAAGAGAGAGAGAGTTGAGGAGAGGTGCCACGCATTTTTAAATGACCAGGTCTTGTGTGAACTCAGAGTGAGAACTCACTTATCACCAAGGGGGTGGCCCAAACCATTCGTGAAGGATCTGCTTCCATGATCAAAACACCTCCCACTAGGCCCTACCTCTAACACTGGGGATTACAATTCAACATGAGATTTGTGTGAGGGCAAATATCCAAAGTATATCACGGCACCCCTGGCCCTCCCAAATCTCATGTTCTTTTCACATTGCAAAATGCAATCACGCCCTCTCAATAATCTCCCAAAGTCTTAATTCATTACCCCATTAACTCAAAAGTACAAAGTCTTATCTGAGACAAGGCAAGTCCCTTCCACCTATAACCTGTGAAATCAAACAAGTTATTTACTTCCAAAATACAATGGGGATACCAGCATTGGGTAAATATTTCCATTCCAAAGGGAGAAATTGGTGAAAAGAAAGGGACTACCGGCCCCACACATGTCTAACACCCACCAGGGCAGTCATTACATGTCAAAGCTCCAAAATAATCTCCTTTGACATCATGTCTCACATCCAGGTCACACTGGTGCAAGGGGTGGGCTCCCAAGGCCTTGGGCAGCTTTTCTCCTGTAGCTTTGAAGAATACAGCCTCCGTGGCTGCTCTCACAGACTGTCAAGTGCCTACAGCTTTGGCAGGCACAGGGTTCAAGCTGCCAGTGGATCTACCATTCTGTGGTCTGGAGGATTGTGACCCCCTTTTCACAGTTCTACTAAGCAGTGCCTCACTGGTGACTCTGTGTGGGGGTTCCAACCCCACATGTCCCCTTGTCATTGCCCTAGTAGAGCTTCTCTTTGAGTTTTCTACCTCTGCAGTAGGCTTCTGCCTGGACACCCAGGCATTTCCATACATTCTCTGAAATCTAGGCGAAGGCTGCCAAGAATCCACCACTCTTGCATTTGTGCACCTGTAGGCTTAATACCACATGGAAGCCACCAAAGCTTATGGCTTGTGCCCTCCAGAATGGCACCCAAGCTGTACCTGTGTCCCTTTAGCTGAGGCTGGTGCTGGAGTGGCCAGGATGTGGGGAGCATTGTCCTGAGGCTACACAGGGCAACAGAGCACAGGGCTTGGCCTACAAAACCATTTATTCTTCCTGGTCCTCTGGCCTGTAGTGCTGCCATAAAGTGGCTGCCATAAAGGTCTCTGAACTTCCTTCAAGGACTTTTCCCAATTTTTTTTTTTTGGATATTAACACTTGGCTCCTTTTTAGTTATGCAAATTCCTCTAGCAAGTGGTTATTTCACAGCATACTTGAATTTCTCTTCTGGAAAAACCTTTTTTTTCCTCTGCCACATGGCCAGATTGCAAATTTTCCAAACGTTTATGCTCTATTTCCTGTTTAACTATATATGCCTACTTTAAGTCATTTCTTTGCTTCCACATCTGAGTGTAGAAACAAACAAGTCACATCTTGAATGCTTTGCTGCTTAGAAATTTCTTCCGCCAACTCAAACTTCCACAGATTCCTAGGAAATTCACAGAATGCAGTCAAGCTGCTTGTTAAGGCATAGGATGCATGACGTTTGCTCCAGTTCCCCAAAAATTCCATGTTTTCATCTAAGACCTTGTCAGCCTGGGCTTCACTGTCCATTAGTCTCTAGCATTTTGGTCTCAACCATTTAACTAGTCTCTAAGAAATTCCAAACTTTCCCTCATCTTCCTGTCTTCTTCTGAGCCCTCCAAACTCTTCCAACCTCTGCCTGTTATCCAATTCCAAAGCTACTTTTACATTTACAAGTATCTTATAGCCATAACCCACTGCTGGTACCAATTTTCTGTATTAGGTCATTCTTGATTTGCTATAAAGGAATAACTGACACTGGGTAGTTTAATAAAGAAATTTAATAAAGAAAAGAGGTTTAATTGGCTCATAGTTCTACAGGCTTTACTAGGAGCATAATGGCAACATTTGTTTGGCTTTTGGGGTAGCCTCAGGAAGCTTACAATCATGACAGAAGGCAAAGGGGTAGCAGGCATGTCACAGGATGAAAGCAGGAGCAAAGAGTGTGAAAGAGTGGGAGGGAGGTGCCACACAGTTTTGAAAGACCAGATTTCATGTGAACTCAGAGCAAGAGCTCACTTATCATCAAGGGGATGGCACAAGCCATTCATGAGGAATCCACCTCCACTATCCAAATACCTCACACAAGGCCACACCTCCAACATTGGGGGTTCCATTTCAACATGAGATTTGGGCAGGGACAAATATCCCAACTATATCAAGTGTTCACATGGATGTAGAGAAATTGGAATAATCATAAACTGCTGGTGGGAATATAAAGTAGGGCAGCTGCTATGGAAACAGACTGGTGACTTCTCAGAAGTTAAACATACATTTTCCAGATGATTCATAAATTCCACTCTTAGGTACATAGCAAATAATACTCCCATTGTAAGAATGTCCCACGTTTTGCTTATCCACTCATCAGTTGATGGTAATTTGGGTTGTTTTCATCTTTTGGCTATTATGAGTAATGCTGTCATGAACATCCATATACAAGTATTTGTGTGAACTTCTGACTTAGGTACCTGAGGGTTAATGGTGAAATTTGCACAAAGATTTTTAAGGGGTTATAAAAATGTTTTATAACTAATGTAGTGGTGGTTGCAAAACTTAGAATATTCTAAAAAATTGAATTATACACTTTAAGTGGTTGAATTGTACGTGAATGATATCTCAATAAAGCTGTTAACAAAAAAGAGAAAGATAGAGTAAGTTTTTATTGTAACAGTAATATTTGCTCTTCTGTAAGACTGGCTTTTTAAAGGATTTTATAATAAAATTTAAAATAATCTGAATACTCTTTATATTCTAATGAAGAAAAGTATTTTGTGTGTACATAGTACTTGTGTGATTTCCCCCACACTTGAAAAAAGAATCAAATCTATTTGTGTGAAAACTATTCTTGAGACAGGCTATAATGCAGTAATTTAAATATATTAAGTATGTCAGGGTATTCTGAGCTGAATTCTAACTAGTATTCATTAATACAATGGTATATAATTACCTCAGCCAGTAGAAACTTAATTATAAAGGCTATTTGGCTGTTAAAAAAATTCTAATCTGCATTGAAAAGTTTAGTGTGTCCACATCCACCCCGGAACAAAGACATTTCGTCATGTTGAAATCACTATGAGGAAAAAATTATAAATTTACTAATTCTTGTTGAGATCACTATGAGAAAATAATTATACATTTACTAATAACATGTTCAGTTAGTAGATCTAAAATATTTACTTTTAAGATATAGCTATTTAATTTTACAACTTTATATGTTTTCACATAATAAGAAGCATGTTTAAAACCTCAAAATGAAGGGATCTGATTGCCTGGATCAAAACAAAAACTTTGAAGGTAATAATCCTGCCAAATAATGGCATGTTTACTTAAAGAATTTGCAAACTTTCAGTTATGCCAAATTTGTTTTCCAAAGTTAGTCCAGCTGCACTGGAGAGACTTTCAAAACTATTTGCTTGAAGCAATCAACTTTTATTCAATGTTTCAGGTTAATCAATATTTTTGGCACTTTTCAAATAACAGGACACAACTTGTTTTGACACTGAATGGAAACTTACTTTTGACACTCCCTTCCTTCAATTAATCACTTGTCACTAAATCTACCTTACAAAAAGTCACTAAATTATTTGTCACTAAATCTACCTTATAAAAGTCTCTCTGTTTATGTATCCTGTATATGGCTAGCTTAGGTTGCTCAGGTTTCATTCTTAATGTCTCTCTTTTCTATCCTTTTGTATATATTCAAAATAGTTACGAACCCCACAGAAGAGAAAGGGGTGATAGGAGTGGTGATACCTAGGTAGTTTTGTGTGTCTGTGTGTGTGTGTATGTGTGTGTGTGTGTGTGTGTGTGTGTGTGTTTCCTTACATTGTAGAGGATTTCAAATAATTACCTACTTGAAAATATTTGATAAATTTATTCTAGTATTTGATGCAACATGTTATATGTAGTGCTTATCAATAAGAAAGTAAAAGAGAGAGAAACTTTGGAAAATATTTGCATTTTACTGGAAAGTTAATACCTTGTTAGAGAAACCAGCACACATTTTTTTCCCACCCAACACTCAGCTTGCTCAGACTCTTCTTGAGGCCATAATGCAATGGGATACGTAGCTAAAATGCTTTATTCTATTCTAAATGGAAAAATGTCTACAAGCTGTCAAAAATAAATTGCAGATAGATAGGTAAATTGATTTGTTTTATAATGTATCAAAAGTTTATATAACAGATCTTTCTCTTCATTGAATCATCAAAATTAACTAATTGTTTTGGCATTTTGTAAACTCAGATATATATTTATCTCATATATATCTCATATATATATCAGAGTTTACAAATATATATATATTCATATATATGTTTATATGTATTCATGCATGTATATAAAAACATTTTGTAATGCGGGGAATTATTCTTGGATCTTTTGGTAGTTTAACAAGTGTACCATATAATCCTTAGTATACATTATATTCTTGAATAGAATACTTTTTCTACTTAAGCACAATCTTATGTACACAGTCTTCTGTACAACATCACACAGTACAGGTTAAGAATAGACTTTGAGAAAAATTACAAACTGAGGTTCAACAAGAAGGAAGCATGCATTTACCAATCGTTTCATTTTTTGGTAACTATGCTTATTGTATCACTCATATTTTACAGATGGAGAAATGCAAGCTTCAGAATTTTTTAATCGACATAATAATTGTACATATTCATGGGGTATGTTGTTATGCTGCAACACATATAATGTAAACTGATCAGATCAAGGTAATTAGCATATCCATCATCTCAAACGTTTACCATTTCTTTGTGTTGGGAAAATTCAATATCCTCCTTCTAGCTATTTGAAACTATATATTACTGTTAACTATAGTCATCCTACAGTGCTATAGAACACTAGAAGTTTGTCCTCCTATCTAACTGTAATTTTGTATTCTTTAACAAATCTCTCCCTATCCTCCTACCCACCCCTTCTCAGTCTCTAGTATCCTGTTTTACATTTTACTTCTATGAGCTGATTGAGGCCAGATCATCTAGTAAGTTAATGATGGACTCAAGTTTAGAATGAGTCTCCGGATTCCATATCAGTGGTTTTTTTTTTTTTTTTTTTTTTTTTTAACTCCAGTGTTTCTGAAAATGTGCCCTTTGCATTAGAATTACCCATTTAGTTGCTTGTAAAAATGCAGATGACTGAGGCCCACTTCAGTTCTTTCTCCGTTTTTTTTTTTTTTTTTTTTGGTCTCCCATGTTTGAACACACGAATGCCACGAGCTCTTGAGTTTTACAATCTCCTTGGGAGAAAAACTGGGGGAAAATTCTGACTGACCTGACTTAAGTCAGGTATCTATCCCTCTATCAATTAATAGCAGATAGAAAAACGATATTCTCACATATAAAGATAAGCCTCTGCCAAGGCCTAGAGGTAGACAAGTGTGAAGCATTTGTGAGAAAGGAGCAGTTTTATTTGAAAAGAGTGAAAGATTCATGTGGCTAGAAAACAATGAAAAAGTAGCTTGGAGTATATTATAGTGGGCTTTGTATGCCAGACAGACTAGTTTGAACTTTATTCAGTAGATAAAAGGAAATTATTGAAGGTTCTTGAGCAGAAAGCAACATATCAGAGTTAAGATTAGTCTTTCACCAGTAAGTAAATTGAATTTGAGTGGAGGTGAACCAGACCAGCAGTTCCCAAACTTGTGCATACCTCAGAAATATTTAAGATGCTATTTTTTAAAAAAGCATATTTCAGATTCCTAGCCTCAGAGACTGTAGTTCTGGAGTACATTCCAGGAAATGATATTTATTATCAGCACCTCAAATGTTTCTTACATACTCTAAGACCTGAGAGCTTCTGCTCTGGTTTGTCTTTACTCTGACCTTCTCAACCCATTCATTAGTGATTCACTTGGAGTAGGGGGGACTGTGAGACAGAGATCCCAGGCTGTCTCTAAAGCAGGCAGCTGTGACTCAAGTCAAGCCAGTTTTTGCCATGGGACAATGTAGGTCTAATTTTGTTTGATCATCTGATTTTTCAGGAGAAATCAGATATCCCAGTTCTTATGGGACTCCCAATATTCAAATGTTTAATGTGAATTGTGTGTTTACAAACCAAACTGAACAGAAATTGTTTATTTTTTTTTTAATTTTTCCTTTGTTTCTTCTTAAAAAAAGTGAGATACACTTGCAGAACGGGTAAGTTTGTTACATAGGTATACATGTGCCATGGTGGTCTGCTGCACCTATTAACCTGTCCTCTACGTTCCCTCCTCTCACCCCCACCCCCCAACAGGCCCTGGTATATGTTGCTCTCCTCTCTGTGTCCATGTGCTCTCATTGTTCAACTCCCACTTATGAGTGAGAATATACGGTGTTTGGTTTTCTGTTCCTGTGTTAGTATGCCGAGGATGATGACTTCCAGCTTCATCCATGGTCTCATTCCTTTTTATGGCTGCATAGTATTCCATGGTGTATATGTACCACATTTTCTTTATTCACTCTGTCATTGATGGGCATTTGGGTTGGTTCCATGTCTTTGCTATTATAAATAGTGCTGCAATAAATATACGTGTGCATGTATCTTTATAGTGAAATGATTTATATTCCTTTGGGTATATACCCAGTAATAAGATTGCTGGGTCAAATGGTATTTCTGGGTCTAGATCCTTGAGGAATCGCCACACTGTCTTCCACAATGGCTGAGCTAATTTATATTCCCACCAACAGTGTAAAAGCATTCCTATTTCTGCACAGCCTCACCAGCATCTATTGTTTCCTGGCATTTTAATAATTGCCATTCTGATTGGCATGTGATGGTATCTCATTGTGGTTTTGATTTGCATTTCTCTGATGATCAGCAATGTTGAGCTTTCTTTTATAGGTCTGTTGGCCATGTAAATGTCTTATTTTGAGAAGTGTCTGTTCGTACCCTTTGCTCACTTTTTGATGGAGTTGTTTTGTTCTTGTAAATGTGTTTAAGTTTCTTGTAAATTCTGGATATTAGGCCTTTGTCAGATGGGTATATTGCAAAATTTTTCTCCCATTCTGTAGATTGCCTGTTCACCCTGATGATAGTTTCTTTTGCTGTGCAGAAGCTCTTTAATTAGATCCCATTTGTCAATTTTGGCTTTCGTTGCAATTGCTTTTGGCATTTTTGTCATGAAGTCCTTGCCCATGACTATGTCCTGAATGGTATTGCCTAGGTTTCTTTCTAGGGTTTTTATGGTTTTGGGTTTTACATTTAAGTCTTTAATCCATCTTGAGTTAATTTTTGTATAAGGTGTAAGGAAGGGGTCCAGTTTCAGTTTTCTGCATATGACTAACCAGTTTTCCCAGAACCATGTACTGAATAGGGGATCCTTTCTCCATTGCTTGTTTTTGTCTGGTTTATCAAAGATCAGATGGTTGTAGATGTGT
Organism: Homo sapiens; assembly: GCF_000001405.40. NCBI lineage: Eukaryota > Metazoa > Chordata > Mammalia > Primates > Hominidae > Homo > Homo sapiens. The sequence goes on along the minus strand of NC_000023.11, from coordinate 98,926,330 downwards.
AGTGTTATTTCTGAGGTCCCTGTTCTGCTCCATTGGTCTGTATGTCTGTTTTGGTACCAGTGCCATGCTGTTTTGGTTACTGTAGCCTTGTAATATAGTTTGAAGTCAGGTAGCATGATGCCTCCAGCTTTGTTCTTTTTGCTTAGAGTTGTCTTGGTTATATGGCATCTTCTTTGATTCTACATTAAATTTAAAATAGTTTTTTTTCAAATTCTGTGAAGAATGTCAATGGTAGTTTGATGGGAATAGCATTGAATCTATAAATTACATTTTGCAGGACAGCCATTTTCATGATATCGATTCTTCCTATCTATGAAGATGGAATGTTTTTCCATTCATTTGTGTCCTCTCTTATTTCCTTGAGCAGTGGTTTGTAGCTCTCCTTGAAGAGGTCCTTCACATCCCTTGTAAGTTGGATTCCTAGGTATGTTATTCTCTTTGTAGCAATTGTGAATGGGAGTTCATTCATGATTCAGCTCTCTGCTTGTCTATTGTTGGTGTTAAGGAATGCTTGAGATTTTTGCACATTGATTTTGTATCCTGAGACTTTGCTGAAGTTGCTTATCAGTTTAAGGAGTTTGGGGTTGAGATGATGAGCTTTTCTAAATATAAAATCATGTCATCTGCAAACAGAGACAATTTTACTTCCTCTCTTTCTATTTGAATATCTTTTATTTTTTCTCTCGCCCAAACAGAACTCTTGATTGGATTTGGCTCAAGGGCAGCTAATGTGAGGCCTCTGGCCTTTCTTTATACTCCTTTTTTTAAAAAAAATTATTTTATTTACTGATATATAACAGATACACATATTTTTGGGAAGCGTGCAATACTTTAATACTTTTATATAATCTGTAAAAATCAAATTATTGTAATTGGGGTATCCATCACTTTAAATATCTGTCTTCTTTTTTATGCCAAAGACATTTGAATTATTCTCTTTAGCTATTTTGAAATATATCATAGATTATTATAAACTATACTCATCTTACTGATCTACAGAACATTAGATCTTATTTTTCTATCAAATTGTATATTTGTATCAGCACTCAGCCTATCTTCATTTCCCCCTTCCCCCACCCTTCCTTGACCTTTCTTGACTAGCCTCACTCAGTCAAGGTTGTGTTTATTTTTGTAATTTTTAAAATTATCTTTTTGTGTGATCAGCCTTATATTTACATTTATTTCCATGGGGTTGTATATGTTACTATGGTTTTTAATAGATATCGACTGTGTCTCTTTAAGTTTGCTAAGAGTTCCTCCAAAGTAGAGATCATATTCTCTGTTTTAATTCTGCTCTACTTGGAGTGAGCACATTACAAGTGAGGTGGGAGGTTGACTTATGCTCCAGCAACAGTTGCTCTTTGCGGTCACTGTGTTTTAGTGACGGTGACCCTTATAGCCTAATATTAAAATATATTTAATAATTACCTATAAAAAACAATCATTCAATGTGTTATATTTTTATGTGAATTTCCCTGTTGCATACTTTTATGCATATAGATCTTTTCTGCATTATTCTGCCTTCTTTTCAGTAGCATGCTAGCTGCTGTGTGTTGTGCAAATGTTTCCCTACGTTTACTTTTCAAGTGGTTTCTCAGACCAGATGTTCCCCCAAGTGTACTTTCCTCCTCGTTTACTAGCTTTTTTTTGAAACAACAGATTGCTTTTTGGCTGTCTTTTAGGTTTAAGGAGAAAAAATTCACCACTACAGATGTTTGCTTCTCTTTCCCCACTCCAAGATTCTTAGCAACGATTTAAAAAGGAAGATGTATCCTTCTTCCTCTCTTTCATCCTTACCTCCTTAATGTCATAATGCTTGGCTTGCAAATATTTTCTATAGATTTATTGTTTATGGATTTTCCTAACAAAATTGCCTTCTTAGAGTATTATCATTAGATCAAAATGTAGTGCTCAGAGATTCATGAACAAAACTCACTTGTCGGCCAAATAAAATGAAATAATTTTATATTATCCAAAGTTAATTGGAAATAATTAAGAGTGTTGTTATTTATCTAAAGTTGATTTTTCCGATTGGTATCAAGGGGGTCTGTGAGACTAGGAATAAAAATAAGGGTGTCAAATACTGGAATTTACATACCTACTGTGTATTATAATGATAATTACACATTTATAGTTACCTTACCATATCTTACATTTGAATAGAATTTTGAAACTTACAAAACATTTTTACCTATACTATCTCATTTAATCTTCCCACTAACTAGTTCTGGTTTTATTATCCCTAGTTTTACAGTTAAAGGCTGAGAAATGATTTACCCAAACTCAGGCAGCCTCCAAACTGAGGTGCCAACATCCCAGCCCAAATTCAGTTGTTTATTTGTATTGTATGAATTTCCCTCTCTGCCATTTGTATAATTACTTTCAAAGCATCTTCAACTGAATTTTTGCAGCTTTATTTAAATATAATTCAATTGCATACAATCACCCATATAAAGTGTACAATTTAATGTTTTTTAATATTCACAGATTTGTGCAGCCATCAGTAAGAGCCAATTTAGAACACTTTCATTACCCCCAAAAGAATCATATCTATTAGCATTCGCTCTTCACTCTCCCTTCCTCCATCCCTAGCGATGGCTACTCTTCTTTCTATGTCTTTAGATGTACCCATTCAGGACATTTCATATAAATGCAATAATACAATATGTGGCCTTTTGTGTCTGGCTTCTTTCACTGAGCATAATGTTATCAAGGTCCATCCATGTTGTAGCATTTATTAGTACTGCATTCCTTTTTTTTGGCTAAATAATATTCTATTGTATGAACATATCACTTTTTGTTTATCTATTCATTCATTGACAGATATTTGTGTTGTTCCCACTCGTGAATAATGCTGCTATGGACACTCAATTGCTTTTTCACCTGTAATATATCTTCAGTTTTTTTACTTGATGAATGATCACCTTCACCTGGAAAAAAGAGTGGTATGTTCAAAGGCCAGCAGTTGAGTATACTTGTCACTCATTTGGGTGTCTAAAATAGTTGAGTATGGCTGGAAGACTAGAATAAAGATTTTGAATCAGGGAGGTGAAAGTTGAGGTTAGAACTTCAGGAGGGTGTCAGATCCAGCGAGGCCTTACAGACCACTTTAAAGATTTGAGCTTTTTCCAAATGCCACAGAAATGCCAAGAAGTGTTTTATTCAGGCTAGTGATTTATTTGGAACTGTAGAAAAACCACTTTGGTTACATTGTGAAGAAATGATAGGAGGGGAGACAAGAAGACTTATCAGGAGGCTATTTCAGCATTGCCTTTAAAAAATCAAATCTATGCATTATCTTTACATAAAAATAAAACTTCATTCATGTCTGTTACTGAGGCTTCTCTGAAGCTATGGCAGGTACAGTATCCTATGATGTAATAATGCAAAATGCTCTAAAATATTTATCCAGCTTGCTTCAATTGTGATAGGCAACATTTTGCTTTCCAAATAACATTTCTTTGGACCTTTTAGTTTATATTAGTGTCAGAGCTAGAAGGAATGCCAGAGATCTTCTCATCTGTTCTTGCCATGTTATAGAAAAAAAAAATGAAGCTTCAAGAGATTTTCTCAAGATCATACAGCTGTGTGACTTATGTCTCTTGATTTCGAGTAGAATATTTCTTCCACTACAGTATGCTTATGTATCAACTAAACATTCATCATTCAACAAGTATTTGTGGAACACCTGTTTGGGACCTAGAACAGTGCAAAGTGCTGTGGAGACTATTAAGAGTATATAATTGTTTTTGCTTCTGAAAAACCCTGGAAGAGATTAAGCTTATTTGTCTTTTTCTAGACACTGGTAATAGTACTTAGGATCCCTAGATAACTAACACAATGTAAAGTCCACGAGGATTTAGACTTCCATCCTGAGGCAAGGTATCTACTCAAATCCCTACTTCATAGCTTTCTGTGAATAATAAATAAGATAGTGTGTGTTTTGTGTTTTGCACAATGTCTGGCACATAGTAATTACACAATAATGTAAGGAAAGAAAGTGCACTAAGGACAAACTCAAAAGGGTATCAGAGAAGAGAGAGATCAATATAGGCTGGCATCATTGGAGAAGTATTCATGAAGGTAATGACACTTCAAATTGGGTGTTGACTGATGGAAAAACACTGTTCCCCTTTCTAGGCCAGTCAGGTAGCATAAAGTTATGGATAGCAAAAGAGTCAAGGGTCACCTTCTAGTAGTTGCCTTCTTCCTTTAGTGGAAATCTGTGGCTGTTGACAGAATGAGTCATGAAGATTAGCAATGTGTTTATTGGTTACAGAAAATGATTTATAATGTGGAAGATACAGGTGACTTTTAAGTAGACATTTTATGAATTTTGAATGTCTGGTTCAAATTTTCTCTTTCATGGACTTTTTAAAGATGTAGTTTCTTATGAAATTGAAATAGTAACCCAACACAACTTTCCAAGCTATTACTATGTCTTTTCTCTTTACTATGTAAAGTAGTGATATAAATTTGAACTCTTAGCCTAGCTTATTTTCTTCTAATGGAAAAGAGATTTGCTCACATAAAGCACATCAGTACACACATGATTGGCCTTACTATCTTGTGGTAGCTTTGATCTCAGGTCCAGTTACCTGAAATATTACCTTTTATAGGCCTTGTTTACCAGGCTCTTTCATCCTAGTCAATGAAAATTCTCTAAATGTCTGGAATTTTCTATGTTCTTCATATATATCACAAAGAGATCTAAAAGCACAAGGTGATTCCAAGGTTACTCTATAGGTGGTTCAACCTCTTCAATCCCCAGGCAATCATTGATCTGTTTTCTGTCATCATAGGCTTGATGGATATGTTCTGTGGGTTTGTGTGGTGGTGATGGGGGGGTGGTGGGGAGGGTTTAATGAATGTATTCATAAGTCAAAATTTATCAAATTCTTTATATCAATTATTCATCAATAAGCTGTTAAAATATATATTATATGGTTCAAGGGACATAGAAAAATTAGACATAGTAAAATTAAAACAAAAAACAAAATACCCAAAAATGTACATTATCTGACCCAATAATTTAACTTCTAAGACTCTATTTATTAAAACAATGACATATGTATACAGAGATATATGAATAAAGATATGCATGGTAAAAAAAAAACAGTGCAGACAATTTCATCTAATTTTCAGTTTTTGAGGTAGAATTTAAAGCAAGAATGTCAAGTGATACTTAAAAAATAGAATATTTTTAATCAAGTAAAAAAGAAATAAATGTCCATTACTTTTTAATTTTGTGACCTGTGAAAAAATATTTAACCTCTTTCATTCTAAAGCTGCTTTTTAAAAAAACTGGAAATAAGCAACCTACATAACAGATAGCATAAACCATAAAGTAAAATAGTGTATGAGAAAGAAGCTTGCCACTAATAAATCACAATAATTTCCCTTTTATGAGTTCCTAGTTTGTAAAGCATTGCACTAGATATATGTATTCTTTTCCTAGGGTCGCCTTAACGAAGCATCACAAACTTGGTGGCTTAAAACAACAGAAATTTATTTGCTCATAGTGCTGGAGGCCAAAAGTCTAAAACTGAAATGTTGGCAAAGCCACGGTCCCTTCAAGTGTTCCAGGAAAGAATCCTTCATTGTCTCTTCTACCTTCTGATTGTTGCTGACAATCCTTGTTTCTTGGCTTTGAGATGCATCACTCCCATCTCTGCATGTCTTGTATGGCCTGTGTGTCTTGGTATTTGTGGACATACTTCTATTTTCTTATAAAGACATTAGTCATATTGAATTTAGGGCCCACCCTAATCCAGTATGATTTCATTTTAACTTTACCGCATCTGCAAAAGCCCATTTTCTAATAAGGTCATATGCACAGGTTGTGGGTGGACATAAATTTTTAACTTGGAGGGGTCACTGTTCAATCCAGTATAGTGAGCTATAGTCATTACTTAACTAAATTCTGTTTATAATGCAAGGTAGATATTTATATTTTTTGTCTCACGGCTAAAAAAATTAATCATCAGTGTAATTTGACATCACTCAGCTCAGAACTAGTAGAGCCAGTATTCTAGGTTATACTTGACTGAATGCCAAAGCCTTCTTTTCACTCTACCATGATGATGTCTCTCCAGCATTATATGAATATAAAAGATTTTAAAACCTCTAATATTCTTGAAATTGTGGTAGTGCTTATTTCTGTGAAAGGCTCATATTACAAGACAGAATGATAATCTACTAGAATTACATATTTTTAAATGTGAATACATTTTGACAAACTGGCCTACAGAAAGGGTTACATCGATTTACATTTTGTGTAAAAATGTATTATTATAATTTATTCTGTTTGTCTTTACCAAAATGATTGGTCAAAAATAATCTCATTTTTTTCATTATTGTATGTTTATTTGAGTATTAGTAAGGTTAAATATTTTGAAAATAAGTTTGCTAAACATTTGTACTTCTGGTTTTATGAATTGCCTGTGTATTAGTTTATTCCTGTATTGCTATAACGAAATACTTGAGACTGGGCAGTTTAAAAAGAAAAAGATTTAATTGGCTCATGGTTCCTGAGGCTGTACAAGAAGCATGATTCTGGCATCTGCTCAGCTTCTAGAAAGGCCTCAGGAAATTTACAATCATGGCAGCAGGAGAAGGGGGAGCCAACACTTCACATGGCCAGAGCAAGAGGAAGAGAAAAAGGGCAGAGATGCCACACACATTTAAACAACAGATCTCATGAGAACTTCATCATGAGAACAGGACCAAAGGGGGGAAATCCGTCCCCATGATCCAGTCACCTCCCACCAGGCCCTTCCTCCAACATTGGGGATCACAATCATCACGAATTTGGGTGGGAATATGGATCCAAACCATGTCATTTGGCCCCTGGGTCCTTCCAAATCTCATATCCCTCCCACATTACAAAATACAATCATGTCTTTCCTACAGTCTCCAAAACAGTCTCTTAACTCAATCCACCATTAATTCAAAAGTCCGAAGTCTCACCTGAGACAAGGCAAGTCCCTTCCACTTATAAGCCCATAAAATCAAAAACAAATTAGTTACTCCCAAGATACAATAAAGGCACTGGCATTGGGTAAATACTCCTTTTCCAAAAGGGAGAAATTGGCCAAAAGGAAGGGGCTGCAGGTCCCATGAAAGTCCAAAACCCAGCAGGGTAGCCATTAAATCTTAAAACTCCAAAATAGTCTCCTTTGACTTCATATCTCACATCCAGGGCACATTCATGCAATGGGTGGGCTTTCAAAGTCTTGGGTAACCCCTCCCCTGTAGCTTTGCATGAGTCAGCCCCTGCAGCTGCTCTCATGGGCTGGCATTTTCCAGGTATAGGATGCAAGCTTCCAGTGGATATATCATTCTGGATGGTGGCCCTCTTCTTATAGTTTCACTAGTTAGTGCCACAGTGGGGACTCTGTGTGGGGGCTTCAACCCCACATTTTTGTTCTGCACTTCCCTAGTAGAGGTTCCCCATGAGGGTTCTGCCCCTGCAGCAGGCTTCTGCCTGGATATCCAGGCTTTTTTATATACCCTCTGAAATCTAGATTGAGGCTCCCAAGCCTCATCTCTTGCACTCTGCACACCCACAGGCTTAATGCCATGTGGAAACCATTAAGGCTTATAGCTTGTACCTGCTAAAGCAGTGGCTCAAGCTGTACGTGGGCCCCTTTAGCCATGGCTGGAGCTGGATATCTGGGATGCAGGGGCCAGTATCCCAACGCTGTGCAGGATAACAGGCCCCTGAGTCTGGTTCACAAAACCATTCTCTCTTCTAGGCCTCCAAGCCTGTGATGGAAAACGCTGCTGAAGAGATCCCTGAAATGCCTTCAAGGCCTTTTTTTCTATTGTCTTGGCTATTAGCATTGCCTTCCTTTTAGTTGTGCATATTTCTGCAGCCTACTTGAATTCCTTCCCAGAAAATAGGATTTTCTTTTCTACCAAATGTCCAGGCGTAAATGTTTCAAACTTTTACCCTCTGCTTCTTTTTAAAATATGTTTCAGGTTTAGGTCATTTATTTGCTCAAGCATATGGGCATAGGTTGTTAGAAGCAGCCAGGTGACATCTTGAACACTTTACTGCTTAGAAATTTTTTCCACCAGATACCCCCTAAATAATCACTCTCAAGTTCAAAGTTCCACAGATCCCTAGGGCAGGGGCCTCTAACCACTTTGATAACACATAACAAAAGTGACCTTTGCTCTAGTTCCCAGTAAGTTTCTCATTTCCATCTGAGACCCTTTCAGGCTGGACTTCAGTGTCCATATCACTATCAACATTTTAGTCACAACAATTTAACAAGTCTCTAGGAAGTTCCAAACTTTCCCTCAACTTACTGTCTTCTTCTGAGCCCTCTACTCTCTTCCAACCTCTGCCCATTACCTAGTTCCAAAGCTGCTTCCACATTTTCAGGTGTTTTTATAGCAATGCCCCACTCCTTGGTACTAATTTTCTGTGTTATTCCATTCTCACATTGCTACAAAGAAATACTTGAGATTGGGTAGTTTATAAAGAAAAGAAGTTTAATTGCTTCACTGTTCCACAGGCTGTAAAGGAAGAATAATTCTGGCATCTGCTCAGCTTCGGGAAAAGCCTCAGGAAACTTAAAATCATGGCAGCAGGATAAGGGGGAACCAGAACTTCACATGGCTGGAGGAGGAGGAAGAGAGAGACAGGGAAGGTGCCACACATTTCAACTACCAGATCTCATGAGAACTCTATGAGAACAGCACCAAAGGGGGAAATCCACCCCTAATGATCCAATCACCTCCCACCAGGATCTATCTCCAACACTGGGGATTACAATTCGTCATGAGATTTGGGTGGGGACACAGATCCAAACCATATCAGGTGTATATATATATTTAACACATTATTATATTAAGGTGTTCTATTTTAATTATTATGTTTTTATTAATTTATAAAAATATAAATTTTTTGTTAATTTGTAAAAATTAATATATTTGTATAAAAATTTATATATTTAAGCCATCAGTCTTATATCCCTAGATGTTGCAATTTTTTCTAAGTTTATGATTTTTTTAATTGCTCATTTATTTTTGTAACAAAGATTTTAATTATAATGCATTCGAATAATTATTTTTGCTCATTGATTCTGAATTTTGTCTCTTGTAAACCTTCTTTACTACAAAATTATAAACATGTTATCCTATATTTTCTTCCTGTATGGGTTAATTTTTACATTTAATGTTTAATTTATATGAAATTTGTTTTGAAAAATAAAAAAGTGAAGTATGTACTGACTTGAAATTTTAAAATGGCTCGTCAAATTTCCCAATGAATAACAATTCCTTTGTGCACTAATTTGAAATGCTAACTTTAACATATACTAAAGTCAGTCATGTACAAATTTGCTTTTGAGCTTTCTGATCTGCTCTATATTACTTAACTGCAATATAATATAATAAGTTCAGTGGTTTCTGGATTAAATATAGAATAACGTTGTTAGAAATGCAAGAAGTAGAGAACAGCCTGAACAATCTTGAAAAAATAACAAGGTTTGAGTACTCACACTTCTCAATTTCATAATTTACTGCAAACCGACAGTAATCAAGACAGCGTGGTGCTGGCATAAGAATAGACATATAGACAAAGGGATAGAATCGATAGTTCAGAAATAAACCCATATATCTGTGACCAATTAATTTTCAACAAGGGTGTCAAGATCATTTAATGGAAAAATAACAGTGTTTTCAACAAATGGTGCTGTGGCAACTGGGTATCCACATGCAATATAAAGAAGGAGGACTCCTACCTCACAGTATACACAAAAACTTAACTCACAGTGGGTCAAAGATGTAAATGTAAGAGCTAAAATTATAAAACTTTTTGAAGAAAATTTAGAAGTAAACCTTTATTTCCTTAGGTCTGTTAGTGGTTTTGAAGGTATTAAAAACACAAGCACCAAAAGAAAAAATAGATATGTTGGCTACATCACATTTTCAAAAAGTTTGTGCATCAAAGGATACCCTCAAGAAAATTAAACTGCAACTCATAGAATGGGAGAAAATGTTTGCAAATTTCCAACAAGTACATGAAAAGATACTTAGGGGAGGGAGTGGCCAAGATAGCCAACTAGAAACAGCTAATGTGTGGCTCTCATGGAGAGGAATGGAAGGTATGAGTAAATACAACACCTTCAACAGAAATATCCAGGTACTATCTTTGGGACTAATCAAGAAAACAACTTGACCCATGGAGAATGAAGAAAAGCAAGACAGAACAACGGCCTACCTGGGGGCAACATGGAGCCAAGGTAACCTCCCCTGCCCAGGGAAGCAGTGAGTGAATGTGCAACCCTGGGAAACCATGCTTCTCCCCTGGATCATTGCAACCTGCAGGTCAGGAGATCTCCTTGTAAACCCACTCCACCAGGGCCTTCAGTCTGACAGACAGAGCTACGTGGAGTCTTGGCAGAGCAGCCACTCAGGCATGCATGGAGACTCTGGAGTCACAGATATTTGAGCTATCCAGCAAAAGTTGCTGCAGCTTCGGCAAAGTGAGAGGTTAGACCCCTGTACATACCCCTAGAAAACAGGCTGAATCCAGGAAGCTGAGCAGCGACAGCCTGCAGGCCCCACTTCCATGGGACCTAATAAAATAAGATCCACTGGCTTGGAACTGCAGCCAGCCATGGGTAGTGGCATTGCCTCTTTCTAAGAAGGAGCTCGTGGGGGCTGGGGTGGGTCTCCATCTTTGCTGCTTTGGCACCTCAGCCTTTCCAGCCTTCGGGCTTTGGAGATTTCAAGTTGACTGAAGAGGTGAAAGGGATCCCTGAGCACAGCAATCTGCTCTACCAAAAAATGGTCAGAATGGGATTAAGCTTTAAGCAGGTGCTTAATCCCATTCCTCCTCACTAAGGAAGACCTCCCAACGGGGGCCTCCAGCCATCCCCACCCATGTTCTCCAGCCAACAGAGATATGAATTTTCCCTAGGATGGAGCTCCCAAATGGAGGGGTAGGTGACCATCTTTACTGTTTGGGTGACTTAGCTGTTTCAGCCTTTGGGATTCAGAGTGTGTGAGGTGAACAGGGGCTAAAGCAGACCCCAAGCACAGCACAGCTGCGCTACAAAAATGTGACTAGACTTTTTTTTTTTTTTTTTTTTTTAGCAGGTTCTCAATCCTATTCCTCTTTACTGGGTGAGACTTCCCAACCATAGTCTCCAGCCACTTCCTACAGGTGCTTTTGGGCTGGCCACAGGCCTGCACCTCCCTGGGACAAAGCTCCCAGAGGGAGAGACAGACTGTCATCTTTCCTGTCTCACAGCCTTCGTTGGTGATCCCTCCAAGGTACTGGAAAATTCAACAATCCAGGGACCAGAGTGGGTCCCAAGAATAATGCAGCATCCCTACAGAAAACTGGCCAGACTCTTACATGAGTACCCATTCCCATATCTCCTCATCAGACAGGTCCTTCAGGTCTGGACCTGCAGCCACGCCCTGCCAGAGCTGTTGAGCCAGTAGCAACTTGGCAACTACCTGGACAGAGCCTCCAGGGGCAACTGAAAGCTTCTCTGCCACTCCTTCTGCAGTGGAACTGCCCTTACCACCCTTATACTAATGAAGGAACAAAGACCCTAAGTGCCTTATCCACACCTCCAAGAAGCTGCAGTCGACTCAATGAGAGAAAGCCAGTCTGTCTCTCATGGGTCTCACACACCCCCAGCTTCTCATCACCAGACAGTAAACCCTTGGCTTGGATCAACAGCACAGGCCCTTCATCCTGGGATGACTGCACTGAGCAATTGCTGACCTGCATCTTTATGGGGTGGAGCCGCAGGAGACAAGCAAATGATCCTCAGCCACAACCACTGCTAGGATCTCTTCCTCTGCTGCCTCCAAGTCAAGGAAGGAACATAAACACTGAGATTTCCCCAGAGCTGAAGTGGGCAGCCCAGAAGTGGCAAGTCACAATCTATAGCCAGCACTCAAGAAGGAGAGGTACACATAAGTTTAGAGCATTGAGAGGGAACATGGGTGTAACTGCGAGGAAAAACTGGGAGCCAAACAGCCAAGCAAGAGTCTACCAATTGACCAATAAGCCTAAGTGCCACCTGCTGGATCACATCCCAAAGCTTCAACACCAAAAGTACCTCACTAACCTACCCCCCTCTGAAACCAGAGACAATAAATCAGCTTCAAACAAAGACCCTGAACAATGCTTCAGCCCAGTGAAAATATCCAGAAAAGACGCTTATTGACTGTACTCAATCTACATGGCAATAAAGGAATACCCACATGCAGAGATGAGAAAGATCCAACACAAGAACTCTGTTAATTCAAATGGCCAAAGTGTTGTATGTCCTCCAAAGATCACACCAGTTCTCCAACAAAAGTTCTTAATCAGGCTGAACTGGCTGAAATGACAGAAACAGAATTCAGAATATAAACAGGAATAAAGATCATTGAGATTTAGGAGGATAGCAAAACCTAACCCCAGGAAAATAAGAATCAAAATAAAGCAATACAAGAGCTGAAGGATGAAATACCCAATATAAAAGGAAAACCTATCTGGTTTGACAGTGCTGAATAACACAACACAAGAATTTCCCAATGCATTCACAAGTATTAACAGCTGAATAAATTAAGCTGAATAAAGAATCTCAGAAGTTGAAGACTGGGTCTCTGAAATAAGACAGTTACAAAAAAATAAAGAAAAAAGAATTATAAAAATAAACAAAAACTCTGGGAAATATGTGATTAAGTAAAAAGGCCAAATCTACTAATCATTGATATCCCTCAAAGGGAAGGGGAGAAAGCAAACAACTTGGAAAACATATTTCAGGATATCATCCATGAAAACATCCCCAAACTTGCTAGTGAGGCCAACAGTCAAATTCAGAAAACAAAGAGAAATTCTGCAAGATTCTACACAAGAAGATCATCCCCAAGAAACATAAACTTCAGATTTTCCAAGGTCAAAAGGAAAGAAAGAACGTTAAAGGCAACTAGAGAGAAAGGGCAGGTCACCTACAAAGGGTACCCCATCAGGCAAACAGTGGACCTCTCAGCTGAAACCCTACAAGCCAGAAGATATTGGGGGCCTATATTCAACATTCTTAAATTAAAAAACCTTCAACCAAGAATTGTACATCCAGCCAAACTAAAATTCCTAATTAAAGGAGAAATAAGATCCTTTTCAGATAAGCAAATGTTGAGGGAATTCATTACCACCAGACCTGCCTTACAAGAGATCTTGAAAGCAGCACTAAATATAGAAAGAGAAGACCACTATCAGCTAATTAAAAAAAAACAAAACAAAACAAAAAACACTTAAGCCCACATACCAGTGTCAGTGTAAAGCAACCACACAGAAAACTCAACATAACAACCAGCTAACAACACAATGACAGGATCAAATACACACATGTAAAATTGACCTTAAATTTAAATAGGCTAAGTGCTCCACTTAAAAGGCACAGAGTGGCAAGCTGGATAAAAAAGCAAAATCAAGTGGTATGCTATTTTCAACAGACCCATCTCTCACATAATGACACTCATAGGCTCAAAATAAAGGGATGGAGGAAAACCTACCAAGCAAATGAAAAACAGAAAAAAAAGGGGGTTGCAATTCTAATTTCAGACAAAACAGATTTCAAGCCAACAGAGATAAAAAAAGACCAAGAGCATTACATAATGATAAAGGATTCAATTCAATGAGAATACCTAACAATTCTAAATATATATGCACCCAACACGGGAACATCAAGATTCGTAAAGCAAATTCTTAGAGACTTATAAAGAGACATAGACTCCCACACAAGAATAGTGGGAGAATTCAACCCTACACTGACAGTATTAGACAGATAATTGAGGCATAAGATTAACAAAGATATTCAGAACCAAAACTCAACATTGGACCAAGTGGATCTGATAGACCTTTACAGAACTCTCTACACCCCAAAAACAGAATATACATTCTTCTCATCACTACATGGCACTTAGTAAAGAATTGATCATATAATTAAAAGTATAACACTCTTCAGCAAATGCAAAAGAACTGAAATGATAAAAAACACACTCTTGATCCACAGCACAATAAAAATAGAAGTCAAGAAAAAGAAAATTGCTCAAAATCATGCAATTACATGGAAATTAAACAACATGCTCTTGAATGACTTTTGGCTAAATAATGAAATGAAGGCAGAAATCAAGTTCTTTGAAAGTAATAAGAACAAAGATACAACATACCAGAATCTCTGGGACACAGCTAAGGCAGTGTTAAGAAGGAAATTCATAGCACTAAATGCCTACATCAAAAAGTTACAAAGATCTTGAATTAATAACCTAACCTCACAACTGAAAGAATCAGACAAGCAAGAACAAATCAACACCAAACCCAACAGAAGATGAGAAAGCATAAAAAACAGAGCTGATATGAAGAAAATCAAGACATGGAAAACCATTCAAATACACACATATCAAACTGAATCTAGAAGTTGATTTTTTGAAAACACTAATAAAATAGATAGGCTACTAGCTACACTAATAAAGAAGAAAAGAGAGAAAATCCAAATAAACACAATTAGAAATAATGAAGGGAATGTTATTACTGACCCCACAGAAATAAAAAAAAAATCAGAAACTACTATGACTGCCCCCACACACACAAACTTGAAAGCCTAGAAAAGATTAATTCCTGGACACATACATCGTCCCAAGACTGAGCCAGGAAGAAATTGTTCCCTGAAAAGACCAATAACAAGTTCTGAAATTGAGGCAGTAATAAATAGCCTATCAACCAAAAAAAAAGCTCAGGAACAGAAAGAGTCACAGATGTATTCTATCAGATGTACAAAGAAGAGCTGGTGCCATCCCTTCTGAAACTATTCCAAAATTCTGAGGAGAGGAGAATCCTCCCTAACTCATTTTATCAGGACAACATCATCCTGATACCAAACCCTGGCAGAGACACACACACACACACACAAAAGAAAACATTAGGTCAATATCCTTGATGAACATCGATGCAAAAATCAACAAAATACTGGAAAACCAAATCCAGCAGCACATAAAAAGCAAATCCACCATGATCAAGTAGGCTTCATCCCAGGATACAAGGCTGGTTCAGCATACACGAATCAATAAATGTGATTCATCACATAAACAGAATTAAAGACAAAAACCACATGATTATCTCAATAGATGCAGAAAAGGCTTTCAATAAAATTCAACACCTCTTCATGTTCAAAACTCTCAATAAACTAGGTATTGATGGAACATACCTCAAAATAACAAGAGCCTTATATGACAAACCCACAGCCAACATTATACTGAATAGGCAAAAGCTGAAAGCATTCCCCTTGGAAACCAGTGCAAGACAAGGATGACCTCTCTCACCACTTCTATTCAACATAGTATTGGAAGTTCTAGAAACAACATTCAGGTAAGAGAAAGAAATAAATAGCATACAAGTAAGAAGAGCAGAAACCAAACTTCCTGCTTTCAAACAACATGATTGTATATCTAGAAAGCCCCATAATCTTAGCCCAAAAGCTCCTTCAGCTGATAAAACAACTTCAGCAAAGTCTCAGGATATAAATTCCGTTTACAAAAATCACAAGCGTTCCTATATACCAGAAACAGCAAAGCTGAAAGCAAAATCAGAAAGGCAATTACATTCACAATTGCCACAAAAAGAATAAAATGCCTAGGAATACAGCTAACCAGGGAGGTGAAAGATCTCTACAATCAGAATTACAAAACAGTGCTCAAAGAAATCAGAGAAGACACAAATAAATGGAAAATATGCTATGGGTATGAAGAATTAATATTATTAAAATGGCTATATTGCCCAAAGCAAATTACAGATTCAATGCTGTTCCCATCAAACTACCAAAAACATTCTTCACAGAAATAGAAAAAAAAAACTATTTTAAAATTCATACGAAACCAAAAATGAACCCGAATAGCCAAGGCAATCCTAAGCAAAAAGAACAAGGCTGGAGGCGTCATGATACTTGACTTCAAACTATACTACAAGGCTACAGTAACCAAAACCAATAACAGTATGGTACTGGTACAAAAACAGGCAATAGACTAATGGAACAGAATAAAGAGCTCAGAAATAAGGCCACACATCTACAACCACCTGATTTTTGAGATAGCTGACAAAAACAAGCAATAAGGAAAAGACTCTCTATTCAATAAATGGTGCTGTGATAACTGGCTAGCCACATACAGAAGATTGAAGCTGGATCCCTTCCTTACACCATATACAAAAAGCAACTCAAGATGGATTAAATACTTAAATGTAAAACCTAAAACTATAAAAACCAAGAGGAAACCCAGAAGATACAAAAAAAAGATACGGTAAACAATAGATGACTGAAAATATTTATATTAAAAATGAAGTCAGAAAAGAAATATTAAATTTTAATAAAAATCTATATTTGTAATACAACTGAAAAATAGCTATACTTCAAACACTGTATAAATTGAGAAGAAAGAAAAAAATAGAAAAATAGGCAAATTATATGAATAACCAGTTGACAGAATATCAAATCCAAATGGTCAATAAATGTACAAAAATGTTGTAGAAACACACTTGCGGTCAGGGAAATGCAAGTTTAAGTTTCAAAGAGATTGAATTTCCTCCTATCCAAAAGATAATAAAATAAAATGCAATAAAATACTTATTATTAGTGTGGATGTGGGCAAAATGATACCATCAAAGGTTGAAAGAAGAGATATTATTTGTTACAAATGTTTGGAAAGGCAATCTGTTGGCATTTATTAATATTAAAATGCAAATAAACTTACACAAAATAATCCCTTTCAGAGATTCTACTCCTTAGACATAAAAGAGACAGTAAGTATATTTGTTGCAGAACATTTATTAGAGTATTATCTGTAGTGCACTGAACCTGAGAACAAATTAAACACCTACCAGAAAGGGCATGTTTAAATACATTTGTGGTCATTGAACACCATGGAATCTTAGGAAACCATTAAAAATAATAAATTGCAGATATACCTGTTTGCTGAAAGAGATACTTGTTTGCAGATATACCTGTTTGCTTTTATAACATACAGTTTAATGAAAAAGTAAAGATGCAGAGAATGTATATAGTAGAATTTTTTGTAAAACAATATCCAAACCTGTCCATATGTGCTGTATTTGTATGTGATTATATAAGTATAAAAATATAGAATTATGCAAAGTATTAGGTATTTACCATGATTTTTGGAGGATATAATTGAGGTAGACAGAGGCAAGTAGGGAACTTGAAGTGGTAAGCTAAAAGCCCCCAGAAAGAAGACTGCTATTCTAAAGAAGCATAAATTTTATATTACAATCCCATCTCATAAATATAAATTTATTTATACGTTTCTTAAAAACCAATGTTTAAAAGGAATAACTTTGTTATTCTAAAAAGTCAGATTAGATTTGAGTATTTTAAATATTAAAATCAACCTGGAGATAATTAACGATAGGGTATTGAGTCTTCTCATCCAAGAATAGTGTGTCTCTTTATATATTCTAGCACTCCATTAATGTTCCCTTATAGAGATTTTTTCTTCCCTTCATGTAGGTCCATCATATTTTTTTGATGCAGTTTAGAAGTGTAAATCTTTTATGTTTTCTTCTTTCAAAAGCTATATGCTTACTTTTAAAATGGAAATTACAGTATAAAAAACCTTCAGTGAAAACCAAATTATATTATATACTGCCCCATTAATACTATTTGTAAAAAAACTTTAGGCAATCACTTAATGTTTATCACGCATGTCTCTGAAAATTCAAGAATAAAGCGTCATAGGTACCATTGCTACTGAAAGTATTCCAAACAACTGAAAAGGAGGGACTGCTCCATAACTCATTTCATGAGGACAGCATCATCCTGATACCAAAACCTGGCAGAGACACAACAAAAAAAGAAAACTTCAGGTCAATATCCCTGATGAACATCGAGGCTGAATCCTCAATAAAATATGGACAAACCAAATCCAGCAGCACATCAAAAAGGTTGTCTACCACAATCAAGTTGGCTTCATCCCCGGGATGCACGGTTGGTTCAACATATGCAAATCAGTAAATGTAATTCATCACATATACAAAACTAAAGACAAAAACCACATGCTTATCTCAGTAGATGCAGAAAAGGCATTAGATAAAATTCAACATCCCTTCATGTTAAAAACCTCAATAAACTAGGTTTTGAAGGAATATACCTCAAAATAATAAGAGCCATATAGGACATACTCACAGCCAATACCACATTGAATGGGCAAAAGCTGGAAGCATTCCTCTGAAAAACAGGCAAAAGACAAGGATGCCCTCTCTCACCACTCCTATTAAACATAGTATTGGAAGTTCTGGCCAGGATGATCAGGCAAGAGAAAGAAATAAAGTATATTCAAATAGGAAGAGAGGAAGTCAAATTATTTTTATTTGTAGATAACATGATCTTATATCTAGAAAACCCCATCACCTCATCTCAAAAGCTTCTTAAGCTGCTAAACAATTTCAGTGATATAAAATCAATGTGCAAAAATCGCTAGCATTACTATACATCAAAAATTAGCAAGCAGAAAGCCAAATTATGAATGAACTCTCATTCACTATTGCTACAAAGAAAATAAAATACCTGGGAATACAGCTAACAAATAAAGTGAAGAACCTATTTACAGGAGAACTACAAACCATTGCTGAAGTAATTCAAAGAGGAAACAAACAAATGGAAAAACATTCCGTGCTCATGGATAGAAAGAATCAATATCATGAAAATGGTCATACTGCCAAAACTAATGTATAGATTCAATGCTATTCCCATTGAGCTACCATTGACATTCTTAACAGAGTTAGAAGAAACTATTTTAGAATTCATATGGAACCAAAAGAGAGCCCAAATAGCCAAGACTATCCTAAGCAAAAAGAACAAAGCTGGAGGCATCATGCTACCTGACTTCAAATTATACTACAAAGCTACAGTAATGAAAACAACATGGTACTGGTACAAAAACAGACACATAGACAAATGGAATGGAAAAGAGAATTCAGAAATAAGAATGCACACCTACAACCATGTGATCTTTGACAAACCTGAAAAAAATTAGCAATGGGAAAATGAGTCCCTATTTAATGAATGGGGTTGGGAGAACTGGCAAGCCATATGCAGAAAATTGAAACTGGACCCCTTCCTTACACCTAATACAAAAATTAACTCAAGATGGGTTAAAGACTTAAATGTAAAACCAAAACTATAAAAACCCTAGAAGCAAATCTAGGCAATACCATTTAGGATGTAAGCATGGGCAAAGATTTCATGATGAAAATGCCAAAAGCAATAGCAACAGAAGCAAAAACTGATGAGTGGGATCTACTTAAACTAAAAAGCTTCTGCACAGCAAAAGAAACTATCATCAAAGTGAACAGACAACCTAAAGAATGGGAGAAAATTTTTGCAATCTATCTGTCTGACAAAGGTCTAATATCCAGAGTTTACGAGGAACTTGAACAAATTTACAAGAAAAAAAGAAACAACCCCATTAAAAAGTTGGTAAAGGACATGAACAGAGACTTCTCAAAAGAAGTCATTTATGTGGCCCAGAAACATAAGAAAAAAAGCTCACCATCACTGATCATTAGAGAAATGCAAATCAAAACCACAATGAGATACCATCTCACACCAGTGAGAATGGCAATTATTAAAAAGTCAAGAAACAACAAATGCTGGGGAGGTTGTGGAGAAAAAGGAACACTTTTACACCGTTGGTGGGAGTGTAAATTAGTCCAACCATTGTGGAAGACAGTGTGGCAATTCCTCAAAGATCTAGAAGCAGACATACCATTTAACCCAGCCATCCTATTACTGGGTATATACCCAAAGGAATATAAGTCATTCTACTGTAAAGACACATGCACACATATGTTTATTGCAGCACTATTTACAATAGCAAAGACATGAAATCAACCCTAATATCCATCAATGATAAACTGGATAAAGAAAATGTGGTACATATACACCATGGAATAATATGCAGCCATCCAAAGGAATGAGATAATGTCCTTTGCAGGGACATGGATGGTGCTAAAAGCCGCTATCCTTAGCAAACCAATGGAGGAACAGCAAACCAAACACTGCACGTTCTCCCTTATAAGTGGGAGCTGAACAATGAGAATACATGGACACATGGGGGAAAACAACACATACTGGGGCATGTTGGGGGGCGGTGGGGGGAGGGAGAACCTCAGGAAGTATAGCTAATTGATGCTGGGCTTAATATCTGGGTGACAGGTTGATCTGTGCAGCAAACTACCATGGCACACATTTACTTATGTAACAAATCTGCACATCCTGCACATGTACCCCAGAACTTAAAATAAAAGTTGAAGAAAACAAAGAAATAAAAGAAAAAATGACTTTGAATAAAATTTTATTTAAAAAGATTAAAGCATCTTAAGCAAACTTTAATATGATAAACAGAACTACTCTGTAAAGAAATATTCTGTAAATTAACTACCATAACGCAGTTTACCTTTATGTTATATTTTTGTCCTATAGTTCAATATAAACCAATATTCAGAATTAGGTAAGAATTTCAATATTAAAGTATTATTTCAATATTAAAGTTTAAATATATATGGTATATGGATTTTCTTCTTCATCATATGATTAATCTTTGTGCTTCAGATTTCTTTATCAAATGAACAAGTGAAAGAATAAAGTTTTTTTTTTGGTTTTTCTTCTTGCCCTGATCTTTTTTGAGAATACTGTTAACTAACTGGAAATCTTCTTAATCATTTTTTAATTGTCTTTCTGTTAATCTGAAAAATGAGAAGACAATTGGTGGTTGACATGAGAAACCTTTTAAAAATTTTTACCAAAAAATATTGCTCCTCTTATTTCCCCCGCCCCCCTTTTTTTTGGTTCTGCTTTCTGCCCCTTTAATCATCACTTTGAAAAGTTTGCAGAGGACCTTTAAAGTGATTGGAAAATAACCGGGCTCAGAGGAGATAGAAATTTACTTAAAACAAAAACAGATGTGATACACATAAAACATTTTTAATATTTCAATCGTGATTGCTTATGTGCCTCACTTTATAAAAACTATGCCTAAAAATATGAATTAATGAAACAGAAAAACTGAGTTAACTATTCACCTCTCAAAGTTATTACCTTTATAAAATGAATCAACCTAGATTTAATTTAAACACTCAAAATGTCTGGGTCATTTAAAATATAACACAATTTAGAAAAAGGAATAGTCTTATGCAAAATTTAAGGAATAATTTGTTGCTTATAGAAAGGTTTATCTCTTTGCAGGTGTCAAGATATGAGTAGGATATAGTCCACTAGTTAAATCCTTCCATTATAAACATGCTTTTTCTGTTACAGCCATTTCTCTTGACTTCTACTTCATTCACTTTTGGTATCCTTTAGAAATGTTGCTTTACTCAGAAAAATATTGATGATGAACACTTCTAGAGACACAACAAGCCTTTGCTTATGAGCCTTAACCATGAGAAGCACTGAATTAGATCTTCTCGTAGTATTTTTCCTGGGTCTGTGGGAAAGTCTTAGAGAAGGAAACCAAAAAATTGATATGTAGACATTTGATCTTTGAGATTACTTCCTTCAGAAAGGATGTCATCTTTTGCCAACCATATCAGCATTATCTACAAGATGGACTTTCAACCATCTGGGTTTGGAATAAGACTGCTAACTTATTGTTCATAGATCACAAAGCAGCTAACAGATGGTAATCGCCCTGAGTCACCATTCATTTTGGATACATTCAAGCTGGTAGCCTATGGACAAAAAATAACTTTTCTAATTCTTAATCCCTCGGCCCTTTATTTCACCCCTAGGCTTATTAATTTAAAATAAGGTATCCAAATAAACCATTCTACTTACCTTCTACATCTCTCCCTAGCATGACATAAATATTTGTATGTATTAAGCTGTTTTATCTGAATGATGGCTTCTAAAACAATATAGTGATTCTAATACATCATCTGTTTGCTGCTTTAAGTTTTAATGGATATGTGAAATTCTTACACAGATCTTTAAGTCATAACTATTACTAGTCACATTCTCCTTAAAAAATACACATGTGATATGTCCCTAACAAAATCTCATGTTGAATTTTAATTCCCAATGCTGGAGGTGGGGCCTGGTGGGAGGTGTTTGGATTATGGGCCTAGATACCTCATGGCTTGGTGCTGTCGACATGATATTGAGTTCTTGTGAGATTTGGTCATTTAAATGTGTATGGCAAGTACTCCCCACTCTCTCTCTCTCTCTTGCTCCTGCTTTCACTATGTGAAGTACCTGCTCCCACTTTGCCTTCTGCCATGATTGTAAATTTCCTGAGGCCTCCCCAGCAGCTGATGCCAGAGCTAGGCTTTCTGTACAGCCTGCAGAACTGTGAGCCAATTAAACCTCTTTTCTTTATAAATTACCTAGTCTCAGGTATTTCTTTGTAACAATGCAAGAATGGACTAATACCACATGAGTTCACCAAAAAGACTGTGTGCCAATTGGAGGCAATATTATAACACTTTTAAATTAAAATTAAAATATTTGAGATTTTGGGTAACTCTGGAAGGGAGCATAATACTCATCTAGAATGAGTCTTTCATTTAGAAGGTGAGTGAGTTGCCCAAGGCCACAAAGCTTTCTGGTTGCAGTAGACTCAAGATCCCAGAGAATCAAACTTAGTATCTTGTTGTATGGAGTAGACTGCATGTTTCTCCTCAGAAAGTTCTGCAGTTATCTCTTTTAGTTCTACAGAATTTTTACAATGCAGTTCCCAATAGTCCCAGTCTCAGCCAGCCAAAATATTTATCTCAACAAACCTTAATAACATTAAATTTTAAAATAACTTTAAATATATCTAGTTATTTCTATGATTTCTAATCCATTCCAGTCCAATCTGTGATTTCTTATATTGGAAACTCTAGGTCAACATAAAGGTTTTTGATACTATTGCTGTTTTACTGATTAAGGAATGAAAGATTAGAGAATTTTAGTGAGCTGTCTAAGACACCACAGCTAGTAAGAGTGGGAGCTGGGATAGAACTAATGTCTCCTGATATTCACCTGTGGGTCTTTACACTAAAATATTTAGGCTGAAAAGGTTTTAGCATCCTGCATTTCTCCTAACTTTAGCTTTCTGCCAGTCATTGTGTCAGGGAGTTATGAAATATCAGAATTTCCTTTTTATTATCAGACATTCTGTACGCATGGGATTTCAGTGACATTAGCTATAAGCTACGCTCATACTACAGAGAAAGACATGGCAAACGTCAGAAATAGATGAAGTAATATAATAAAAGCTGGTAGAGTGCTTTCACGGCAAAGGTTATGCAAGCATGAAGGAAGACTCTTCTCACACATTCCGTCAATGGGAAAGAGAAGATTTTGAAGTGCAATTTAATGGGGAAACAGAAGTCAAAAGCCGACCAAAACTATCTGGATCTTAGTATACTTCAAATGGGATATAAATTTTTGCCTTGGAGTAGTGATGATCTACTTTTTACCCAATAAATGATGAACAATTCTGTCTACATTTACCTGAATTATGATTCACTGGTGTTCACATAAAAAATGTAATTCAATACATTTTAAGGATCCTCAATCAAAACTTATGGTCAATGAGTGAAAGCTTTTAACTGAATCTATAGGAAATAAATAAATTTATTAAATAAATAAATATCCATTGCCTTTGTGAAAGGAAAATAACTCCTAGGGCCCCAAAATCGCTAAGCTAAAGAGAAAAGTCAAGCTGGGAACTGCTTAGGGCAAACCGGCCTCCCAGTCTATTCAAAGTCACCCCTGTGCTCACTGAGATGAATGCATATCTGATTGCCTCCTTTGGAGAGGCTAATCAGAAACTAAAGAATGCAACCATTTGTCTTTTATCTACATATGACCTGGAAGCCCCCTCCCTGCTTCCAGTCATCCCACCTTTCCAGACCAAACCAATGTTCATCTTACATATGTTGATTGATTGATGTCTCATGTCTCCCTAAAACGTGTAAAACCAAACTGTGCTCTGACCACCTTAGGCACATGTCATCAGGACCTCCTGAGACTGTGTAATGGGTGTGCATCCTCAATCTTGGCTAAATAAACTTTCTAAGCTAACTGAGACCTGTCTCAGATATTTGGGGCTCACACCTTCGTTTGAGGACAACTGGCTAACCTGCTCAATGCTCCCTCATACAGATAGGTAGGTTTGAAATACCCCAGAGATCATTGGTGTGCAATCATTAAATATGTAATGACTCACTGGGCCTACAGAGCAGCTGCATGCATCCCCAGTTTTAAAGCACTAACACTTTACTTTCTAAAACACAACTTTGAAAGACAGTAACTCCTGTGCTTGCTAACAAAGACTTTTAAAAAACAAAACATAGAACTTTAGTCACTGATGTTCTCAGTGTACTTATTGTGCTTTTAATCTTCATTGCCATGCATATTTTAAAAAGCATTTTCATACATTTATTCGCCATTTGTGTTTTCTCTTTGTAAAGTTTCATTTCAAATATTTTTCATTTCAAATATTTTGCTGATTTCCTATTTTTCTATCTCATTTCAATTGATTTTGAGTTCTTCATGTTTTCTAGGTACTAGTCTGTCAGTTCTATGTATTGCAAATATCTTGTATCATTCTATGCTTTGCCATTTAACTGTTTTGATGGTATCATTTGATCAACAGATGTTGTTAAATTTTTATCAACTATTTAAAGTCAACTATATTGAATATATTATGTTTATTGACTATGATGCTTTGGTGCTTTATTATTTATTCATTATTTAAGTTTGTACAAGGAAAAGTTGAAGAGACTTCACAACACTACGAGAGCATATTGAATAAAAAATAATTGTCTCCTTTCGACAACACTCCACTGCCCACACAAAACTAAACACCAAACAGATATTTTTCTAGGCATTTGTGTGTCCATGTGTGCACATGCATATGTGTGTGAGTGTGCATATAAAGAGAAGCAATATGGAGTGGTGATTAGGAGCACAGCTATTGGAAGCAGATACTTAGGTTCAAATACAATCTCCAAAGTTTAGCAGCTAGGTGGCTTTGGGCAAGTTGGTTCACCTTTCTCTTTCAATGTCCTCCTCTGCAAAATGAGGATAATACTAATATCTACTTTATGGAGTAGCTATGAAGATAAAAGCATATAAGGCACTTAAAACAATGCCCTTCCCATTAAAAAAAAATAGCTAACATTTATTCAGTCCTTACTATTTGCCAAGCATTTTTTATGTGTTAATCTCTTTAACCATCCCAACAATTATATTCGTTTTCCAGATGAAGAAACTGAAGCCCAAAGGATTTAAGGGACTTGCCCAAGGTGGCACTGCTAGTAAAAGTCAGGATTGGCTTATGAAGCCCAGGTAGTCTGGCTCCAGAGTTTACACTCTTAACCACTATGTTATGTGCTAATCTTCCCATTAAACATACTCAACAGCTATTACCTGATATTACATACATATTCAAATATATGATTTAGTATGCATTTATTACATAAATGACACCATAATACACATTTTACTGTCAATTGCTTTCATCATTACACAATGTAATAGCAATTTTTCCTTGTTAGAACTTTATTTGTTTAAACAGCTAGATCTATACCATAGTGCAGTTGCCTATAATGTATTTAAACATTTCTTTCTTGATGAACATTGAAGTGGTTCCTATCGTTTTGCTACTGCAGTGTAGCAGTGATCATCTTTATACATTCATCTTCTGTGTGTATGTGCAAATATTTCGGCAGAGTGAATATCTAGTAATGGGATTTCCAAGGCAAAGGGCTTGATATTTGCTTAAGTACTTGCTCAGGCAGGGCATCCCTGAGTAAACACAGGTTTTTATATGTCACATATAGATTTTGATAAATTTTCTTTACAGCAACAGAATTTGTTGAATGTTCTTTGCTTGATTCATTCTGCCACTGTCCAAATGCCTAGCTTTGCAAATATCCTTTTATTTCTTTCACTTATATAAAAGGTAACTTTGTAAGAAATCCCATCATATATTTAGATAAGAATTTTAAGACTATCCTACTTCCATTCTCCCTTCTTGGAACCAACCTCAAAATGTCTAACAATTCTTTATTGGTAAATTGAATAATCTCAATTTTGTTTTCTTTCTACATCTACACAAACCATCTACAGTATCAGTGCAGTGCAGCCTCTGTGTCTGCTCACCCTCCCTTTACTCTGTAAGCAAGTTATCAGTCATAGGAGCAGTCATAAGTAAGTAAAAATTACCTTGTTCAAGAAATAGTTGATTATGGAACACTGTAAAGACCCCTGTGGACTGCATTCTCCCAGGGCTTCTCCTAGAAAGCAGAGACAAACACTATATTCAGTTTCAGAGCCCAGTCTCTTTAATCTTTTTATCTTCCTGGGATTCCTTCCAAGCAACACAACAGAATATAGCTCTATAGCTTGTCTCCCAGTGACACACCTCTCTTGGTCCTCTCTGCTGGCCAACAAGGCAAGCTCTCTACTGATTTTATCCAACTAAAGCAACCTCCACTTTCCTACCTTTTTCTTTTCATTTTAATCAAGTTCTCTTAATTCCTCTTTATAGACTTGAGTTTAGCATTTTGAGAGGCATTTATCTGTGAGATAACTTACACATCTTCAGGAGAGCTAGGGGGAAGCTGTCATCCTTGAAAATACTTTGGCAATATGGGGATTATCTTGACCTCATTTGTGGAGTACATCTCTAGCCTGAATAGGTTTGTTGTTTCCTTTTAACAAAAGATATGTTTTTAGTATTTGAGTCTTTTATATGTGCCTAATAGCAGAATATTTTGCTTCCATTGTAATGCTGGTATACTTCAAGAACAGCAGCCAAACTCATTCACAGAAAGTGATAATGAGAATAACTTACTATATAAACTTGAGTATGTACAAATGTAAGTTTTCTAAAGCTGCCCATTTTGTATTAAATCAAAAATTTTCTGGGTCAGCTGAGATACTCAGTGTAATTGATGACCAAGGCTAGAAGGTCCAAGTTGCTGATTAACACTTTGAGTGCTCAGTGCATTCTAGAATTTTTAATTTCTTTCCCAACCAGCATGAAGTCAGTCAGATTAAGCACTCTTGACATGTTGGTTTTAGGGGGATGCAGATGTAAAAATAAGTGCATCACCATCTTTATTCCTCACTTGTGTTCCTTCTGTCCCAACCTCCTTTGTCCAACATGGGTACCCAAGGGAAAAAGAGATGCATACAATAAGGAATTATTTAACTACCCAGAATTCCCCATCTAATATCAGCTCCTTGTTTTTTAAGCAAGTACAGGAAAATGTGCAGTAGTTCTAACTGAGATTTACATCTCAAATTCCTACATGATCGTCTATACTGATAAATTGAGCTAGATTATAGGTGAGTTTTAAAAAGATCCATTATTTAAATAAAGTTTTTATTTTGGAATAATTTTAGACATACAGGAAAGTTGTAAAGATAGTACAAAGAGTCCCATATATCCCATACTCAGTTTCTTCGATTTTTAACATCTTATGTAATCATGGTACATTCATCCAAACTACTGACATTGATACATTGTTATTAACTAAACTAGAGGATCCATTTTTTTTCCACTCCAATTTTAGTTTAAACAAGCAATAGAGCATAATCTTGGCATTCCCCGATGTTGGCATTCTAATGGCTGAAGATACTTTGGAAAAGTAGGTATAAAGAGTTTTAGTGAGAAAAGCTTCAAGTACAACAGGAATAAGCCTCCCATTCCCTGTTTCTTTTCTATGATACATTATCGCTAGCCCTGTTAGGCTATGAAAAGGGGGCAGGTTGGGATTTCTAGGCAGAAGACAATCCTGGGCCTATCCTACTGCACCAAATGACATAGAAGAAAGAAAAGAAAAATTGGAGGGAAAAATTAAGAATGTATATACCAGAAAGAAATGAGTTGTAAACATTTACACTTTCCACTACAAGTAACATTCCTTACTAAATGTGTGTCTCTGATTCATACTTGAACAACCATATAATGGTAGAAGTTTGTGATGAGGGGAACCCTTAAAATACCTTCATAGGTTAGGATATACCACAAACTGTACTCTATATAAACTGTTATGAAATTATGGTATAAATTACTTTCCAAATTTTGATGATCTTTTTAGGGATAAAAAGTGGATATTTACTTAGAATGAGGGGGAAGAATCATCACAAATGACACATTTTTTTAAAGCTGACAGTGCCATACCACCTGAACACGCCCAATCTCATCTGATCTGGTATTGTTACAGTAATTTGTTTTATTGGTAACTTTTTGTCTAAGGAACCAATGACATAAAGTTCAGGATTCTGTAAATATAACAGGAGATCATAATTTCCAAAGGTTGGAGGGGCTTTTAGATACACCTTCAACTGGAAGAAAAGGTTACCTAAATTAGTTATAACATCTCTAATAGTGTCTTCCTGTCTCTCCTTGAACTTTGACATCTTTGGGCAGCTTTGTTTGTTGGAAGGTTTTGTTTTGTTTTGCTGCATTCAGCTAACATTTACCTTACTGTAACTTTAATCCTTTGATTATAGTAGGTCTGAAGGATCCTACTAAAGCAAATACCCAAAATAATTTTTTTTTCTTTTGAGAGACTAACACACATCTAAAGCTAGCTATTACCTCTTGCACACAACTCTTCTCTTTTCAGGGCTAAAATATTCCTGGTTTTCATCAACAAATCTGTCTGAGGGATTTTACTACTTTGTCTTTGATTGCTCTTTGAGCAATCAATTTCAGCAAAATTACAACCTCATTTTTCTTACTAAATAAACACATTTTCTTTTTGTTGAGAGGCTGTCTCCATGGGAGTTATGAGTATATGCTGTACATGGAGAGAACTGGATTCAAATCCAGGTTTTATGATCATGTCAAATTACATAATCTCTGAGGCTCATTATTCACCTTTGTACAATGGACTATGGTAATAGTGCTTATCTCAGCATGTTTGTATAACAATAAAAGAAGGTTATTCAGGTAAGAAATTAGCTAGCACTCAACTAGAATTCATCTATTATTATTCGGTTTTTAAGGTTGTCATTTCATTGAAACAATTTTGTCTTTAACAAATACATGACATTACAATAAATAATTTATTTTTTAAATGTATCATACTCAAACTAATTTTCTTTCTTTCCCCACCCTCATCCCAAAACATTAGAATCCAAGGAAGAAGGACATTCTTTGCAGAAGGGTATAGGAAAAACAAAATTGAGAGAAGCAAACTAGTCTTTATTCCCTTTATTTGCATAAAAATGTTATTTCATTCAGCCTTCACACTATCCCTCTTAGTTACAGGTTATTGTGTCTTATTGTGTCAATGTTATTATTCTATTTCTTTAGTCATTAATAGTGCTGGTATTTAGTTAGTTTTTGCATTTCCTTTGAGTGACTTGTCCCAGGGCAGATACTTTATTTGAAATATACCAAAAAATTTTAATTGAATTATCAATCTTATCACGTAGATCTGGTTTCTAGGACATTTTTCAGTCTGCTGCTATGATACTATCTTAGCATGGATATCTTGTAGCATTGTTAATATTACAGTAGTAATAAAACAGTCTTAAAACGTGCTACCAAATGGTCACAAATTTTGAAAGAAAAGTTCAGCATAAACAAAGTTCAGAATTTAATTGCATAAATGGATTGCAATAGAGTCTTAAACTTGATTGTGTTGAGTCATGAAACTCCACAAAATGTTAAAATTCAAACATGTCTGGAATATTGGAAAATAATTTGTTGGTGATATTTTAAATGATGTCTAATAAAAATGGTCACCAATTTCTAACACCATGTAGGAAAGAAAGGAAATAGGTATGCTTTCCAAGCATCTAGACTGCATTAACTAAATATTTTCTTTGATGGAATCGCAAGTAATTTCAAATTGTGTTTGCTTCAGTAATAGAAAGTGCCTCTCAGACTCAGTTCTATCTTTACATGTGTCTTCTTTCGTGGGTACTGTGAAGAGGCTCAAAAACAAAGCAGCTTATTTGCCACAAAGAACAACATTAAGATGGTTGAAGGTGAGAATTTCAAATAATGCAGTTGTGAAAATAAGAGAGAACCTTTAACAAACTTCAATTTTGAAATTCTTTTTCCTCTTTCTATTTTGGGTCTCATCATTATTGTCAGAATGGTGGCTGTTCTATCAAAAAAGCATGGCAGAGAAATAGGTCGGTGGAAAACCAGTTGCACCACTAATCAATGTTGTGAATGGCAACCTGTCCTGGGAAGTGATCGTGCTGCTAAATATTCAAGGAAAGCTGTTGGATAGATTACAATAAACAAATCCTTGTAGTGTATAGTCTAGTGGTAGTAATCCCAGTGGCGCTGCTCATCCTGAATCCCCAGGTTCTAGCGAGTGTCTGCTAAATGTTTTGGACATGTGAATGCCATTGAGGTCCTAACTCTTGCTGTTTATTATCCTTGGCTATAAAACTGTAAAATCTAAGGAACAGACATTCACATGAATATTACCATTCATCCCATCAAAAGAAAAGCCCTGAAGCAATTTACCTATTTTTACTAAGCAGAGTTAGACAAGCAAGTTCTACCATGAATATATTGAAAGACTAATTAATATCTTAGCAATGTTTCCTAATCATTGTGTCATGACAATTTGAGCCATTGTCAAAAAACTCTCTGTATGTTGAAATATCCTGAGTTTCTTTACCCCAGGAAGTTCCTTTTTTTTTTTTTCCCAAAATCATTGTTTCTAAAGTCACTGCTTTCAGCTTCTGCCTGTATCTCAGAGATAAAAGCCAACTAGTTCCTTTGAGGAACACAAACAACTGAATAGGGCAATCAAGATTAAGGAAGAGACCTCCAGTACAAATGTAGTAGTTGTCCTGGACTGAATTCTAAAAGCATGAAGTTACAGACTGCACAGGAAATGCAAATTTTAAAATAAACTAACACTTAAACTCTATGCTATGTATAGAAAAAGTACTCAAAATTTGAAGTCATAGAATTGCCCCAAACCATAGAAGTATTTGTCAAAATTTGAAAAGGTACTGATTAAACATTCAAATGTGACAGCATTAATCTTCAGATATCCAGAAATTGGAGACCCACATCACCAGAAATTTTATGCATGTAAGTTATAGCATTTTGGTCTCAATATAGTCAAGGGAGAAAAATGAGTTGGGAAAATATTTACTGCAAGTAAAATGAATTGATTAAATTTGGAGCTGTGTTAAATTCTAGATACTCCTACAGTTCACTTCACCTATGTGATCTGTTCCTTAACCTCGATTTTCTATTTTTACTTATTTTCAAAAAAGAATGATTAAATCTTGCTTCAGTAATTATTCACTACTAACTACATTTTACAACACTATTCAGCTGACCAAGATATTTTCCTGAAATAACAGAACGTTTCCATTTTTGTACAATTCCTGATTATTGGAAACCAAGCACATGCTAAGAATGTTCTCGTGGACTTGTGGTCCCTCCAGAGTAACTGAAAATAGATGGTTTCTGTTTTCCAGGTCACTTTGCTAAGTAAATTTGGTTATCATAGAATAGGAATTTTTTTCCAGCTTACTTATTCATTATGAACAGAAAATTATGCTGGAGAGTATTTTTCTTCTAGCTGTCTGATAACCTTAAGAATGATTTTCTAGATGCAATTCGAGGAAATAATTTATCTTACAACAATAAAGATTCCTTCAGAAAAAATGAAATGAAGAACTAAATATGTATTAAATGAATTAGAGACAAGCTGTCCTAATTTGGGTAGTTTAAGGTTCCCAAATCACCTGAATTATTCAAACTCTCTGTCTCTGCTACCAGTTAATTGCTTAACAGTTTTGTTTTTTTTTTCAGGTTGATAGACCAGGCTCTAAAATACCTGAAATCAATATAGCATTGCTCAATGGTAAAACAATAGAAAGCTGATGTCTTCACTCTATCATTCATTCATTCATACATACACTAAACACATATTTGACATCACTTTTCTTAAGTCATGTTAAACAATTTTCATCAGGGAATTTTAAACAAAAATAACACATTTAAATATAAAAATATTCTAAGTAATTGAGAAGCCTTCTTAAGATGAGCCACATTGTTTAAACACTTCACTCAATAAAGTCATGTTCTATGACTTAGAAAGGGATGCTGTATTATTTGATAACAACCTCGAGTGTGAACAGAAGTCCTGGTACATTACTAATATGACATGGGTAATTCATGTAAATAATACTTATATTATAAATGGCTTTATATTTTCCAAAGAATGTTCACACTATTTATATCACTTGATCTACATACAAGCACTGGAAAGGAGATAGGGCAAACAGTACTTTTTTCTATTTTACAGATAATGAACCCCAGCTCACAGAAGGGTAGTGGCTTGCCCTGAGTATATATGGCAGAACTGAGACTAAACCTTTGTTGACAGACTCCGAATCCTTTTTCATTCGGTGCACAGGATGTTTATTAACTGAAGGTCACACTTACTGAGAGAATACATTGTGCCAGAGGCTGCACTATCTTTATATGTATTAGCTCATCTGCAATTAATAAACAAGGAAATCAAGGCTTAGTGAAATAAAATAACTTTAATCAAGGTCATACAATTACTTAGCGGCAGGACCAAAAATTGCAGGATAGCCCTGTGATTCTAAGGCTCACCTTTTTAACCACTTCTTATTTTGTAATTTCCTCCATCATCACAGGAAGGATTTTAATTAGGTATAATTACATCCATTTCCTCTTTTCATCACATTAACTTAGAGAACAGACAGGCACCTATCTCTATTAAATACCATTTAGTTTCTATTTTTGCTATTTTTCAGCTTTCTCTTCTAAATATTCACCTCTAACATTTTCTACTCTTTTAATCATTTTCAATGGGTTCAAATAAATTCTCTAAATTCTTCTCCTTTCTCATTTTTTTAAATAGTAACTTCTTTTTTGTGTCTTACCTAATCACACAGCTATATATTCTTAATGAAGAAAACATAAAGCACAAAGGAAAGAACAAAAGTTATCCCAAATACCACCAACGTAAGATAACAATGGTAATGGTTAAATTTTCTGAATATGTAGAAGTAAAAATAATGACTATGCTCGGTGCTTTCATATATTTAAGGATCACAACAACCCTTGGAAGTAGGTACTATACTTACATTCATTTATAGTTAAGGAAAGTTAAGCTTATATAGATTGAATTATTTATTCACATTCATATAGTTAAGAGGCAACTCTATGATAGAAGTAGAACTGTCCACCTGCCTTCCCAAGTGTATCTGTTTGGATTGATACTGTATAATATCCCTTCTCTTTCTATTTTTGGCCTTCAGGTATATCAGAAACATCTTCCGTATTCAGTAAGCTTCAACATGATTTCTAACGGAAGGGTAGTATTCTACATTAACAATGTAATGTAACTTATTTAAAGAACCTCCATATTTAGGGGTATTGTGACTGCTTTTTTTTCTGCCATAAAATTGCAATGAAACATCTTTGTGCTGTTGCACCAAAAGCCAGCATTCTATATCTGGCTTTCTCTGTGACATGGGGTCTATGTTTGTCTGTTTTGTGTTGCTATAAAGGGATACCCTAGACTGGGTAATTTATAAATAAGAGAGGTTTATTTGGCTTATTGTTTTACAGTCTGTACAAGCATGGCATCAACATCTGCTCAGCTTCTGATGAGGCCTCAGTAAGTTTTTACTCATGGTGGAAGGTGAAGTGGGAGCATACATGTGACATGGTGAGAGAGGAAGCAAGACAGAAGGGAGGACATGCCATGCACTTTTAAACAAGCTCTCTTGTAGACTCATTACCATGGGGAGGGCAACAAGCCATTCATGAGGGATTCACCCCCATGAGCCAAACACTTCCCACTAGGCCCCACCTCCAACATTGGGGATCACATTTCAACATGAGATTTGGAGAGAACAAGCATCCAAAATATATCAGTGTCTACTTTTGGTACCTTTTCTGCTCCTTGCCTGAGAGGAGCCCTGCCATCTCCAGGCTTTGTTTATTTGATTATCTTTACTCTTACGATTCTTAGTGTAGCTGATTTCAAGTGCTGAGTTTCAGTGATATTGATCCACAGCAGAGCAGCACCCAGTCTCTCTTGATCTTCACGTTTGCCTCACTTTCACTGTTAAAAATTTCTTTGTTCAGCTGGGCGCGGTGGCTCACCCCTGTAATCCCAGCACTTTGGGAGGCCGAGGTGGGCGGATCACGAGGTCAGGAGATAGAGACCATCCAGGTTAACACGGTGAAACCCTGTCTCTAATACAAAACAATTCGCTGGGCGTGGTGGCAAGTGCCTGTAGTCCCAGCTACTCGGGAGGCTGAGGCAGGAGAATTGCTTGAACCCGGGAGGCAGAGGTTGCAGTGAGCCGAGACTGTGTCACTGCACACCAGCCTGGGCGACAGAGCGAGACTCCGTCTGAAAAAAAAATTTTTTTATTTGTTCAGTCAGTTCAGGTTCTTACAGTTGCATTAACAGGAACAAAGACTAGCTAACTTGAAAAAAAGAGATGTGTTTAAAGGGTTTCAAGCAGCTTGCAGAATGGATGGGAAGATGGAAGAAGGAAGTTCAGGAAATGAATAGGAACCAAGGGAAGTTAAGCAGCCAAAATAGTGCAGGAAGAATAGTCTAGCTAGGTCCCTATACCACCACCACCGCCACCACCAGAAACACTGCTTTTGAAAACCCTGATGCCAGCACTTCTTTAATGGCTTCTCCTTACTTCTTTGTAAAACTCCTTTAATCTTCAGTCTTGGGTGACTACATCTAAATGAGCCTAGCTCACGTCCCTAGATGCTGCTTGGCTGCCAGGGACTAAAGAAAGGTAGAAGCTCCCTGCTTTAGCTTCTGTAGCTGGAGGCAATTACCCAACCAACAGAACACATAATGAGGAATTTCTCCCACATTGGTAGAGGATTTGAATGCTAGGAAGCTATGGAAATAAGAAATATCCACTACAGTTTTGCTTAAGAGATTTTTCTATCTCAGGTAAGCCTGTTATGAAATGGTTGCTCAATCTCTTTGATTTAGTCTTGTTTTCATTGTTCCATACTTAGCAAAAATCTTCCAAGTTTGTGGCACAGGGATGGCACTCTTCTCTAAGTACTCGACTTGATATAGAGTTCCCTCCAACTTTCATGTTATTTTGCAAGTCATCACAAGCATGACAGTGCTTCAAATGTGTACATTAAACAAATTAATGCATTTAAAATACAATGACTATATGTATGCAATATTTGAAGACAATATAAAAAGTCTAAATTTGGCTGGGCGCGGTGGCTCACGCCTGTAATCCCAGCACTTTGGGAGGCCGAGGCGGTCAGATCACGAGGTCAGGAGATCGAGACCATCCTGGCTAACACGGTGAAACCCCGTCTCTACTAAAAATACAAAAAATTAGCCGGGCGTGGTGGCGGGCGACTATAGTCCCAGCTACTCAGGAGGCTGAGGCAAGAGAATGGCGTGAACCCGGGAGGCGGAGCTTGCAGTGAGCCGAGATGGCGTCACTGCACTCCAGCCTGGGCGACAGAGTGAGACTCCATCTCAAAAAAAAAAAAAGTCTAAATTTGGGGAGGTCTTTTGTCAATATGCCGCCTTGGCCAGAATGACCCTTCTATATAATCCTCTGCTACACCCCCACTTCCTCCAATGATTCCCACAAATAGGTTCCTTTCCTTTGATTATTTAAGTCAGTCGTGCAGGAAAAGCATTTAAGAAAGAAGGATTGGATGCATTTACTCAAGTTACCCTCTTTCACAAAATCTCCTGTGCATATATTATTAATGGGATCCTAAAATGTCTGTAATAGTGGGGCGAAGTCAGGGCAATGTTATGTATGATGTAAAGTAAACTCTAGATTTCCATATAATAAGCTCTTTCCTTTTTTTTTTTTTTTGAGATGGAGTCTTGCTCTGTCGTTGGGGCTGGAGTGTAATGACACGATCTCGGCTCACTGCAACCTCCACTACCCTGGTTCAAACAATTCCCTTGCCTCAGCCTCCCGAGTAGCTGGGATGACAGACATATGCCACCATGCCCAGCTAATTTTTTTGTATTTCTAGTAGAGACGGGGTTTCACCATGTTGGCCAGCCTGGTCTAGAACTCCTGACCTCAATACATCCGCCCCCTTTGGCCTCCCAAAGTGCTGGGATTACAGGCATGAGCCACCGCACCTGGCCAATAAGCTCTTTTCTATTTCTCCCTGTATCACACTAATCCTTTAAAAATGTGTAGTATTTCTCATTATTACTTTAAAATAAATTAAACTTTATACCAATTAAACATTTTTGCAGCTGTTAATGACTTGAAGAACTGATAAAGCTTTATTTCTGAGCCTTGGTATTGCTAAATAACATAGTTTCATTTTATATTAGTAATAAATTGGCAACAATGTTGGTTAATTAACATTGGTTAATTGAATCATTATGGAAACAAACACTTGCATGACCCTCAGGAATTAAATGAGAAAACCAGTCTGGGATGTGCGTTGTAAATTCCTCCTAATAATGGGTGATAGGTACAATAATGCTCTCTTCCTGTCCACCTGATTAATTATGAAGCTTTCAAATCAAGATTGATTTTTTTTCTAACATCGTCTGTCACATTAACACTAAACTTTCTATTAACACAACATAATAATTGTAGACAAGATTAAGTACGTTTTCACATGGTGAGTTCCTTTTTGAAACCATCTTTCATTATCATGAAAATTTAGACACCTGGCCCCAGGTGGGTGTATGTTTTTGTCAATATGCTATAGCACTTGAATCTGGTCATAAAAATAAAAAGTAATGAGCTTTTAGTGGTTTGATCACTTTAATTCTTTGGATATATTTTACATGATATAGGTAATTGAAAATGCAAAACTAAGGCAGCATATTTATTTACTGAAATCACTGGAGAATACTGGTTCCACCACTAAATATATTACCTTATTTATATGAACTCGTCACCTGGTAAAGATATAAAAACAGAATAGAGGATATCCTACTGGTATTTGATCATCACAGACTATCGGTGAATTTTTGCTCCCTTTAACCAATGCTACACCTCGCTTCCACAACCAACCAAGTGTTTTTAGTTTACTATTTGGACTCTTTCTTCCTTGTCACTTGATATTGTTCTCATATTGGATCAAAGCCTTACCCTTTTTTGCTAGAGAAGACAATATCCTGACCACACATATAAGATATTCATATCCATTTCCACACATCAAAGCATACACATTCACGTTATTTTCACCTACTGTTTACTACTAGATTTATCTACTGGCAGATGTATTATTTGAAGGCAGAAATCCGGAAACAAAATGAATACTTTTCTGACATGTATAGAAAGTCCAAATCTCATGCAATTCATAACTAACTTACAGGAAGGAAGGGATGTTGAATATGTTTGGTAGAAGAGGCAAACTGCCTAGTGTCCAGTGCCTGAAAACTGGGAACATTTTATATATGACTTCAGGAAGGAAGACTCCCTATTAATAAAATGACTAAGAAAGTTTAAGCGTGGGACACAGGAAGGAGTAGAACTGATAATACTTCGCTGCATGTGTGGCATGAAGAGGGCAATGGGAATAGAGTTTCAGAGTATCCACAACAAGATGGAGTAATGATGAGAATTCTGCAGCTATGTTTCTGGGATCATTGGTGAGAATGAATTCACTACTGTGATTTGTGGTGAGTAAACAGTCAACAATGAAATGGACTGAGCCAAACCTGAATATTAAAAAAATACAGGCCTGGCACAGTGGCTCACACCTGTAATCCCAGAACTTTGGGAGGCCAAGGCAGGCGGATCACGAAGTCAGGAGATCGAGACCATCCTGGCTAACACGGTGAAACCCTGTCTCCACTAAAAATAAACAATAAAAAAGAAATTATCTGGGCACGGTGGCGGGCGCCTGTAGTCCCAGCTACTGGGGAGGCTGAGGCAGGAGAATGGCGTGAACCCAGGAGGCAGAGCTTGCAAGGGAGCCGAGATCGCGCCACTGCACTCCAGCCTGGGCGACAGAGCGAGACTCTGTCTCAAAAAAATAAAAAAATAAAAAAAACAGATCGATCAGTAGGTTCATTTCACCTCAATCATTTTCCCTGCAGACTGTGTTATGCTCACCTGTTCATTGGATCTTGACACATTTTCTGCTACTTCATCATTTTCAGCACCTTAATTGTGTTTCTTTTCACTAGACACAATTGCTAGTTCTCACCTGAATATAACACTGGTGTTTGTGAGTAATCACCAACTCTTTTATGCCTGTAGGGTAAAATTTGCAGCTGTATAATATCCTGGAAGTACTTCTCCATCTTGTATAATATACGATTTTCACACACTGAGTATTTCAGACAGTCTTAAAAGCTGAATAAGTCCACTTTTAGAAATTTAGTCATTCATATTTATTCATTGTATTATTTAGTCACATATTTTATTTTCTTTAGAAATTCTGTTTGTTTGATCTGGACATGTAGTACCCACTTTGTGTCAATTATGCTGGATACTGGTAATATATTTTTTTCTGCCAATTTCAAAATCAGTATATTCAAATATTTTGTATTTCCCCAAATCTACTTCTTGTTTTCCCTTACCACCATGATCTTAGATCATCCAGTCTGTCTTAGACTCTCTTATCCCAGTACTCACACTCACTCAAACATATCACACTTCTGATTGTATTCAGGACAGGCAACCCCAAAATATGGCACCTGGCATTTGAAAAAACAGCAGAACTGGGAATGTCACTTTGTCCTTCACCTTGCCCTTCTCTCCTGAAGCAAGTCATAAAATCCACATTCAAGAGGAGTCCTGCCTATTCTCAGAGGAGGAGAGCCAATGACACAGAGATGCTAAGAATAATCTCAACCAAAACGCCTTGCTAAATTACAACCCCAGTTTATTATCATCAGATCATCCTCCTTTTGTCTTCTGGTTATATTTCCTCACAACTTCTTTCCCCTTACTCTTCCAAGCTTTGTTGATTGTACTGCTGAAATCACATTCACACGTATATCCCACTCCCATCTGCTTGAGTTCAAGTTCTGTTATCTTCTGCCCTACTTAAAGTTCTTATTTTCCCCTACTTGGATTGGTTCTTGTTTCCAATTCATTGTTTCACAGAACTGTCAGAGAGATTTTCACAGTGACCTGACCAAGAAACTCCTTAATTTAAAAGCCATCTGGTTTACTCATATTTTTAGAGCTTCTTAACCTGTGTCTATGAGGTCCTTCATATCTTTGGTTCCTGTCTATCAAAACCACCCCAGTGTATTTCACTAATCCATTTCACTAGGCTACATTCTCTTCTGACCACCAAGAGACATTTCCAGAGTCTGAATCAGGTTGGCTTCTCTCATGATCGTAAGTTTCCTGAGGCCTCCCAAGACATGCAAAACTGTGAGGCAATTAAACCTCTTTTCTTTTTTTAAATTTTACTTTAAGTTCTCAGAAACACGTGTGGAATGTGCAGGCTGGTCACATAGGTATATGTGTGCCATGGTGGTTTGCTGCATGTATTTACTAGTC
Source organism: Homo sapiens (assembly GCF_000001405.40). Classification (NCBI taxonomy): domain Eukaryota; kingdom Metazoa; phylum Chordata; class Mammalia; order Primates; family Hominidae; genus Homo; species Homo sapiens. Next base: position 98,886,806 of record NC_000023.11, on the reverse strand, counting down.
TTCTATGTTCCCTCCCCTCACCCCCCATCCCCTGACAGGCCCTGGTATGTGATGTTCCCCTGCCAGTGTCCATGTGTTCTCGTTGTTCAACTCTCCCTTATGAGCAAGAACATGTGATGTTTGGTTTTCTGTTCCTGTGTTAGTTTGCTGAGGATGATGGCTTTCAGCTTCATCCATGTCCCTGCAAAGGAAATGATCTCATTTGTTTTTATGGCTGCATAATATTTCATGGTGTATATGTACCACATTTTCTTTATCCAGTCTATCATTGATGGGCATTTGGGTTGGTTCCATGTCTTTGCTATTGTAAATAGTGCTGCAATAAACATATGTGTGCATGTGTCTTTACAGTAGAATGACTTATATTCCTTTGGGTATATACCCAGTAATAGGATGGCTGGGTTAAAAGGTATTTCTGGGTCTAGATCCTTGAGGAATTGCCACACTGTCTTCCATAATGGTTGAACTAATTTACATTCCCACCAACAGTGTGAAAGCGTTTCTATTTCTCTACAGCCTCGCCAGCATCTATTGTTTCTTGACTTTTCAATAATTGCCATTCTGACTGGCATGAGATGGTATCTCATTGTGGTTTTGATTTGTGTTTCTCTAATAATCAGTTTTGTCGAGATTTTTTTTTATATGTTTGTTGGTGGCACAAATGTCTTCTTTTGATAAGTGTCTGTTCATATCCTTCACCCACTTTCTGATGGGGTTATTTTTTCTTGTAAATTTGTTTCAGTTCCTTGTAAATTCTGGATATTAGACCTTTGTCAGATGGATAGATTGCAAAAATTTTCTCCCATTCTGTAGGATACCGGTTCACTCTTATAATAGTTTCTTTTGCTATGCAGAAGCTCTTCAGTTTAATTAGATCCCATTTTCAATTTTGGCTTTTGTTGCTCTTGCTTGTGGCATTTTTGTCCTGAAGTCTTTGCCCATGCCTTTGTTCTCAATGGTATTGCCTAGGTTTTCTTCTAGGATTTTTATGGTTTGAGGTTTTACATTTAAGTCTTTAATCCATCTTGTGTTATTTTTTGTATAAGGTGTAAGGAAGGGGTCTGGTTTCAGTTTTCTGCCTATGGCTAGCCAGTTTTTCCAGCACCATTTATTGAATAGGAAATTCTTTCCCCATTGCTTGTTTTTGTCAGATTGTCAAAAATCAGATGGTTGTAGTTGTGTGGTGTTATTTCTGAGGTCTCTGTTTTGTTCCATTGGTCTATATGTCTGTTTTTGTACAAGTACCATGCAGTTTTGGTTACTGTAGCCTTGTAGTATAGTTTGAAGTCAGGTAGCATGATACCTCCAGCTTTTTTTTTGCTTATGATTGTGTTGGCTATACAGGCTCCTTTTTGGTTCCATATGAAATTAAAATTATTTTTTTTTCTAATTCTGTGAAGAACGTCAATGATGGTTTGATGGGAATAGCATTGAATCTATAAATTACTTTGGGCACTGTGGCCATTTTCTCAATATTGATTCTTCCTATTCATGAGTATGGAACGTTTTTCCATTTGTTTGTGTCCTCTCTTATTTCCTTGAGCAGTGGTTTGTAGTTCTTCTAGAAGAGGTTCTTCACATCCCTTTCTATCTGTATTCCTAGGTATTTTATTCTCTTTGTAGCAATTATGAATGGGAGTTCATTCATGATTTGGCTCTCTGCTTGTCTGTTGTTGGTATATAGGAATGCTTGTGATTTTTATACATTGACTTTGCATCCTGAGACTTTGCTGAAGTTGTTTATCAGCATAAGGAGTTTTTGGGCTGAGATGATGGGGTTTTATAAATATAGAATCTTGTCATCTGCAAACAGAGACAATTTGACTTCCTCTCTTCCCATTTGAATACACTTTATTTCTTTCTCTTGCCTGATTGCCCTGACCAGAACTTCCAATACTATGTTGAATAGGAGTGGTGAGAGTGGGCATCCTTGTATTGTACCTGTTTTCAAAGGGAATTCTTCCAGCTTTTGCAAATTCAATATGATACTGGCTGTGGGTTTGTTATAAATAGTTCTTATTATTTTGAGATATGTTCTATCAATACCTACTTTATTGAGCGTATTTAACATGAAAGGATGTTGAATTTTATCAAAGGCCTTTTCTGAATCTATTGAGATAATCATGTGGTTTTTGTCATTGGTTCTGTTTATGTGATGCATGACGTTAATTGATTTGCATATGTTGAACCAGCCTTGCATCCTAGGGATGAAGCTGACTTGATCATGGTGGATATGTTTTTTGATATACTGCTGGATTCAGTTTGCCAGTAGTTTATTGAGGATTTTAGCATTTATGTTCATAAGGGATATTGGCCTGAAGTTTTCTTTTTTTGTTATGTCTCTGCCAGGTTTTGGTATCAGGATGATGCTGGCTTCATAAAATGAGTTAGGGAGGAGTCCCTCCTTTCAACTGTTTTAAATAGTTTCAGAAGGAATGGTACTGGTTCCTCTTTGTACCTTGATAGGATTCAGCTGTGAATCATGGTCCTGAGCTTTTTTGGGTTAGTAGGCTAGCAATTACTGCCTGAATTTCAGAAATTGCTATTGGTCTACTCAAGGATTCAGTTTCTTCCTGGTTTAGTCTTGGGAGGGTCTATGTGTCCAGAAAATCTATGCATTTCTTCTACAGTCTCTAGTTTCTTTGCATAGAGGTGTTTATAGTATTCTCTGATGGTACTTTGTATTTCTGTGGGGTCAGTGATGATATCCCCTTTATCATTTTTTATTGTGTCTATTTGACTCTTCTCTCTTTCCTTGTTTATTAGTCTAGCTAGCAGTCTATCTGTTTTCTTAATTTTTCCAAAAAGCCAGCTCCTGGATTCACTGATTTTTTTTGGAAGGCTTTTTGTGTCTGTATCTCCTTCAATTCTGCTCTGATCTTAGTTATTTCATGTTTTCTGCTAGCTTTTGGATTAGTTTGTTCTTGCCTCTCTAGCTCCTTTAGTTGTGATGTTAGGGGGTTAATTTGAGATCTTTCTAGATTTCTGATGCAGGCAGTTAGTGCCATAAATTTCTCTCTTAACACTGTTTAACTGTGTCCCAGAGATTCTGGTATGTTGTCTCTTTGTTCTCCTTGGTTTCAAAGAAACTTCTGCCTTAATTTCATTATTTACCCAGGAGTCATTCAGGAGCAGGTTGTTCCATTTCCATGTAATTGTGTGATTTTGAGTGAGTTTCTTAATCCTGAGTTCTAAATTGTTTGCACTGTGGTCTGAGAGACTGTTATGATTTCAGTTCTTTTGGATTTGCTGAGGAGTGTTTTACTTCCAATTATGTGGGCAATTTTAGAATAAGTGCCATGTGGCACTAAGAAGAATGTATATTCTGTTGATTTGGGGTGGAGAGTTCTGTAGATGTCTATTAGGTCCACTTGATTCAGAGCTGAGTTCAAGTTCTGAATATTCTTGTTAATTTTCTGTCTTGTTGATCTGTCTAATATTGACAGTGGGGTGTTAAAGTCTCCCACTATTATTGTGTGGAAGGATAAGTCTTCTGTAGGTCTCTAAGAACTTGTTTTATGAATCTTGGTGCTCCTGTATTGCATGCATATATAGATATATGCACCCAATTGCTCTTCTTGATGAATTGATCTCTTTACCATTATGTAATGTCCTTCTTTGTCTTTTTTGATCTTTGTTGGTGTGAAGTCTCTTTTGTCAGACTAGGATTGCAACCTCTGCTTTTTTTTTTTTAAACTTTCCTCCATCCCTTTATTTTGAGCCTGTATGCATCTGCATGTGAGATGTGTCTCCTGAATACAGCACATGGATGGGTCTTGACTCTTTATCCAATTTGCCAGTCTGTGTCTTTCAACTGGGGGCATTTAGCCTATTTACATTTAAGATTAGTATTGTTATGTGTGAATTTGGTCCTGTGATCATGATGCTATCTAGTTATTTTGCACACTAGTTAATGCAGTTTCTTCATAGTGTCCTTGGTCTTTATATTTTGGTGTGTTTTTGCAGTGGCTGGTACCAGATTTTCCTTTCCATATTTAGTGCTTCTTTCAGGAGCTCTTGCAAGGCAGGCCTAGTGGTGACAAAATCTCTCAGCCTTTGCTTGTCTGGAAAGGATTTTATTTCTCCTTTGCTTATGAGGCTTAGTTTGGCTGGATATAAAATTCTGCGTTGAAAATTCTTTTCTTTAAGAATGTTGAATATAGGCCCCCAATCTCTTCTGGCTTCTAGGATTTCTGAGAAGTCCACTGTTAGTCTGATGAGCTTCCCCTTGTAGGTGACCTGGCCTTTCTCTCTGGCTGCCCTTAACATTTTTTCCTTCATTTTGTCCATGGAGAATCTGACGATTACGTGTTTTGGGGTTGATCTTCTTGTGGAGTATCTCAGTGGTGTTTTCTGTATTTCCTGAATTTGAATGTTGGCTTTTCTTGCTAGGTTGGAGAAGTTCTCCTGAATAATACCCTAAAGTGTGTTTTCCAGCTTGTTTACATTGCCCCGTCTCCTTCAGGTACTCCAATCAATCATAGGTTCGGTCTTTTTACATAGTCCCACATTTCTCGAACTCTTTGTTCATTCCTTTTCATTCTTTTCTCTCTAATCTTGTCTGCATGCCTTATTTCAGCAATGTGGTCTTCAAACTCTGATATCCTTTCTTCCACTTGGTCAGTTCGGCTATTGATACTTGTGTATGCTTCACAAAGTTCTCATGCTGTGTTTTTTAGCTCCATCAGGTCATTTATGTTCCTCTCTAAACTGGTTATTCTAGTTAGCAGCTCCTCTAACCTTTTATCAAGGTGTTTAGCTTCTTTGCATTGGATTAGAACATGCTTCTTTAGCTCAGCGGAGTTTGTTATTACCCATCTTCTGAAGCCTACTTCCATCAGTTTCTCCATCTCATCCTCAGTCCATTTCTGTACCCTTGCTGGAGCGTGTTGCAAACATTTGGAGAAGAGGCACTCTGGGCTTTTGGGTTTTCAGTGTTTTTCTTTGACTCTTTCTCATTTTCATGAGTTTGTCTACTTTTGATCTTTGAGGATGCTGACCCTTGGGTGGGGTTTTTGTGGAAACTTTTTTTTTTATTGTTGATGCTGTTGTTGCTTTCTGTTTGTTTGGTTTTCTTTCAATGGTCAGGTCCCTCTTCTGCAGGGTTGTAGGGCTGCTGTGGTTTGCTGGGGGTTCACTTCAGGCCCTATTCATCTGGTTTGCCCCTGCACCTGGAGATGTCACTTAGGAGCCTGGAGAACAGCAAAGATGGTTACTTGTTCCTTCCTCTGAGATCTCTAACCTCAAGGGGGACCAACCTGATGCCAGTAAGATCGTTCCTGTATAGGGTGTCTGACAACCCCTGTTAAAGGGTCTCACCCAGTTGGGCGGCACAGGGAATGAAGCACTTTGACTGTACCTTGGTCCAGGAGGTGTGCTTCACTGAGGGGAAACCCACTCGTCTGGGCTGCCTGGATTCCTCAGAACTACTAGGAGGAAAGGCTAAGTCTGCCGGTCCACAGTGATTGCAGCCACCACTCCCCCTAGGGGCTCAGGCCCAGGGAGATCAGAGTTCTGTCCCTGAGCCCCTGGCTGAAGTTGTTGGAGTTCCTGCAGGGAGGCCCCATCAAGTGAGGAAGGATGGGTCAGGGTCAGGCCTGAAGAGGTGCTTTGGCCACAGTCTACCACAACTGGGGTGTTGGACTGTGGGGGACACCTTTTGGGACCAAGCCATCCAGCCTCCCTGGCTCCAGCAGTGGAAAAGCTACAGAGATGGCTACCACCCTTCCCTCGCCCAGGGAGCTTAGCGTGTTAGGCAGCTATCAGTCCCAGTGCTGGCTGTTGCCTCTTTCCCAAGGAACTCGAAAAGCTGAGACAGCAGGCAGCCATAGCTGTGGTGCTGACCACCCCTCTTCCCAGGAATATGGCAGGCTTAAGCAGATCCTAGCTGAGAGGCTGTTGAGAATCTGCACAGCTCTGGGGTTGGAACCCTAAGCCCCAGTGGCATGGGTTCACCCAGTGACATCTTCTGATCTGTGGTTTGCACAGTTCAGTGGAAAAAGTATGGTTTTCCCAGCTGGATAGCATGCTCACTCACCACCTCCCTTGGCTGGGGGGTGGGGGCTCCCCTGCCCTGTGTGGCTCTCAGGTAGGCCACTGCACCACACTGCTCTTTCTTCCTCTCCATGGGTCACACCAGCCACCTAATCAGTTCTGATGAAAGAACCTGGATACCTCGCTTGCCAGTGCAGGATTCACATGCTATTATGATTCTTTTCGATGGGTGCCTCCAATCACCACTGCTTCTAGTCAGCCCTCTTGGTCCCACCCCAAATCTCTTTTCTTTATAAATTATCCAGTCTGGGACATGTCTTTATTAGCATAATGAGAACGGACTAATAGAACAACCATATAGCAAGTGCTTAGCCATTTCTTAGGATTTTCCAGTAGTCTAGATTGCTACATATCTGATTTTTCCCAGAGTTCTTTTCAAAGTACTATTAGCATTATAGGACTATTTTATTTTCTTTTACATTAAAGTATTATGATGGTTCTTCAATTTAAAGTAATACATACTCATACAAGATAATTACAAAAACAAAAAGTTGGAAGAAGAATAAAACACCCATAGTTTTATTTTCAAAAAAAATCACTATTAATATTGGAAGATATTCCCTTCAAGGCTTATTTGCATGCATCCTTTATATTTTATAAATCATTTTTCTTTTTAAAATTAAAACAATTTTTCATTGTTTTTCTTTAGGTAAAAAAGTATAAGTTCATTTAGAATAAGATTATTCCAGGTTCAAAATAATGATACAAGTATATGAAAGCATTTTTTAAAAAATACCGTTGCTGCCTCTTATAGCAGAAAATGGTAAGTCTTCTTTGGCAGAAGTCTAAGAATTTGCAACTTAAATAACTGCTTAAAAAGTATTGGAAACCTTATAAAAATCAGGAAGTTATCCACTACTACAGTTAACGTTATTAACCTCTTAATATTGCCTTAAGAGAAAAAAAAGTTGGGCAAGTTAAATTGTTTCACGAAAGCTTTTATCCAGAAATTGTTCTCTCATGAAAAATACTTTTGGAAAGCTGCCTAGAATGCAACATTCAAGCATAAATTAAAGGTCAAGAATATGTTAATGAGAGGCATGCAATGTTCAGAACCACTTCATCCCCAACTGTCTCTTCTAACTCTGATTATTGCCCCTACCTTTGGCTCTATAGATACATTTTGAATCTCATTCATTTATGTTCTTCTATTGCTTTCTGACTCTATTCAGCAGTAGAACCATTCTAGAAATCATATTCACCATAACTCTCAGGATAACTTATCTAATGATAACTTCAAAAATGTTATTTCCTAGTTTCATTCCCCTTCTCCATCACGATGCTGTTGTCCGTATGGACTATAACTGAAAGATGCCAAATACGTAACATATTTTCTACCACTCTCCACTTCTACGCCCAGGTGTGGCCTCAGAATTATTCTTAACATAAAACCTGTGCAACCATTATTTCTCAATGGAATTGGATACTTGAATTGAAACTTTCTTATTATCCTTGGAAGTTAATTAACTAAACTGCACAGGAATATTCTGTTAAGGAAACAAACTCACTTATAGTTACTGGTTATACCATGTGATTAAATACCAAATATGTTGAGGGCAGCCTTTGAGACACAGGTCTCTTGCTGCCTCTAGTTTTCTGTTGCTCTCGATTCTGTTTCCACATTAGATCAGCTACTGCTTTTATATTCCCCTCTTTTTATTTCTAACCTTCCTTTATGTCATTCTGCTACTTTAGTCTTCATTCCAATGTGACACATACTCATATTTATTCCCTAGATCCCGGAAAAAATGTAAATTATTTTCCCTCTGTGACTACATTTCTCTTAATATCAGGTCAAAACTTCTAAAATGAGGATATGGATTTTTCTTCTGCAATAAGGACCAAAGTAACAGTGGTTTAAAAAATATAAAAATGTATTTCTCAAATAACAGTCTAAAGAAAGTAGCCCTGAGTCAATGTTGACTACATGGTGTTCAGAGACCTAGGTTCCTTCTATCTTCTTAATCTGCCATTGTCAACATTAAAGTGCTATATAGTGCTCATATCTTATATGTCTGCTCCAGCTACTGCCATCATGTTAACATATTAGATAGCTAGGTGAGGAGGAAGGAAAGAAAGGGCTTGATCCTCTTTTTAGTGGCATAACTGAGAAGTCTCACACATTACCTTTGCTCAACACCCATTGTTAGAACTTAGTCATGCTATACCAGACTAGAGGGGATACTAGGAAATGCAGTTTTCAGTCTTATGCTCAGCTAAAAGGTGAAAGTTCTATTATTAAATAAACAAGGGGAGAATGCATATTAGTGACAGCTAACCAATTCTGCCCAACTACTTTTTCTCAGACTAGTCATGTTCTCAACTCTAGTTAAATAATTTCCCTGAAATTTTGTCTGCTTTGTTTGGGACACACAGCATTGGCCTGTATCTATAATTTCCTCACTCTATAAGTCTGCTCTCTAAGCATCTTGACTCCTTTCACCTTAAATAATTAACCCCAGAACTTCATGTTTATTCATCAGAAGAGATGTAATACTTGTGAAAAGAGTATGGGTTATGTAGTCAGAGATCCTAGATGTAGGACCTTGGAGAAGTCATTAAATCTTTCTAGCTTCTATGCCATCTTTGCAGAATTATAGTGAACATTCAATGTGATAATATATGTGAAAGTTGGAAAAGTCTGTTAAAATGCTTTTGGCTGCTCCATTTCATTGTGGTATGTTACAACTGTCTCTCCATAGCATCACTACCCTATAACTTCCTAATTTGACATTCTGCTAAGTGATTTACTTCTCTAGGGTCCCAAGTCTTAACTCTTTGCTCTCCTTATTATTGGCACAGGTACAACATAATTATCTTTGAATTATTTGGCCCTAGAGACAATAGGGAGACTTACCCACATAGAATTTTATTGGGGTTTGATTTTTAGTTCTCTTCAGGTTACAGAATGGCATGATGTTATTCATTTCAGTTAGTACTCTATGCCCTCTAGGAACCCTACTTTGCGTCTACCTAACTAAGGCTAAGATTTGTAGTGATCTTTCTAATCCTTGATGGTATTTAATCTTCACATTCCCTTCCTGGGGCATTTTGTATTTATTTCAGCTATTTAGCATAAGTAATTTTAGCCATATGTAAAATCTGTCGAACTATACCGGTTCTACTGGTAACTATAACATGTGTTCCCTGTTCTCAATCAGAAAGGAGAAACTTTAGCTCACATAGAAAAGCAAGCTTTGTTTGCTTCAGAAAACAAATATTCTCATCTATGCTAGTCCCTATTATGAAATTGAGAGCCTTATGTAGGGAAGGTTATAGTATAAATTATACAGGGTGTCATATTTTCAGGAAATTGAATAATATGTGACATTAATCATGCTCAAATAGAGTTGATCACGGATTTAAAGTATACTATATTGTAATTTTGCAGGCTTTGTTAGAAATAGGGGTTAGAGAAATAAGTTTTAGGCATACTTTGAAGGCTTGTTGGCATTACACAGTCAATTTTAAAGTCAATGACTTAGAATATACTTGAAATGTTTATGTTTCTAGTAAATAAAAAATATGTGAGAGAAAAGTAACATCTACTGAAGGGCTAGTTTCACCATGTTCTATACTGCCTCTTTTATATCAATTTAATTAAAACTTAACAGCATTTCTTAAAGGTTGATATTCTTAAATATACCTTTTCATAATAAGGAAAATGATATTCAGAGAGATTAAGCATATTGTCTAAGTTACAGAGCTAGTAGGCACAGGACAAACTCTAGTGCACCTGCTCCAAAATCATTATTCATTCTTCAAGATCATGCTACTTTCTTGAAACACATGAAGGTAAACACACATGTTTTAAAATAAAATGTTATTAAGACATTGGTTTGCAACTCACCATTTGTAACTTTTGTAGAACAAGAATGATGTTTGGATATTGTCAAGCCATGTGGTGTATAGTTACTCTCTTCACAATTTACTGTTGATCAAGTTTAAAGTATAAGAAGCTGTCAGATACAATTAAGGAGTAAAAAATTGTACAATCAATATTAAAAATATAATTTTGTTAAGTATATCAGTTAGATTGTAGGTAAATCTTCCAAGAAGAAGTGGTTGGTAACTGTGCAGCTGAATTGCTTAAACCTAGTCTTGGCACTGCAACAGAACATGTGAAACATGAAATGCACACTGTAGCTTTTAGTTATTATGTTTTAGTAAGGAATGTAGTTGAGCAAGTTGGCCTTATCTTATTCCAATTCATGTCTGAAAAGTTACCTGAAAAGCAAAAAAAAAAAAAAAAAAAAAAAATGTTAACTGATTCCACATTTCCATTGATGCCATTATTATTCATTCAGACATGTATTCACCCAAGCAAAATATTTTGGCCAATTATGCAATAATGCAAATTCCACTAAACCTGGTCTAAGTCCTAAAGTTTGAGCTATAATTTCCAAGTATGACTAACCCAATGTTTATTTTGTAGACAAAAATCAAAACTCTCTAACTCTTAAAATGTTCAGAAGAAGAATATGTTTAGGTTTCAAAGACAGTATGAGCTCAGAACAATCAGAGGTCAGTTCCAAGGCCAGGAGATCCCTATGGTCCCTTCCAACTTTCTTATTTTAGTCCTAGGATAAATGCCAGCCTCTCTGTCTTCTGAACATAAACAGCATGTATCTTTTACATGTTAAAACTCTGATAACTCTAATTGTATATATGCTACAATATTTGAAGAATCAAAGAAAATTAAAAATACCCTTTTTCCAAACTTGCAAAGCCAGAATCAAGAATGACATGGGGATCCCTCCTATGCCACAACCACCACCAGTGAAGCAAACACATGTAGCCCTGCTCCTGCGGATACCCCACCCCAGCTGACATGTCTGCACTGCTGTGGCTACTGGCATGTGTGAGTGAGCATAAATCCCACAGCCACCACCCTGAAAAATCACTTTGCACAGCACCATGCATTGGAGTTTTGTGGCCAGCAGACTGAGAACAACTTAGCACCTCCAGTACAGCAGGTTTCTAACCTCAAGGGATCAGAAAACAAAGCTGGGGGCTCAATACCAGTCTGCAGAGTTAGAGCACACAACCCAGGAGTGCTGAGCTGAGACTTGGCCTCCCAAAATCTTCCAGAAATTAAGCCAGTTGACTTAACCCATGGTATACCACAATCAAACCCCCAAGTCCATCAAAGAAAAAAAAGCAAACAAAACAAACCAGAAAAAACAAACAAACAAAAAACACCCATCCAAAGGACGACAACTTCAAAGACCGAAGGAACATCAGCCCACACATATGATAAAAAATCAATACAAGAACTCTGGCAACTCAAAGACCAGAGTGTATTATTATCTCCAAGGAACTACATTAGCTCCCCAGCAATTGTTTTTAATCAGGCTGAAATGGGTGAAATGACAGAAATAAAATTCAGAATAGATAGGAATAAAGATCATTGAGATTCAGAGAAAGTTGAAACCCAATTCAGGGATTCTAAAGAACACAAGAAAATAATACAGGAACTGAAAGACATAAGGATCATTTTAAGAAAGAACCAACCAAACTAATCTGATAGAGATGAAAATCTCAGTTCAAGAATTTTTAATACAATCACATGTATAACAGTAGAATAAACAAAGCTGAGGAAAAAATCTAAGTGCTTGAAGACAGGAAATTACTCAATCAGACAAAAACAAAGAAAAAAGAAAAAGCAGATTACATGAACACTCTGAGAGATATGGAATTATGTAGAGACTAAATTTATGACTTATTGGCATCATCTTTATCATCCTGAAAGAGAGGAAGAGAAAACAAGCAGCCTGGAAAGCATATTTGAGGATATCATCCATGAAAATTTCCCCAACCTTGCTAGACAGGCCAACATTCAAATTCAGGAAATGTGGAGAAGCCCTGCAAAATATTATAAAAGATGACCATCCCAAAGACACATAATCTTCAGATTCCCTAAGGTCAAAATGAAAGAAAAAATGTTAAATGCTGCTACAGAGAAAGGGTAGGTCACCTACAAAGGAAACCTTATTAGGCTAACAGTGGACAATTCAGCAGAAATTCTACAAGCCAGAAGAGATTGGTGGCCTATATACAACACCCTAAAAGAAAAGAATTTCCAACCAAGAAATTCATATTCAGCCAAACTAACTTCATAAGAAAATGAGAAATAAAATCTTTTTCACACATGCAAATGCTAAGGGAATGTGTTATCACCAGATTTATCTTTCAAGAGATTCTTAAGGGGGTGCTAAACATGACAATGAAAGACCACTACGGGCCACCACAAGGAAACAGTTAAGTACATATACCATTGACGCTATAAAGCAACTACATAATCAAGTCTACTTGACAACCAGCTAACAACACAATGACAGGATCAAATTTGCACATATCAATATTAGCCATAAACATAAAGGGGATAATCTCTCCACTTAAAAGCCACAGTTAAAGTAAGTTAAAGAAACGATACTCAACTGTATGCTGTTTTCAGGAGATCAATATCACATGCATTGCCAGCAATAGGCTCAAAGTAAAGGGATAGAGAAAAATCTACTAAGCAAAGGGAAAACAGAAAAAAAGCAGGGGTTGTTATTCTAATTTCAGAAAAGAAAAACAGACTTTAAAAAAACAACAATCAAAAAAAGACAAAGAAGGACATTAAATAATGGTAAAGTGTTCAACTCCACAAGACCTAACTACCTTAAATATATATGCCCTCAACAAAGCAGCACCCATATTCATGAAACAAGTTCTTAGAGACCGAGATCCAAAGACCTAGATCCAAAGAGACCCAGATAACCACACAATAATGCTGTGAGACCTCAGCACCCCACTGACAGTATTGGGCAAATCATTCAGGCAGAAATCTAACAAAAACATTCAGGATCTGAACTTAACACTTGATCAAATAGACCTAATACCATCTACAGAACACTCCACCCAACGACAACATAATATGCATTCTTCTCATCTACAAGTGATACATACTCTAAAATCAACATCATGGTTGGCCATAAAACAATTCTTAGCAAATAAAAAACTGCAATCATACCAACCACACTCTCAGACAACAGTGCAATAAAAATACAAAAAAATACTGAGAAAATAACATAAAGCCATAAAACTATATTAAAATTAAACAAGCTGTCTTGGAATGACTTTTAGGTAAACAATGAGATTAAGGGAAAAATCAAGAAATTCTTTGGAATTAATGAGAACAAAGATACAACATAGGAAAATCTCTAAGACACATTTAAACAATTGTTAAGAGGGAAATTTGTAGTGCTAAAGGCCCACATCAAAAACTTAAAGAGATTTCAAATCAACAACTTAGCATCTAGAGGGACTAGAGAAACAAGAATAAATTAACCCAAAAACTAGCAAAAACAAAAAAGAAAGAAAGAAATAATCCAAATCATAGCTGAAGTGAAAGATGAGATGAAAAGAAAAATATACAAAAGATCAATAAATTAAGGACTGTATTAGTTTGTTCTCATGCTGTTATAAATAAATACCCAAGACTGGATAATTTATAAAGAAAAGAAGTTCAATTGACTCACAGTTCCACATGGCTTGGGAGCCCTCATGAAACTTACAATCATGGTGGAAGGTACCTCTTTAAAGGGTGGCAGGAGAAACAATGAATGCTAGCAGGGGAAAGGCAAGATGCTTATAAAACCGTCAGATCTCATGAGGACTCACTCACATACGAGAACAGTATGGGGGAAACTGCCCCCATAATTCAGTTACCTCCCACCAGTTCCTTCTCACAACACATGGGGATTATTACAATTCAAGGTGAGATTTGGGTGAGTACACAGAGCCAAACCATATCAAGGACTTTGTTATTTGAAAGAATAAATTAGACTCATAGACCACTAACTAGACTTATAAAGAAAAAAAAAGAAGATGCAAATAAACACTATGAGAAATGTCAAAGAAGTCATTATCACCAACTCCACAGAAATACAAAAAACCCTCAGAGACTAGCATGAACACCTCTATGCACACAAGCTAGAAAACCCAGAAAAAAATTGGATAAATCCCTGGAAACATACAACTTCCAAAGATTGAACCAGGAACAAATTGAATCCCTGAACAGACCAACAATGAGTTTGAAATTTAATCAATAATAAAACCCTAACAAACAGAAAAAAACCCAGGACAATACAGATTCACAGCTGAATTCTACCAGATATGTAAAGAAGAGCTAGTACCATTTCTACTGAAACTATTCCAAAAAATTGTTGAGGAGGGACTCCTACCTAACTCACTCTATGAGACTAGTGTCATTCTGATACCAAAACCTGCCAGAAACACAACACAAAAAGCAAACTTCAGACAAATATCCTTGATAAACATAGATGCAAAAATACTCAAAAAAATACTATTAAACCAAATTCAGCAGCATATCAAAAAACTAATCTACCACCAAGTAGGCTTTATCCCTGGGATGCAAGGTTGGTTCAATATACACAAACCAATAAATGTGATTCATCACATAAACAAAACTAAAAACAAGAACCACATGATCATCTCAATAGATGCAGGAAAGGCTTTCAATAAGATTTAATATTTCTTCATGTTAAAAATCCCTCAAGAAACTAGGTGTTAAAGGAACAAACCTGAACATAATAAGAACCATCTATGAAAAACCCACAGCCAATGTCATAATAAATTGGCAAAAGCCAGAAGCATTACTTTTGAGGACCAGAACAAGACAAAGATTCCCTCTCTCACCACTGCCATTCAACATAGTGCTGGAAGTGCTAGCCAGAGTCATCAGGCAAGAGAAAAAAATTAAAGGCATCCAAATAAAAAGAGGGAAAGACAAACTATCTCTGTTTGCAGACAATATGATTTTTATGTAGAAAATCCCAGAGTCTATACTCAAAAGCTCCTGGATCTGGTAAACAACTTCAGCAAAGTATCAGGATACAAAATCAATGTACAAAAATTAGTAGCTTTTCTATATATCAACAATGTCTAAGCTGAGAGCCAATTCAAGAAGGTGATTTCATTCACAACAGGAACAAAACAGAAATACCTAGGCGTACAGCTAACTAGGAAGGTAAAGATCTCTACAATGAGAATGATAAAAAGTTGCTCAAAGAAATCAGAGATGACACAAACAAATGGAAGAACATTCCATGCTCGTGGATAGGAAGACTCAATGTTAAAATGGCTATACTACACATGGCAATTTACAGATTCAATTCTCTATCAAACCACCAATGTCATTCTTCACAGAATTAGAAAAAAAATTTAACATTTATATGGAAATCCCCCTCAAAAAAAAAAAAAAAGCAAGAATAGTCAAAGCAATCCTAAGCAAAAAGAACAAAGCCAAAGACATCACACTATCTGACTTCAAGCTATACTGCAAAGCTACAGTAACCAAAACAGCATGGTTCTGGTACAAAAACAGACACATAGACCGGTGGAACACAGTAAAGAGCCTAGGAATATACTTGCACAATTACAACCATCTGATCTTCAACAAAGCTGAGAAAAACAATCAATAGGCAAAGGACTGCATACTAAATAAATGGCGCTGGCATTACTGGCTAGCCATATGCATAAGATTGAAACTAGACCCTTTCCCTACATCATATATAAAAATCAACTCAAGATGGATTAAAGACTTAAATGTAAAAACTCTAACTATGAAAATCATGAAAGATAACCTAGGAAATGCCATTCTGAACATAGGCATTCTGGCAAAGATTTCATGTTGAAAAATGCCAAAAGTGATTGCAACAGAAACAAAAATTCAGAAATAGGATCTAATTAAACTAAAGAGCTTCTGCACAGCAACAGAAACTATCAACAGATTAACTAGACAATCTGAAGTATAGGAGATAATATTGCAGACTATGCATCCCATAAAGGTCTAATATCCAGAATCTATAAGAAACTTAAATAAATTAACAAGCAAAAACCAAACAATGCCATTAAAAAGTGGGCAAATAACATGAACAGAAAATTCCCAAAAGAAGACATACACATGGCCAACAAGCATATGAAAAAATTCCAACATCACTAATCATTAGAGAAATGCAAATCAAAACCATAGTGAGATACCATCTCACAGCAGTCAGAATGGCTATTATTAAAGTGTCTATAAATAATAGATGCTGGCCAAGTGTGGTGGCTCTTGCCTGTAATCCCTGCACTTTGGGAGGCCAAGGCAGGTGGATCACAAGGTCAGGAGTTTGAGACCACCCTGGCCAACATAGTGAAACCCCATCTCTACTAAAAATACAAAAAATTAGCCAGGCATGGTGGCAGGCACCTGTAATCACAGCTACTTGGGAGGCTGAGGCAGGAGAATTGCTTGAACCTGGGAGTGGAGGTTGCAGTGAGCCAAGATAGTGCCACTGCAATCCAGCCTGGGAGACAGAGCAAGACTCCGTCTCAAAAAAATAAATAAATAAATAAAAATAACAGATGCCGGTAAGGTAAGGTTGCAGAGATAAATGAAGTCTTATACACTCCTGGTTGGAATGTAAGTTAGTTCAGCCATTATGGAAAGTAGTTAAAATGAAAGTACCATTCAACCCTGCAATCCCATGATTGGGTACATACTTAAAGGAATATAAGTTTTTCTACCATAAAAACATATGCACATGTATGTTCATTGCAGCAGTATTAACAATAGCAATGACATGGAATCAATTTAAATGAACATTAATAGTAGATTGGATAAGAAAATATAGTATATATACACCATGAAATACTATGTAGCCATTAAAACAACAACAACAACAACAAGATCATGTCCTTTGCAGGACCATGAATGGAGCTAGAGGCCATTATCCTAAGTGAACTAATGCAGGAAGAAAAAACCAAATGCCACTTGTTCTCACCTATAAGTGGGAGCTAAACTTTGAGTACACATGAACATGAAGAAGGGAACAACAGACCCCAGAGCCTACTTGAGTGTGGAGAGCGGGAGGAGGGTGAGGATCAAAAAACTATTTATCTGTGGGTGCTATGCTTATTACCTTAGTGATGAAATAATTTGTACACCATACTTCCATGGCATGCCATTTACCCATATAACAAACCTACACATGTACTCCTGAACCTAAAATAAAAGTTAAAAAAATAACAACATGGCTTATTTGGCTTTGGTGATGTATATTACTGGGCAAACTGAGAGCTGACTGTTAAGTCACAGTTCCACTCTGGAGAAACCACAGCTTTGGTTGAGAGTGACTACTGGTTAGATTAAATGAGTGACTAACCTCAAAGAGTAAAGCACTAAAACTGGTCCTAGTTTCTAGAATCCAAAACAACAGTCAATGCTTACTATGGTAATTCAATGTAACTAGGGCATTAACAATTTCTAACGTGCCTTCCAGTTCAAAAACAAAAGCTAATGTATAATATAGATGAGGTACATGAGAACATGTTAAACTATCTTTAATAGTATTTTTCTTCTCACCTATGCTATATGAATAGGTTTAAAAAAGTTTGGAAAAGCAATGTAATTGCACAGGTGTCTAGTTACATCATGACCACTGCTGAAGCTAACAAACTGCAGAAAGTACAAAGCTATTCTCCCATAAAGAGGATGTTGCACACAGGGATGGGAAATATCCATATTGAAAATCTCCAAGGATAAATTCCAATAGGCAAAGTTTATCTACAGTATTTTCACTCTAGAGGCAGCAACCTTAAGTGGCCTTCTATACACAAAAATATTTTTTCATTATAGGGTTAAGACCTTTTCATATTAATGTCAAGCACTTTCCTCCATGTTACTACTCAGAGAAAAATGAACAGAGGATCTTCTAAAATTATGAAAATTATGAAATCCTTATATATCCATATTCACATATATAAATATATATTATATTATATATATATATAAATTAGCATTCTTCGACAAAATGGTTTAAATCCAATTATCCAGCAGATCTCAATGTATGTGAAACTGGAGCCTGAGTTTACTCCATTTGTGTTTTTGCTTTCACCTTTCCTGCAATCTTAACCCCTTGAAATGAGTTTCTCACATTTCCCTGAGGTCAGGAGTGCAGAGTTGCATGCAGTAGAAACACGTTAGCTATTTTCTCATGGGCCAGTCCATTATTATTACACAGTTATTAGAACATAAGGAAATAGGCATAGAATATAAGGAAATAGGCACAGAACATTTACCTAATGCCTCACCTCATCTGTAGTGAAGCCTGGTTTTCTTCCCAATAATACTAATATATTTTGGCTCTGTAAATTACAGAGAATAAATGTATACTATGACATGAAACAGAGACACGTGACAGAGCCAACTACAGAAAGGGGATGGGGTAAACTACAATGAACAAGTGAAGTTACCCTGAAACCCTTGATGAAAAGTTTTACTCCCCTTCCTTGTGGGTGGCAAATAGTCTGACAAGCTTTGCTCTAGCATTCAGTGTATTTTTTGACATTAAACCAGAAAGACATGATGGCATTTCTAAGTTCACTAACAATAAAATTTCACAGGTAAGCTTTAAGAATTACAAAGAAAGGAGAAAAGGTGGAAAGAATGGAACTATGCACATAGTTTCTAATAAATGTCAACCTACCGTCTCTTGTTATGCTCTAACCAGAAAAAGGGGATGAGGGTGGCTTCCAAAATGTCTCATCAAGTTTTGGTTGCAACATTTTGCAATCATAATAATGAAACTATGAATTATAAGTTCATGAGAACAAGATCTTATTGAAAATAAAATATTTTTAAAAATGATTATAAAAGAACTTAAGAAAAATTGCTTATCTCCCATTCAGTATGATCTAGTATAAAGTCAGAAGATCTCAGTCAAATTGTTCCCTCTCTTATCATTCTATTTTCATTTTTATTAGCTCTTGTTTATACTCAAAAGATGGGGTTATAAAGGTGATAATGGTCAGATCTAGAAGTGAACTCTCTTACTGCAATAATTATGCTTTATTGATTTGTTAAATGTTTATATTCTGAAAAAACATTTAATAGTATTAAAATTTCAATCATTAGCCTCATACTAATTAACATAAATTTCACACCATGCATATCAATCACTTTATTTTAATACAAATAATGCACTTAAAGGAAAAATTTCCCAAATGTCTTTATTTTTGACTTGGCAAATAATGTTAACAATTATATATTCTAATATAGTCAGATAGGGGCTCCATATTTAGCTACATGAGTAAAATTCTGTTTCCATTCTGTGTTGAATATTTATGCTAAAATTTATTTTGATTTTTCTAAGTTGCACATCTCTTTTACATACCTTCTGAAGTAAATGACACCCTCCACATTCAAATCAAAAGAGACAGAGAAGTGGCTTAAAATTCATATTAATAGTTGGATTCAAAATTTAAACATTATTATAAACATAGAACTGCAACAGCTGTTGGCTTAAATTTGTGTGTAGATCCACACAGTCAACTGCTCTGTGACAAAGGAGCAATGATAATTCCAGGAAGAAAAAGCAATCCTCAACAAATGGTGCTGGAACAACTGGATATTCATATGCAAAAAAGATTCTATACACAGATCTTAAACATTTCAAAAATAATTAATTTAAAATGAATCATAAACCTAAATTTAAAGCTAAAAACTATAAAACTAATAGAAGATACTATGGGAGAAAGTCTAGGTGACCTTAGGTTTGGTGATGACTTTCTAGATGCAACACCAGAAGCACAATACATGAAAGAAAATATTGATTAGGTGTACTTTATTAAAAATAAAAACTTCTGCTCTGTGAAAGACACTGTTGGGAGAATGAAAATACAAGCCACAGATTGGAAGAAAATCTTTGCAAAATACATATCTGATAAAGGACTGAGCTCTAAAATGTATGAATAACTCTTTAAACTGAACAAAGCAACAACCCAATTAAAATATGGGCTGAAAACCTGAACAGACATCTGACCAAAGAATGTGTGTGTGTGTACATATATATGATATAAAATATGCTCAACATCATTTGTCATCAGGAAATTATAAATTAAAACAACGAGGAGATACCATGATACACCTAGTAGAATGTCTAAAATTCTAAATGCTTACACCAAATGCTGGAGAGGATGTGGAACAACAGAAACTCTCATTCATTACTAATGAAAATGCAAACAGTTACAGCCAATTTAGAAGAGAGTTTGGCAGCTTTTTACAGAAGTAAGCATATTCTTACTAATATGATTGGCTGTGTCCCCACCAAATCTCATCTTGAATTGTAGCTCTCATAATTTCCACATGTTGTGGAGGGGCCCAGTGGGAGATAATTGAATGATGGGGGTAGTTTCCCCCATACTGTTCTCGAGGTAGTGAATAAGTCTTATGAGATCTGATGGTTTTATAGGGGGAAACCCCTTTCATTGGCTCTCATTCTCTTTTGCCCGCAGCCATATAAGACATGTCTTTCCCTTTCCACCATGGTTGTGAGGCCTCCCCAGCCACACGGAACTGTGAGTCCATTAAACCTCTGCTTCTTTATAAGTTAGCCAGTCTCTTGTATGTCTTTATCAGCAGCATAAAAATAGACTAATTTACTAACCATACAATCCAGCAACTGCACTCTATGGCATTTACACAAATGAGATGAAAACTTCTATCTGCACAAAAACCTGCACAGATTTATAGCAGTTTTATTTACAATTGCCAAAACTTGAAGCAAATAAGATCTTTCCCAATAGGTGAATGGATAAACAAATGGTATTACACCTAATCAATGGAATATTTTCCAACAACAGGAATAAATGACTTGTGGCAGGGTTTCAAAATGGCAGCATAGAAGCAAACTGGCTTCACTCCCCCTCCACAAAATATAAAAACCAATATACACTGCAGAGACTATCACCAACAATATCCCAGAACTCAAATATGAGAGTGAGGCAGTTCCCAGGACTACAGAGAATTAAAACAAAACAAAACAAAAAAACAACTTGGAACATATGGTAAGAGAATTGGACCTTCATAACCAGAATGTTCCTCTCCTTAATCTTTCTAGTACCTGCTACTGGTGGTGAATCGGTACAGGTCTGCAGCAACCTCAATTCTAGCCTCCTCAGAAGAAAGAATTTAACTGAGGGGCATAGGTAGAAGGAGAGACTGAAGCAAATTTTAGATTTGTACCCCCAGAATTAGAATATTAATCCATATTTTTACATTACCCATCTATTTGTTGCTTCTGAGTCGAGCCAGAGATCACTGGTTGGTTCAGAGAAACAAGCAAGGTTAGTCTAAGTTGCAGACAAGAATTCAAAAAGTGAAAATTTATTAAAAAGCTTTAGAGTAGTAACAAAAGGAAGGAAAGTACACTTGGAAGAGGGTCAAGTGGGTGACTTGAAAGACAAGTGCATGATTTGACCTTTTGACTTAGGGTTTAATACATTGGCATATTCCCGGGGTCTTGCATCCCTACACCCTTGAGACTTTCTTTGGGGTGGGCTGTCCCCATGTGCACTGGCCTGCCAGCACTTGAGAGGGGAGCATGCACAGTGTGTTTAGTGGAGTTGTATGCATGCTTACTTGAGGCATTTTTCCCTTACATGCTGAATGTCCATTGGAAGTCATATACCAGTTAAACTGTGCCATTTTGCCTCTTAGTGCGCATGTGTAGGCCAGCTTGCCAAACTTCTGAGACCTGATCAGGAAGCTGCTGATCATCAGCTCCAGGTGTTTCTGTTTATTGAGAGACTGCCTTTCCATTGCACTGGTTGTGACCAATCGTTATTTTAGAGACACAGTTAACAACCACCTTACAATCGCCTGATGGTTGCCCAGGATTCTTTGTGTGTGGGGTGTGTGTGTGTGTGTGTGTGTGTGTGTGTGTAAGCCCTCTTCTGCTCTGCTCATGTCTGACTAGCTACCTACTGTAACATTTCCTCCCTCAAGATTCCAAGACCCCAATTCTTTGGGGAAAATGGGCAAAGGTTAGTCTTTTGTAACCGCTTCCTGCTGACAGAGGGATGATGGTGGTTGTTCTGTGGGTCTTGGCCTCTTGCTAGCTTTCATGGCAGGGGGGTGGTTCCATGGGTTGATGAATGCAGTTTCCAGCCAGGTCCAAGGGAGACAGGAGCATGACTTTACCTCTGTCATGTCTCACTTATGGGCAGTCTAGAGGTCCCTTGTAGAAGGGTGACTCTTGGATATTGAGCGGACAGTATACCTCACTGAGGATTATCTGGAGCTTGAAGGCCTGAAGGTGAGAGGGGACAAAATGAGTTATTAGATTTAGAAGAATGTTAAAACAAGGCTGGGCATGGCTTATGCCTGTAGTCCTAGCACTTTGGGAGGCTGAAGCAAGCATATCACTTAAGGCCAGGAGTTTGAGATCAGCCTGGCCAACATAGCAAAACCCTGTCTCTACCAAAAACACAAAAGTGAGCCAGGCATGGTGGTGCATGCTTATAGTTTCAGCTATCCAGGAGGCTAAAGTGGGAGAATCACTTGAACCTGGGAAGAGGAGGTGGCAATGAGCCAATATTGTGCTGCTACATTCCAGCCTGGGGGGACAAAGCAAGACTCTGTCTCAAGAAAAAAAAAAAGCAGAAGAATGTTAAAACAAAATAAGGGGGTGAGGATGACTCCAAAATTTCCTGAGGCTGCCAACATGCCTAGGTAGTTGGTGGTTATAGTCATGCCTACTAGAACTTGGGGTTTATGAGGTTGCTAGTCAATTCCAATATACCTCCAGAATTAGAATATTGATCTAGAACTTTACATTACCCATCCCTTTTGTTTCTTCTGAGCTGTAGCCAGAGATCACTGTTTGGTTAGGAGGAATAAGCAAGGTTAGTCTAAATTTCAGACAAAGATTCAAGAACAACTGATGGGACTAGAATATAATAATAGGTGTACCATAGTTCTTGAAACATAATTTTTCTCTCTCCAATCCTCAATTTTATTAAAAACAAATTATGATAAGACTGATTTGTTTGCAAAATAAGCTTTAGTCTTATTATACATGATCTCATTATTTGGATAAAGCACAGCAAGAATAATTATTTACCATATAGGCTCTTTTTAAATTGGCTTTGAGGGAACTTTATTTGATAAGGAATCTCAGATAAGACTCTTTTTAAAGCCTTAAGCCCACTCATGAGTTTATGCCATCAAATACCTGTATAACTTGGGTAAATCTCCCCCCTCTTGAGGTCCCAAGAAAACTTAGGGCTCCTGGGCCTGTTAGAAAGTGACACTCTACTTACCACATGTCAGGAACCCTGTACAGGGACTGTTTAGACAAAGTGTAAGGTGAGTTTTCCCAAGGGGCTTTCATTGGCTGTGTAAGTCACATTCGATTCCTTAAAAAGGAATCAAAGCACATCACTCCAGTCAAAGCCTTGCTAAAATAACCAAGTTTCTCCAATTGTGTCTGTTGTAAAAGAAGACAGATTCTTATTGCACTTATGCAAATAACTAAATTGCCATATGTTAAGAATACTCACAAATGGCTTCCAAATTTTGGAGAAATCTGGTAGAAATATGCTCCAAAATTTTTTATAGGAGTATACTTTACTCAATTGTTAAAAGCTATAAATAGCTCAAAAGAAAAGTCTTCTTGGCTTTGAAAAACAAAGGATTTGCAACTTTTTAAGGAAAAAAATCACAAAAGGATTATTTAATTCTTCTAGAACATTTACTCCATGCAGTTCACTCCTGTTCTGATTGATATTCATGAACATTTCAGCTCTCCATGATAGTCCTGAAAGCTTTTCTTCTATTTTAATGTCACAATCTCCAAAGTTATCAGAAACCTGCATTTAAGCCTACAGCTGATTATAAAATTAAAACAAAACAATTGTCTGTGGATAACAAAATGTCTAAGGGCAGCCACAGTCAAAGACACAATTGACAAGGAAATTTGTTATTTCTGTGGCACATAATAATCTTATATAACAATAATTATTACTGATAACATATACTAAGTCATATCAGAATTATAGGAGTTTTGCATAACTTTAGGACACATACCAATAATACATTTATACAAATACAGGTGAAAGAAATCCAGGTATTACCTTTGCATTAGTGTACTATTGATGTCAAACCCATTTGTTAATAAAACCTCATAGAGAAATCTATACACTTTTATTCAGTCTGACCATAAGTTAAGATTCTCATAAGCTTTTCATAACCCTTTACCATGTTTTTGTTAAAAAGCAGAAAAATTCTCTAAGAAAAACCTGTCATGGTTTTAGTCTAATATTCAATTTACTGGAAAACTGAATAATACCCTTTTAACTTTAGCCAATATGTTCACACACAGAATTTCTTTTACAAGATTAATTTTTTACAAACCTTTCACAACTTGTGCAAACCTTGAGATCTTTCCTATCTAACTTAAAACAAGCCTTAACCCTTTAATCTAGGCAAAAAAAATCCACATTTCCATGCCTTCTTATAATCTTTTACTAAAAACGCATTTTACTTTCCAACACACCTTGTGCGTAACACTGTTTCTTCAGTACTCTCAACTACATGTTACAATGTTAACTCTTAGCAACTTTTATTTTTGGTGAAAAACCTGGCAAGTAAGTGATTTTAATTATTAAGTATAAAGCCTGGGACACTAGACAGAAGTGCAGATGAGCTCTGACCCTTTCCTGTGTAGCCAGAGGGAATGGATAACTCCACACGTGCCCAGGCATTACCTAAAATCAAATGGTTCCCAAACAGGTAAGTTGAACAATTTTCAATAGTCACAGAAGCAGATTATGACCTTAAAGCATTTAGAAAACTGGATGTCTTACCTGCCTAATTTAGACCAAATGTTTAAATTTCTGAAGATTTTTTATTTTACCAATAATCTTTAAAACTGTCTTTATTTATTAAAGATTACTTAAGTAACATGAAACAAAATGCATTACAGTTTTTATTTTTCTGAAAAAATATTTGATTTAAGCTCTTATTATTTTTAAGCCAATCATTCAGAGCTCTCTCATATATAACCATCACACACGCAACACATATAAATACACAGAGAGGCAGAAGATTCAGTAGTTGTAAGATTTTTCATTTGTTAATTTTAAGTTTCTTATTTGGATTACTGGCTACAGGGTGGAGCCCTTTGAGAAACAGGGCCAGAAAAGCATGCAGGTTCTAGGGCCTAATAAGCAGGCAGGCACATCTGGAAGGCAAAACAGATCCCTGAAAATTAAGGGTCCCATTTTTATACCAGATCCTGGATTCCATATAAGGAAGGAATCAGTCCATCTCCCATGGGAGTCTTACCTCTCAGTGGGGAGTGAGGAGATCGCCATATCTTCTATGTGGGCAAGAGCATGCGTCTCTGATCCAAACGTGTAAAGAGATGCATATCCCACCTTAACTGCAAGTAGTCACCCCTAAAAGTATATTTCCTACCTAGTGATTATACACTAAAGCGCTCTCATAACGTGAAGTAATTTCTGATATCCACAAAAGTCATAAACATCAGATAATGCAATGCAAAACAGAACAGAGCCTTAGATTTTGAGAGAAATGTATCTGCTTTCAATTCCTGTGGCTTTCTGAGGAAAACAGAAGTTTTTCCCAAAATGAGGTTTGTCTCACTTTCTCCGTTTTTCCCAAGATGTCCCAGGCTGTTAGAAACTATCTTAGATCCTTTCATTTGTGCATCAAGAGTGGCAAGAAGACAAATGGAGAAAAACAATTCAGCTGATTGAGAAGAAAAAAAACCCTTTACTACAGGAAAACACAATCCAAGAAGAGAAAAAAAATATAAAGACCTTTTAAATATATGCATGGTTTAGATATCTGCTTTTAATAAAAGTTGAATTTTAATCATAGCATGCTTTTAAATAAATTCTTTTAAATATCTTATTACCCTGCTTTAGGTAGACCATACATCCAATATTTCTGGCTTTTAAACTTTACAAAAAGTAACCTCACAGGCGAAATCAATAAGCCTTAACTAAGGTTATGATTTAACCACAAGTGTACAGGGTATTTTCAATAAGGTGGCTAGCAGTTTTTACAGGATCTAGAATCTCCAAAGTAGCTTAGAGAAAGAAAAATTTAAGAAGGAAAGTCAGATATTGTTCATGGAGGAGCAGAGAATCAATAAATGGCAAAGGTCACACAGATATCAAGCAGAAAGCACTGATTCCCTAAGCCAGGAATTTAACTCTGAACCCATGCTGCCATTGGAAAAAGACAAAGCCTTAGCTACTAAACTGCAGCATTGGGCAGTTTCCATTTCTCTTCCCAGAAGGAGGCTAGAGCAGTGAATTTTGAGCTTGAAATGGCTTTTAACTTGCTCAAGATAATTTTGTGAGCTAACTATGACACGAATTCCAAAAATCCTGTCCTCCAGATGGTGGAGATGACCAAGACAAAGTTTCTGAACACGGTTACAAGGTCAAGCTCCTAAGGACATAAAACAAGAAGAGAGGAAAACTTCATTATTTTGTTTTTGTTTTTATGGTTCAGGGTTTTATGGTTCTGCATGGATCTCAGAGGATGGGGGCTGTACTCTGGCTGTTTTCATGACTGGCGTTGAGTGTCAGTGGCTTTTTCTGGTGCGTGATGCAGGCTATTAGTAGATCTACCATACTGGGGTCTGGAGGATGGTGGCCCTCTTCTCACAGCTCCACTAGGCAGTGCCCCACTGGGGGCTCTGTGTGGGGGCTCACAACCTGATTTTTCTTCTGCACTGCACCTAGCAGATGCTCTCCATGAGGGCCCTGCCCCTGAAGCAAACTTCTGCCTGGACATCCAGGCATTTCCATACATCCTCTGAAATCTAGGCAGAGGTTCCCAAACCTTAATTCTTGACTTCTGTGTACCCACAGACTCAATACCACATGGAAGCTGCCAAGACTTGGGGCTTGCACCCTCTGAAGCTATGGCTTGAGCTGTACCTTGGCCCCTTTTAGCCAATAGTCATGGCTGGAGGGGCTAGGATGCAGGGCACCAACTCCCTAGACTGCACACAGCAAGGGAGCCCTGAGTCTGGCTCAGAAAACCATTTTTTCCTCCCAGGCCTCTGGACCTGAGAAGGCCTCACAATCAAGGCAAAAGACAAAGGAGGAGCAAAGTCACATCTTACATGGCAGCAGGCAGGAGAGCCTGTGCAGGGGAACTCCTGTTCATAAAACCAGCAGACTGATGGGAGGGGCTTCTGTGAAGGTCTCTAACATGGCCTGGAGACATTTTCCCCATTCCCTTGGTTATTAACATTCGGCTACTTGTTACTTATGCAAATTTCTGCAGCGGGCTTAAATTTTGTCCCAGAAAATGTGTTTTCTTTTCTACTGTATTGTCAGGCTGCAAATTTTTCAAACTTTTATGCTCTACTACCTCTTGAACACTTTGCCATTTATAAATTTCCTCCCCCAGATATCCTAAATCAACTCTCTCAAGTTTAAAGTTCCACAGATCTCTAGGACAGGAGCAAAATCCTGCCAGTCTCTTTGCTAAAACATAGTAAGAGTCACCTTTGTTCCAGTTCTTAGCAAGTTTCTTAACTCCATCTGAGCCCACCTCAGCCTGGACTTCATTGTCCATATCACTATCAGCATTTTGGTCAAAGCCATTCAGCAAGTCTCTAGGAAGTTCCAAAGTTTCCCACATCTTTCTGTCTTCTGAGCCCTCCAAGTCTCTAGGAAGTCCTAAACTTTCCCACATTTTTCTGTCATCTTCTGAGCCCTCCAAACTGTTCCAACTTCTCTATGTTATCCAGTTCTAAAGTTGCTTCCACATTTTTGGGTATATTTACAGCAGCACCCCACTTTACCAGTACCAGTTTACTGTATTAATGTGTTCTCATGCTGCTAATAAAGACATACCTGAGACTGGGTAATTTATAAAGGAAAGAGGTGTAATTGACTCACAGCTTAGCGTGTCTGGGGAGGCCTCACAATCATGGCAGAAGGCAAAGGAAGAGAAAAGTCATGTTTTTCATGGTGGCAGACAAGAAGTCATGTGCAGAGAAAGTCGCCTTTATAAAATCATCAGATCTCATGAGACTTATTCACTATCATGATAACGGCATGGGAAAGATCCACCCCTATGATTCAGTTACCTCCCAACAGGTCCCTCTCACAACACATGGGAATTATGGGAGCTGCAATTCAAGATGAGGTTTGGGTGGGGACACAGCCAAACCATATCACTTGGAAAGCATATTTTTGCCCCAAAGATGTTTGAGGTATTTAGATATTACCAGAGACTGGTGAAAGAATGTTAATTGGTCCCTCAAGTCATATAAAGGGGTGTGAATCTTTTCTATTGGAGGGAGGGGATGCCATTTACTTTGATTGCCCAACGAGACTTGAAGGAGAATTGTTCAGAGAAGGAGATTAGCACAGAGTAGGCAGCTCTTGAACCCAAAAGGGAAAATTATAATTTTACTTGCCACCTCCAGAGTTGCCCTCAGCTTTATCTTGTTGGTGACAATGTCTCATTTGACAGCCAGCTGGAGCAGAGAGCTCCTTCTGCTCAAAGTTATCAGGGGAAAGAATTCTGTCCTGGGGTCCATCAGCCCTCAGGGCAGTCCTGTTCTAGTGGCTAAGCTTGTGGCAGAGATGGCACACCACATGAGGCTTTTTCCCATTTGTCCCAATGGGGCAGTTTGCCTTCCAGTGGCCTGGCGTCCTGCATCAATGGCACTTATTTGAAGGAGTGTCCTTAGGGAAACCTGGAAGGGGCTGGTGGGCTTGCAGAGCAGCCAATAGTTGAGTCCGCCTCCTTTTGATGTGTTTCTTCTTTTTCTTAGTCCTGTCCTCTTTATTCTACTCTCAGTTATAAAAGACTTAAAAGGCTTATTTGAGGACTTCCTGCTCAGGGGTACTGGGTTCCAAGGCTGACTTGTAAATTTCTCCCTGTTCCTTTTTAAGCCAAACAGTATTAAAAATGAAAACTAGTTTTTTGTTGTTGTTGTTGTTGTTGTTTTAAGGTTTGGGGATATCAAACTTTTCCCAGTTTTGGGGGATGCATCCGAGGGGCATGTCCTGTGGTACGTAGACATGATTACTGATCTGTGAAGAAATAATGGAAGAGAAAAAATAAAAAAGGCAAAAGAAGGTTTTTCCTCTACCTTACTATTATCCTTAATGGGGCACCCTTCATCATCCTTAGAATATTGGAATGAACCATTCTTACCCTGCACCCTTGGTCCCATCTCATCACAATTACCCACTTGAGAACAAAGGAGACACTGGAGTGAACAGTGGGCCCCCTGTTCATCTGTGGGGTTCCAGAATGAACTGGTCTTACCATATACCCTAATCTTTCATCTCTGTTCTAATGGTAATCTGTTAGCCTGGGACCACACTTCATCTCTGTCCTATGGGTCTCTCATGCCTGTGGCCTTGGGCCAGCCTACATCCTTGTCTCCATGACCTTATGGTAACTTTCACTTGAAGCACTCAAGTAACAAAATGATTATCTCTTTTCTCAGATTTCCATTTACCATGTTCTTTAAGTAGACAAGAAGGCTATTTTTCATCTAATCACCACAGGGGAATGGACTTCCTTTCTATCTCCCTTTGAATATGACCTTGAAGGTCTTGATGCATTTTGAGAAGGGCATAGAATTAGAGAAATGGAGGCTAAAGGAGAAAGTGGGAGGAAGCAAGAGTAATAGTCATGGAAAGCCTTCAAATGCTCGCAAAAACAGTAGCCCTTAGATTTGAGTGGGCAAGTTTTATTTGTCCTCTGGACATAAAGTAGTAACCTCTGGAGAAATAGGGCTTGGGGTAAGAACTCACAAATGGCAAGGAAAGAATTTTTCTTCCTCTCAAAGGGGTGATGACTCAAAAGTAGGTGGGATCCTTAAAAGGCCAGAGTGAGGCCCTAAGCCGGTGGACAAACTGCTTCAAGAGCCACCAGAAAACTTGGCCCTGGGTCATAACAGGAATGAAAAGCGTATGGTAAGTCATAAGAAGCTGACAGAGCCAGGGTTCCAATTAGTGTCTGTCCCAGCAATGCACTAGCCGACTGGAAAAGAGTTGGAGGTCATCGGAGCTGGTAGAGTAAGAACAAGTATAAATCTTAGGAATATCACAAGGGAGCCCATGCCTTTGCTGCTGCACAAATGCAGTAAAAGCCACAGATACACAAATAACAGGGAGTGTGTGCTTAAGAAGTCATGTGGCACTCAAAGTGGGTGCACAAGGCCATTTCTGAACACACACAGAGAAAACAGGAAAATAGTCAGTGCAGGTTCTTGGGAAAGAGCCCATTTTAGTTGAAAAAGCAGAGGAAACCCCAAACATTGCATGGTTTTGGGATTTAGCCTTACCACTCTCACAAACTTCCTGTCCAGGAGGGTCATTAGTGCCTCAGTTCTACTCGGTGTGGACCCCCAAGTTCCTTCCCACCCCTGCAAGCCACCCATTAGGGTGAGCTGAGAGATCATCCAGGGGGACCCGAGTCACTTATGGCCAAGAGGACTTGTTCAGGGGTTTGGTTAGTAAGCAGCAGAGAGAAAAGGAGAAGAAAACCATAGACAGGGTTTGAATGCCTGCAGCCAAAGAAGGTGAGGAATAATCTGTTACCACTAGGGAATGTATCTGAGTCACACAGCATCAAAGTATGTTAGCAGTGGAAGTTATCCAAGTCACATGACACCTAAATATGTTACCGGCAGTGAATCTGTATGGGTCTGCAACAATCTCAATTCTTGCCTTCTCAGAGGAAATAATTTAACTGAGGGGCATAAGACAGAAGAAGAGACCGAGGCAAATTTTAGAGCAGCAGTGAAAGTTTACAACAAAACTTTAGAGCAAGAATAAAAGGAAGGGATGTACACTTGAAAGAGGGCCAAGCAAGTGACTTGAAAGACAAGTCCACGGTTTGACCTTTTGACTTGGGGTTTTTATGCACTAGCATACTTCCAGAGTCTTGTGTTCCTTCTCTCCTGATTCTTCCCTTGAGATGGGATGTCCACTGCACAGTGGCCTTCCAGCACTAAAGAGAGGAGGATGCACAGAGTGTTTACTGGAGTTGTATGCATGCTCACATTGGGCATTCATCCCTTACCAGCTGAATGTCCCTTGGAGGTAATATACCAGTTGAACGCCACCATTTTGCCTCTTAGAGAACATGTGTGAACTCACCCAACTCCTGAGATCTTATCAGGAAGTTGCTGATCGATCACCAGTTTCAGGTGTTTTTGTTTATTGGGAGACTTCCTTTCCCTGGCACTGACTGTTACCAATTATTTTAGAGATACAGTTAACAACCACCTGACTATCACCTCGTGGTCGCATGACATTCCTGGTGTATGTGGAGGAGTGCAGTGGAGCCCTCTCCTGCTCTGCTCATGTCTGACTAGCTACATAATGTAACACACCAAGCACATAGAAAATTTTCCCCCAACTCATAGTTTCTGCACTGGAAAAAGTGAGGTTGAGGTGGACAACCTGATTCCCTGTTATCTTGGGTTCCCTGGCAGGAGATCTGTGTTTGCCTCACCCCATAGGAAACATCAGGACTGAAGGGAGAAACATCCCTGAGGACAGCTAGAAACAAAGGAAAGAGGTGCAACTACAATCACTAGCCCTGAAAACTCTGCTCTGTAACTGAGCCAAAGGAAACACCAAATTAGAGTAGCTGTTCCATAGCACCATACTATAGGAAATTCGAACAATAGATCCTGTGATGGTTAATACTGAGTGTCAACTTGATTAGATTGAAAGATGCAAGAATTCTTCCTGGGTGTATCTGTGAGGGTGTTGCCAAAGGAGATTAATATTTTAGTCACTGGGCTGGGGAAGGCAGACCCACCCTTAATCTGGTGGGCACAATCTAATCAGCTGCAAGCCAATATAAAGAAGGCAGAAAAAAGTGAAAAAGCGAGACTGGCCTAGCTTCCCAGCCTACATCTTTCTTGTGAGTTGCATGCTTCCTGCCCTCAAACATCGGACTAAAGTTCTCCAGCTTTTAGACTCAGACTGGCTCTCCTTGCTCCTCAAGCTTGCAGACAGCATATTGTGGGACCTTGTGATCATGTAAGTTAATACTTAATAAATTAATAGGCTATATATCCTATTAGTTCTGCCCTTCTAAGGAACTCTGACTTATACAGATTTTGGTACCAGGAGTGGTTCTAGTGGAACAGAATAATACAGATGGAGTTCTTTCATTGGTTTTTGGGTTTCTGGAGTTGGCTGCTCAATATGATTAGACCCCAAAATGCTAAGGACTCTACTTTTAATAGTATGAAGAACACTGACAGTCATTGGTATGAACTGCTTAGAAAGTTATGCAAAATAAATGCATTTGTCACTCCTGATTCATCACTCATGAGAGGCAAGGAGTTTAGTGATTCTGTACATAATATCTTTGACCATATGTGGAGAACCAAGGAACATAATGAAGCTGGTTGGGTGCTCCTAAGTTTAGTGGACAAAGTGATGAAAGAAAATGATGAAATCAGTGATTCTGTCTCCTGGCTTCAGAAGCAGGTACTGAGCCATTTAATGTTGCAGCTCAGGGAGTTAAAAAAGGTTCAAATAGCTCGTTTACTTGGTTAGCTGAGATAAAATTAAAAGATGGCCCACTGTGAGTGAGCTGGAAATGCCTGATCTCCCTCTGTTAAATATAAAGGAAAGGATCCAAAGGCTTAGGGAGATTGGAATGGTGGAGTGGATTAGTCACTTTAGACCTACTCATCCCGGCTGAAAGGGTCCAGAAGATATACCCTTGACCAATGCCTTGTGAAATAGATTTGTGAGGGCAGCACCTGCATCTTTGAAGAGCCCTGTAATTGCTCTTCTCTGTATGTGTGATTTAACAGTGGGGACCACAGTTACTCAACTACAAAATTTAAATACAATGGGAATAATTGGATCCCAAGGTGGTGGGGGCCAAGTGGCAGCACTCAGCCATCAAAGGCAAGGTGGCCATGGCTACCGTAATGGACAGCAGAGACAAAGCAGCAATCAGAATAGTCTGACTCATGTAGATCTCTGGCATTGGCTAATTAATCATGGTGTTCCTAGAAGTGAACTGATAGGAAGCCTACTGCATTCCTACTTAATTTATACAAGGAGAAAACTTTTAGGTCGAATGGACAAAAGACTAATTTGAAGTATAAAAACAGAGAATAGCAGCCCCTAAATCAATTTCCAGACTTGACCCAGTTTACAGACCCAGAACCACTTGAATGAAGGGGAGGCTGGGTCCCCTTGAGGAAGGCCTCACTACATTTTTGACAATTTATGCAGTGAATCTTTCTCCCTTCCTCCCCCAAGGAGACCTCCAGCCTTTCACCAGGGTAACTGCATTGGGGAAAGGGAAATGATCAGACATTATGGGGACTACTGGACACTGGCTCTGAGCTGATGTTGAATCTCGGGGACTCAAAACATCATTGTGACCCTCCAGTTAAAGTAGGGGCTTATGGAGGTCAGGTAATTAATGGAGTTTTAGCTCAGATCTGACTTACAGTGGGTCCAGTGGGTCCCCGGATTCATCCTGTGGTCATTTCCCCAGTGCTAGAATGCATAATTGGCATAGACCTACTTAGTAGCTGGCAGAATCCCCACATTAGCTCCGTGACTGTCAGGGTAAGGACTATCATGGTAGGAAAGGCCAAATGGAAGCAATTAGAGCTGCCTCTACCTAGAAAAATAGTAAATCAAAATCAATATCACATCCCTGGAGGGATTACGGAGATTCATGCCACCATCAAAGACTTGAAAGACACAGAAGTGGTGATTCCTACCACATCCCCATTCAACTCTCCCATCTTGCCTGTGAGAAAGACAAATTGATCTTGGGGAATGACAATGGATTATCATAAGTTTAACCAAGTGGTGACTCCAAATGCAGCTGCTTTACCAGATGTGGTTTCACTGCTTGAGCAAATTAACACATGTCCTGGTACCTGGTATGCAGCTATTGACTTGGCCAATACGTTTTTCTCCATTCCTGTCCATAACACCCACCAGAAGCAATTTTCCTTCAGCTGGCAAGGCCAGCAATATACCTTTACTGTCCTACCTCAGGGGTATGCTTTTTGTCATAATTTTATCAGAGAGAACTTGATCACTTTTAGCTTCTGCAGGATATCACACTGGTTCATTACATTGATGACATTATGCTGATTGGATCCAGTGAGCAAGCAGTAGTGAACACACTGGACTTATTGGTGAGATATTTGAATGCCAGGGGATGGGAAATAAATCTGACTAAAATTCAGGGAACCTCTACCTCAGCAAAATTTCTAGGGGCCCAGTGGTGTGGGGCCTGTCGAGATATTTCTTCTAAGGTAAAGAATAAGCTGCTGCATTTGGCCCCTCCTACAACCAAGAAAGAGGTACAACACCTAGTGGGCCTATTTGGATTTTGGAGGCAACACATTCCTCATTTGGGTATGCTACTCCAGCCCATTTATCAAGTGACCTGAAAGGCTGCCAGTTTTGAGTGGGGTCCATAACAGGAGAAGGCTTTGCAACAGGTCCAGACTGCTGTGGAAGCTGTTCTGGCAATTGGGCCATATGACCCAGCAGATCCAATGGTGCTTAAGGTGTCAGTGGCAGGTAGGAATGGAATGCTGTTTGGAGCCTCTGGCAGGCCTCCATAGGTGAATCACAGTGGAGTCCTCTATGATTTTGGAGCGAGGCCCTGCCATCTTCTGCAGATAACTATTCTCCTTTTGAGAGACAGCTCTTGGTCTGTTACTGGGCTTTGGTGGAAACTGAGCGTTTGACTATGGGTCATCAAGTTGCCATGTGACCTGAATTGCCTATCATGAACGGGGTGCTTTCTGACCCACCTAGCCATAAAGTGGGTCACACACAGCAGCATTCCATCATCAAATAAAGGTGGTATATATGTGATCAGGCTCGAGCAGGTCCTGAAGGCACAAGTAAGTTACATGAGGAAGTGGCTCAAATGCCCATGGTCTTCACTCCTGCCACCCTGCTTTCTCTTGCCCAGCCTGCACCGATGGCCTCACTGGGAGTTCTTTATGATCAATTGACAGAGGAAGAGAAAACTAGGGCCTGGTTCACAGATGGTGAACCATCTGAACGATAAGCAGGCACCACTCGAAAATGGACAGCTGCAGCACTACAGTCCCT
This sequence comes from Homo sapiens, assembly GCF_000001405.40. Classification (NCBI taxonomy): domain Eukaryota; kingdom Metazoa; phylum Chordata; class Mammalia; order Primates; family Hominidae; genus Homo; species Homo sapiens. The sequence goes on along the minus strand of NC_000023.11, from coordinate 98,851,769 downwards.
TTCTAGGACATCCCTGAAGGACAGCGGTGAAGGGAAATCTTCCCAGTGGACAGGTCTTTGAGCAGTGCACCTGGTTGTGCACTTTGCATGGAAGAAGAAATGGAGAGATGTGCAATTATATACTGATTCATGGGCTGTAGCCAATGGTTTGGCTGGATGGTCAGGGACTTGAAAGAAGCATGATTGGAAAATTGGTGACAAAGAACTTTGAGGAAGAGGTATGTGAATGGATCTCTCTGAATGGTCAAAAACTGTGAAGATATTTGTATCCCATGTGAATGCTCACCAACGGGTGACCTCAGCAGAGGAGGATTTTAATAATCAAGTGGACAGGATAACCTGTTCTGTGGACACCACCCAGCCTCTTTCCCCAGCCACCTCTTTCATAGCCCAATAGGCCCATGAACAAAGTGGCCATGGTGGCAGGGCTGGAGGTTATGCATGAGCTCAGCAGCATGGACTACCACTCATCAAGGCTGACCTGGCTACGGTCACTGCTGAGTGCCCAGTTTGCCAGCAGCAGAGATCAACACTGAGCCTTCAATACGGCACCATTCCTCGGGGTGGTCAGCTAGCTACCCGGTGGCAGGTTGATTATATTAAATCTCTTCCATCATGGAAAGGGCAGAGATTTCTCCTCACTGGAATAGAGACTTAGTAGGGATATGAGTTTGCCTATCCTGCACACAATGCTTCTGCCAAGACTACCATCCGTAGACTCATGGAATGCCTTATCCATGGTCATGGTATTCCACACAGCATTGCCTCTGACCAAAGCACTTATGGCTAAAGAAGTGCAGCAGTGGGTTCATGCTCATGGAATTCACTGGTCTTACCATGTTCCCCGTCATCTTGAAGCAGCTGGATTGATAGAACGGTGGAATGGCCTTTTGAATTCACAATTACAACGACCACTGGGTGGCAGTACTTTTCAGGGCTGAAACACAGTTCTCCAGAAGGCTGTGTATGCTCTGAATCAGCGTCCAATATATGGCACTCTTTCTCCCATAGCCAGGATTCACGAGTTCAGGAATCAAGGGGTGGAAGTGGAAATGGCACCACTTGCTATCACCCCTAGCGATCCACTAGCAAAATTTTTGCTTCCTGTTCCCACAACATTATGCTCTGCTTGCTTAGAGGTCTTAGTTCCAGAGGGAGGAATGCTGCCACCAGGAGACACAACAACAATTTCCTTAAACTGGAAGTTCAGATTGTTACCTGGCCACTGGGATCCTCCTACCTTTAAGTCAACAGGCTAAGAAGGGACTTAGAGTACTGGCAGGAAGATTGACCCGGACTATCAAGATGAAACCAGTCTATTACCCCATAATGGAGGTAAGGAAGAGTAAGCATGGAGTACAGGAGATCCATTATCCTGTCTCTTAGTATTACCCTGCCCTGTGATTAAGGTCAATGAGAAACTATAACCGCCCAATCCAGGCAGGACTACAAATGATCCAGACCTCCCAGGAATGAAGGTTTGGGTTACTCTACCAGGAAAAAAAACCCACCACCTGCTGAGGTGCTTGCTGAAGGCAAAGGGAATACAGAATGTGTAATAGAAGAAAGTAGTCATCAATATGAGCTCCACGTGACCAGCTGCAGAAACGAGGACAGTAACTGTCATGAGTATTTCCTCCTTCTTTTATTAAAAACATGTTTGTGCATGTATATACTTGTACTAAGAAAATATCTTCATTTTATTTCCTTTTTCTTTATCATGTGACATCAGATTTATTGACTTCATATCAGTATTTACGTATTGTTAACTTTAAGTAGTAGTATTTGGGTTGGGGACTGATTGGTGCATTTCCAGTTGTACGAAGAATAGTTATATTAAGTTAGGGATAATTATGACCTTATTATTGTCTTTATTTGAAGATTATGTATAATCTCAGGAGATGTGTATGGGTTCAAGTTGACAAGATGTGGATTTGTGATGGTTAATACTGAGTGTCAGCTTGATTGGATTGAAGAATGCAGAGTATTGTTCCTGGATGTGTCTGTGAGGGTGTTGCCAAAGGAGATTAACATTTGAGTCAGTGGGCTCGGGAAGGCAGACCCACCCTTAATCTTGTGGGCACAAATTAATCAGCTACCAGTGCATATAAAGCAGGCAGAAAAACATGAAAAGGCAAGACTCCCAGCCTACATCTTTCTCCCGTGCTGCATCCTTCCTGCCCTCAAGCATCGGACTCCAAGTTCTCCAGTTTTGAGACTCGAACTGGCTCTCTTTGCTCCTCAAGCTTGCAGACAGCCTATTGTGGGACTTTGTGATCGTGTAAGTTAATCCTTAATAAATTCCCATATTTTATATATATAATATATATTATAAATATATATATAGTAAATATATATTATAAATACATATATTATAAATACATATATTATAAATATATATAATATATATTATAAATATATATATTATAAATATATATTATAAATATATATATTATAAATATATATATTTATAATATATTATAAATATATATTATAAATATATATATTTAAAATATATATATTTATAATATATTATAAATATATATATTATAAATATATAGTTTATATTTATATATAAATATACAGTTTATATTTATATATAAATATACAGTTTATATTTATATATAAATATATACAGTTTATATTCATATATATAAATATAAATGTTTATATTCATATATATAAATATACACAGTTTATATTCATATATATAAATATATATGTTTATATTCATATATATAAATATATATGTTTATATTCATATATATAAATATATATGTTTATATTCATATATATAAATATATATGTTTATATTCATATATATAAATATATATGTTTATATTCATATATATAAATATATATGTTTATATTCATATATATAAATATATATGTTTATATTCATATATATAAATATATATGTTTATATTCATATATATAAATATATATGTTTATATTCATATATATAAATATATATGTTTATATTCATATATAAATATATATGTTTATATTCATATATAAATATAGTATATGTTTATATTCATATATAAATATATAGTATATGTTTATATTCATATATAAATATATAGTATATGTTTATATTCATATATAAATATATAGTATATGTTTATATTCATATATAAATATATAGTATATGTTTATATATAAATATATAGTATATGTTTATATATAAATATATAGTACATGTTTATATATATATAGTATATGTTTATATATAAATATATAGTATATGTTTATATTTATATATGTAAATATATATAGTATATATTTATATTTATATATGTAAATATATAGTATATATTTATATTTATATATGTAAATATATAGTATATATTTATATTTATATATGTAAATATACGTAGTATATATTTATATTTATATATGTAAATATACGTAGTATATATTTATATTTATATATGTAAATATACGTAGTATATATTTATATTTATATATGTAAATATACGTAGTATATATTTATATTTATATATGTAAATATACGTAGTATATATTTATATTTATATATGTAAATATACGTAGTATATATTTATATTTATATATGTAAATATACGTAGTATATATTTATATTTATATATGTAAATATACGTAGTATATATTTATGTTTATATATGTAAATATACGTAGTATATATTTATGTTTATATATGTAAATATACGTAGTATATATTTATATTTATATATAAATATCTGTAGTATATATTTATATTTATATATAAATATAAATTATTTATATATAAAATATATCTATTATAAATATATACATAATATATTTTTTATATATATATATATATATATATATATATATATATATATATATATCCTATTAGTTCTGCCCTTCTAGGGAACCTTGACTAATACAGATCCCCTGGACACAAATCCCTAGCCAGACATTCCATACTTCCAGAATATTTCCTTTGGGATCTCCCCCATTCAGATTAAGTACCATTGATTCCTTACTAGAACAAAAGAAAACTTTGGCTAAAGTCACCATATACTGCTAAAAATAAGGCAGCATCTGCCAGGTGTGGTGGCTCATGCCTGTGATCCAGCACTTTGGGAGGCCAAGGTGGGTGGATCACCTGAGGTCAGGAGTTCAAGACCAGCCTGGCCAACATGGTGAAACCTCATCTCTACTAAAAATAAAAATTAAAAAAAATAGCCAGGCTTGGTGGTGGGCACCTGTAATCCCAGTTACTCAGGAAGCTGAGGCAGAAGAATCACTTGAACCCAGAAGGCAGAGATTACAGTGAGTTGAGATCCTGCCAATGCACTCCAGCCTGGGCAACAAGAGTGAAATTTCGTCTAAAAAAAAAAAAAAAAAAGGCAAATTACAAAAAAACTCTAAGAAAATGTATGTAATAAAAAAACTAAATAACCCAGACAGAAACAATTGGACTAAATAACGAATCCTTCAATGCAAAGGCATAGCTGTACATCCACAAGAAACGGTAGCAAATAAGAAATGGTAGCAATCATCATCTCCTCAAATTGACAAAGCCAAGTACCAGAGACTGACCCTAATGAGATGGTGATATGTAAACTTTCTGATCAAGAATTTAAAATAGTTTTATTAAAAAGTTCAGTGATCTCCAAGATAGCACAGAAAAGCAATTCAGGAATGTATAATAGAAATTTAATAAAGAGATTAAAATAATAAAATCAAACAGAAATCTTGAAAGTGAAAAATAAATTTGCTCAACTGAAAAATTCATAAGGGGCTCTCAACAGCAGAACAGATAAAGCAAAGGAAAGAATCAGTGAGCTTGAAGACAGCTTATTTGAAAATATAGAATCAGAGTAGAAAAAAAATGAAAAAAGACAAATATACCCAACAAGATATAGAAAATTATCTCGAAAGACCAAATCTAGGAATTATTGGTGTTCAAGAGGGCATTGAGCAAGAGCAAGGAGTGGAAAGCTTATTCAAAGAAATAATAACAGGATACTTTTTAAAACTTGAGAAAGAGATCCAGGTACAGAAAGATCCAGGTACTTTTTAAAACTTGAGAAAGAGATCCAGGTACAGAAAGATCAGAGAACACAAAACAGGTTAGACCCAAATAAGACAACCCTAGGACATAATCAGTCTCTCAAAGTTCAAGGAAAAAGAGAATCCTAAAAGAACAAGGAAAAAAAGCAAATATAATAGAAAAAAACTGAAATTATTCTGTTAACAGACTTTTTAACAGAAATCATACAGGCCAGGAAGGAGTGAGATGACATATTCTAAGCACTGATCTAAAAAAAATAAAAACTCTCATTGAAGAATACTGTACCCAGAAAAACTATCTGTAAAATATGAAACAGAAATAAAGTTTATCTTAGACAAGCAAAAGCCGATCACCACCACTAGACGAGCCTTACAAGAAATGTTAAAGGGAGTTCTGCAATGTGAAAGTAAAAGACAATAATGTGTAAAAAGAAAACATATAAAGGTATAAAACCCACTGGTAAAATTAAGTACAAATACAAACCCAGAATACTCCAATGCTGTAACTGGTGTGTGCAATCCACTCATAACTCTAGTATGGAGCCCCAAGACAATTCTATCAATAACAATATTACCTATAGCAACCTGTTAAGAGATAGGTAATATAAGATATGTAAATTTGGACAGCATAAAGCCAAAATGTGGAGGGGGGGGTGGAGTTAAACTGTAGAGGTTGTTTTATCATTTTTTCTGTTTGTTTATATTCCTTTTTCTGTCAGCTAAAGTAAGTTGTCAGCTGTTTGAAATAACTGGTAATAACTGTAAGCATTTTTTGTAAGGTTCATGGTAATTACAATGTAAAAACTTATCATACGGTCCTAAAAAATAAAAACCAATAAATTTAAAGATACTACCAGAGAAAATCACTTAACCACAAAAGAAGACAAGAAGAAAGGCAGACAGTAGTTACAAGACAATCAGAAAACAAACAACAAAATGACAAAAATAAGTCCTTATTTATCAAAAATAACACTGAATGTAAATAAACTCACTTCATTTAAAAACCATACAGTGGTTGAATAGATAAAGAAACAAGACTCAATTATATGTTTCCTAAGACAAAACCACTTCACCTATAAAGATACACAAAAACTGAGAGGGAAGGGGTGGAAAAAGATATTCCATGCAACTGGAAACTAAAAAAGAGCAGGAATGGCTATATTTATATAAGATGGATTATAAATCAAAAACTATAAAAAAAGATAAAGCAGGTCACTATATAATGATAAAGGAGTCAATTGAGCAAATTAATAGAACAGTTATAAATATCTATGCGCCCAACACCAGGGCTTCCAAGTATGTAAACAAACATTAATAGATCTAAAGGGAGAGGTCGATTGCAATATGATAATAGTAGGATACGTCAAACACCACACTGTCAGCAATGGACAGATCATCCAGAGAAAAAATTGATAAAGAAACATAGGAGATAAAGTATAGACTAGAAAAATAAGCCTCGCTGATATTTACCGATCATTTCACCCAACTGCTGCAGAATACACATTCTTTTCATTAGCACATGGGACATTCCCCAGAATAGGCCACAAAACAAGTCTCAACAAACTAAAAAAGATAGAAATCTTATCAACTATCTTTTCTGGCCACAATGATATAAAACTAGAAGTGAACAACAAGAGGAACCTCAAAATACACAAACACATGCAAATTAAACAACATGTTCTTGAATGGCCAATGGGTCAGTGAAGAAATTAAGAAAAAATTTAAAATATTTCTTAAAACAAAAGAAAATAAAAACACAACATACCGAAGTCAATACGATGCAGCAAAACTTGTACTGAGGGAATTTTATAGTAATAAGCAAATGCCTGCATCAAAAAAGTAGAAAGACTTAAAAAAAGCAACAACAACTAGTGATGCAGCTCAAGAAACTAGAACGGCGAGAACAAACCAAACTCAAAATTAGTAGATGGAAAGAAATAATAAATATCATAACCTAAATAAATGAAATTGAGACTAAAAATAATACAGATCAACAAAATGAAAAGTTGATGTTTTTAAAAAAGATAAACAAAATTGACAAACCTTTAGATAGACTAAGAAAAAAAGAGAGAAGATTTAAATAAATAAAATCAGAAGCCAAAAAGACGTAACAAATAAGACCACAGAAATACAAAGAATCATTGGACACTATTATGAACAACTACATTCTAACAAATTGGAAATCCTTGAAGAAATGAATAAATTCCTAGAAACATATAACTTATCAACACTGAACCAGGAAGAAAAAGAAAACCCAAATAACAAACAAGAATAACGAAGCTATAATAAAAAGCCTCCCATCAAAGAAAAGCTCAGGAGCTAATGGCTTCACTGCTAAATTCTACCAAACATTTAAAGGAAAAATAATATTAATTATACTCGAATTCTTCAAAAAAATTTAATGAGGAGGGAACACTTCCAAACATATTCTACATTGCCAGCATTTCCCTGATACCAAAACCAGATAAGGAAAAAAATAAAGATAACTACAGGCCAATATCACTGATGAACATAGATGCAAAATTCCTCAACAAAATGCTAGCAAATCAAATTCAACAACACATTAAAATGATTATTCACCGTGATCAAGTGGGATTCAGCCCAAGGATGTAAGAATGTTTCAACATATGCAAATCCATAAAGGTGATACATCACATAAACAGAATCAACAACAAAACTGTATGATAATTTTAATAGGTGCTGAAAGAGCATTCAGTAAAATTCAACATCTCTTTATGATTAAAGCACTCAAAAAACAGGGTATAGAAGGAACATATGTCAAAGTAATAAAGACCATCTATGACAACCCCACAGTTAACATCATACTAAATGGGGAAAAATTAAAATCTTATCCTCTAAAATCTAGAATAAGAAAAGGATGCCCACTTTCACCAGATGATTTAGGCAAGAGAAAGAAATAAACAGCATTAACATTGGAAAGAAATAAGTCAAATTAGCCTTGGTTGCAGATAACATAACCTTACACTTTGAAATACCTAAAGACTTCACCAAAAAACTATTTAATCTTAGAACTGGTAAAAGAAATTTAGGGAAGTTGCAGGATACAAAATCTACATGTGGAAAGCAGTAGCATTTATATATGCCAACAGTGAACAATCTAAAAAAAGTCAAAAAGCAATACCATTTACAATAATTGCAAAGAATATAAAATACATAGGAATCAATTTAACCAAAGAAGTTAAATACCTCTACAAAGAAAACTATAAAACACTGATGAAAGAAATTAAAGAGAATACAAAAAATTGGTATTCCAAGCTCATGGACTGGAAGAATCACATAACTAAATGGCACCAATACCCAATGCAATTTAAAAACTCTATGCAATCCCTATTAAAATGACATTCTTCACAGGAATAGAAAAACAATTCTAAAATGTACATGGAACCACAAAAGACTCAAATAGCCAAAGCCATCCTGAGCAAAAAGTACAAAGCTAGAGGCATCACATTAACTAAATTCAAAATATACTACAAAGCTATAGGAACAATATCAGCATGGTACTGGCATAAAACAGACACATAAACCAATGTAACAGAATAGAGAATTTAGATATAAACCCATAAGTTTACAGCCAACCCATTTTCAACAAAGGTGCCAAGAACATATAATGGGAAAGGGACAGTGTCTTCAATAAATGGTGCTGGGAAAGCTGGATATCCATATGCATAAGAATGAAACTAGACCCCTATCTGCTGACATATAAAAAATAAAATAAAAATGAATTACAGACTTAAATTTAAGACCTCAAACTTAAATTTAATACCTGAAACTACTATAAGAAAACACTGGGGAAACTCCCCAGGACATTGGTCTGGGCAAAGATATTTTTTGGTAAGACCTCAAAAATGTAGGCAACAAAAGCAAAAATTGACAAATAGGATTACATCAAGCTAATGAGCTTGATACAAAGGAAATAATCAACAAAGTGACAAGACAATCCACAGAATGAGAGAAATATTTGCTAACTATACATCTGATAAGGGATTAGTAACCAGAATATGTAATATTCCCAAACAACTCAATAGCAAAAAAAGATTTGATTAAAAAATGGGCAAAACATCTGAATAAACATTTCTCAAAAAAAGACATATGAATTGTCAGCAAGTATTGAAAAAATCTTCAACATCACTAATCATCAGAGAAATGCAATTCAAAATCATAATGAGGAATCATCTCACCCTGGGTAAAATGGCTTTCATCAGAAATACAGGGAATAACAGATGTTGTCAAGGATTTAGAGAAAGGGGAACCCTCTCACACTTTTGGTGGAATGCAAACTAGTATAGCCGCTATGGATAATCATATGAAAGTTCCTCAAAAAACTAAAAATAGAATGATCATATGATTCAGCAATTCCCCTAATATATAAATATTCTCTCATTCTGTGTGTGTGTATATATATATATATATATATATATATATATATATATATATATATATATATATCTCCAAAAAAAGGAAATTAATATATCAAAGAGATACCTCCACTCCCATGTTTATTGCAGGCCTATTCACTATAACCAAAACATGGAATCAACCTAAATGCCCATCAGTGGATGAGTGGGTAAAGAAAATGTAGTATATAAGTACAGTGGAATATTATTAAGCCATGGAAAAGAACAAAATCCTATCATTTGCAGCAACATGGATGGAATTGTAGGTAATTCTATTAAGTAAAATAAGCCAAGTATAGAAAGACAAATATTTCATGTTCTTACTCACATGTGGGAGCTATAAAACTGGATCTCATGAAAATAGAGTGTAGATTGGTGGTTACCAGAGTCTGTAAAGGAAAGGGAAGTTGAGTAATGAAGAGAGTTTGATTAATGGGTAAAAATATACAGTTTGATAGAAGAAATAAGACGTCATGTTTGATAGATAAGTAGGTGATGATAGTTAAAATAATCTGTTTTATATTTCAAAATATCTGCAAGTGAATAGTTAGAATGTCTCTATCAGAAAAAAAGACAAATATTTAAGGTAATGGATGCCCCAATTACACTGATTTGATCTTCATAAATTTTATGAATATATTATCACATGTACCTTCTCAAAAAAGCAAGATAATAGATTAAAATACTGTATACTATTTAAATATAAAAACCTGTAAAAAGTAAATAAATGAACTATGAACTCGAGTCATGAAAAGACATAAAGGAACCTGAATGTGTATCACTATGTGACAGAAATCAATCTAAAAAAGGTTAAATTTTACATGATTACAACTATATGACATTCTGGAAAGGGCAAAACCATTGAGATAGCAAAACAATCAGTGAATGCCAGGGTTTCTGGTAAAAGGGAGCGATGAATAGGTAAAGAACATGGGATGTACAGGGCAATGAAACTATTCTGTATAGTACTGTAATGGTAGATACTTGTCATTTATCAAAACTCATAAACTGTAGAACACAAAGAGTGAAACTTAATGGGATTTATGGACTTTAGATAATAATATTACTGTATCAATACTGGCTCATAATTTGTAACAAATGTAACCACATCAATGTAAAATGTTAATAATAAGGGAAATTGGAAATGGTAGTGAGGAAATATATAGAACCTCTCTCTACTTTCCACTCATATTTTTGGAAACCTAAAACTGCTCTTAAAAGTAAAGTCTATTAACAAAACTAGTGTTCAGGAATGTAGTGGTTGAACTCAGAATTTCTTTTGCTCAAATTTTATTTTTGCAAAAAGTTAAGTCTAGAAAGTATACGTATGCTGATCATATCTTCATAGTAACATATTTTAAGTAAGAAAATAGCACCGTGAAAATCGGTTAAAAATAGAAAATCTATTAAGTAGTCTGTTTCCATGAAAACATCTAATATTTATAGCACAATTTTATAATCCTACTTATCTAAAATTACATCTTCTAAAGGTTTTAAATGTGATGATTCCATACTTCATTTTACTAATCACTTTATGCATTTGTTGTGTGGTAAATGATGTGAAAAAATGATAAGAACTATGTATCCTTGCCTAAATCATAAAATAAAATGATTTTTTATCTAACCTTATTTTCCCTTAAGTGATTACTCAGCTGTCTTGTCTGCCCCAGAGTACTCTGCTAAAGCTTAACCAACTACAGGTTCTCAGTACTCTGTCTTGAATGACACCAACATATTATACTTTTCTTCTTTGAGTCGATCAAGGTATAGTCATATGTATAAATTAATTCAATCCCATTTAATGTCCATTGCCTTTCATTTTAGGGGCCACCAGCTGCATATACAACTTTCTCAGAAATTGCATCTCACAATCTAGTCGAGACATTTCTAACTTAAATTCCTAGCTTTTCTAGCCTTCTCTTACCTGTTTTAATAACTTTAAATATTTTGACTTACTCAAATTTGCCAATTTTTACACAAGTGAATACATGAATAAAAGTGGATGGCTAAATATTTGTTGACTTCTTTAGAAAAGCAAAATTTGTTCCAGTTAACCCTGATACAGTACACACAAATACGCTTGTGTGTGTGCACGCTCATGTCTGTATTCACCTGAAGGTAAAATTCTGAATTTGGAAGGACATTCTTTTTAAAATATCAGGCTCACTGCTAACATTTGTGAGGCCCAAGTTAAGAGTATAACTAGAGGCAACAAAAATGTGCTTAAATATTTTAAAGTGATTATCAACAAACTATTACATAGAATATGCCCTGTCTTCCTACATTGACAGATATACATTCATAAAAACAAAATTAGAAATATATATATATATATATATATATATATATATATATATATATACACAAAGATATGGTTTTTGTATAACTCAAATTTGGCAAAATTTCAAAGATCACTGAATGATATTATTGGGCATATCTAACTCTTCTGTTCATGAAACAGCAATATTTGAATAAGTAAAAATAAAGACATCTATAGTTTAAAAATTACCATATTGCTATTTCATAAATATTATTATTATTGTTTTTATTTTGAAAAAATACATAGATTGTGCATGCCCAATGAATTCTGGTGGGTCTCCACTGCTCCAACTCCTCTTCTTAATAAGGCCCAGCTGGCTCTGCCATAGCTTCTGTTGAACTGTGACCTTCAGGTACTGAGAAATCTATAGAGCATAAGGAAGATGCCAGGATACCTGGGAATCTGGGGAATGGAGTTAAATCCATTTATATTAAAATAATTACTGACCAAGAGACCAGACCTTCAAGAAGACTGACACACTCCAAACAGATCTTTGGATGGAAGGCATGAAAAGTAGACAGAGGGAGGACACTGACAATAGGTTGAAGCGGGAGGAAGCTGGGAAACCCGCACTGGGCTGCCAAGCAAAGAGACTTATTCCAGGAGCCCAGTGGCTCCTGAAGAAGGGGTGAGTTAAATAGGTGAATAGGGGCCCACTCACCATGGACCTCTTGAATCCTAATTGCAGGAGGCCCCATAACCCAGTGCAGACATTTGAGCTGGCAGGGAGAGCTGCTTGGAGAAGTGACAGGGACGGGACTACAGCCTGTGCAGAATCCAGAGGGTTTGGTGCAGGAATGGCTGCAGTGGAGTATGGCCAGGGATCCAGGGATACCCATCTCCCAAGGCCTGCCATGCTCCTTTAGGTGGCTTTGGCCTTTGTTAGTGGTAGGACCTAGATAGAGCAGGGCTGTCTTGCCTATGGGACAGGGTCAGTGTGTTCTGAGCACCCGTCTCTCTGCTGGGCACTCCTAGAGTCCCTCCCTGCCCATGCATGTTTGCAGTACAGCCTCAAATGACCAACTGGGGTGCTTCCTCGTGGCCACCATAGTTCTGTTAATGGCAAACTCTGCCTAACTATCAGAGCGCTTCAGCAGATGAGCCCCTGCCACCATGCACCCACACTCAGCTTCCCCTCATGGCTTTGCCAGTGTGCACTCACCCAGTGTCTCCCCTTAGCACATTTCCAGCATGGACCTCTCTACCCTGCTGCCACTGGCGCATGCACTTGTGCACAAACCTCACCACCACAGCACCAGCCCTGCCACCATGTGCACATGAGTGAGTGTAGACCCATTGCCACCACCTCAATATAGTGCTTTTGCCAGCAGCCCCCATCAGATTGTTGTTGCCAACAGACCAGGAATGCCTCAGCCCCTCCACTACAACAGGTGCCTAACTTTGAGGAGTCAGGAAATAAAGCCATGGGTCTGGTTCCAGCCCCCCAGGGTTACAGCATGCAGCATAGAAGTGCTGAGGTGAGCCTGGGCCCCCTGAAATCATCCAGAAACAAAGCCAGTTGACTGAATCTACCTATTACCACAGTCAAACTTTCAAGGCCATCAAAGAATATAAAATCCAAAAGACTCATCCAAAGGATACCAACATCAGAGATTAAAGGAACATCAGCCCAAACAGTTGAGAAGAATCAGGGCAAATCTGTGGTAACTCAAAGAGCCAGAATTTCTTCTTTCTTCAAATGACCACAGTACCTCCCCAGCAATAGTTCTAAATCAGGCTGAAATGGCTGAAATGACAAACTTAGAATTCAGACTCTAGTTGGCAAAAAAGACAATCAAGATTCAAGAGAAAGTTGAAACCCAATCCAAGGAATCTAAGGAATCAGGTAAAATGATACAAGAAATAAAAGATGAAATAGCCATGTTAAGAAAAAATTAAACTGTGCTGATAAAGCTGAAAAACTCACTACAAGAATTTCATAATACAATTTGAAGTATTGACAGCAGAATAGACCAAGCTGAACAAAGTATCTCAGAACTCAAAGACTGGTTCTTTGAATCAATTCAGTTGGGCAAAAATAAAGGAAAAAAAATGAATGAACAAAACCTTGAGAAATATGCGATTATGTAAAGAGAACAAATCTATGACTCATATGGGTCCTTAAAAGAGGGAGAGAGAGTAAGCAACTTGGAAATCTTACTTGAGGATATCACCCATGAAACTTTTCCCCTGTGTTAGAGAGGTCCACATTCAAATTCAGGAAATTCAGAGAACCCCAGTGAGATACTATACAAGATGACCATCTCCAAGACACAGAGTCCTCAGATTCTCCAAGGTCAATGTGAAAGGAAAAATATAAAAGACAGCTACAGAGAAGGGCAGATCACCTGCTAAGGACGCTCATTTGGTTGACAATGAATCTTTCAGCAGTAACCCAGCAGTCCAGAAAATACTGGGTGTGTATATTCAACATCCTAAAGAAAAGGAAATTCCAACCAAGAATTTTATATTCAGCCAAATTGAGCTTCACAAGTAAAGAAGAAATAAAACCTTTTTCAGACAAGCAAATGCTAAGGGAATTTGTTACCACCGGACTTACCTTACAAGAGGTCCTTAAGGGAGCACTAAACATGGAAATGAAAGATCATTACAGGCCACCATAAAAACACACTTAAATACATACATAATGTATTTGTACTACATTATGTACACAAATAATGTACATAATGACTACAAAGCAGCTACAAAGCAAGTTGCTACAAAGCAACTACAAAATCAAGTCTATATAACAATCAGCTAACAACATGACTAGGATCAAATCCGGACATATCAATATTAACCTTGTATATAAACAGGCTAAACTCTCCATTTAAAAGGCAAAGTTGGTTAAAGTCTCCACTTAAAAGTGTTCACTTAAAAGGAAAGTTGGTTGAAGATGCAAGACTCACCTGTATGCTATCTTCAAGAGACCCATCTCACATGCAATGGCACCTATAAGTTCAAAGTAAAGAAAAATCTACCAGCCAAATGGAAAGCAAAAAGAAGCCAAGGTTGTTATTCTAATTACAGAAAAAAAAAAAAACAAATTTAAACCAACGACAATCAAAAAGAGCAAAGAAGGGCACTACATAATGATAAGAGCTTCAATTCAACAAGATGACTTAACTATCCCAAATATATATTCACCTAACACAGGAGCACCCAGATTCATAAAACAAGTTCTTAGAGATCTATGAAGATAACTAAGTAACCATACAATAATACTGTGAGATCTCAACACCCCACTGACAATAATAGATCATCAAGGTAAAAAACTAACAGAGATATTTGGGACCAAAACTTAACACTTGACCAAATGGACCTAACAGACATCTGCCTAATACTCCACCCAAAAACCAGAATATACATTCTTCTCATCTGCACATGGCACATAATCTAAAATCAATCTCATGCTTATCAGTAAAGCAATTCTCAACAAATAAAAAAAATACCAACCACATTCTTGGACCACAGTACAATAAAATAGAAATCAATACTAGGAAGATATCTCAAAACCATACAATTACATAAAAATTAAACTACCTGCTCCAGAATTACTTTTGAGTAAACCACAAAATTACGGCAGAAATCAAGACATTTTTTCAAACCAATAAGAACAAAGATGCAACATACCAGAATTTCTGGGACATAGCAAAAGCAGTGTTAAGAGGAAAGTTTATAGCACTAAAGGCCCACATCAAAAATTTAGAAAAATCTCAAATTAACAATCTAACATCACACCTAGAGAAACTAGAGAAACAAGAGAAACCAACTATGAGGCTAGCAGAAGAAAAGAAATAATGAAAATCAGAGCTGAACTGAAGGGAATTGAGATGTAAAAAATGATACAAAGTGGAGACATTACCACCAACATCACAGAAATACAAAAAACACTTGGAGACTATTAAGAACAACTCTACACACACAAACTGGAAAATCTAGAAGAAATGGATAAATTCCTGAAAACATACAACGTCCCAAGATTGAACCAGAAAGAAATTAAAACCTTGGACAGACCAATTAGGAGTGCTGAAATTGAATCAGTAATAACAAACCTGAAGAAGCCCAGGACAAGGCAGATACACACCAAAATTCTACCAAATGTATAAGTAAGAGCTGGTACCACTCTTCCTGAAATTATTCCAAAAAATTGAGGAGAAAAGAGTCCTCCCTAACTCATTTTATGAGTCCAGCATCATTCTGATATCAAAGCCTGCCAAAGACACAGTGAAATAAGAAAACTTCCAGTCAATATTCTTGATGAACATAGATGAGAAAATCCTCAACAAAATACTACCAAACCAAATCCAACAACACATCAAAAAGCTAATCTACCACAATCAAGTAGGTTTTATTCCTGGGGTGCAAGGTGGGTTCAATAAAGGCAAATAAATAAATATGATTCAACACATAAACAGAACTAAAAACAAAAACTACATAATCATCTCAATAGATGCACAAAATGTGTTAAATAAAATCCAATATCCTTTTATGTTAAAAACCCCTCAAGAACTAAGCATTGAAGAAATATAATTCAAAATAAAAGCCATCTATGACAAACTCACATCCAATATGATACTAAATGGGCAAAATCTGAAAGCATTCCCCTTGAGAATCAGAACAAGACAAGGATGCCCAGTTTCACCACTCCTATTCAACATACTACTGGAAGTCCTAGCCAGAACCATCAAGCAAGAAAAAGAAATAAAAGGCATCCAAATAAGAAGAGAGAAAATCAAACTATCTCTCTTCACAGATGATATAATTTTATACCTAGAAAACCCCATAGTCTGTGCCCAAAGTCTCCTAGATCTGATAAACAACTTCAACAAAGTTTCAGGGTACAAAGCCAATGTACAAAAATTAGTAGCATTTCTATACACCAATAACCTCCATGCTGAGAAGCAAATCAAGAACACAATCCTGTTCATAATAGTGACAAAAAGAAATAAAATATCTAAGAATACAACTAACCAGGGAGGAGAAAGGTCTCTACAACAAAAATTACAAAACACTGCTTAAATAAATTAGCAACAAAAACAAATGGAAAAACATTCCATGCTAATGGGTAGGAAGAATCAATATTATTAAAATGGCCATATAGCCCAAAGACATGTAAAGATTCAATGCTATCCCTATTAAACTACCAATGATGTTTTTCACAGAATTAGAAAATACTGTTTAAAAAATCAAAAGGAACTAAAAACAGTCTGAATAGACAAATTAATCTTAAGTAAAAAGAACAAAGCTGGAGGCATTACACTACCTGACTTCAAACTATACTACAAGGTTACAGTAACCAAGATAGCATGGTACTGGTACAAAAACAGACACATAGACCAGTGGAACAGGTTATAGAACCCAGAAATAAAGCCACACAGCTACAACCATATGACTTTTGACAAAGTAGGTAAAGTAATTGAGAAATGACACCCTATTCAATAAATGGTGCTGAGATAACTGGCTAGCCATATGCAAAAGATTAAAACTGGATCTCTTCCTTTTACCATATAAAAAACAAGTCAAGATGAATTAAATATTTAAGTTCATAACTGAAAACTACAAAACAACCCTACAAGAAAATGTAGGAAATACCATTCCGGATATACGACCTGGCAGATTTCATGACAAAGGCTCCAATAGCACTTGCAACAAAACCAAAAATTGACAAGTGGGACCTATTTAAAACAAAGATCTCCACAGCGAAAGAAAATAACAGAGTAAATAGACAACCTACAGAATGGAAGAAAATATTTGCAAACTATGCATCTAACAAAGGTCTAATATCCAGAACTATAAGGAACTCAAACAAATTAACAAACAAAATCAAACAGCCTTATTAAAAAATGGGCAAAGAACATAAGCAGATACAGTCCAAAAGAAGGCATCCATTCATCCAATAAGCATATGAAAAAATGCTCAACGTCACTAATCATTAGAGAAATGCAAATTAAAACCACAATGAGATAGCATCTCACACCAGTCAGAATGGCTATTAGTATAAAGTAAAAAAAAACATCTAGTAGTGAGGCTGCAGAGAAAAAGGAACAGTTATACACTGTTGGTGGGAATGTAAATTAGTTCAGCCACTGTGGAAAGCAGTTTGGAGATTTTTCAAAGCAGTTACTACAGAACTACCATTCAACCCATCAATCCCATCACTGGGGGTATACCCAAAAGGATATAAATTATTCTACCATGAAGACACATGCACTCACATGTTCACTGGAGCATTATTCATAATAGCAAAGACATGAAATCAACCTAGATGCCCATCAACGGTGGACTGGATAATGAAATATGGTACATATATACCATGGAATACTATGCATCCATGAAAAAGAAGAAAATCTTGTCCTTTGCAGCAACATGGACAGAACTGAAGGACATTATCCTGAGCAAACTAAAGCAGGAACAGAAAACAAAATACTGCATATTCTCAGTTTTATGATGGTGCTAAACATTGAGTACACATGAACACAAAGAAGGGAACAACAGACACTGGGGCCTACTAGAGGGTGTGGGGATGATAGGAGGATGAGGATCAAAAAACTACCTATTGGGCACTATGCTTATTACATAGGTGATGAAATAATCTGTATACTAGACCTCCATGACATGCAGTTTATCCATGTAACAAATCTGCACCTGTACCCCCCAAATCTAAAATGAAAGTTGGAATGAAGAAAAAGAAAAAGAATTAATTATACTGTTATAATAAATATTTTCACGTATAATAAATATGTGTTGTAGTGACAGTAATGACTTAACAGAAGTTTAGCAAACTTCTCACACAAAGGACTAGAGAGTACAAATTTTCAAATTTATGGGCCGGTTGGTCTTTGTCACAATTACTTGACTCTGCTCTACTAGTGTTAAAGCAGCCATTGTCAGTTTATAAATAAATGATCTTTACTGTGTTCCAAGCAAACTTTCCTGGCTATCAGCTGGTGGCCACCCTCAGCTCCTGGAAGCAACACAAAGTTCCTTACCATGTCTTGATCTCCAACATCCCTTTTTGCTTCCTCAAAGCCAGAAGAGACAAGCTCAAGGAAAATGGGTGCTAAAATATTATATAATCATGTAATCATGTGTATGTAATGATGTACATCCCATTGTCTTTGCCCTATTCTGGTCATTAGGAGAAAGTTGCAGGTCTGGCCCACACTCAAAGGGAGGAATTACATATGCTTGTGGATATCAAAAGGTAGGGGTCGTGAAGACCACTCCATGAATCTGTACACCACAGGGTGTCCCTTGCTTGAATTTAAGATGGTACTGAAAAAGAGGATAGACCATTTCTCATTGTACTAGATTTATCTAAGTAATTTTGTCATAAATTCTTTAATCATAATGACTTTTTTTTCCAATTTCTTTCCACTTGCTGTGGTATTTGTTCAACTTTTTCAAAACAGCCAAGAGTCCATGTATTCAACTGTAAGGTTCTTTGGTCATTAACAAGAAGAAAAAGGAGGAAGGAGGGGTAAGGGGGGGTCAGAAAGAGAGAGGGAGAGAAAGAAGCAGGAGAAGGGGGAGGAAGAGAGGGAAGAAGAGAATGAGGAGGAAAATTGGAGAAAATAAAAGAGAAAAAGGAAGGAAGGAAGGAAGGAAGGAACGAACGAACGAAGGAGGGAAGGAGGGAAGGAAGGAAGGAAAGGATGCATGTTATAACCACCCCAAAATGTAAACAAGAGCACTTGGAAATAGGATGTCAATCATAGAATGTGAATGCTGTCTACTACAACAGGTCAATATGTTTGGTTTGAACAAATGGTGATTTGGAGGCTCTGGATGTACAACTTATAATAAAGTTTCTAGAGGATAATACTTTAATTTTCTTTCTACTTCATGGGTTATACCAACAAGGTCAGATTACCGTGATGTCTGATCATCTGCTTGAGCTGTCTGACTCTGTCCTTCTTCCTAGAAAACTTTCCTCAGGCAAGACAAACAGAATGATTGTTTGCTTACTCAGCTGCCAGGGCCTTGTCTTGGGGATCTGCCCACATACACAGATTTGGATAGTGATAGAGGAAATAATTTTGAACAATCTATTATATAAATCTTAAGGGCCATTCTTCATTAATTGCTGTTTCAAAATTGATTTTGCTTGTCTCTATTAGAAACTTTGAAATATCAAATTCTGAACCTGCCGTAAAACTCAGCATCAGACTTAAAGGAATACATTTAAGCTTTTTATATCTATATCCATCCACTGTTCAGAAACGATGACATTTTAAATCTTTATGTATTTATTAGGCTAAATTATATATCACGCCTATATAAGGAATCTCAAGGCTCCCAAAATAAATGCTGAACCAAAAGAGCATTATGTGTGCGTGTGTGTGTGTGTGTGTGTGTGTATATGTATAATATATATAACTATATATAATATAATATGTTAAATAACTATATATATTACATAACTATATATAATATATTACATAACTATATATAATATATTATATAACTGTAGTTATATAATATATTATATAACTATATATAATATATTATATAACTATATATAATATATTATATAACTATATATAATATATTATATAACTATATAATATAATATAATATATTAGATAACTATATATAATATATTATATAACTATATATAATATATTAGATAACTATATATAATATATATTATATAACTATATATAATATATATTATATAACTATATATAATATATATTATATAACTATATATAATATATATTATATAACTATATATAATATATTAGATAACTATATATATATATTAGATAACTATATATAATATATTAGATAACTATATATAATATATTAGATAACTATATATAATATAATATATAACTATATATAATATATAACTATATATAATATATAACTATATATAATATAATATATAACTATATATAATATATTATATAACTATATATTATATAATATATAACATTATATAGTATAACATAACATATATAACTATATAATATATAAGATATATAAATATATATAATATATATATGAGATTTCACATTCGCTGTTTGATTTTAAGAAGGACTATGTGTCAAAAACCGCTCGTATAGTCCCTCTCCAAATCTGAAAAAAGCAGTCCTTCTGCTGTGCACAGATTTGAACTGTCCTCATTTATAACCTTATGGTTTCTAAATCCAGTAGCTTTAAACAGCAAATCAATCATGAAGTGCAATGAGAGGTCATGGGGAATGTTAGAGGAGTTTAGTTTTGTAATTGTATAAAAAACAGAACATATTGCTTCTCTCAAGAGCAACCCATGATAAATAGCCAAATTCAAGTGTCTCACCCACTTTAGAATTAGAATCTGATCAAGTATTATGTCCTAGGCAAACAGGTGTAGTAGAGCTGACTAGTTATGCAATTTACAAAAGTGGAAAATGCTGATAAAATATAAAGATATAACTGAAACTATAAAGCTTCCATTATAGAATACTTTAAAAAGATAGCCCATAAAAGAGTAATAATGCTTACATAAAAAGCGATATTTTGGACTATTATTATAGGATCCTGCAGTATTTGCGGAAGCGTTTCCAAGTGTGAGTGAAATTAAAATTAGTGAAGATAGACTGGAAATAGATTTATTTTATTTACAAACAAACGAATACAACAGAAGGAAATAAGTCCTCATGAATCATTGACACGTGAACCCTGCATCAGGCCCCTCCTTAAATGTGACTGTTATTTTGCATATATACTAGTACTTTTATTTCCCCAACAACCATTAAGGTATTATTCATTGACTGAAAAAATACTCACTGAAAACATTATTTTTCAAGCCAGCAGAACAGAATTCCCATTGTTTTATTGCTATCTACGTAAATTTTACCTTGTTGCTTAATTCAAGCAGAGAAACCAAAAATATTATTCAATACATATTAATCAGCCAAAAAAGGTTTAATTTTAGATTACGGAAAGTACTACAGCAAGAGCTATGGTATTTAAAGAAGTGGATGAGGTAGAACATATTCCCTTATGGAGCTTAACAAAGGCATACGGCTATTGAGTTTGTCATGCATTTATTTTTAAACTAATTATTTAATGGTTTTAGATGTGAAGATAATTCATCTCATAAAATGTGTTTTTCAGCTTCTGCAATAAGGGTCTCATCTGCTGCATTAGTACAAAATAGTGACACAGCAGGCACAATGAATAAGGCTAAGATGCATTTAAAGAAGTTTAGCCCAATAAGTTCATGCTCTGTTTCTCCATAGCGGTTCATTCCATTATAAATTTAATTAGAAACCTTTTCTTTTTAATGTTCAGAAAAAGCATTTTGGTTGTTACTAACTCTCTATGTAGGATTTTCAAATTTTATTAAATGGCTGACTTATGTTACACTAAATCGACTTTTTATTTTTAATATACCTAGTAGGATGATGCTATAAAAGCTTTTAAGGAAGACAGTGAATCTTTCGGAGTGGGCTATATGCTGTTTCAATCAGTCTGTATTAAGCCATGATGGTCATAAGCACCAAATGAATTAATACAGTGTAGTTTTGGGAGCTAGATCAGGTAAAAAAAAAAAAGTTAGCTATAATTAAACTACGTAAAGAATATCCTTTTTATTTTTTACTGAAAATGGTAAGATTTTTATTTTGCAAACTGTGATTCTATTGCATTTGCGTAATGATTTGTAGTTGCTGAAAGTTGTTAGGCACTCTAAAAGCCAAAGTATGAATGGGATTACAATCTACCTAAAATTTACTGCATCCAGTAAAAGACTAAAGCACCCAAGCTTTAAAATCATCTATGGCAAAGACTGTTTATTCCCCATATAAAGTCTGACTGTATACTGTGTCCTCAAAGATATAAGGGCTGCAACCGAGCAGACTGTTAAACACCTCAAATATTAATTTATTGGCTTCCAAAACTGTGCTTACAGAGCATACAGAGTAGCAGATTAGGAGTTGGTAAGAAAGAATAAGAGAGATTTGACAATTCTATCTGAATCTTTGGTAGTTAGAATTGAAATATTTGAAGGTCACATTAGCTGCAAAAGATATTTTGAGCAAAAAGCTTGATAAAGCCTGTTTGGTTTTAAAAGCTGGAGGGATTTCAAAAATTCATTTTACTCTTCAAAAAATAATTAGAAGTGGGAAGCAGTTTATTGAAAAATCAAAACACAAACACTGCAAACTTCCCACAGGCGAGTATCTTCCTATTGTCTCACCCTGTTGGGAGAAACAGCCTATCTAGCACAGGTGCTTCTGCTTTCAAAAGGCACGTTTATCCCCTGGCCTCAGCATTTCATAATTTATTTCTAACAGTCTGGGTGGCAACAAAATCAGGTTTTGTATATTTTACAGTAACTTTTCAGAATGAGTTATGAAACCATGCTTTGGAACAACTTGCATTTGAATAAGAGATACTTTGTGGTGAGCTGACATCTAAGAATGTCTGGCATAGGGAGTGAGATGAGGAAAATAATACAAAGAAGAAAAGGATAAGCAGGAATTAGCTCTCTGCACAGCCTTGGTAACAGAAAGAGCCTATCAGTGTAATATATGGCAATGTATTTTTAAGTATTATAATAATTTAACAAGAAAGAAAAGAAAACGTTCTGCTATTGTGTTGGCTCATACAAAACCCTAGGGTGAAGAAATGAGCAAAACAAGTGATCATGCAACAAAAGATACCCCCAAATTTTGAGACTTATTAGTTTACACATGGAAATGTCTGGTTTGATCTCATTTTTGCATTTTTGGGCTAGTCGTTCCCCTTTCTTTAATTTACCTTAGCACAATATCTTCTATTATTTAAATATTTTGGAAGGCAATTTATTTATTTTTTCCTATTGAAGATTCCTTGGAATTCTGAACTAGTACCTTTCCCAACAGACTTTTCTCACCGCCAGCAGATCACTACTTTATAAACACATTGATGTAGAGTCCAAAAAAAGAGAAGTAACATCCTCCAGACACAGCCAGGTCACACTGAGGGTTAAAGAATAGTATTACACCTCTCTATCGACATATGTGAACTAAGTTCATTCCTCTTTTGTTGGTGAGGGGTATTTTGTTGGGTTGCTGGCAGATTTGGTTTTGCCACTAGTATTTTCTCAGATTTCTAAGCAGCTATCCTTTCTCTCTATGACCTTTGTGTTGGTGCAATTTGGATTTGATTCTCCAACTAGCTCAGTTACCTCATGACCAGTCCCCGGAGCCATACAGTCCCTTCACTTTTCTGCTTTGTAGTGCCAAAACCTTCATGCCTCACTGACAACTGCATAACATTAAACACATGCTGCAGATATATGTTCAAATTAGAGATGTAACAAACTATCCATTGAGAATCCACTAAATCACTGAAGCAACAAACCTGCAGGTCCCGAGTTAGCACCAGTAAATTACAATCTACCATATACTTCTCCTTCTGATGATAAAAGTAAAACATATTTTATTTTAAAATGCTGACAATAACTCCTGAGCAATCAATACCTTTCTTGGAGAAGGAAAATTGCATAGCCCCAACTGCTACTGTACATACATTGAAAAGGACAGATGAACTATAGATGTGAGCCCTTCAGCAAAGCCCAGGTATGAAAGGTTTTTGGAACCTGTCACTTAGATTAGATTCAGCAGTCAGCCCTTGAACTCTTTGTGTTACATGCACTGAGCTTCTCACGACTGACAGCATGTTGTCTTACAAGCTCAAGGGATGTCTAAAAATCAAATGCCAGGACTCTACTGACAAATGTATGACTTTTCCCCACTTCCCTTTTGGGGGATGTGGGCTTAGTTTATGTGATAAAAACAGCAGCAGCAAAGCAAAACTACATGAAATACTATATGAAAAAAATATATATATATATTCCTGAAGTAGCAAGTCCCATGCTGAAAAGATGTTACTTCTGCAATGAAAAATAAGACAATTTAAAAAAATAAAAAAAAGAATGATTCCATAAAATGGAATCTGATTCCATAAAAATGTTTGGTGATGTTTTATGCCTCTATTGTGCAAGGGGTGGGGTTGGGGGTGGGGCGTCTGGGAGGCTGTGTCTTAGAAAATAACATAAATACTGGAAATAAAACTTATTGGTGGGAAGAGGGGCTGCATAGAAATAGAAGTGGGCAATAAGCATATGAGTACCACTTATTTACAGAATACACAAATCCAAAATGTCTGAATTTGTAATTACTGCATAGTTACATTTTGATAAGGAAAATTTATTAAAAATTTCTCCAGATGAAGCATCAGCACCTTTACTGTAAATATGAAATGGCTTATTTTCAAAACTCGGCTTATTTTTGTAATTGCGCCGTCACCGTAGAGGCATAGAAAATGACAAGAATCTGTATGGTGCTTCAAATAGGGGAGTCTACCCAAGCAACCAACAAAAAGAGTTTTAATAATTTTTCTATGCAAAAAGAAATGTATGAACCTGAAAACTTCCAAAAAAGAAAAGTTGTGCCTTTAAATTACTGCTGTGGACGAGCTCAAACTGATACAATTCTTTCACTGCTTCCATATGTAGTAAGGGTATACCTTGTGCTAGGCATCGAACTAGCAATACATCTTATCTTTAAAAAATGAGTTAGATATGGCCGGGCGCGGTGGCTCATGCCTGTAATCCCAGCACTTTGGGAGGCCGAGACGGGTGGATCACGAGGTCAGGAGATCGAGACCATCCTGGCTAACACGGTGAAACCCCGTCTCTACTAAAAAAAAAAGAAAAAAAAAAAAAACACAAAAAAAGAGCCTGGCTTGGTGGCAGGCGCCTGTAGTCCCAGCTACTCGGGAGGCTGAGGCAGGAGAATGGCGTGAACCTGGGGAGGCAGAGCTTGCAGTGAGCCGAGATGGCGCCACTGCACTCTAGCCTGGGCGACAGACAGTGCGAGACTCCGTCTCAAAAAACAAAAAGAAAAAAAATGAATTAGATATTATCTTTGATCCTTTTGTGGTTCTGTCACATACGAATTTATCCAAAAATATTATGGAAGCAATTCACATTTTCAGGCTACAGGCTACATGGTCTCTGTTCATTTAGTTGTTCAATCATTCATTCTTTCAATGTTTATTAAGTTATGCTTTTTTATCCCTTTATGACTATGTAACAAAAGGTGTTTGCTCTGCTCTCTAAGTGTTCATGGGCTTGTGAGGAGGCAGACCATTAGACAGCTAACTATAATAAGAAAGATTAATTAGAATGCTGTAAGAGAAGCTGGAACATGAGGGTTCATGGAGCTATGCTGGGAATTGCAAGTAGTTTGCTATGCCTAGAGCTTCAGGAGCCTGGAGTGAAAAGCAGTGGTAAGGGAAGGGACTGAAGCAGTTAGGATTAGACTATAATTGGGATCAAAATGGCAGAGTAAGGAGTTTGGAGGTTATCCTACGTGCAGTGAGAGGTCTTTGAAAACTATTGCATAAGAAAATCATACAATTAAACAGGGATTTTTAAAGGTAAATCTTGAAACTAGGTGCAAGACGATTTGCAAAGAGGAGAAATGAAAGATTAGGAATAGATTAGAACAGCATAAGAAGTTAACATAATTCAGGCAAAAATGGTTCAGGGCAGAACCAAGGATGTGGCAGTGGGAATAGAAAAGTGGGTCCTGATTTTGGGCATATTTCAGAGATCAAACTGGCAGGATTTGAAAACTGGTGGCTATGCCATTTTGTGATAATTCAGAGGGTTCTTTGGGAGAGGAAGGCCTGAAAAACACCATGGGATGCTATTCAGTGAGAAAGGAACACAAGAAGAGTAAAACGTACATAAGGGGAAGAAGATAAAGGATTTGTTATTACAGATGTTGACTTTAATGTGTCTGGGTGAGAATCAGGAAGAGATGTCAAACAAGCAGTTAGAAATAAAAGTCTATCACTTGAGAAAGATGAAATAAAAAACCTCTGGCAATAAGAGTTTCCATAAATCTATTCTTCACTGTAGAATGTAGGTTTTCAATGTCTTTTCTATTTTTGGAGATGCTTTTCTCAAGTTTCATCAGTTTCATTCATTCTAGTATTTGGGAATTCAATAAATTAAAATTGGAAAAATGTAAATTATGTCCTCAGCTTAGTTACCTCTTATTAGTTTTAATTTTTTGAAAAAAAATCTGCTCAACCCCTTATTATGTCTTTTTATTCCTTTGCTTTTTGTCATTAGTTCACTGATCATAATTGTTTAATGTTGCAACAATAATTTTTAATCAAAGGGTGGATGATTTTTATTTTCTACCTCCTTCACTCCTCTCTTAATGAAGTACATAGCTTTCTTTTTCTTTTTCTTTTTGCCTCAACAACGCACTAGGCAGATGTATTCAGGGAACAATTTCTCTTGGCTCTCAGAACCTCTCTTGGATTTCCTTCTGGTATAGTTTAAGTAATATTTCCCTGAGAACGTTCCCTCACACTAAGCCACGTTGCCACTTTGCACAGTCACTGGGGCCTTTCTACACCTTCCTACATCCCTCCACCCTTTAACTGCCCAGAAGAACTTAAGGACAACTTCCAGCTTGAAGACTACCTCGAGATCATTTGTAAGACATTAACCACACAGATCCTTGGGGAAACTCACTATTTGTAATTCTCTGTTTTAGAAATGCCTACTTCTTTCCTAAATTGAAGCAAACTATCTATTGTGTGGTGAAAGTGGTTTGTTTTATTGTTTGTTTAATTTTGTTTTGTTTTTAACAGACTTTGAAGATATGGATTATTGTCAAAGATTTTTTTGAGAATCTAAATAGATGGTATCTACTGTGTCCCCTTTGTCTGTATGCATATTTTCCCCTAGAAAAAACACAATAAACCAGTCAAATTTCCTCTCGCCTTGTACAAAGCTTGTTGTCTTTTTCTCAAAATATTCTTTGCTTAAGTGTTTGATAATGGAAGTAAAGTATGTTATTTGTCAATGACTCAATATAATTATGACAACAATGAAAAAAATTCCCAAATATTTACATGGTGACTGAACAAAATTAGTAAATATCGTCACTAGAATATACAGAGTTTGTTTTATGATATGACTGTATGTAATAATGCCACAATACCAAAATACTTGTTGTATTTTCTAATGAGTAATGTAGATGAATGTGACGTTTTCTCTGATGTGGGAGGATGAGGTAAAGAGATAAAAATAAAGCTCTAGAGCCACAGAAAAACTACCAAAAAGCAATCCCTGAAAAATAAATAAATGGATTGATTAAAAAGTAGGTGCTTTTGAATCTGACATTTTCGGTTGAAATGACTTTTGATAAAATGAAGTGAAATACCAGCTTTTAAAAATGCCAGGTTGTTCCTTTCTAAATAGGTTTTTAAGTAAGTTTTTTTTTCTTTTTCACTCACTTAGGAGGGGAAAAATTTCAACCTTTTTGAACATAGTACATATGGTTGCCTCGGTAACAAGCACAATAATAACATCTACAGCATCCATGTGAACCTTAATTATGGCATTTATTAAGCTAGCACATGTTAATTCTTTAGGAAACACATGAATTTGTTACTATAATGAGTATTAGCTAGTAATACATGGTCTTTCAAATTATTTGCTTTTTTATAAAGATAGTTTTATGACAGATAGCTAAGTATACAAGCAGCTTCTCACGATATTTCAGGAATCAAAGCAAAGACTAATGAACTGGACATTTTGTTTATAGTATGTTCACTTTGTCAATTATTTACTAAGTATCAGTGATGTGCCTAGCTCAGTGGGAAAGATTATAATTATTATTTTTTTCCATATAAAACATGGTCTCTTCTATAGAAGAGCTTAAAAGTGTACTAAGGAGATAAGACTATCATGTAGAAAAAAATCTAAGAATATCAGTGTTTAATTATTTTCACATACATTTTCTAAATAAAGTAATATAGTCAAGTGTTGATTTGAATCACGACCATCCTATGGTGTTACTGGATAACCAAATGTCATAAATTTATGGCTTAAGACAACATGAATTGATTAGCTCCTCTCAAATTGTAGAAGTTTTCAGTATTCTATTCTGATATTGTCAACTCCAGCTTCAAGCCAGCAATGGAACATCAAATCCCTCTTGTACTCTGAATCTCTGACTTCTCCTTCTATAACCAGCTGGAGAAAATTTTCTGCTTTTAAAGAGCTCACCTGATTTTGCCAGGCCCTCCAAGTTACTCTCCATATCTTCAGATCAATTGGTTTGAGATTTTAGTTACATCTTCAAAACTCCTTCAGAAATATATCTAGATTAATGTTTGATTGAATAACCAGGGGACAAGAATATTAAGTGACTATACTTAGAATTCTGCCTACCATGGTATGGGATATAAGGAAGGGATGGGACTAACTGGAAAATCTCCAGTATTGAAATGAGACTTGGACTTCTCTTTGAAAAATAGGTACGATTTGAACATGTGAAGAAGAACCAGGCATGCTATTCCTGACAGAAGAAGCAGCATGAACCAAAGCACAGAGTTTCAGGCAACAAGTAGGCTTTGTACAGGAGAACATTGGAGAGGCTTATGGACTGCTCTAGATGGCACATGTTATTGAACAATGGGAGATAGTGATGAATAAGTTTTTTGCTTATTCACTGCATTTCTTCTATGCCTTTGGAGAGGTCAGTGAATCCTTTTGCCTAAATATTGAAGCCAAATCTTCTGAGCCCATGTACATGCACCTAAACCCTGTTCTTAGAACTTGTAAGATGGAGATTATAACAGTAAGTAATTAACAATATTGACTGCAGCTGATTTGTGTACATTGATAAGGAAAAGCATCCACAAAACAAGTTGAACAACAATATATGATATTGTCCCCCTTGTGAAAAAATACAAATTTTGTCTACTCTGTATTTCTGTACTTATATATTTCTGTCACTCTGTATCTATACATCAATGTGTTTCATTATTAGAAAAAAAGGTATATAACAATATACAGAAACAGCAGTGGTTACCTTGGGGGATTGAGATTTGGGATGTGGACATGGTAAAGACAGAAGGAGGGTTTAAGATAGAGTTTTCAGGGTTTTTTTTCTTTACATACATTTTTGTTGCTTTAACTTTCAAAATGATCATGTATACATTTTGTTAAAAGTGTGTATATGTGCACATGTGTATGTCTGTGTGTGTCTAATTATGAATTCTGAGGCATCATGACCTAAGTTGAAAGTGAACTTCATAGCTGTGTGACTTGAGCAAGTTATTTAACCTAGTGAGTCTGGTTTGCCCATCAATATATTGAAGGTAATAATACAATAAAACTCACAAGATTGTTGGAAATTTTGACCGGTAGATGGGTAGGTGGTCAGACATAAATAGAGAAAGAACAATTATAACTTCTGTTAATGTATACTAGGATGACCTCATCTTTTATCACATGGAGTTGCATCATTAATTCATATTGTTTATAGTCAGCTTTAGGATTATAGGATACCTGCTGATAATTTCTGCCTCTTAGATATATCTTTCATTTTGTACACATTTTAAATTTTAAAATAGTGTTGACCACATATAATTTCATTGTATCTGGATAATTGGTGAGAATATTAAACTAAATAAAATTAAATAAAATCAAATAAAATATTTCAAGGAGGTAAGTAGAAACTCTGCCCTTACTTCCTGTTCTTGCCCCTATAGTTGACACACCACCACTGATTACTGTCATTTGGGTATACATTTTCAAATCAGCTAATAGTCCTTAACAGTAGTGTCATACTTTCCAAGAAAACAGAAAAAAATCTTTCATTTGGAAAAGAATAAGAAGTGTTCATGAGGTAAAGACAGATTGATTATACCTTAGTTTTTTACTTATCTATATAACCTATAAATGATTTAATCAACAAAAGTGAATTGAGCACCTATTGTGTGTCAGGCACTGTGCTTAAGAATTACAAAGATGAATAAAATATGCTTTCTCTTCTTAAAGATCTCATACATTGGTAGGGGAGATGTACACATATGCAAATATGCATACATATATGATTAATTGTAAAAGTCTTAATATACAGTGTTAATACTTGTTAGGCATTTTATGATATATATTCTGTTAAATTCTGCTGTGTGACATTGTGTTGAGTGTCTATAAGGTATGTAGACAAGTCTCTACTTATTAATGCATTTAGTTGTTCCACCAGCATTTATTGAGTCTTTCTTGTTCGCAGGCTGTGTGATAAACTTCTAATGCAAAAATGAATAAGGAAGAGTCAGTACCCTTAAGGAGCTCACAGTCCAGTGAATATAAGAAATATTCCAAAGAATGTCATGCAAAAGTGATAGTTCTAAATTAATAATCTACGAACCTCATGTAAGCATGAGGCTCAAAGTATGTGGCCATGAGAAACTAAGTGAAACCAAAATTATAGTCTTGGGAGAGTGTATGTGTCGAGGAATTTATCCTTTTCTTCTAGATTTTCTAGTTTATTTGCGTAGAGGTGTTTGTAGTATTCTCTGATGGTAGTTTGTATTTCTGTGGGATTGGTGGTGATATCCCCTTTATCATTTTTTATTGCATCTATTTGATTCTTCTCTCTTTTTTTCTTTATTAGTCTTGCTGGCGGTCTATCAATTTTGTTGATCCTTTCAAAAAACCAGCTCCTGGATTCATTAATTTTTTGAAGGGTTTTTTTTGTCTCTATTTCCTTCAGTTCTGCTCTGATTTTAGTTATTTCTTGCCTTCTGCTAGCTTATGAATGTGTTTGCTCTGGCTTTTCTAGTTCTTTTAATTGTAATGTTAGGGTGTCAATTTTGGATCTTTCCTGCTTTCTCTTGTGGGCATTTAGTGCTATAAATTTGCCTCTACACACTGCTTTGAATGTGTCCCAGAGATTCTGGTATGTTGTGTCTTTGTTCTCGTTGGTTTCAAAGAACATCTTTATTTCTGCCTTCATTTCGTTATGTACCCAGTAGTCATTCAGGAGCAGGTTGTTCAGTTTCCATGTAGTTCAGCGGTTTGGAGTGAGTTTCTTAATCCTGAGTTCTAGTTTGATTGCACTGTGGTCTGAGAGACAGTTTGTTATAATTTCTGTTCTTTCACATTTGCTGAGGAGAGCTTTACTTCCAAGTATGTGGTCAATTTTGGAATAGGTGTGGTGTGGTGCTGAAAATAATGTATATTCTGTTGATTTGGGGTGGAGAGTTCTGTAGATGTCTATTAGGTCCACTTGGTGCAGAGCTGAGTTCAATTCCTGGGTATCCTGGTTAACTTTCTGTCTCGTTGATCTGTCTAATGTTGACAGTGGGGTGTTAAAGTCTCCCATTATTATTGTGTGGGAGTCTAAGTCTCTTTGTAGGTCACTCAGGACTTGCTTTATGAATCTGGGTGCTCCTGTATTGGGTGCATTTATATTTAGGATAGTTAGCTCTTCTTGTTGAATTGATCCCTTTACCATTATGTAATGGCCTTCTTTGTCTCTTTTGATCTTTGTTGGTTTAAAGTCTGTTTTATCAGAGACCAGGATTGCAACCCCTGCCTTTTTTTGTTTTCCATTTGCTTGGTAGATCTTCCTCCATCCTTTTATTTTGAGCCTATGTGTGTCTCTGCACGTGAGATGGGTTTCCTGAATACAGCATACTGATGGGTCTTGACTCTTTATCCAATTTGCCAGTCTGTGTCTTTTAATTGGAGCATTTAGTCCATTTACATTTAAGGTTAATATTGTTATGTGTGAATTTGATCCTGTCATTATGATGTTAGCTGGTTATTTTGCTCGTTAGTTCAAACAGAGAGCCAAATCATGAGTGAACTCTCATTCACAATTGCTTCAAAGAGAATAAAATACTTAGGAATCCAACTTATAAGGGATGTGAAGGACCTCTTCAAGGAGAACTACAAACCACTGCTCAAGGAAATAAAAGAGGATACAAACAAATGGAAGAACATTCCATGCTCATGGGTAGGAAGAATCAATATCGTGAAAATGGCCATACTGCCCAAGGTAATTTATAGATTCAATGCCATCCCCATCAAGCTACCAATGACTTTCTTCACAGAATTGGAAAAAACTACTTCAAAGTTCATATGGAACCAAAAAAGAGCCCGCATCGCCAAGGCAATCCTAAGCCAAAAGAACAAAGCTGGAGGCATCACGCTACCTGACTTCAAACTATACTACAAGGCTACAGTAACCAAAACATCACGGTACTGGTACCAAAACAGAGATATAGATCAATGGAACAGAACAGAGCCCTCAGAAATAATGCCACATATCTACAACTATCTGATCTTTGACAAACCTGAGAAAAACAAGCAATGGGGAAAGGATTCCCTATTTAATAAATGGTGCTGGGAAAACTGGCTAGCCATATGTAGAAAGCTGAAACTGGAACCCTTCCTTACACCTTATACAAAAATTAATTCAAGATGGATTAAAGACTTAAACGTTAGACCTAAAACCATAAAAACCCTAGAAGAAAACCTAGGCATTACCATTCAGGACATAGGCATGGGCAAGGACTTCATGACTAAAACACCAAAAGCAATGGCAACAAAAGCCAAAATTGACAAATGGGATCTAATTAAACCAAAGTGCTTCTGCACAGCAAAAGAAACTACCATCAGAGTGAACAGGCAGCCTACAAAATGGGAGAAAATTTTCGCAACCTACTCATCTGACAAAGGGCTAATATCCAGAATCTACAATGAACTCAAACAAATTTACAAGAAAAAAACAAACAACCCCATCAAAAATTGGGCAAAGGACATGAACAGACACTTCTCAAAAGAAGACATTTATGCAGCCAACAGACACATGAAAAAATGCTCACCATCACTGGCCATCAGAGAAATGCAAATCAAAACCACACTGAGATATCATCTCGCACCAGTTAGAATGGCAATCATTAAAAAGTCAGGAAACAACAGGTGCTGGACAGGATGTGGAGAAATAGGAACACTTTTACACTGTTGGTGGGACTGTAAACTAGTTCAACCATTGTGGAAGTCAGTGTGGTGATTCCTCAGGGATCTAGAACTAGAGATACCATTTGACCCAGCCATCCCATTACTGGGTATATACCCAAAGGACTATAAATCATGCTGCTGTAAAGACACATGCACACGTATGTTTATTGCGGCACTATTCACAATAGCAAAGACTTGGAACCAACCCAAATGTCCAATAATGATAGACTGGATTAAGAAAATGTGGCACATATACACCATGGAATACTATGCAGCCATAAAAATGATGAGTTCATGTCCTTTGTAGGGACATGGATGAAATTGGAAATCATCATTCTCAGTAAACTATCGCAAGGACAGAAAACCAAACACCACATGTTCTCACTCATAGGTGGGAATTGAACAATGAGAACACATGGACACAGGAAGGGGAACATCACACTCTGGGGACTGTTGTGGGGTGGGGGGAGGGGGGAGGGTTAGCACGAGATATACCTAATGCTAAATGACGAGTTAATGGGTGCAGCACACCAGCATGGCACATGCATACATATGTAACTAACCTGCACATTGTGCACATGTACCCTGAAACTTAAAGTATAATAATAATAAAAAAAAGAAAAAAAAAGAAAAAATAAAAATATATTAAAAAAAAAAGAAACCAAAATTATAATTCCCAGAATTTAAAAGCACAAAACAGAAAACTACAATATGTCTTGAATTGATGGGGATACATATTAAAATTGGTCATATTTGCCAGGCTTCCTTTGGGTTGAATATGGCCCTTTCTATGGTGGCCTTTTAAAATGCAAATGTCCCTGGGGAGTTAATCCATTTAATCAATATCACATTAGTAGTGTTTGTCTCTCATAGAAGGGGCCAGAGCAGCATGAAGATATAGAAGTTGATGGGGAAGGAGGGTTTCAAAAAGAAAGTCCATCTATTTTATATTTTTGCTGAGGTTCTGATGCTGCATTTCTATCTTAACTACAACACTTATTTTAAATTGAATCATTTTAACTAATCAGCACTCTCAATTTTCTTTGCATATCTTTAATATATTTCTATTTCTCAATCCACTTTTACTAAAGACATTTAATTCTGCCTCCTTAGGAGCAAAGTGGCCTATATGAATTTATATAATACTTTAGTTACAACTCTTTCTTGCAACTTTGAAATGAATCATAAATAAATATATGTCACAAACACTTTCAAAACTATTTAAGCATAAAGATTTATCTTTATTTCACATAAGTGGATGTATGACCACAGCAGTTGGTGTCATTACAGGCAAGCCTTCACAATGATTTCCAATAAAAGATTGTGCAGAGACAAAAATCTTTATCTTTAAATGTATGATTTGATTTTCTACTCTTCTTCTGTTTGGGAATTTAGCTAATCTTTCATTTACTTTACAACAGTAGACTTTGCCTAATCTTCCTAAACTACTTACCGTAGAGCCTAAATAAAATATACAATATATTGACATGGTTTGGATGTTTGTCCCCTCCCAAATCTCATGTTAAAATGTGATTCCCAATGTTGGAGTTGGGCCTGAGGAGTTTGAGTCATGGGGCCAGATCCCTCATGAATGGCTTGATGCCCTCCCCATGGTAATGAGTGAGTTCCTTCTCAGAGATCTGCTTGTTTAAAACAGTGTGGCACCTCTCCCCCTCTCTTTCCTGTTCCCACTTTCACCATGTGCTGTGCCTGCTCCCCCTTTGCCTTCCACAATGACTGGAAGCTTCCTAAGGCCCTCTCCAGAAGCAGATGCCGGCACCACACTTCCTGTATAGTCTGAAGAACTGTGAGACAAAATAAGCCACTTTTCTTCATAAATTGCCCAGTCTCAGGTATTCCTACATAACAACACAAAACCAGACTAACACATATTTCCAGTGAATTTTGCTAAATACTTTTTAACATAACTGCATGGTGAAACAATATTATTTTTCTTCTTCTATAATTGGTTTATATCAACACTGTTTTCTTTACAACTTTATCTTATGTTTCCTCCTTTTCATTTCCAAATAATTAATGAGATATGGCTAAAACTAGTGTTTCCATTTTATGTATCTATAGAGTAAATACTAACAATCTTCTCTAATATCAAAACAGAAAGCCACCAGACACATTTTTTTCTCATAGCTATAATGACAAGAGAGCTACCATCGTGGTATGACTACAGCATTTGAGTTTGGAAGCTTTTTAATCCCACTTAATATTTCTAATTCTGACTATATTCTTGGATAAGCTATTTAACATATTTGCCTTTATTTTCCCATTTTAAAAGGCAGAATGATTCTTTTTACATCAAAGGAGAGCATTAGACCAATTAATAACCTGAAAATGACCTACAATTTTTCAGGTGAAAAGAAGAGTCACATGTCCCTCACTTTAAATCGAAAGCTCAAAATGATTAAGCATAGTGAGGAAGGCATGTTGGAAGCAGTGACAGGCTGAAAGCTAGGCCTCTTGCACCGGTTAGCAAAGTTATGAATGCAAAGAAAAAGTTCTTAAAGAAAATTGGAAGTGCTATTCCAGTGAACACACAGATGATAAGAAAGTAAAACAGCCTTATTTCTGATATGAAGAAGGTTTTAGTGGTCTAGATGGAAGACAAAACCAGCTACGATATTTCCTTTAACTAAAGTCTAATCCAGAGGAAGGCCCTAACTCTCTCTGTTCAGTTCTATGAAGGCTGAGAGAGGTAAGGAAGCTGCAGAAGAAAAGTTGGAAGCTAGAAGAGGTTGGTTCATGAAGTTTAAGGAAAGAAGCCATCTCCACAACATAAAAGCATGAGGAAAATCAGTAAGTGCTGCAACAAATTATACAGAAAATATACCTAAGATAATTGTTGATGGTGGCTACACTAAACAACAGATGAAGACGTAGATGAAGCTGCCTTGTACTGAAAGAAGATCCCATCTATGACTTTCATAGCTGGAAAGGAAAAGGCCAATGCCTGGCTTCAAAGCTTCAAAGGACAGGCTGACCCTCTTGTTAGGGGCTAATGTGCCTGGTGACTTTAAGTTGAACCCAATGCTGATCCACCATTCTGAATCCCAGGACCATTAAGAATTATGCTAAATCTACTCTGCCTGTGCTCTGAAAATGGAGCAACAAAGCCTGAAAACAGCCCATCTGTTTGTAGCACCGAATACTGAATATTTTAAGCCCACTCTTGAGACCTACTGTTCAGAAAAAAAGACTTCTTCCAAAATATTACTGCTTTTTGGCAATATACCTAGTGAACCGAGAGCTCTGATGGAGATGTACAAGGAAACTAATGTTGTTTTCATGCCTGCTAACACAACTTCCATTCTGCAGCCCAAGAATCAAGGAGTAATTTTGACTTTCAAGTCTTATTATTTAAGAAATACATTTTGTAAGGCTAATGCTGCCATCAATAGTGATTCCTCTGATGAATCTGGGCGAAGCAAATTGAAACGTTTCTGGAAAGTATTTACCATTTCAGATGGCATTTAAAATATTGGTGATTCATGGAAGGATGTCAAAATATCAACATTTATAGGAGTTTGGAAGAAGTTGATTCTAACCCTTATGGATGACTTTGAGGGGTTCAAGACTTCAGTGGAGAAAGTCACTGCAGATGTGGTACAAATTGCAAGGAAACTAGAATTAGAAGTGGAGCCAGGCTGGGTGCAGTGGCTTACGCCTGTAATCCCATTACTTTGGTAGGCTGAGGTGGGAGAATTACCTGAGACCAGGAGTTCGAGACCAGCCTGGGAAACACAGTAAAAATCCATCTCTACAGAAAAAAAAAAAAAATTAACTGGGTGTGGTGGTGCACTCCTGTAGTTCCAGCTACCCAGGAGGCTGAGGGGGAGGATTGCTTAAGCCTGAGAGGTTGAGGCTGCAGTGGGCTGTGATCATGCCACTTCCCTCTAGCCAGAGCAACAGAGCAAGACCCTGTTACAAAAAAAAAAAAAAAAAAAAAAAGTGGCTCCTGAAGATGTCACTGAACTCCTGCAATCTCATGATAAAAATTGAATGGATACGGAGATGTTTGTTTATTATGGATGAATAAAGAAAGTGGTTGTTCAATGTGGAATTTATTTCTGGTCAAGATACCATGAGCATTTTTGAAATGGCAACAAAGAATTTAGAATATCACATAAACTTAGTTGAAAAAGCAGTGGCAGGGTTTGAAAGGTCTGAAAGAAGTTCTACTGTGGATAAAATGCTATCAAACAGCATCGCACGCTACAGGGAAATCTTTTGAGAAAGGAAGAGTTAATTGTTGAAGCAAAATTCATTGTAGTCTTATTTTAAGAAATTGTCACAGCAGCTGTAACTTTCAGCAACCACCATCCTGATCAATCAGCAGCCAACAACACCGAGGCAAGGCCTTCCAACAACAAAAAGATTGTGATTCACTGAAGGCTGAGATGATCCTTAGCACTTTTTAGCAGTAAAGTATTTTAAAATTAAGATATTCACATTTTTTTTAATAATGCTGTGGCCTACTTAATAGATTACAGTATAGTTTAAACCTAACTTTTATATGTACTGGGAAACCAAATATTGGAGTGACTCACTTATTGTGATAATTTGCTTTATTGTGATAGTGGCTTTATTGCAGTAATCTGAAACCAAACCACAGTATTTCTGAGGTATGCCTGTATTAAGGGCAAAAACTTGAAGTTTAAGGTGACAGCTGGGAAAATTCATTCCATAAAAAGTGTCAACTCTGAGTCTGTAAAAATTTGAGTTCACTGTAGGATTTTTTCAAAGACACATTTTAACCCTTTATGGAAGCATAACATGCATACATAAAAGTGCACATGGCATAATATTTAAGTGCTGTTTGGTCTACATTCTAATCAGGAATAGAAATTTAAGCAGATGTATTGCATAAATGTAGTTTAGTATAATAAAATCAACTCTGGTTAATTCCTTTCTTCTCTAGGTCTGTCCCTTGCTCCCTTTTTCCCTTCCTCCTACCTTCCCATCTTCTTACCTTTCTTTGTTTACTTCCTCTCTTCTTTCCATCAATAAATACATTTGAAATATTTTTATTTGCCAGATGCTATGCAAGGCATTAGGGATGAAGCAGAGAACAATACAGAAAGTTTCAGCCCCCACAGATTTTTTAGTCCATTAAGAATGGCAGAAAAATAAACAGAATGCCACAATAAAACATTAAGAGGTGATAGGGGAAATACATTATGCTATGGGAGCAAATTAAGAGTTGAGCTTTTTCCTTTCCTTGCTGTTGTTCTGGCTGAGTGAGCCCAAAGTGAACCTTTTGGTCTTTTTAAATATTACAAACTTTATCAAATTTACAAATGCCTTTGCTCCTAAGACCGAACATACTTTCTAACAATAACAGCTGAAAAGTGTGGTTTTCACTTCCCCTTTCACACCATGGATCTATTATAGCTCCATTCCCTGTTACCCAGCTCAGAAATGTTTCATTTTCAGTGATTCTCCTAACAACTCAAGAATAGCACCTACTCTTTTTAATCAACTAGGCAGTTAACATATAAACAGTTGAATCTCTAGATAGCTGTTCCTGAATCTCAAGTGGGCATTCAAAAAGAAGGGTGGAGGATCTTGGACTTGTGCACTCTTAATTTCAAACTTTTATTTTCTACTTATTATTCTTGGCAGAACTATTAATTCATCCCTGACAATTTCTGCTATGTCATAGGCTATTAAGACACACACACTCCCTCCCTCTCCCTCTTCGTCTCCCTCTCCCTCTATTTTACTTTATCTCTTCCATAGTTCCTCATTTTCAAACTCAATTTCACTCTAGTTATCCAAATCCATGTATTTGTTGTATGTTACATGGGGTAACTTACAGCAATTGTCTAAGTCTGGGCTGCTACAGTGAAATACCTTAGACTAGGTAGTTTATAAACAACAAAAATATACTAATCACAGTTCTAGAAGCTGGAAAGTCCATGATCAAGGCACCAGCAGATTTGGTGTCTGGTGAAGGCTTGTTCTCTGCTTCAAAGATTGTGTCTTCTTGCTATATCCTCACATGGCAAAAGGTTGGGGGGCAGGATGGTGGCAAACAGGTTCCCCCAAGCCCTTTTACAAGGATGCTAAGCCCATTCATGAGAGCTCCACATTCATGATGTAATCATCTCCCAAAGGCCCCATCTCTTACTACTATCTCCTTGGGAGTTAGATTATAACAAATGACACTGGGGGGACACCAACATTCAGACCATGGCAGAAATCATTCAAGTTTACTTTATATTCTGAGGCCCAAAAAAATACATGTACAAACCCCTATGGAATATAGTATGGAGATTTCTTAAGTAACTAAAAATAAATCTACTATTCAATCCAGCAGTCCCACTATTGGGTATCTACCCGAAGGAAAAGAAGACATTATATGAAAAAGACACATGCACATGCATGTTTATAGCAGCACAATTCACACTTGCAAATATATGGAAACAACTTAAGTGCCCATTGGCCAATGAGTAGATAAAGAAAATGTGGTATATATACACCATGGAATAGTATTCAGCCAAAAAGAGGAATGAAATAATGTCTTTTGCAGCAAATCGGATGGAGTTGGAGGCCATGATTCTAAGTGATGTTAACTCAGTAATGGAAAACCAAATATTGCATGTTCTCATTTATAAGTGGGAGCTAAGCTGTGAGGATGCAAAGACATACAGAGTGATATAATGGACTTTGGGGACTCAGGGAGGTTGGGCGGGGGTGAGGGATAACAGACTACATATTGGGTACAGTGTACAATGCTCTGGTGATGAGTGCACTAAAATCTCAGAATTGACCACTATAGAATGAATCCATGTAGCCAAAACCACTTGTATCCAAAAAGCTATTGAAATATAATGGTTTGATCTGTGTCCCTACCCAAATCTCACGTTCAATTATAATCCCCAGTGCTGTAGGTGGTGCCTGGTGGGAAGCAATTGGATCATGGAGGTGGTTTCTCATATTTGGTTCAGCATCAACCCCTTGGTGCTGTTCTCATGATAGTGAGTGAGTTATCATGAGGTCTGGTTGTTTAAAAATGTGTAGCACCTCACCCTTCGCTCTCTTCCTCCTGCTCCGGCCATGTGAAGTGCTCACTCCCTCTTCATTTTACACCATGTTTGTAAGTTTCCCGAGGCTTCCCCAGAAGCTGAGTAGATGCCAGCATCATGCTTCCTGTATAGCCTGCAGAACCATGAGCCAATTAAACCTCTTTCTTTATAGTTAACCCAGTCTCAGGTATTTCTATATAGCAGTGCAATAATGTACTGATACAATATGATAGCTTTATGATGAACTTTTTCTGATGAAAAGTTGTGGCTTCTACTTAACAGGACACATACATTAAATATTTTGAACAACAGAATTTTGTGTGCCGTTCCTAATAATGTCATTATTTCTAGTAATTTGTGCAGCTGAAGCATGAAAGCATCGAGAATGAGGATTTGTTCTTAATTCAAAAAATACAAATCATACTAGAAAATATACTGATTCACAGGTGAAAGAACTTAGATTCTAGTTCTGTTATAGCCACTTATTATGAATTGCTTCAGTGTCTCTGGACCTCAGTAACACTGTCTGGAAAATAAAGATACTTACGCTGCCTACAAAAAAAAAATGACCCATGTTATCTGTCTCACATGGTTATCATAAGGCTCCAATAAGATGACGAATAATTTTGGAATTGCTTTTAAAAACTGTAAAGCACTATACAAATGTGAAATTTTTGTTTAGCTCTTAAATGTAGACACTTGATTTGTCTTTACTGCTGCTTTTGTAACACATTTTGTTTTAGAATCTGACAAAGCAAACACTCATAAGATGGAAACCATAGTAGATTCTAGGTTCCAAGAGAAACGTTTCTTTTTATTAATTACAGTGCTATTTTTATTCAAGTTATGGTAACTGGTATTACTCTCTGTGAACTGAAGAAAAACCAGTGCCTACTCCTTTAGCGTGTCTTAGCCCCATCTTGCTATCTCACACATTTCCCTTTGAATTTAACACATTTTGAATGAAACAAGCTTGAAGCAATATTTTTGATTCCAGAGTTTCCAAAAATAATGATGAAAAGGTTTATTTAAATATTCTGTTTTGTTATTTGTACTACACGAGAAAACAACATGTGAGTTTAGCTTGCCAGTACCTCTAGTTCTCAATCCAACTGAAAATGGGAAGGGGACCATTCTTTAGGAAAACAAAGAGATATGGTAGTAGAGAATGTACGCACCAGCACGCAGTGGAAAGAAAATGCCATGACATACCCTCAGGACCTTATTTCGTAATCTGTAATTTTAGGATCATACAATTCTGCAATTCAAGTATGCACTCATCTGAAAAATGGTTCCTACAGGTAAATAGGCTTAAGCAAGTGCTAATTTTAGAAAATTCAATTTCACTTAAGGAGAAATATTAATTTATTACCTACACAGTCAATTTATATCGTCATCTTCCTAAAAACATTTGTGTGTGTGTTCACGTGTGTGTACTATCGTGTGATACAGATATGCTTTAAGTAACGGGGTCCCCAACCTAAAAATGTATTGTTGTAAATCATTCCTACAAAACAGTTCCACCTAATGTCAGAAAAATACCTGTTGTCTTATTCCCACTGCAGTCACCAAATGGAGCTCCCACTATAATAATAAAACTCAAACTTTAAGAACGACTAGCACCAAGTTGGCTCAACAAATACTGTCTTGTTATTGTTATGTTCTTACTTCCCAATGATATCACTCTTTATTGGAAGGAAAACAAAGGAAAGGAAGGGACGGAGAGGGAACGGGTGGGGAGAAAGAAAGATAGAAAATGTTAGAAAGTAGAAGAAAGGAAGAAATATTGGGCATGTGGCTTTTCTAAAGATCCTGACATAAGGAGGTGGCTCTATCCAGTTTGAAATAGTACTCAATTTAGAGCTGATAAGTAGCTTGGTGAGAGGCAGAGTGGTAGGCACACAATCACTGACCTGAGAGCCAGAAGTCTGGAGTTCAAGTCCGCCTAACTGCCGCATAATGACTTTGTGTAAGTCATCTCCTTTTTCTGGACCTCTATTTTCTCTCTTGTAAGACGAAAAGGGTAGACTAAATTATCTCTAAAAGTCCTTGCATTTTGAATATTCTACACCTGATTTAAGAAAGAGGATACTGTAGGCCAGGCGCAGTGGTTCACTCCTGTAATCCCAGCACTTTGGGAGGCCAAGGTGGGTGGATCACCAGAGGTCGGGAGTTCGAGACCAGCCTGACCAACATGGAGAAACCCCATCTCTACTAAAAATACAAAATTAGCCGGACGTGGTGGCACATTCCTGTAGTCCCAGTTACTCGGGAGGCTGAGGCAGGAGAATCGCTTGAGCCTGGGAGGCGGAGGTAGTGGTGAGCCGAGATTGCGCCATTGCACTCCAGCCTGGGCAACAAGATTGAAACTCCGGCTCAAAAAAAATTTTTAAATAAATAAATAAATAAATGAAAGAGGATACTGTAAAGAGGCTTGTGGATCTTCACAGATAAATAATTCCTCTGAATTAATACTAAAATGGCGCTTCAAATTAATATTTTGTTAGTACTGGCCCTTTCTGTTTTATAATTAAATGTGTCACACAGTGTAGTGAGAATACAATAAAAGAACTGGAATCCGAAGTTGCTCTTTCTACCACTGAGTCCTCCAAGAAGTACCAACAGATGTCTTACTTCACCTCAACATTTAAACTGTTGTGAGGTGTATTATGTATGAAATCCTGTATATTTCAATCTGATCTCTCATAATATTGCCAAGTCAATAAAGTTTCTTCCTTGATTCTTTTCTCCTCTATCTGGATCATTCTCATTCTACATAGGACTTTAATCTCAGATATCCCAAATAACACCTTGAATTATTCCTCATTTTAGAGGATTATACTTGTAGAATTTTATACATTGTATCACTGAGGAGATCAAGGCAAGGGCCTACCTTAAATCATACTACTATGGCTTACTTTAGGGTGTCCACATCTGTTTATTGTTTTCTACATTCTAAGCATCTCTGCCTGATAGTAATAGTGATTGTGAAAGAATCACTAATTCAGTATTACCTCAGGCAAGTCACTTCAGATCTTTGAGCATGTTTCCCCATATGACAGCTGAACTAGGTAATTCCACCTTAAAAATATGTGGTTTTACACTTTATTTACAGAGTTTGGCATTTTAAAGCCATACGACAGCAGGAGCTGTATCATAAGTATTTAGGTAATGTTTGTGCATAAGATCCGTGAATGGATGCACCCATGTAAATCCTAAAAGTATAATTTCTGTCATGTTGTAAACTAGTTAGGCTTCAGAAGCCTGTGGATAGAGCTTATATCTTATTACTACACAGGGAGAGAAAGCAATCCACTAATCCTTCTCATTGCTTCTTAGTTCAGTTGCACCCTCCAAAGTGCAAGTTTCAGGGGCAGATTTATAATCTGAAAGTGAGACACTGGATACCGAAAGTCTTGGTGGAAAAACCCCAAAGGGCTTGCAATTATTCTTCTGCACACACGTTCATAAAGTTATTAGATATCCTTTTTGGAAAAGAATGTCTGACAAGGGACACAGCATGTGGTTCAGCTCCTGCCATGAATTTGATATAAGGTTTTCAGGAAACCACAGCAAGGGCATTATGAGTCTACTTATCAGCTCTCTAGTTTTCTTATTTCCACTCTATGTGTCTGGCTTATCCCTTACTTTATATGGAACTGCTTGACAGAATTAAAAATGCCTTCTAACAGAAAATCATGCTCCTATAGATAGATTTTGGACATTCTATTTGTTTAGAGATAATGTCTAAAAAATAATACCACAATAAAGCATATGCGTGAAGGATGGTAAGGAATTTACAGATAAGAATCGAATATGTTAGGTGAAATAACAGCTCTTCTCTGCTGCTCATGCATGACTAATCATTGAAAAACAATTAGAGAGCATATAGA
Source organism: Homo sapiens (assembly GCF_000001405.40). Taxonomy (NCBI): domain Eukaryota; kingdom Metazoa; phylum Chordata; class Mammalia; order Primates; family Hominidae; genus Homo; species Homo sapiens. The sequence continues at coordinate 98,807,241 of NC_000023.11, read as the reverse complement.
TGAAGAAATCTGCAGATATGAAATGCCAATAGTTAAGTGTAATAGCAATCACAAAACTGAAAAGCAAATGACAAACTAGAAAAAGTCCATGTAGAATAAATATATCCTAGAGTAAGATTTCTATCCTCAATGTAAAAAGAGCTCTTAGACATCAAATAAGGTACAGATGACCTCTCCACAAAAATTGGCAAAGAACAAGAACAGTCAAAACAGGAAAAAAGAAAATTAAATGGCGAATAAATTTTTTAAAAAATGATGGGCTGTGCCAAAGAAATTACATTAATAAAACTAAATCACAGTATTTTTTCATCAAACTAGCAAAGCATTTTAAGAAATAACAATACTCTTTATTGCTAAAGGTGAAGGAAATAAAGATTGTCATCTGTAATTTGTGAAACCATAAGTTAGTGCAGTCTTTTTTTTTGGAAGAGAATGTGTCAGTATTCATCAAAGGTATGGAATTTTGCATGACCTTTTAAATAATATATGGATTTATACTAAGGAGATTATGTATGTGCACCAAGGGGTTACTACAAAAATATTTTGCAGTGTTATTTATAACATTAAATAAATAGCAACAGATTAAATATCCAATAAGATTCACTAAATACTATACATCCGTACTAAAGAAACATTAAGCGATTATTAAATATGATGCTGATAAGAAAGATTTAATATGTAGAAAATGTTTGTGACAAATAATTAAATGAAAAGATTGTATTATCTTGATGTGTGACTTTGAGTTTTTAAAAGTGAAAATGTGCCTCACACACACACATGCACATACCCAATATAAGCAGAGGCTATACGCCTAAAAAGAAAAGTAGGTGCAATCAAACATGGGGTGGTGAGATTTACAGACCTTTCTCATTCTTTAAATTTAGTTGTATTTTAATGTTTTTTAAAATAGATATTCTATGGTAATAAAATATTTTAAAATCTCAAATTTACTTGAAGATTACAAAATTAAAGCATTCAAATGTGTGAATTTTTAAGGCTACATATCTTAAAAGCAATACATAATAGATAACATGAATTAAATTAAAAGAAAATCTCTTAAGTCTCCAATAAATTGGTTATATTAATAGCATGAAACAGACTTGTAGATGTCAATTACAGAAAAATATAAAGAAGAAAATGAAAATCATCCATCCCAGCACCCAAAGATAACCAATTGTATCATGGTTGATATTTTATTTTAATAATATTTGTTAATATTGTTACTATTTTGGCATATATACTTTTTTAGATATATAAACATATAGATATATAATCTTTTTATAATTTTTTCAGTAAAAGTGTATTTATAACCTGATTTTCTACTTAACAATATATCACAATCATTTCCTTTAAATGTAATTCAAAAAAATTTATTGGTATCACATTATTTTATAATATAAATATACTGTTATTTATTTAATCAATCTCCCATAATTGGGCCTGTAAATTCTTGCTATTTTAAGAAGCTATTACAATGAACACTTATGACAAATATCTATATAGATTAATCTTGCAATTCCTTTCTGATTTTCTCTTAGGATAAATTTCTAGAAAATCACTGCTTCAAAGTATTAAACTTTGCCAAATTGCCATTAAGGCAAGTTCTATTAATTAACGCACTACTTTAATTGTATGGGACTTGCTAGTGCTCCACAACTTCTTAAACATCGAAGATTACCACGCTTTACTTCTTTTGCCAGATTGAATAGTGAGGTTGCATCATTTTTTCCATATTTTTCTTTCGTAATTTGCCCATTGCTATATTTTGTTCTTTGATTTGTTGGTACTGATGTTATTCTTATTGACTGATTAAAACTTACTTTATATTGGTAATATTTGTTGGGCAGGACTAACATTAGGGACATTCAGAAGAAAATTGGGTTAGATGTGCTTGACACCAAACTAAGGAATAAGCCAATGAAGTAGATACCTTGGAGTAAGTATCCACCACGTTTTGAGTTTCTGCACTTTTTTTTCTATAGTACTTCTATTTCTTTAACTAAGGTTAAATAAAATATTGTATGGTGATATTCTACATTTTCTTTTACCTTACAATGATTTATATTCTATTTTCTGATTAGGATATCTGTGCCTTATCTATACTGGCTTTTTCAGATATTTGTATAGTCTTGTTTCTTATCTAACATACTAATATTACAAGGACATACAGAGTTCTGCTAAATACGCTCAGCACTGAAAGTCAGAGGGAGTAAGTTGATTCATATGGAGACAATGAAATATTCAGTAAGTGGAATGCTTATCATAGCACATGAAGCATCCAAAAGAGGAAGAGTTTATCAGATAAAACTTATGAGAATCAACTGCTCCAAAGTATGGGTTAAGACTACTAAGTAAAGTCATTTATCTTTCATAATAATGACTGTGTCTTCTTACAAATGGAGAGTGATGGGTGAGCACTGCATTGAGAGGGAACGATGAGAATCATTGTTAATGCAATATTCATATAAAATTTGTAAAAGTTCGAACCTTTGAGCTGAGCTGAGACACTGCATTTGCTACTTCCATGCTATTGATTTACAATTAACCTGATTATAGCACCTAGGATTTTGCAAGGTAGAATCCCCTGAGTCTTCATGAAGTTACACCAGAGTTCCCAAGAAGGCTATGACCATTAAAGGAGGCTTTAGTACTGCGTTGGTTTTCATATAGTTACAAGTTCCCATTGACTGTCACCATAGGCCTTAAAAATTTCTGGTTATTTCTTTAGGTAAAGATCAGAAAGGATTCTTTCTACTAGAAAGAAAGAATCACTTAAGAATGCATTTATAGATAGATCCCAAATAGGCTAAGCAATCTGATCTATAATCTAAATAAGAGTGTTAGTTATCCTTTTATAAATAGCAAGTCAACTCTATTTACCTGATCTTAATGACTGAATGATTAATAACGAAAAAGTGCTAAAAAAAAAAAAAACAAAACTTAACTGATAAGAACCTTTATTTACTGTAGAAGGAACCAAGAGCTAATTTCTGTAGAAGTTATGGTTCTTAGCAGCAACTCAGAAAAGGATAACAGCTATGCAAAGCAGATCACTATAAAACTTTATCAGAAGCAGACATAAAAAACCTCTGCTAAATGAGTATGCTTTAAAAAAGGTTAATCTGTATCCGGCATAATTGCACTGTTTTGAAAGAACTCAGTCTGAAAAGCAGCCACACTGTATACTGGAATTAAAGAGAAAATGTTTATGACTTGAAAATGATGCATGCTGAAATACTAAATAAAATACTGTCAGATCCTGGAATTCCCAATTTGGCCTGTTTTAGAAACCCACCAATAGCATGATTCTTCTGTTTGCTGTCCAGCTGTAAATGTGCAACTTGCTCATGATCCACCCCTGAATTGACTTCCTACAGGCATGGTGTACTCATCAGGATAAGACAATAAAGGTAGGATGAGAAAAAGGGGAAGAAGAAAAAGAAATGCGTGCTAAAGAGCCAATGTAGTCCCAAATGTCTTTCACTTGAAAAATGTTTCTAGTCAACAAAATGTAGCCAAGTTTTTCAATGAATATTGACCTTTTGTTTCAAATTTCTACAGAAGTAAATGCATAGTTTCCTTTCAGGTACAGTCTTACAGACAAGCAGAATTAGCAGCTACGTACAGGGTATGATATAAGGGGTAGCAAAGACCCTCTTCCTTCAGGGCCTTCTCATCCTGTTTTCTTGCCTGGTCTTCAATTTATACCTTTAGGATATCTGTGACTCAGATTATAAGAGAAATATCTTTAAAGTCAACTTTTTATAGGAAAAGTTTAAAAACCACAGGAATGTTGAGCTGATAGTGTCCCAATTTCCTCATTTTACAAAAGAAGAAACTAAAGCCCAGATACGGAAAAGTGAGTTGCCCAAAGTCCCTCTAAATGGACATGTTACCTTTAGCGAAAGTTCTAGCCACTCTCAAGAACAAAGTAGAAATCAATGATAGCATTAGCTCCCGTAAGGGCTTTATCTGATTAGCTAGTTTCTATGTTAAAAGAAAAACCATTCTTAAAGGAGAAAAATCAAGACAAAAAGAGAAAAACAAGCAGCCGAGTTTTGAGAAGATTAGTTACAAAGTAAACCAGAAAACTTATAATGCAGTCTCAGGAGAAGGATGTGGCAGCAAGAGAATAAGATACAAGACACAATCAGGGAACAGAAGATAATGGAAACAATCATTGCCAGGTTTACAATGTTGTCTAGCTTCCTGATTCACAAATAGAGGACTAGGAGCTAAATATATAATTAATTTTCTCCAGTAAGAAAAATTATTCTTGGGACTAATTTAAAGACGCAAAGAAGAACTTTAGGTTAATATATGGAGAGTATGCAGTAATTCCCCTATTTTTGATTTGTAGTTTATTCTTTCTCTTCGATTTGTCCTTTCTTTTTGGCCACTTCATCAGATAGCCAAATTTACACTTTAATTTTTCACATTTTCATTTTATCTAAAAATATGAAAGTACACACAAAAAGAAAAAACAAACTTTTTCCAATGGTTTTGATGGGGTAAGTTAAGGTCAATGTTTTCAGCACTAGCTCTGAATGTCCTTGTTTTTATGAATTTAAGTCAGACTTCTAATATACAATTTAAATACAGCTTTGACTGACTAGGAAATGTTATTTAAAATCCCCAGAAGACATAGATCAAAGGACAGTAAAAATGCATCCGATATTTGTTTTAATGATGCTTTGAATTAAAGTAAAAGGAACATATGTTGAAACGTTGATCCATTGATTATTCAAGTTCAGTTTAAGACTAACCTGCTGTAGTTTTACAGGAATCCATAGCCTAATATATAATACCTAATAGAAACTACCTGTTTGTAATAAAAATCTCGATATGACTTCAAAGCTATTCTAGGTTGCCAAGTCCAATTGTGTGTGTTGTGTTTACAGTTTTCTGTAGTGTTTATAGCTTTATATAGCATTTGTAACATTGCCTTTTACTTCTCTTCCAGAGAAGATCTTATTTCCTTCTGTCTAGCCCTGGAGGAACTTAAACAAGGGCCTTCACCATTGTTTCTCTGTCTAGTGACAACTGGAATTTCTATTTCAGGCTCTAATATTTTTTTTTTCACAGTACTTTTCATTGAGCTCGGTGAGCTCATCTTTCCCACTTTCATCTCCATTCATACAACATCTGAAAGATTGCTACCTTCCCCTCTCATTGTATGTCACACTTTGCCATGTACTTTACCCAATACAGGGACTTCTGCTATCACTTCTTTGCAGTCACCTCTTACGTATGTGACATTCAACTATAGTCTGAACTCCAGATCCATGTTTCCTAATGTGGGCCTCATATCTCCTATTGGATACCTCACCTGTCTTTTCTGCATACATCCTTCTTAAACTATACTTCCTGACTTTCCTTTTCTGTTAGTAGTAGAACCCTTTTTCCCAGTCACTCGTATTTGAGCACTTCAGTCACCCTAGACTCCTTTCACTCTTTGGCCCTTCGCATGCAATCAACTTCCAAGTGCTTCTGATTCTACTTCCTTAATATCTCTTGCATCTGTCCCCTCTCCTTTTTCCACTTCCAATACTCTGGTTAATTCTGTCATTACTTTCATCTTGAGCTACTGAAATAGTCTTCTAATTGGTCTTTCACCACTTATTCCTCTTTATCTGACTGTATGCTGCACATACTGTCAGAGTAGGCTCCCTTAAGGTAATTCTGATCAAGTCCCCACTCAAAACTTTTAACACTTCCCCATTGCCACCCAATCAGGTAGTAACTGCTGACTCTGGCATATAAGATCTTCTATCACATGATACCAAACTTCATCTGTAATTATTCTTCCACATTAAAGCTGTGCTCTAATGAAACTAGAATGCTGACATTTTGAAAATAACCTATGATACCCAGTAATTTGCCTTTGATCATATTGTGCTTTCTCTCTGGTTTGTCTTTCTCTTCCTCTCTCCATGTAGAAATACCAGTCATTCTTTAAGGTCAATGACTTCTTCCATGAAGCCCTCTATACCTGCCCATGTGCTAAAATTGTAATCCTAGAAAGAAACTTTTGAAGGCAACATGGAGAAAGGGTAGATCAACATTACAAAGTTCGTGTACACTGGCCTGAAGCTCAGAAGAAGTAATCTTTGAGGGCCACATAGAAAAATATTCTATGTGAATAATCATTTAAAACTAAAAGATAAGATAAACTAGGTTGGGCTATATCACGTATGGCCAATACCTGGCAGACATTCTACCTATTCTTTTGTTTATGTGCATGGTAGATACAAGACAATCTTTTGTCCATGTGCCTTTAGACTGGGGCATAATTAATTCTATGGCCTTTAGCTGAGAAACATTGAACCAAGTAGCTATCTCTGGTCTAGGTATTTCTTAATCCTTGGCTACTCATTTATCTTTGAACCCCATTTGCTTTGGGCCTTAGTTATATTATGGAATATTTTCCTCTACTTTGCACTATGCACTAAGCAGGTATTGGCTAAACAAATACATCATCTGTATATTACTATTATATTCCCCTATTGGGCCATAAGATCTTTGTGATAAAAGACTATGTCTCAGTAGTTGCTGCTCCATTATTATAAGAGGAATGCAGGGATAACAATCTAGTCAGATGGGTGGGGAAGAAGAAGATCTAGGCTAGGAAGTCACATTTGCTTATCATGTATACTATTTTACTCAAACTATATGTATTTGTCGTGGCTTGGTGGGTGCTTGTGGAAGTCATGAAAACGCAATAAACTCTCTCAAGCCACCCTTTGTCATTTAAACTGTGTCTTGCTCCTCATATACCTTTACATTCTTTACAGCAGATATAACAGTAACTATAACTCTGCACACAGACTTCTCAAATACTATTATCTCCATTATATTTCCACATGGAGAATACTAATTTAATGCTAATTCTAATCCTGTAGAATACTAATCCCACACTAATCCTTCCTCTCCCTCTCTTATCCCTTTCGTTCCTTTATTTCATTTTTCTTTCTCCCTTCCTCTTCCTTTCCTTTGTTTATTTTCTTTCTTCTTTTTTTTCCTTCCTTCATTTCCTGTCAAGAACAAAATGGATTCTTTGAGATTCAGAGAGCAACTGTGGTACAGTGGGGTTTGAGAATCAAACCGACCTGAGTTGGTATCCCAGCTCTGTCGGTAGCTGTGTGCCTTTAAACAAATGACGTGACCTCTCTGTTCTCCGTTGTCTTTAACTAAAGGTTTTGTAATAATGGTTTTGCTTTAAAATATACAATGGAGAAGAAGCAATGGTATACCAAGAAAAATAATGCACAAATATACAGATTTTGCTTATGTTTTCATTTTGTATAGTGTGGATTTCTTCAACAGTTCTTTGAATTTATATACGTGAATGAAATTGATTACACAAGGAACATATATAGAATAGGAATAGTGTCTATATCTTTGGTGTAATTTATGTATTTTTGTAATTTCTGCACTATAATTAGAAATTACTCTTTGTTCTTAAACAAATTAAGAACCCTTGTGCAGTGAAATGGTGCAAATGCTCATTTCACTTGTGTTAATATTTTCAGAAAACTTCAGCACTATCTATTTATGATTCTGGTAATGTAGATGGATATTGTTTTGCTATCATCGCATCAACTCTAAAACTACCAAATTTTACCATCCTAATGGGGCTTATCTCAATAAAGATTTGAGGAAATAATTTTGCTGTCATTTGGACATCCTATTATCATCTCCTCAAAATTTGGCACTAAAATAATATTTTCTTTTTACTCATTTGCTTTTGGAAGAAATATGAAATTCAGAACAGGTTTTCTAGTAAAATGGTGATTCTCTAATTTTTTTAGCAGATTGTCTACATTTTACCTGCTGTTCAGCATGAATTCAAGTAGCTAATTACTATCTATAAAATGCTACACAATGAAAATATTTTCCTCAATAAGTATAGGTTTCCTTTTATATGGGTGTATTTTCCTGGTTCAAGTAACTCAAAATCCAGAGGCAGAGCAGTCTTCAGGGCTGATGTAATACAGAAGCTTTGGCTCCACTACTCTGTGATTCTTATCTTGGCTCTCCTCTGGGTGGTGGTGGCTGCATTCTCAGGTTGATATTGAAATGGCTACATCAGTTTGGGTTCATGTCCAATGAAGATAGTGTTCAGAAGGAAAGAGGTATGTCTAGCTTTTTGTTTAGTTTGGTTTGGTTTTAAAAATTTGTTTGTTTTTAATGAGATCCAAGGTAATATAGGCTTCTCATGACCTGAGTCAAAGGTAGTAAGCAGGTATTGGCTAAACAAGTACACCAAGTGTTTTATAAATGGAGAACTTTGCCATCTGGTGTTACCTCCACAGAGAGGGAGTCTATGACTTCTTTCATATCCTCTTTAATATATTTTAAGTTAAATAATTTTTTAAATTATATCTAAATTCTATCTTGATACATTTTAAGACTACATTTTCCTCATCTGCCTTTTTGACCAAGTGTCAATGTCATTATAGTAAATCCCAATATGCTCAAAGAAAACATGATTATGTGTATGTACGCTGAGTAACTGATTAAAAATGGGGAAAAGTAATGGGAATTATATGTCTAATGCCATGTAAACAGTTTTAACATATTTTTTCCTTGGTGAAAAGACAAAAATTCCTTTTGGAGTTCATAACACCTTCCCTCTATTTATCCAGGCAGAATGCAGACCAAACAGCTAGATATGCAAGTAAGAATCTTTATTCTGCCACTTACTACCAATGTAACTTTGAATAAATTACTCAAACTTTCTGAGCCTCAGTTTCCTCACCTATAAAATGGACATAATAATTTTTATCTCATAGCTTTGTTGTCATTCATTAAATATTGGTTTCCTTCTCTTTATCATTCATGTTTTTCTTTGGCTTTTGCACTTTTTCCCAATTAAGGTTTAAACTTAATACTGGTAACTGAAGTAATATCGGCTGGTGACATAAGTATCCAAGAATGTGTGTCACCAGCCTTGCAAACGTATCCTAAATCATTCCCCAATAGACTATAGTGCTGTTATAGAACGTGTCCCTTCATTTAGAACTGATTCAAAATAAAATATTTGAAATTAATTTTCAGCATATAAAGAAAGCTGTGAGGTGGCTAGAATTATAAATGTCAAGGCAATCTGATGTGAAACATTGTGTTTTTTTAAACACCTGTAAGTGATGGATTGCAGACCACTTCAGGAATACTATAATGAAGCTTCACTGTATTTACTTAGAAGAATATTATTAGCATAGCAATTTTGTAAGATTAATATTCTGCTAAATTGTCTCAAAGGTTTCAGATAACTCTTCTAATTTTATGGGAAATTGTTACCAAAATTACATCTCTTATGAAAAACACATATTAATGTACCAGACAAGCTAAACATATTTTAATAAATAAGCATTATGTTACAAGGGAGTTACATCTTATTTGAACGTGATATAATGAGTAATGGAGCATTCAACTTGATACAATGAGTAATGAAACCTTTCGACAACATTGATGATTCACTATGTCATTAAAATATACTGAAATTTTAAAACAGAGACATTAAAATCATCACAGACACCCATTCAGAGTCTACAAGAATAAAGCCTGAATTATTTTCCATGCTCTGGCAGAGCAAGAAACAGAAGCTGCTTGCAGAAGTTGTTCATAGAATCCTAAAAGGAGCAGAGTCTGAATAATTTATTTCCCCTGAAGTTGCCCAATACTGTACTACAAAATGGTATAACTGATGAAACTACCCATTGTAACTTGACATCTTAATGGTCTAGTGTTAATTTTGACTAGACTTTATAACGTCATTTATTTTTCATTATCTCTGTAGATTTGCACTGGCTTCGTAAGATTGTTAACAACTGAATGTAAAATTAGAGTTATAAATCAAGAATGAAAATGGGAAAAGTAACTTTCCTATCAAGTCATGTTATGTCATTTCCATTTCAATAATAGGGTCAACTAAGTGCAACTCTTTGTTTGTTATAATCAAATTTCTTAATTATAAAGACAACATCTTTTTCTCCTTTCGGAATTATTTCTAATCTCTCCTTGCTTTTCCTATATAGATTTTCAGGTGCTGTTTTTCCCTTAACATATATGTGATATCTAATTCAATGTTGCTGATGGCTGTGTTTTTGTGCTACATAATGTTAGATTGCAAAATTAGAGTGCTACTATTATCATCCAATTTTTTCAAATCACCTTCTTGAATCAGAGTTGAGCAAAATATATGAACCCCTCCAGGTAAGTAGGTTCAGGGAAAGTAAAAAAATATATATATGTCTAAAGATGTCAAATGTTAATTGCCTAAGTCTTTCTTTAAAATAACTTCCTTGAAATTCAGAAAAAGGATACTTGAACTTTCAGAGTTCATAAAATTTTTGCTGGAAAAGCTCTTTACAAGATATCATTCCAAATATAAGTTGGTTTTCAAAAACTAGCTGCTTTAGCACTGCAAAGAACTTCAGCCCCAACTAGCAAAGTTTTATCTCTAGAATTTCACAACCAATCTAATTGTGTCCATTTTGCTGTTGCCAGTTGAACTCAATGATTTCATCTGTCACTTGGAATCTGTCAGACATGCTTAGACATAATATTCAACACCCAACCTGGAGGTCACTAATTTGTGCAGATTAGAAACCAGTATGACTTCAACAACACAAATGCAAATGCAGTAGTTGTCAAAAAAAAAAAAAAAACCCTATGAGTTTCTCATGGGATTAAAAATATAAATATAAGGTTAGATAACATAGTCATCAATCAAGACTCTGAAAGATAGTTGTCTTGGGCTCACTTAAGGGAATACTTGTGATCAATGTGGTTGTTTTGACTGGCAGCTTTTTGCTCTTTCTCATGTCTGTTTCTTACCTATACTTTTTACATAGTTTTGGTGCACTATATAATGATACTTCCATACTTATTAATGATTCTCTGGTAATGCCTGTCAAAAATACTTTAAATTTATTTTTACTGTTATTTTCAGACACCAAAGTGGCATAAACAAATTGCTCGGTGTGAGACCTATAAGTAATTGCAAGCTTTTATGACTAATTTTTAGTACGGTCAGTAATTCTTCCAAAAACTAATCTCCCTTGCTAGCTTGAACCTATTACTTGTCAGTACTGTTCTCTCATTAAAAAGATATTTGCACAATGCTACTAATAAGTATTAAAAATTCTTAATTTTTCTGTACATATAGCTTATTTAGTTATATGAAAATAATGTTTTACAACAGCTATTCAATTAAAGTAGCATCGTTTAAAGTATTTAAGTAAGCCTGCATTATATATCCCATTCAAAAATGAGTCAGAAGTTTAAAAAGCTATGTCTTGAAAATAATGCTCTCCTGAGTGTGTTTCAATAGCAACCCAAGCCCAAATAGTACAACTTTAGTGAATGACACAGAGGAAATTTAGTTTTCACATGAACATGTTTGGTCACAATGCCCTCAATTATTCTTGCCATCTTGCCAAATTGCTTCATCCTAAATCTGGCTGGAATTTACTCTCCAATGCCAAATTATTTGTTGACTCATCTCCTTCCATCCTTGTTCAGGCAACAGACAGGAAAAATGTCTGTGTGCTGAAAGTGTATTCATTCCGTTTTCCCATCGTGAGTTTTATTGTTTCCTCTCCTTTTGTCTGACAAAGATTTGTCAACATCTATCTTGAGTACACCAATATCAGTACCATTATGAATATTTAGTAGGTACAACTCCACACCCACATAGAGGCCAGTAGTCACTTAATTTTAGGCAAGATGAGGGCTGACTAATCTTCCAATACTTCCTCAAGCTTTTTGTTAACTCCTTTGTTTTCCTGTGCCAGATAACTGGAAAAGAAAGAGTTAAAAATGGTGCTTTACCAAATCAAATATTGCTAGGAATGTTCCACTTTAAGTCAGCTATTGATTTAAGAAAAGTTAGGTGATAACACACCTTGGCACAGATTGTACTATTGACTGTTTTCTAACAAGTACAGTCAAATTTTATTTATCCAAATAGAATTAATTTGATTACACTAATGGTCAGATGACAGAGAAAATAAGAAGCATTTCAGATTAATATTCATGTCTTGCAAAAAGACCTCATTTAGTTGACAGGTTTGAGGTAAGAAAGACTGTGGTGAAGGAAGTTCAACTGTAGATTTCAGTTCAAAAGAAGAGAGGAAACTTTTCTAACTGCATTTGCATCACATGTTCTAGGCATTTTCTTCTGCAATAAATTGAGGTTGTTAGAGTCTTTAGGGAAATGTAAGGATTAATACCTTCTCATCTGCTGTTGCTCTTTAAGATAGCTATCAAAAATGTTATATCACAATGAAAAGTATTCTTGTGAGTAAAACATCCAATGTCACTTTAAGGCTTACAGTTCTCTGCACATTTCATGCAAATAAATTTTAATTTTTCAATAAGGAGTCAACTATTTAAACTGATGCTGAAACACATTGGTCGACCTAATTAGACATAAAACCTGGTGACTAAAGTCACCAAGAGTATATGATCTCATGCCCTAGGTAACACATTCAGTGTTTTTATTATCATTGTATGATAATTCCCCCAGCTTTTTTTGTAAGGAACTCTCTCTGGGCTAGGTAATTGGTAGTTTCTCATGCATGTTTTAATAGTTTTCAGAAAAAAAGGTTTCTGAACAAATGCCATCTACTATGGAATACTATTTGAACTGCATTTATTTCTACAGCAGATTTCCCTAGTTGGCCAATTAATTGCAAGGTATAAAGGTCTTTTTAAAGTCACTTGGAAAAAAAAGCACAGCAGTTATGGCTCATTGTTCCAATCTTGAACTGACTCTAATAATGCAAGTAGTGTACATCATAAATACCTTTCCAATATTGTTAGAACAAGGTATAAAATATATATAGACTATTCAAAATTCTCATTAATTATATGGTATGGACTTTGATTTTATTTTTATCAGTTTTGTGCTTGGAGAATGAAAAAAAAAGAAATCTGTACATAAGCATTTTTTAACCATTGCTCAAGAGGAATTTTAAACCAATGGAACAGGCCGAGTGTGTTGGTTCATGCTTGTAATTTCAGCACTTTGAGAAGTTGAGATGGGAGGATCGCTTGTGGCCAGGAGTTCAAGACTAGACTGGGAAGCATTGTGAGACCCCATTTCTACAAAATAATAATAATAATAAATAGCTTGGCATGTTGGCGTGTGCCTCTAGTCCAAGCTACTTTTGGGGGTGAGGTGGGAAGAACACTTGAGCCCTGGAATTTGAGGGTACAGTGAGTAGTGATCACTTCACTGTACTCCAGCCTGGGCAACAGAGTGAGACTCTCTCAAAAAAAAAAAAAAAAAAGAAAGAAAAAGAAAAAAGAAATTAAAAAAAAAACCTATAGAACAGTTACCATAGTCAGTACTGAAATGTTTAAATTTAATTAATTAAAGAAATAAGATCACAATGCAGTAGAGATTGAATTAATTTCTCCTTTTTGTGTATTTGTTCTTGGAACCAAATTATCATTTTTTTAACATTAAGAGCTTATTTTTAGAGGTTCTATCAGGAGAGCACCGCTATTCATAAACTCTTGAGCAAAGAAGAGTCCTCATATTTTCAGAACAATTTTTGGAACCTAGGTTTTGGCAGATTATATATGTTTTTAAGGTAAATCTTAAAAATGACTAAATATATTTACTAGCCATTTAGTCTCCATTAATTGATCACAGACAAGATAATTATTTTCTCTCACACAAAGTAAATTAACTTCAAACATTGTATCACCATGGCAGAATCTAAAATATACTGGGATTTTGGATATTTCAGAATCCTATTTATTTGGTTACCTGGATCCAGAGCTAAATTTTAATACATCTATATAAAGCTGAGAAATCTCAGAATCACAGTAGAGATAAAATGATGAGAATCATGAGTCAGAGCATTTTCTAGACTTAATGTTATTACACATTCCCAATATCAAAGAATTCACATACAGTGCATAACTTGTAGTAGGCACTTGAGACATATTTCATGAATGAATGAATGGGAAAATTACATATACGTTTTAATCACAATTGTATATTTGGCAAATATCTACATAATAAGTGATTCACACAGGCTTAACCTGTGTTTTTTTTTTAAGCAGTAATTATACGTAACCATCTAGGTGGATTCACATGTAAGTCACTGGCTATGAGAAATATTACTACATTTTAGGTTGAATTTGCTTTCCAACTAGTCTTTTCACTTTCGAGAGTTATCAGCTAGAAAGTCTATTTATCAGAAAGGCACTTTTTGCATTTTAGAAATGACTGTAACCCCCTAAGTCGGTTTTGAAATTTGTAAAAAGCCTCCCCAGGGCTCCAGCTGATATTTTGACCTGACCAGGAGAGCTGGGCCTTTTTTCTTTGGGCTCACTGCTGGTAATACTGATATGGACCTCTCACTTCATTAGCTGTGATAAGGGCATTATTTCCCCCACTGCTTGTGAGAGACAAGACTATAGAGATTCTCTAGAGCGGTAGTAAATTCTGCCCTTATCACACACAAAAAAAGGGAGTCTGTTCTCATACACCCTTATCACATTGGAAGGCATATTAATCACAAATGCACTTTGTGAAGAAGCTCGGTCCTACATCTTTAAAAATAGTTTTGATTGGTTTGGTGTATTTTTGAAATAGGTTTGAAACAGCTGCAAGAAGTAGTTGCAGGGAAACAGACAGGACTATGTAGAAGATAATAAGGCTGGAAAACAGTGCTCTTGATATGACAAATAACGCATGGCCCAGAGGCAGTTTAACATAGTAACTACTATTACTACTAATAATGGCTAGCTTGTATATAGCACTTATTATGTACCAGACCCTAATTCTAAGTGCTTTATATTTCTTAACTAATCTTTACTTAATCTTATTACATTGCTACTATCATTAACCCTATGTTATATATGAGGAAACTGAGGCAGACAAAGTGTGAATAATTCACCCACAGTCAAACAGCTAGTAAGTAATGCAATCAGTATTTTGTTTTGTTTTCTTTTGTTTTGTTTTTCAGCTTTTTAGATTTAGGAAGTACATGTGCAAGTTTGTTATGTGGGTATATTGTGTCAAGATGAGATTTGGGTATTAAATGGTCCCATCATCCAGGTACCCAATAGTTGGTTTTTCAACACTTGCCCCCTGCCTTACCTCCTCCCTCTAGTGGTCCCCAGTTTCTATTGTTGCCATATTTATGCCCATGAGTACCCAATGTTCAGCTTCCACTTATAAGTGAGAACATGGTGGTATTCGGGCATCTGTTCCTGCTTTAATCTGCTTAGGATGCTGGCCTCCAGCTGCATCCATGTTGCTGCAAAGGACATGATTTTGTTCTTTATTATGACGGCATAGTATTACATAGTGTATATGTACCATATTTGTTTTATCCAACCCACCATTTTTGGGCACATAGGTTGATTCCATGTCATTGCTATCATGAATAGTGCTGCAATAAACATACAAGTGCATGTGTCTTTTTGGTAGAAAAATTTGTTTTCTTTTGCTGTATAACCAATAATGGGATTGCTGGGTGGAATGGTCGTTCTGTTTTAAGTTGTTTGAGAAATCTCCAAGCTCCTTTCCACAGTGGCTGAGCTAATTTACATTCTTACTGACAGTATATAAGCTTCCCCTTTCTCTGCAGCCTTGTCAGCATCTGTTGTTTTCTGACTTTTTAATAATAGTCATTCTGACTGCTGTGAGATGGTATATTATCGTCATTTTAATTTGCATTTCTCTGATGATTAGTGATGTGGGGCATTTTTTTCAAATGTCTGTTGACCACTTATATGTCCTCTTTTGAGAAGCGTCTGTTCATGTCTTTTGCCCATTTTTAATAGAATTATTTGGGTTTTTTTTTTTTTTGCTTCTTCAGTTGTTTAAGTTCCTTTTAGATTCTGAATATTAGACGTTTGTTAGATGCATAGTTTGTGAGTATTTTCTCCCATTCTGTCCATTGTCTGTTTATTCTGCAATGGTTTCTTTTGCTGTGCAGATACTCTTTAATTACGTCCGACTTTCAATTAATATTTTTGTTGCAACTGCTTTTGAGGACTTAGTCATAAATTCTTTCCCAAGACTGATGTCTAGAATGGTGTTTTCTGCGTTTTTTTTTCTAAGATTCTTATAGTTTGAGGCATTGCATTTAAATCTTTAATCTATCTTGAGTTAATTTTTATATGGTGAAAGGTAGGGGTCCAGTTTATTCTACTGCATATGGCTAGTCAGTTATCCCTAGCACCATCATTGAAGAGATTGTCCTTTGTCTAATGTTTATTTTTGACAACTTTGTTGAATATCAGGTGGTTGTAGGTGTGTGGCTTTATTTCTGGGTTCTCTATTCTATTCTATTGGTCTATGTGTCTGTTTCTGAACCAGTACCATGCTGTTTCGGTTACTGTAGCCTTATGGTATAGTTTGAAGTAGTGTAATTTGATGCCTCTGGCTTTTTTTATTTTTCCTTAGGATTGCTTTGGTTTTTCAGGCTCTTTTTCAGTTCCCTATGAATTTTGTAATAGTTTTTTCTAGTTTTGTGAAAAATTGGATTGATAGTTTGATAGGAATAGCATTCAAACTGTAGATTGCTCACTACAGGCTGTCAAACTCATTTCATTTGTGACAAGAGCTGGAATTAAACTTTGTTCTCCAGAGATGTGATGCCCATGTATTAATCTGATCTGTGCTTTTTTCCAAGCCACCTTGTATATTGCTATAGCAGCTTTCCTTTTTGCTGCTAAATCTATCTTATTTGTTTGCTTGTTTCATTTGGAAGTAAAGAGAAAAGCATTTTTGTGTTCGCCCTGTTGGTAGAAAGAACTTTCATTGCCTCTGATTGGCATGGGGTCAGCCTTCTACTGAGCTCTAGCAGGCTCAGGCAGGCCACCTAATCATATGTCCTTTATTTGCTACCTGCTTCTCTGGCTCTGGCTCTGTCTCCTCTGATTTATCAGCCATCTCTGATGCTGCAAAATAACACAAAGCTCACATATTGAAGAAGCTTCAAACTCATACCTATGTCAAAGGATTGCCATTTTTACATCTCATCTGAGATGGCAAATCATTTGCCTTTATATTTTGTTTTAACATGACCAAGGGAGACCAAATCATGTAGTCCTGGGTTAGATGGGGTGGTGGGTCTTAAATATTATCAGTAAATGATGATAGATAAATGGCTGAGTTCCATTTTTAAACTTATATGCCTTTGGATCAGCATTAACATATCCGTTAAGTCTTTTTCTATAAGAAATCATATTTTTAAAATATTAGAATATAAGAAAAATATACTTTTAAATGTTGCTCAGATAGCATTTCCCGGCTGAAAAGACTGAGGTCATTATAACTGTCTTAATTGATTTTGAAGTTGAGTAAACGCAGAGATTAAAATAGAATACAAATGTGTCACTTGCTATCATAATTTAATAAAAAGTAATGCATGGCCTCTGGGAATGTATATTAAGTTTAAGTTTTGGTCAATCAAATTAAAAGCAATGCCTACTTATTTGAATTGAACGATTTTGAGGAAGACTCTGAATACTATTATTTTAGAAAATGATTTTTCAAGCTAAGAAATATAATTGGACTTAATGCAGTATTAATGGTCACATTGTGGTTTCCCTGACATTTTAAAACACTTTTATGCTAATAGGAGTGTCAGTTCATGTTGCCTCTCAAATACTAAATGACTTTTGATTGGTTATTGGGAGGAAGTTTTTTTTTTTTTTTTTTTTTTGGCACAATGTCTCAGCATGAAAGTGTGTTGGAGGGCATACTTGTTGAAAAAAATTTCAGGTATATGCTGGGTAGCCATCAGCCTTCTTGCTAAGTTTGATTTAATTTGCAAACCCCATATCAGAACATCTGTGCATTTAGACTGTCTGTCTAATGGAACCTGGAGCCCAGGACCCTTAGAGGGATATAGCAATCAGATTTTATTCATAAGGCTTTTTTCTTATTTTTCCCATTGTACCAGGTTAGTTCTAGGCCAATTATGGGCACTGATTTTATTGGGTCAATTGTTAAACTAAACACCTAAATTAATACTTTTGAAAATATTCTGTCAATAGAAAAAGTATTTTGATGAATTTTTACCCTTAGAATCTCTGAACATACATTGAAACTGCATCCTAATGATATGCTTGACTTATGTGACACCTTTCTAAAGACCTTTGAGTACAGTTATGAATTGAGAATGTGTAGCAGGATATATTTTTTCTCCATTTTCCCTTAAACATGGAAACTAAGGTATAACCAATACAATTGCCTCAAGGTGACAGTGGCAGAGGTAGAATATAACTGTAGTTAGAAAAAGGGCATGGTTTTTACTTCGTCATACAATTGTTTGTCTAGGCCAAATGATACCTATCATTCTTCCTTCCATCTCAAAATGATAAGGAAGCCTTGAGTGGCTTCATTTATTCACTACAGACCATGGGCAGGCCTAGAAAGCTGGTCACTTCACTCTGGAGTATTACTAAATCTTTGTTTAGAGATAAAGAGTAAAACTATGTACGCGTCCTACTTCTATGCATCCTAATCTCTTTCTTCCCTGCAGTAACAAGCCTCACACGTCTCTATCTGAGAGGGAAAATTAAAAGATTAACAATACTCACTCTTGACAATGGTATGAGAGAATTGTTACCTTCATTCACCTTTGTTGAGAGCATACATTGATTAACAGCTTTTTGGAGAGCAAATGGCAATATGGAACAAAACTTAAAGGTGTATATCTTTCTTTTTTTTTCTTATAATTTATATTTTAAAGAATTTATCCGATACTGTAGCTTCCAGTGATAGGGCAAATTTAAATATCTGGGAGACACAAAGAAGAAAATACTAGATTCTGCATAATTATAATATGTATTATATTGCTTGGAACACATAGAGTAAGGAAAATCTCTGAGATTAAGAAAATGTGAGCTAAAAACAGAGGCGTGAGCAGGAAGCACATGAAAAGACAGGATTGTCTAATAATAAATGCTGAAAACCACATTGAAAGGAGAAAGGGAGATACTGGAACCCAATATTCCTGAGTGAAGTGTAGGCCTCTGAATAAGTGATTAAAATGTTCAAGGTTACTAGCACCCCACGACTCTCAGAAAAAGCAAACTCAATTCCTCTTTGGAATATAGAAAGATGAAGAAGAAAACAACTCTAAGTTCATATTCAAAGATCACAAAATTCACCAAGAAATGAACCATCATGAGTTAGGGTCAGCAGGAATCAGCAACAATAGCAAAATCCCAACAGATTTAGACTCATAGAGGTTTCTGAATCTAAAATTATCAAATCCAGAATACATGAAAATTACAATGAAATGAAAAATCACCATGAATAAATAATGGATAGAATTATAAATTGAGTAATCAAGAAGAAACTACAAACTGTGTACAGGCAATAAAACTTACTATAATACTTTGGGAGGCCGAGGCGGGCAGATCACAAGGTCAGGAGATCAAGACCATCCTGGTTAACACAGTGAAACCCTGTCTCTACTAAAAATACAAAAAAAAAAAAAATTAGCCTGGCATAGTGGCGGGTGCCAGTAGTCCCAGCTACTCGGGAGGCTGAGGCAGGAGAATGGCGTGAACCCGGGAGGCGGAGCTTGCAGTGAACTGAGATCGCACCACTGCACTCCAGCCTGGGCGATAGAGTGAGAATCTGTCTCAAAAAAAAAAAAAAAAAAAAAACCCTTAATATAATAAAAACTATCATTGTTGAAATAATAAAATTAATGGATATGTTAAAGAGTGAACTCACAGACAATATTGAAGTGAAACTAAAAGAGAGCTCAGAAAGAAACCAACTCGGTATATGGCAGTTTAGCATATAGTGATGGTAGCACAGGAAGGCTTTATTTTACCCTCTTTTTGACCAGAAGTCAGCTAACTATGGCCTGTGGGCCAAATCTGGCTCACCACATCCATTAAATTATGTACTATCTATGGCTGTTTTTGCTCAACAAAGGCAGAGTTGAGTAGTTGTGATGGAGACTATGTGATCCTAAAAGTTTAAAATATTTACTATCTGGCCCTTTACAGAAAAACTTTTCTGACCCCTATTCTTGAAATGTTACTTTGCTAGGTTTACAATTCTAGGAAGACTAAAATCTTAAGTATAATAATTCTTTCCAAATTGATTAATAATGCCAATGAAAATGCAATTAAAATCCTAACATATTATTTTGAGGAAGCTCACAAACAATTCCAAAATTCATAAGAAAGAAGAAGCGCCCAGGAAGATTCAAAAGAAATGTGAAAGAGGAAGTGGAGGAGGAGACAGTGTGAGAAATTGCTTTACCAGATATCAAAAATTATTATAATGATATGAAAATTATGAAAATATGACATTGGCTCCAAAATAATCATAATCATTAGTAGTAGTCATGCCAGTAGTAATACCTAACACTACATATTAATGGTTTTAATCTTTACAACAACCTTATGAGAATAGTGTTCATTTTCTCCATTTTAAAAATTTAAAAACTGAACCACAAAGAAGTAATAAACAAATTGACCAATGGAACAAGTAGAGATTCTAGAAGGAGACATTGTGTTCTGTTTATCTAATGCTGTGTAAAAAAAAAAAAAATCATTGTCAAATTTGGTGGCTTGAATCAACAACAATTTACTCTCTCTCACAGGATCTCATTAAGTTGCAGTGAGATGGTAGCAAAAGCAGGGGTAATCTAAAACCTTTGGTGCCTGGGATGGGAGGACTCAAACAACTGGGGATTGGAATATTTGTGGTACCTTAGATACTTCTCTTTATTTTCACGTAGTTTCTTCGGTATAGTGCCTTCGGTGTAGCCAGAATTCTTCCATGGTGTCTTAAGGTTCAAAAAGCATATGTTCTGAGAGATAGCCAGACAAGGAGCTGCATCACCAATTATGCCCTAGCCTAAGAAGTCATGAAGTTACTCCATTGTAATCACTGGCATGACCAGATTCAAGAGGAGGAAACAGGCTTCAACTCTTTATGGAAGAGTATCATGTAACATTGTAAAAAGAGCATGTTACATGGGCTCTGTTCCTGTGGCCATTTTTTGGGCCATACTCTGATGCATGTGGCAACAATATGCCTGAGGTGTCATTGAAGATTAGCTGGGAGAGGGCTGATCAATGTCATACATTGTACTGATAAAGTTGGCGGTATGTAAAAAAGAAAGAAATTGTACATTTATCTCACCGACCTCCCCAAAAAATTTTGATAAATGATTTAAATGTGAAAGGCAAAACCTGGAAGTTTATGGAAGAATAGTTTTATGTTCTCAAAGTAAGGAAAATTTTTTTTGAGACACACTAATTGCTAAGCATAAAATAGAAGATGAGCAAATTTAATTATATTAAAATAAGAATGTTCATGAAGACAAAATAAAAAAGTAGGAAGACAAACTAAAAACTAAGAGAAGATATTTGAAATACATAAAATAGACAAAATTTTGTTATCTAGAATACATAAAGAACTCTCACAAATCAATAAGATAAAGACAAACAATAGAAAACTTGTCAGAAGCATGAATAACTATTTCACATAAAGGAAAAAAAAGTATGAACATATCAAAAAGTGTTCAACCTCATTTGGAATAAAGGAGATTCAAATTACTAGCAAAATGATATAGAACCTCAAAGTTGGCAAAAACTAGTAAATCTGATAAAATTCATGTGATGATATCAATATGTAAAACAATCATAATTCTTCTTTTCTAATACTATTTTTATGAACGTTTAAATTTCTACAATCATTCTGGAAAACAATTTTGTAGTGTCTTGGACATTTGAACATGCATATATTATGTGATCCAGCAATACAGGAGAATGGACTATTAAATTGTAGGACAGTTACAAATTGCAATAATTTATAAGAGGAAAAATGAATGAACCATAACTACACACAATAATGTAGATAAACTCAATATAATATTGACAGAAAAAGAAATTTCAGATTACATACAAAAAAATATGATGTTTATAAAGGTCAAAAACATGTAGATCAAATACACTATGTGTTCAGGAATAAAAGAAAACCCTTTTAAAAAGCAAAATGCAAAAATTCAGCAAATTAAGTAGGTTGCAGGCAGTGGAGGCAGGAGAATGAGAGAGGGATAGAGTATATGGAAATAACAAAGGAATCATAATGACTTACTTTTTGAGTAGAATGATGGATCCATGCTTCTTAATTTTATTATTTGGCTTCATATTTCGCATATATGTTATAGTTATTTTAATCATATCAAATAAAACCTGTTAAACATAATGATTAATACCAAGCCTCTAGTATACAAAAATTATTGCATAACTATGTAAAGGCATCTGTCAGAAGATGTTCATTGTAGCATTATCTTTAATAGCAAAAGACTGGAAACCACCAAAATGTTCATATCCAGAGAGTAAATAAATAAACTATAGTACATATGAATTGAAGTGCTTTGCATCCATTACAAATAATGTGGGACATTTGTATGTTTTAACATAGAAGTTTATCTTTGATGTGTTTACTGAAAAAAGGTTGCAGAGAAGTTCTTTTCTATAATTCCATTTTTTGTGAGAAGAAATGTTATAATGTATATATATTATATATATACATTGATGTGTGTGTTTTTACACACATGTGCTTTTAGCACTTTACAAAAGTGCTAAATGATGCACATTAAAATTTTATTGGTACTTGTTTCTTAATATGTGTGAGGAAAAAGGAGAATCTACTTTTAATTGTTTATATTTCTGTATTGTTTGACTTGAAAAATCGTGTGTGATTTTGTAATAAAAAAACAAATGCAAATGAAAATTAGGCACAAATCTCCTCTTTCTAACTCACATTACCATACTGGGTCTGCCAAAGTCAATTATTTGCCATTCTACTTTTTTTCTAAGGTAATCCAAGCACTATCCACACTGTAATAAGAGAGCTCCCTGCTATGACCTGGCTGGCAGTGTACCTGGGTTATGATTTGATGAGGAGGAAGTGTCTCAGAATCCTTTTGTGTATCAAGGCCATTGTCACACATGTGCTCTATCTCAGAGATTGCCTGAATATCAGTAATAAATGAACGTACATTCTTCTTGTCATGAGCAAAAGTTTCCCTCAGGATGTTTTACAGTTATTTTCTCACTTGTTGATGGCATTCCTTTTTCGTTCTCCTGTACCTTTTCCAAAAACACAAGATCCACTGAAGCCCCTGTAAATATGGTCTTGCCAATGTTTCAAAAGCAGTTAGATGTTTCAAGCCAATGCAGATGCTTCTATTTACCAGAACAGCTCTTCTCCCTTCCTCACACCTTTTCTATGAAACATTGTATCAATGGGCTCATAGAATATAAACATCTGGATCCAGCAACTGTATTAAGAAATTATATGATTTGTTTACACAGGTGTTTTCCCTCATATTTTTTCAATCTAATGACATTTTCCTTCTAAAGATCCTTGTCACAAAAGCTATTAATAGCATTTTTCCCCGATGGTGCTAATGGCCATTTCACATACGAAAGGAAGGTAGCAGCAAGGCAGTGCCATGCTGACTTTTCTGACTGCTATACTTCTTGTCCATTATAACCCAAACGCTTTCTTTCTCAGGCCTTTCTTCTCTCCCACCTCTATCAGCCCTTCAAAAGGGCCCTTTGCCTTGTAAAATATAAAAGATTTTTAAAAATCTCTGCTGTGAATCAAAGCCTCAAACTGTCCACTTTCATTTCTTTAAACAGTGTATTATGAAGTTGGAAGAATTGCCACAACAGCAGTATAGAGTGAAGAGTATAAAACATCTCGAGCTGAGAGCATAGCAAAAGGTTTTTTCTGTGCTTGGAAAACTGACACACACACACACACATTTATACATGCATATACATATAGCCACATTTACCAAGTTGTAAAATTTAAAACAGAAAAGTGGAGAAGGTAATAGTTGTAAATCATTTGTGACTTTTTTTTTTTTTTTTTTTTTTTTTTTTTTTTTTTTTTTTGAGACAGAGTCTTGCTCTGTCGCCAGGCTGGAGTGCAATGGCGTGATCTCAGCTCACTGCAAGCTCCGCCTCCCGGGTTCACGCCATTCTGCTGCCTCAGCCTCCCGAGTAGCTGGGACTGACTGTAGGCGCCCGCCACCACGCCCAGTGAATTTTTTGTATTTTTTTAGTAGAGATGGAGTTTCACTGTGTTAGCCAGGATGGTCTCGATCTCCTGACCTCGTGATCCGCCTGCCTCGGCCTCCCAAAGTGCTGGGATTACAGGTGTGAGCCACTGCGCCCGGCCTCGTTTGTGATTTAAAGACACAAAAACTTCAAAAGCAATATGGAATTAAAATGAGACATGAAGAAAAGTGTGACTTAACTAAAGAATACAATGAATAACTGGTTAAATAAATAGACTTCACCAGTAAATTTAAGCATGAGTTGTTCAGACATTCTCTTGTAGGGAAGAACACATCGGCAGCTTAAAATTCCTCTGGTATACTTCGTAAAATGATCCTCACTGGCAAGTTATAATCCTGTTCAAGCTCCTTTCATGCCTTTTCCTCCTCCTCTTCCCCCTTCTCTCCCATTCTCTCTACCACTTCTGTTCATTCCATTGTCTACATCCTAGAAATTTACTTTCTCTATTACAACTTGCCAAAGCAATTCCACAGTTGCTTACCTGATAGGTCTCTGGTCCTGACTTTCCATATTTGGCTTCTCCCTGGCTCTCATCACCTTTCTTAGGCTATATGCTCTCCTTTCTCCTCTCCCTTTCTATTGATAATTGTTTCAGCCTACAAGGTAGTATGAAAAATGAATCATTTATATTTGAAAATTGTATCTTTGACTTAAGATAACAAGGCTGCCTTTGGAGAAAAGAAAAAAACAATGGTGGCTACATGTTTAGTTGCTAAGCTTTAGCCAAACTAGGGCCAGAGGGCAGGCTTTCTGCTTATGGAATCTAGTGCCAGTAGGAGTTTGGACAAAATGTTTTGGCCGTCATCCTTCAGTAGCACCAAGCTGTGTTATCTTTTGTGCCAGGCTCCTGTGATTAGGACCACAGGAGACTGTCACTTTGAGGTACATGCAGAACAAAGCATAATAAGATTTTAAAAATTGAAATGTGAGGGATATATATTTTTTACTATTAGTTTCCACTGGGAAGGAACATTTCTATTAGAGACTTCCTCTTTTCAAGACAAAAGCAAAAAAGAAATCTAAGAAAATAGTTTAAAGTTTAAATGGTTATTGACCAAAATATATCCATTCCCTGAGAAATCTATTTCTTACAGGTTAAAGTGTCTGATTCATCTATGGTTGCTTGAGAATTGCCAGTTGGAAAGCATCAAACCTCCCACAGTGCTAGCTCCTCCACTAATGGCACTCAATAACAGTTTAATAATGAACTGTTTGTGGATGCGGTAGTTGAATTTTTCCCTATTTTGTCACTTAGTCATTCGAAAAGTAAAAATTCCATGGGTTCATAAATATTAGAATCATTGTTAGGAATAGAGCACTAGCTATTATAATCCCCAAAAGTAGACCTATACCACCTGATAGAGAGCTGCAATTATTTCTTGGAGAAATAAGGCTTAGTTTCTTAAGCCAATTTGCTTGTATCAGAAAGTAACAATACTCAAAATATGCAAAGCAATGAGGAACTATAAAATAATTCTAATCTCGGCAGGTCAGTGTATATCTATACTCGGTGTAGTTTTTCAGTCTGGGAAACAAGCTGGGCAAGACTGAAATTTTTACACTTGGCCTCTATGAACTTGGTTTCTTGTAACTGGATAAGGAAAAACATGATCTTCCTTATAGTGGATTTAACTAAGGCATTTCTATGTAATTCCAAAACCATAGGCTAGGTTAGTTAGCTCAATCAAACATCTAGTAAACTCAGTGGTTTAAAAAAAAAATCCCAAGAATAAGATACTTTTTTTTTAATCCAAAAACCATTTGACAGATTTTTATTTTTCTTTTTGCCAGTTGAATTTCCATTGCGTAAAGGGACCCTAAGGCCATGATTCCAAATACTAGTTGTGTTAACAACTGAAGTTGTCTCCAAGAATGTCAGAGGCTGTCAAAAATTCTCAAAACAAAATTACCTTTAATTCATTCCAAATCACCAAAAATATGCTACAGAGCACAGTTATTGAAAGTCATGAACTCAAATACTTAAAGTGTCACAATTTCAAATCAGACAAGAAATAGATGATCCAGCCCAACACTATCATAGAGCTATTTTTCTCTCTAAATTTTCAATAATGTGGGTTATTAAACGAGGTTTTCAGGAATGGTGGTGAAACATGTTGATTTTTAGTGTGGTGAGGTTTTTTTAATCATCTGCTTGTTACATTATTATTATTTTTGATGACACTTCAGAAAGTGTCCATTAATTGCTTGTTGGGGATTTGAAAATAATACTAGCTACCAGTTATGTTTCTAGGTGTAGTTAGGGAGGTACTCTATGGAGAAAACAACTGTGTTAGAATACTTTTGCTTACAAGTCACAGAGACCGGCCTGAAGTTGGCTTAAGTGATTAATAATGATGATGATGATGGTAATGCTGATGATAATAATCCATTTTAAAGAATTTTGACTCATAAACTGAAATGTCAGAGTATCTAGGAACAAGAAGGAATAAATCCAGCAGCTTAAACCTTTTCATCAAGACATGATTTTTCTAATCTCTTGGCTCAGCTTTTTATCTGTACTTGCTTTACATGCTTTGCATTGTTGTGTCTTTTGTCTATGCAGGCAGACTCCCCCCATGTCATGACAACAGCCCCAGTGGTATATCAATAAGCTAGCAACCCTAACATAAAGAAGTGGCTCAATAAAAATACTAGAGCTCATTCTTATTTGCTCTGGGTCATGTTCATGTAGATGAACAAACGTCTGTGAGGATGATCAGATCTGGGTCATGCTCCTACTTTTGAGACCAAGGGCTCAACTTTAATCACATGGATTAGAAGAACTGAAAGGTGATGGTCCTTCATAGGAAAATGAAGGACTTGGTGTTTTGCTTCCCCACATAAACCAAAAAAATAACATCTGAACATGTGTTCTTGATTTGTTTTTCAGAAACCTGGACCTTCACCAGATGGAAAACACTGACCACTATCATGTAGCCCTAAGATAAGAAGGAACTGAGGACTGAACACTGACAGAAGCTCTTTTTCTAAATTTCTTCCTGCAGGGCCTGGCGAATCATGCCTACAGGCCAGGCGAAACCTTAACATTCCTTTCTTCTAACCCCAAGTTTTTACACAAAGCCTTCCTTCCTTAACAAATTGCAAATCATAGAGTCTCTGAATCCACCTATAACCTGTAAGCTCCCACTTCAAGATATCCCACCTTTTTGGGAGAAACCAATGTATACCCTCTATGTATTAATTTATAATTTTGCCTCTAACTTCTGCTTCCCTGAAATGTACCCCTGCCTTTCAAAACCTTTGCTTGTAAGACATCAGGGAGTTTGGGTATTAAGCATTAGCTTTCCAATTTTTCTTGCTTGTTGTCTTGCAATAAATACCTCACTTTCTCTGACTGCAAATCTTGGTGTCAGTGTTTAGCTTTTTTTGCACACTGGGTAAATAGACCCAAGTTTGGCTCAGCAGCAGAAACAAAGGCTCAAAGGAGCTAAATTATTTGCCTATAAACACATAGCTAGCTAGAAAGAGTCTAAGCTAGGATTTGAACTCAGGTCTGTATAGACTGGAAGCCTGTGTATGCTATTTTCACTGCGTTATTGAGCACTCCTTATTTATATTGTTCTTGCCCATATAAAATTTTATGTAAATGACAAACTATTACACTTTGATACTAAGAAGTTAGAATGGCTTGAGTGCAATCTAAGAAGGAAGAATTGAAGAACTGCCTTGACACTTGAAATCTGACAATAGTAAAAGCAGTATTCTATGTGGGAAGCAGAGCAGAGTGAATTATCTCTCTCATTTGACAAGACTGTTGACAACACTAACCACATTAACATCTCAGAACATCCTTGATCTCATCATTCCATCTTTTGATTTCAAGATAACTTTACCCTGGGAATTAAATATTGCACTCATCATTGATGCTGCCTATAATGTAAATAGAAAGCGTTGCATTAGCTTTTAAAATCATTTTTGGCGATGCTCCTTTTCCATAGAAGTTAATGCTTAAGAATATTTCATTGAAGAACAAGTCACAATCAACCACAGAAATACTGAACAAGCCAATTGAAACTAGTCAACTCCATCATGCAGAAAATCACACATTATTTATAAAAGAAAATCTGGGAGTTATTCCAGAGAACATACCAAAAAGTACAGATAGGGCTTTTCAAATATTTTAAACTTGAAATGAGTATTCTAATACATTAACAATTTATTTACTAACAACATTTATAGTGCATGCAGTAGTTTTTTCTTTCTTTTTTTAAGTATCAAGTGAATCTTTCATTACAGTCATTTATATTATGAAATCAGTCTTTCTGTACTTGGAGATTTACATTTTAGTGGGCAGCATTGGACAGCTTTCTGTGCTTAAAGTTTGTCAGTATTTTCATTATCAGCATTTCTTTTTCTCCCTCTGAGCTATTTCACAACCATTCTAAATTGTATCTGGCTAAAACTTGGCATCAAATTGCCAGCTTAGAAAGAATTCCATCTCAAAGAAAATCCCAATGTCAGTCTAATGAGCTGAATTGCACATACAGCACAGGCGTTTTTCAATAACTCAAACCACTATTTTTAAATTCAGCTATAACTAAAATATTGAGATAATTATGATATACAAGTCACTGTAGATGAGAAGACAATTAGAAAATCAATTTTCTTATTAATTTTCTCAACTATGTCCAGGAATTTTTGAACCATTGTCTTCATTCTAAGATGAAATAGATTCATTTCAGCAAAGTTGTGGCAAAGTATTTTTCTTTTTTAGTTGTTATTTGGCATAACTCACCTACTTGAATGTTTGCTAAAGTGTTACAGTTTAGCTTAAAACTTTTTGTTTGAACATTGACTCAGACTGTCTTCCCATAGTTAAAAAGGGACAGAATTGATGCATTGTAGGCGTCCTCTGCTGCTTGGTGTGATAAACACTGTCTAACAAGTCTGGAAAAATCTATTTTGATGCTACTTCCCCAATTAGACCTGTTAAATGGTCTTTGAATGACTGAATTTGGTTTTGGTTTTACACCCAGATAGATTGTTAAGCTAATGTTTTAAAGTAGAGTAAACTAAAGAATCATTAACATTAATTTCTAAGAAGTACTTTTTTTTTTA
The DNA here is from genome assembly GCF_000001405.40 of Homo sapiens. Taxonomy (NCBI): domain Eukaryota; kingdom Metazoa; phylum Chordata; class Mammalia; order Primates; family Hominidae; genus Homo; species Homo sapiens. The sequence continues at coordinate 98,778,045 of NC_000023.11, read as the reverse complement.
TCAAGTCTGACTATAAGCAAATGAAATTCTAATTGTTTTGTTGAGATTCAGTGTAACTTGATTACCCTCTAACTACTCAGTAATTTTTGGAAATTCTGTTCATTCAGTCTGAACAGTTGCAGATGACTTGTATGTGTATAAGAAAACTCTGTCATTAGCATACGTTCTGAGAACACCTTCGAATATGTGTACATATTTGAAAGCTCCTGAGGAAAAGATGTCACATTCATTCAAAAACTATTTACTGAGGCTCTTTGTCACCTTGTGCAAGGCTCTGAGGTAGTTCTCTGAAGGATGTAAATTGATAAGATAGCACACACATTCAAGGCACTTGTTATTTACTATGAGAAATAACATCTACAAAAAATCTTGAAAAGTAAGGCAATATAGGATATGGGTTCAATAGAAAGAGATTGCAATCCCTGAGAAAAGCTGAGGGCTGTTATTTCTGCTTTATTTCTAAAATATACAATGCAAATATATTTATTATTTGAGGTACACTAATCCAAACTCTGGTTTTTTAGTACTATTTGATGAACTCTGATCAATCAGGTTGCTACATGCTGACATAATTTAGTGGGTCAAATGAAACTGCTTCATAAATTTGGCAATTGTCAATCCTTCTGTAACAGGCTTGGTCAATAAATTCTCATAGCATTGTTTTCTTAAATAGCCAGATTATAACTAAGGCCATGTAGAAGCTATTAAACTATTGCCACCATGATTTTATTGATGTTCACATTTGTATTTTCCAAATGACAGTTCCATTTAAATCTGAACTAGTGCCTTTTTCAACCCTGGATCCTTCAGAGAATTTGCTAGTCTGTATAAGTACAGATAACCTGTTTGTATTAGTCCATTCTCATGCTGCTGTAAGGACAGACCTGAGACTGGGTAATTTATAAGGAAAGAGGTTAATTGACTCACAGTTCCACATGGCTTGAGAGGCCTCAGGAAACTTACAATCATGGAGGAAGGGGAAGCAAGCATGTCCTTCTTTACAAGGCAGCAGGAAGGAGAAGAATCAGCACTCAGTGAAGGGGGAAGCCCCTTATAAAACCATCAGATCTGGTGAGAACTAACTCACTATCACAAGAACAGAATGGGGGAAACCGCCCCCATGATTCAATTATCTCCAACTGGTCCCTCCCACAGTGCATGGGGATTATGGGAACTACAATTCAAGATGAGATTTGGGTGGGGACAAAGCCAAACCATATCATTCCACCCGTGACCACTCCCAAATCTCATGTCCTCATATCTCAAAACACAATCATGCCCTTCCAACCATCCCGCAAAGTTGTAACTCATTCCAGCATTAACACAAAAGTCCAAGTCCAAAGTTTCATTTGAGACAAGGCAAGTCTTTTCCACCTAAGAGGCCATAAAATCAAAAGCAAGTTAGTTACTTCCTAGATACAATGGGAACACAGCCATTGGGTAAATACATCTGTTCTAAATGGGAGAAGTTGGCCAAAAAGAAGGGGCTACAGGCCCTGTGCAAGTCCAAAATCCAACATGGCAGTCATTAAACATTAAAGTTCCAAAATGATCTCCTTTGACTGAATGTCTTACCTCCAGGTTATGCTGGTGCAAGAGGTGGGCTCCCATGGCCTTGGACAGCTCCACCCCTGTGGCTTTGCAGGGTACAGCCCTCCTCCTGGCTGCTTTCATTGGCTGACATTGAGTGTCTGCAGCCTTTCCAAGGACACAGTGCAAGCTGTCAGTGGATCTGCCATTCTGGGGTCTGTAGGACGGTGGCCCTCTTCTCACAACTCAACTGGGCAGTGCCCAAGTGGGGACTCTGTGGGGGCTCCAAACCCACACTTCCCTTCTGCACTGCCTTAGCAGAGGTTCTCCATGAGGACTCCAAGCCTGCAGCAAACTTCTGCCTGGACAACCAAGCATTTCCATACATCCTCTGAAAACTAGGCGGAGGTTCCCAAACCTCAATACTTGACTTCTGTGCACCCACAGGCTCAACACCACTTTGAAGCTGCCAAGGTTTGGGGCTTGTGCCTTGTGAAAGCCATGGCCTGAGCTGTACCTTGACCCCTTATAGCTATGGCTGGAGTGGCTGGGATGCAGGGCACTAAGTCCTCAGGCTGCACACAGCAGAGGGGCCTTAGGCCCCACCCAGGAAACCATCTTTCCCTCCTAGGCCTCCTGGCTTGTGATGGGAGGAGCCACTGCAAACGTCTCTGACATGCCCTTGAGACATTCTCCCCATTGTCTTTGTGATTAATATTCAGCTCCTTGTTGCTTATGCAAATATCTGCAGCAGGCTTGAATTTCTCCCCAGAAAATGGGTTTTTCTTTTCTATTGCAGTGTAAGGCTGCACATTCTTCAAATGTTTATGCTCTGCTTTCTCTTGAACACTTTGCACTTAGAAATGTTTTCCCCCAGATACCCTAAATCATCTCTCTCACATTAAAAGTTCCACAGATCTCTAGGGCAGAGGGCAAAATTCTGCCAGTCTCTTTGCTAAAGCATAGGAAGAGTCACCTTTGCTCCAGTTCCCAACATGTTCTTCATCTCCATCTGAGACCACCTCAGCCTGAACTTTATTGTCCATATCACTATCAGCATTTTGGTCAAAGCCATTCAACAAGTCTCCAGGAAGTTCCAAACTTTTCCACATCTTCCTGTCCTTTGAGCCCTCCAAGTCTCTAGGAAGTTCCAAACTTCCCCCCATTTTTCTGTCTTCTTCTGAGCCCTCCAAACTGTTCCAACCTCTGCCCGTTACCCAGTTCCAATGTCACTTCCACATTTTTAGGTATCTTTATATCAGCACCCCACTATGCGGTACCAGTTTATAGTATTAGTCCATTCTCACATTGCTATAATGACATATCTAAGACTGGGTAATTTATAAAGGAAAGAGGTTTAATTGATTCACAGTTCCATTTGGCTAAGGAGGTCTCAGGAAACTTACCATCATGGCAGAAGAGAAAGCAACCACATCCTTCTTCACATGGTAGCAGGAAGGAGAAGAATCAGTGCCAGTGAAGGGGGAAGCCCCTTATAAAGCCATCAGATCTCATGAGAACTCACTCACTATCATGAGAACAGGATGGGAGAAACTGCCTCCATGATTCAATTATCTCCACCTGGTCCCTTCCACAACACGTGGGGATTATGAGAACTATAATTCAAGATGAGATTTCAGTGCAGACACAGCCAAACCATATCACTACTTGTGAGAGAGAAAGAGAAGGAAAACTAGATGGTTGAAAAGCATGAAATATTAACAAGAATAGCTTTTATGGTGTTTACATAAAACACAATAAAATAACTTCACTTGACAGATATTTCTCTCCTAGTAAGAAATTTAATGTTTTAAAATTAAGATTATTCCTCTGGATGTAATCTTGTACCCCAGCTAATGCCGTGTGTTCCCATTGAATATATACTACTAATTCATAAACTACCACATAATTTTTGAGATAGAATCACCTTAATCAATGGACACACATAATAAAACAAATGTAGTAACACTATTTATTAGAGTTCAAGTGATGCTATGAAATTTTAATTAACTTTTTCAAAGAATTGCATGATCCAAGAATAATAAAGAATCAGAATATGAATATGTACAATTTTGACTACCTACACAAACTACTTGAAGGTCAAGAGAGAATTAAACACATTTGCTCTACTTACATTTTCCTGTGCAGTTTAAAATGTCCCCATGTTTTTGTCCTTACAAATTTCTTGGTACACTATACTCAGTTTTTTCCCAATACTTCACTGTAATCACTAATAATCAGGGTATAAAATCATGATATACTGCTTAATACTCACTGATTTTTTTGTCAAAATTGTTTTGTAAGAGTGTACTAAGTTATTACTCATGATTTAGGTGACAATGAATCTACTCCTATTGATGAGTAACCAATCATTTTTAATAAAGCATTTAATTTTATATGATCCTTTTCAATACCATTTTGAAAATTTCTTAGAAATACTAAATTCTGCCTTTCAAACTGGAGTATGCAGTGGTATGTGAAAGTGCTTGTATGAAGAGTGAATTTTACTTAGTAATAAATATTTTTTAATTATAACAAGCATTGATATAATATAAAGTGAAATGCCAAATCAAATGATTGTTTAGATAAAATATATGACATAAAAGAAATCTTCACCCTACAACAGTTCCTAATTTACCTGACTCCATTTTTTCCCTCACTCTGTGGGATATATTATCATCTGGTTTTTATAAGTCTACTTTGATGGAAGCAAGCTGAGAAGCAGCAAAAAATTACAACTTGGGGCACAGAAAAAATAATCCAAATGCATAGTGTAACCTTGACTCACTGACATGCTCAACCCCAGAAATAGTCTCTTTTTCTATTAAAAAAAATCTACATGTGGTCACAAATATAGTCCTGGATTAGTGATCGTAGCATTTCTTATTGATGCTATCTGTGGCAGGTACAGAAACAGAAAGCCTGCTCTATTCTCAGAAGGCCATGAAAGAGAAAGGTTAATGTACATCTTCCCCTGTTCACAGTGATCAAGTAGGGAGTTGAAAGACTTGGAGACAGGAATGGGGGAAAGCTTTCTGGTTGAACAGGATTCATAGAGCAGCTTGTTCCTAAGCTGTAAGCATCACAAAATAAATATAAATACTGGCTGTGCTTGCTGTCTTTAACTGCCTTCAGGCTAGAAGATATTCCTAATTTAAGTCTGACTAAAAAGGCATTTATTATTTCATGTAATTGTCACAGAGACACTACACATGAAGGTACTCGCACATGAGTTTTACAGATGAGAAAACATTCTTATGAATGTTAAATAACTTGCTTATGATCACACAGAGTTCTTTTCCTTCTACCCTTCTGCTTTTCTTCTTTGATTTCTCCTTATTGTTTGAGAATATTCCCTGTGTTGTCCATTATAAGACCTCACACCTCTCTACCTGATAGTTTAGAAATTTGAACTGTGAGACAATTTTCAGGTTCCTTGTTTTAAATACAAAAACTTTTCACTTATTCTCTTATGAGGGACTAAATCACTTCCTTTTGTGCTAAAAAGCTGTTAGGAATTTAAACTCATGACTGTTAGGTCTTAGAATGAAACCACCAACTCAGTCTTGTGTTAATCTGAATATTTTAATTATTTTTTATTATAACAACTGAATTTGCAAAAGTTACAACAGTGAAATTAATTATCATATAAGTAATGGAACTGTTGCTTTTCTACATGAAATTTTTTACTGCTTCATTACACACCTATGTGGTAAGAAAACTAAAACATGGCTCCTAAATTCTAATGTAGATATGTTTCCAATTTTTGGAAAAGGAATGGATTCTGTGTTTAGGAAAGGATTCAATAAACATATATAACAATTGCAGTAAAATGTCTTGTGAAATATAAATTTTTCTGGATATGAGACTAGTATATCCTTTTTCCATAATAACTGGCTATTTTTCAAGTAGGTTAATTGTTGTTTGGTAGCCTGAGATAGATACATATGTGTATATATATGTCATTCAAATTTATTTTTGTCATCTCATAATGTCATAAAAATCAAATCATATAAAATATGAATTAGCATTCTAGAGTTTTGATGCATTGCTGTTGAATCCTTTACATTCAGAATAACTCTCTTTATGTTCAAAGTAAACATCTAGGCAGCAAATAGAAAATGTATGTGCCAGGGATCTTATAGGAGCATAAATTGCAATAATAACTTATAATAAAGAAGAATCAATGACACAATGTTGGGATGTAAACTTTGGTTGTTGTTGAGACTGGGTCTCACTCTGTCGCAGTGGCACAGTCTCAGCTCACTCCAACTTCTGCCTGCTGGGCTCAGGCGATCCTACCACCTCAGCCTCCTGAGTAGCTGGAACTACAGGCACCTGCTACCATGTTCTGCTATTTTTTATTTATTTATTTATTTATTTATTTTGTACTTTTGGAAGAGACAAGGTTTCACCATGTTGCCCAGGCCTGTCTGAAACTCCTGAGCTCAAGCAATTTGCCTGCCTTGGCCTCCCAAAGTGCTGGGATTACAGGTGTGAGCCACCGCACCTGGACACAAGAGAGGGATCTTTTAACGCCCAGTGGTCTGGCCTAATATTTTCTGGCTGCTCCCCAAGGATAGCTTGACAGATGACACTGCACAAGCATTTGGAAAGCTTTCTTCCTTGTAATAGTTACATTTGTTTCTATGTTTGCTCAGGAAAACATAAGCACCTAAACATAAAATACAATAAAATAAGTAGATTCCAGTTCAGCTAAAGATTTTAAAAGTCTTCCTTTAGTTTACTTTTTAAAAATTGGGATAGTGAATTGACACATAATGTTAATAGGAGAAGAAGAAAATAGTTGGGAATTCATGTCTTAATAAAAACTCATGTTTTAGGCTAAGATTTTTGTAACCATTTATTGAACATTTGAAAAATATATTTATTTTTAAAATATAACATGCAAATTAGCAAAAATGAAAAAAGAAACCATAATCTCATCTTTTGAGATAAATGATCCATTAACATTTTAATCTGTAGACTTTCAAGGGTTTTTTTTGCATTTATTCCATAAATGAGAGCACATTTTTCATATTGCTTTTTTCACTTCATCGTATGTCATAAAGTTCATTTAGTTCATTAAATACTTTTCTACTGAATCACTTTTAATAACTGCACGGTATTCCACACTACTTTTTATACAACCTCAAAAATATGTAACAAAACTCTTGTTTTAGGGCATTTAGGATATTTCTCATTTTTCACTGATACAGCAATATTGCAATAAAGATTCTATTATATATATTTTTGTGCATCTATTTATTTTTAAGATAAATTTCTCTAAGTAGATGTTCAAAGAATATGAATATCCTTAAGATGTTTGGTACATATTTCTAGACTTCTCTCTGAAAAGGTTTTATGAAATAAAGTTCCTACCAGTCATGTGTGATAGTGTCTATTTCATCTTATGCTCCCCCACACTGGAATGCTACATTTAAAATGGCATTAGTTATCTTAGGTATTTATTCACTGGGGACCAGGCATGTGATATACACCCCTAAAACAAACCATTACTCAAGTAAATATGCAAAAAGAAGTAAAAAACAACATGGACCAGCATACAGGAAGTTGCAAGACAAGCTTGTCCAACCCATGGCCCACCGGCTGCATGCAGCCCAGGACAGCTTCAAATGTGGCCCAACACAAATTTGTAAACTTTCTTAAAACATTATGTGAGTTTTTTTGCAATTTTTTTTTTAATTTTAGCTCATCAGCTATCATTAGTGTTAGTGTATTTTATGTGTGGCCTAAGACAATTTTTTTTCTTCCAATGTGGCCCAGGGCAGCCAAAATATTGGACACCCCTGTTGTAAGGAGTTGTTTAGTTCAATCCAATTCTGTTCAAAGCTTATGAGCTAAGGTAGGAATAGACACATAAATGACCTATTCTAAAATGCATGGAATGCAGGAGTTGTCTATTGTTGAAGATTTCTGCTTTTGCATTGTTCGTGAGGTTTTTTGTTTTTGTTTTTTCTGCAGAGTACCTAACATACTTAAATATCCTTGAGGGGACCATTGTCACTTTTATCTTTTTAAATACTTTATGTTAACAACAACATTCTAATAAGTTTGATTTTACCAAAGAAATAAAGGAGCCAAAATCTTATTTTAGGGTTATATCCTATACTTTATTTTGAATCATTTAGAACTTCAGATAAATCTTAACTAATGCCTAACTATGGCTGTTGATAATAAGTTGATTAGTGTCCCCCAAAACTTCATGTCTACCCAGAACTTCACAATGTCATCTTATTTGGAAATACACTTTTTGCAGATGTCATTACTTAAGGATCTCTAGGTGAAAGCATTTGAGATTTAAAGTGGGCCCTAAACTCAATTGCTGGTGTGAACTTATGAGCAGAGAGGGCTATGAGACACAGAAGAGAAGACCATGTAAAGATGGAGGGAGACATTGAATGATGTGTCTACAAGACAAGAAATGCCAAGAATTGCCTGCAACTATTGAATGCTAGGACCGAGGCATGGGTGGTTTCTCTTTCAGAGCCTCCAAAAGGAACCACCCCTGCCAACAACTTGATTTTGGACTTCCGGCTTCCTGAACTGCAGTAGGATAAATTTCTGTTATTTTAAGCCACCCAGTTTATGGCATGTTGTTACAGCAGTCACATAAAAATAATATATTTAATAAGCTACTTAATTCAATACTTTCAATAACTAATTTGAGTTAAACCCTCCTTGCCTTTGCCTACAAGTTTTTCATCTTCTCCATTGGTCTATCACTTGAGAACACTCTACATTGACCAGCAATAGATGTTAATAACAATTTACCCTTCTCTGCTGCCAATGAATATTTGGGACTGTGAAGATTTGAACTGTCTCAGCTTTCACACTGAAATCTATATTTGTGTTTCACACAAAACAACATAAAATAAAAAAAGAAAGGAAAAACAACTACACTTTCACAGTGAAATTACAGAAAGATATGTCCTCTGTCCATTTTGGCATATCTCCAAATTGAACCCTTTTTCTTGTTGTCTCTCTTTTCAATTTCACCAATTGCATGAAAGAACAAAAGCATGCCAGTATCCCCAGTGTTTACTTACGGTCAGGTATAAAGCTGAGCTCTGGCGTAATTAGCTAAATATATATGGTAATACCTAAGGGTGAGAAGTATTTTTTTATTGGAGGAGCTGAAGGAGAATTTCATCTTAATTAATTTTGTCTTACAGTCAAGCAAGACTGTAATGTAATTTTCTATTTTCACACTTCCCTTATTGCAAATTATCATATTTGCTGTCTGAACCTTTCCATGATAGAAGTCCCACATCAACACTCAGATCATGCTAATGCTGTGAAGTGATTGTAAAATGTAGCTTCTTAAAGACAGCTAGACTATTCAAAGTCCTTGGTATCTAAAGTATCTTCTTCAGTCAACAATCAAGTTTTTAATTTAAAACATTATGTTTCATTACCTTTCATCTACATTGCTAATAAAAAAGAAGATCCTTTATCACAATACACGAACAATCATAAAGAATGCTACTGTGGTGTATTAGTAGTCTATAGTGGTCTAGCAAATCACCCCAATATACAGTGGCTTATAACAGCAAATATTTATTATCTCACATTTTCAGTGGGTTAGGAATCCAGGTCTGCCTTAGCTGTGTGTCTCTGAATCAATGTCTCTCCCAAGGATACAATCAAGTTATCAGCAGGGGCTGCAGTCATCTCAAGGTTCTAATGGGCAAGAATTCACTTCCAAATGTACTCACAAGCCTGTTGGAAGGCTGCAGGTCTTCACTGGCTGTTAAATGGCTATATTAGTTCCATGTCATATGGTAATCTTCATAGAGAAGCTCAAAACATGGCATCTGTTTTCCTCCCAGAGTAAGTGAGAGGACAGTGAGAAAGTAAGAAAGTGCTCCCACGGATACAATCTCTTGGTAACCTATTCTCAAAAGTGACATCCCATCGCTTTTTCTGTATTCTATTGTGTAGAAATGAATCACTAGTTCTGACTCACACTTGGTGGCATGGGAGATGACACACAGGTGTGTATATCTGGACACAAGGCTCATTGGAGGCCATTTTAGAGGCTGTCTACTACATATGGCTAAAATGTTGTCACTGGATAAAAGAGCTGCAGGCCCTCTCTAGAGCCATTATATGGGTATATACAAATTTATGAGTATTTTAAGTTCCTCCATCCTACAATTATTAAAAACATTGTGATTTGGTCAAATTTAGGACTTCAAAACTAAGTATACATATTTCTAAACTTGATTTGTTCTCTTAGTGTAGGACATTTTAAATGGTCTCTCTGAGACTTTTGAATAAATAAAGCCTGAGTCTTGAAGAGTTGCTGATTGCTAGATATTTTATTATACATTAGAAAAAATGGAAATTCCTCTGTCCTGTAAGGACACCACTTCCTAAGGAGAGTTCTTTCAGGCTGTGCATATACCAGTGAGGTCAATCAAAGGAGTGAGTAAATCACCCTGAGCTAAGGCTTAATTAGTGGAGAAAAGCAAACTTAAGAAATTCATTATTCCTTTTTTGGTCCAAACCTTAGTTTTCATGGCAAAAAATTATGAATAGTCTCTGGAGTTTTGATAATTTGATAATTTCTTCATCAGGGGCTCAGCCAACTTGACAGTGCATAAAATTTCCACATAGATTTTTAAATGCATTTCACATTATTCATCTCATGTGGTTGGATATGCATGACTTTTCAATCACTCATAATACTGTAACATCAGCCCCGAACATACAGTTCATACGAATGCACTCTGGAGTCTAAATTAGGCCTACTTTATATACTATAGTGTCTCCTTACTGAGGCTGAAGATAACCAATCTCTTCAATCTTGCACAGCTGATATATTACATTTCAGATGAGTAATTTCAAGCCCCATTGCATGAGTATCCCACCTTCTTATCCTATATCTTAATGCTGATCTTAGGTTTAATTGATTGGGTCATAATTGGCTAAATTTTGCTTTATGGAAAGTTAGACTGTCCTCACGTATTTGCATTTATGCCTGAAATTTTTTGTTTTTGTGATTCAGTCAAGCTCTTTTTGCTGCTGATTAAACATGCTGCTACTATTTCCACTGACATATTTTTCTGGGTGTGTGTGTTAGTTCAGTGAATATTTATAAGCTTATCTGATTCATGTACATAATATTTAAAAATTTGTTAAGAAAAATTATGTTGGCTGACAATGTTGTGACAAATGTGCACCTCAATGGTAAAAAGGACGAAAACATTTACCTGCAAAATGACAAACCGCGATAAATATGAAAATCAGACCTTGTGATGAGGTTTATGGAGGAAAGAAAAAACACCCATAGGAGAAATAAAGGGCAGCAAATGCACCTATATCACAAAGCTTAATGCTTATGTTGCCAAATCAGTAATAAGCAAAGCACGTATAAAAATAAGCTGCTGCATGATAATTGATCAAGACCGATGAGGAAACTCACCAAGTGATTAAGGTAAAAATGCCATTGTATTAGAATTAAAATATTACCCAGAAAATAAAATGAAATGGTAGGAAATTGGTATATTAAGGCAAAAAAAGAAATTAAAGAAATTTAAATCATGATACATAAAGATGTATTGGCAAGAATTGATTGGAAACAGGATATAGTGGTTGGAAATAAGATATAATCAATAAAAGTTGTTTAATCTCACAGAATAGTGGTATTTAGCTAGAAGCTTAGCACAACAATATAAAAGGATGAAAAAGAGTGTCAGTGAGATATGAGGCTGATGTTGCCCACAGTCCCTTGGTATTTTCTTCACCACAGTTTATAAGAGACGAAAGTTATATTTCAGAGATTACTGCCAAGGAATGGGAAATGTTAAAACAAAGGCAATTATATTCATGCCATGGCAGGTAGCAACACAATTAGAATGATTAAATGCTGATAAAGTCCAAGATGTAGAGAACTAAATTCTAACTTGTAGTAAAGTTGCAGTAAGTCCAAAGTAGCCATCCCTTAATGAAAGAACTGCCCTTTGAAAACGGCATGCATTGGTCAAAGTTAGAGCATTAAACTTTGGTAGCAAATGAAGAATTTTATGTCACTCTATGACTAAGCAGTTTTACTCTTGATTATCAAATCAGGCCTCTTCAACTACAATTATGTCTATTAAGTTTTAAAAGTTGAAATTTGATTGGGAATCCTTCCAGGTCTGTGTGATGGCTGCTCAAGTTTTCCCATCATGACTCAGGATATTTAGAACCTTGGAGAAGGGGAAATATATTTTGGTGGCTAACAGTGTGGTTTCTGGCATTAGACAACCTAGCTTCGAATCCTGGGTCCTACCACTGAGGAGTTTGGCACTTTGGGAAATTTATTTAAGTTTACAAAACTTCTGTGTCCTGACGTGAAAATGAGAATAATAGTAGCCAAATCCTTGGATTGTTGGAAAAATAAATGAAAGAAATATAATTAGTGAAACACTTTAGCAAGTGCCTGGCACACAATAATGGAATTCAACTGAGGTGGTCCTTGAAAAAATTGAAAACATAATGCAAATGAGGCATTTAGCACAGTATTTGGCTTAATGCAGTAAGGCTCAATATAGATTACTTATAATGACAATAATAATTATAATAATGTTATTGAAATTTTAGCTATAATTGTAGGAAATAATTTGGAGGTATGGGAAAATGCTGACACACAACAGCTTGCAAATTTAAAGTTAAATTTTTAGATGACACAAGTAATAAATGAATGAATGAATAAGTAAATGTGTCACATATCACAGAAAGATATCAGAAAAACATTGTAATGTGTCCTCCTTTCACTCCAGCATCAATGCCAATAACCTGGCCTCCTGAAAATAACCACTGCTATCATTTCCCCTTTTGTATATGTATGCATGTACATGTATGTGGCTGTGTGATCATACTTGATGTGTTATTCTACAACTAGCTTTGTTCCTTGCTGATATGCCTTGGAGATCATTCCATGTCAGTACACAGAGATCCATCTCACTCTTATGTTAAAATATTGCATAATTATCTGTAATATAATTGCACATGACTATATTTAACTGTGTCCATAATCATGGACTTTTAACTTGTCTCCATTTTGTTCCCCTATAAACAATGCTTCAATGAAAATCTGTGTAAATGGCTCTTTGTGAATATATGCAAATGAATATTTAACTGGAACACAGTCCTAGAAAAGGAATTGCTGGATTGAAAAGCATGCACTTTTAAAATTTGGGTAGATACTGTAAAATTTTCCTTCAAAAGGTTGTTCCAATTTGTACTCCTTTCAACTGTGTATGATAGAATTTGGTTCGTCACATTCTTACCAATGCTAGAACACTAGACATTCTCTCTTGCTCTTTCTGTCTCTTACACCTTTTCTCTTTTTGTTTCTCTCATAGGAAAAATATGTCATCGTTGTTTTAATTTGTATTTTCTGAATTTTCAAAAGGTAAAATGAAAATTTATCTTATGTATTTTCATATGTTTATTGGCAATTTGTATGTCTTTTTGTGTGAACTATCTATTGATATCCTCTGTCTATTAATTTATATTTGGTTGTTTGGCTTCCTCCCAACCTCCCACCTCCACTTCTCATATTTATAGTACTTTCTTTATTCTTGATTTCAAACATTTTTCTTATATAAAACATAAACATTTTTGCCCAGTTTATCACTTCTTTAAAACTATATGATATCTTTTGGAGTTTAGATGTTTAATTTTTTTGCAGTATTATCCATCCATATTTTTCTTTTATAACTTCAAAATTTTGTATCTTGCTCTTCATTGCAAAAAGTACTTCCATGATTTTCTTTTAACACTTATAAAATGTTTCTTTATGCTAAACTTCTTATTACATCTTAAAATTATTTCTAATTCTAGTGTGACAGCTGTATCTAAGTTTTTCCTTTTTATGGCCAAGCAGTTATCTATAAACACCCAAGTACCTTTCATTGAAGAGCTCATCTTTTCCCTGCTGATTTGAAATGCCACGTTAATCATGTATTAAATCCCTTAAATAAATTGATTTTTTCTAGACTCCATAACTTTTTTATTGTATATTTGTCTATCCCTGTGGCCTCTTGCTATACTGCACCATTGTAATTATTACAGCATCAGAGCATGTTTAAAATCTGTTGGCACAAGTTCCCCTACCAATTCTTTTTTTATATATCTGAGCCATTCTAGTGCATTTTTTCCCAGTAATATTCACATCAAATTATCAAATACCATAAAATCCTTGTAATATTTTGATTCAAATGCATTGTGTTTATTATATTAAGAAGTAGAGATGATCTTGATGCTAAGAAATTGCTTCCAAGAAAATTTACTATACATCTATTTAATACTTTATTGAGCACATTTTCCTTTTAATTTCAACTTCTATTTTAGATGCAGAAGGTAAATGTGGAGGTTTGTTACATGGGTATATTGTATGAGCCTAAGGTTTGCGGTATGGATTCCATCCCCTGGTAGTAAGCACAGTACCCAATAGGTAGCTTTTCAACCCATGTTTCCCTCATCCCTCCCCACTCCTCCCTCTAGTAGTCTGCCATATATGTTGTTCCCATATTTCTGTCCATGTGTGCTCATACTTAACAAGTGAGAATACACAGTATTTGGTTTTCTGTTCCTGTGTTAGTTTGCTTAGGGTTGTGGCCCCCTGCTATATCCATGTTGCTGCAAAAGGACATGATTTTGCTATTGTGAATAGTGCCGCAATAAACATACGTGTGCATGTGTCTTTACAGTAGAATGATTTATAATCCTGTGGGTATAGCACATATACACCATGGAATACTATACAGCCATAAAAAAGATGAGTTCATGTCCTTTGCAGGGACATGGATGAAGCTGGAGGCCAACACAGGAAGGAACAGAAAAACCAAACACCCCATGTTCTCACTCATAAGTGGGAGTGAGAACGCATGGACACAGGCAGGGGAATATCGCACACTGGAGCCTATCAGGGGGTGGGGGGCTAGGGGAGGGATAGCACTGGGAGAAATGCCTAGTGTAGACGATGGGTTGATGGGTGCAGCAAACCACCATGGCACATGGATACCTATGTAACAAATCTGCATGTTCTGCATATGTACCCCAGAACTTAAAGTATAATTTTTAAAAGGGCATGATTTTGTTCTTTTTTATAGCTGTGTAGTATTCCATAGTGTATATGCACCATATTTTCTTTATCCAATCAACTATTGATGAACACTTAGGTTAATTCTGTGTCTTTGCTATTGTGAATAGAGTGGTGATGAGCATACAAGTGCATATGTCTTTGGGTAGAATAATCTGTTTTCCTTTAGATATAACCTCAGTAATGGGATTGGTGGGTTAAATTGCTGTTTTAAGTTCTTTGAGAAATCTCCAACTGCTTTCCACAGTTGCTGAACTAATTTATATTCCCACTAACAGTGGATAAACGTTCCTTTATCTCTGCAGCCTCACCAGCATCTGATGTTTTTTGACTTTTAAATAATAGACATGCTAACTGGTGTGATATGATATCTTACTGTGGTTTTGATTTGTTTTTCTCTGATGACTAGTGATATGGAGTATTTTTTCCTGTTTGTTTGCCACTTATATGTCTTTTTTTTTGATAAGCCTCTGTTCATGTCCTTTGCCCACTTTGAAATCGAATTATTTGTTTGTTTCTTGTTGATTTGTTTAAGGTCCTTACAGATTCTGAATATTAGACCTCTGTCGAATTTATAATTTGTGAATATTTTCTCCCATTTTGTAAGTGGTCTGTTTACTCTAGTGATAGCTTTTGTGCTGTGCAGAAGCTCTTTAGTTTATTTAGATCCCACTAGTCAATTTTTGTTTTTGTTGCAATTGTTTTTGGGGACTTAGCCAAAAATTCTCTGCCAAGACCAATGTCAACAAGGGTATTTCCCAGGTTTCTTCTAGCATTTTTATAGCTTGAGGCCTTACATTTAAATCTTTTTTTTTTTTTTTTTTTGAGACGGAGTCTCGCTCTGTCGCCCAGGCTGGAGTGCAGTGGCGGGATCTCGGCTCACTGCAAGCTCCGCCTCCCAGGTTCACGCCATTCTCCTGCCTCAGCCTCCCAAGTAGCTGGGACTACAGGCGCCCGCCACCACGCCCGGCTAATTTTTTGTATTTTTAGTAGAGACGGGGTTTCACCGTTTCAGCCAGGATGGTCTCGATCTCCTGACCTCGTGATCCGCCCGCCTCGGCCTCCCAAAGTGCTGGGATCACAGGCGTGAGCCACCGCGCCCGGCCTTAAATCTTTAACTCCATAAATATACACCTACTATGAATCCCAAAGAATTAAGAATAAAAAAGTTAGAAGTAAATAAATATAGAAATAAATATTTAATCCATCTTGAATTAATGTTCATATATGTTGAAAGGTGAGGTTACAATTGCATTCTTCTGCATATAGCTAGCCAGTTATCCCGGCACTATTTATTACCTAGAAAGTTCTTTCCCCATTGCAATACACTTTGTTGAGGACCACATGGTTGTAGGTGTGTGGTCTTATTTCTGGGTTCAGACTCTTCCATTGGTCTATGTGTCTGTTTTTGTACTAGTAACAAGCTGTTTTGGTTATTGTAACCTTATAGCATAATTTGAAGTTGGGTAGTGCGATGCCCTAGTTTTGTTCTTTTTAAAGTACATTTTTATAACATTGTTATCTGGTCTTGGACATACTTTAAAATTTTTCCTTGATGTTATGAATTTTGTTGCAATTATAAATATGACACTTGTATTTTATTTTCCAATTAGTTAATTTGGTATACAAGATTGTCAGGAATTGTTGTATATATTGTATCAATCTAGTTTGTGAATGGTTACAGCTATTTTACTGGATTTTTAGTTGCATCTTTTGGATTTTCTATGTTGACCAACATATGGTCTATGAAGAATGGCAACGTTGTCCTTCCTTGATGTGGTGCATACCATGGGTTGGCTTGTTCAACATGTATTTGATCCCGCTTTTAGCTTCAGAGGATGAAATCTAAAAACTGTATTTCCCAGAATCTCTTTTAGCTAATGGTTTTGGATACGATTTAGTTTCAATCAGTCATATACACTCAAACCCAACTTTTATTTGGAAATAAGTTATGTGGTGAGAGAGGCAGATGCAAATCATTCATTTTTTTTCTGGCACATGTTATAGCAAAGGTAACATGGCTCTAAGGGAGCATAAAGTTCAGAGGCTTTCTCATTAGCAGGCAACTTCCTGATATGACAGCTTCCTGATGACAGAGACAATAGCTCTCTTGGTGACCCAATTGTTTGATGTGGTTTTAGGAGTCACTCTTGGTAGATTCTGTTTCTTCAGCTTTCCCATGATTTATCAATACCATTGTGTTTATTAGCTGTGGTTTTTGTTATCTGAAACCAATAAAACCTAATAGGCTTTCCAATATTTAAAATAAATCAAATTTTCTTGTCTTATTGCAATGGGTAGCAATTCAATAATGATGTTGAATTAGTACCAGTAATAGTTGGAATCTTTATCTTATTTCTATAGCAATTCAAATGTATTGTATTTTATGTTAAGGATAATGTTTGCTCTGGCTTTATATGTTAATACTATTTTATCAAGCTATGGGATTCACTTCTTAGTTTGCTAAGAAGAGGTTATTTATCTTAATATCAAGAATGTTTGTTGACTACTGGTAGAAATATAAATTAGTTCAGCCACTGTGAAAAGTAGTGTGGAGATTTCTCAAAGAACTTAAAACAGAACTACCATTTGACCGAGCAATCCCATTATTGGGACTACACTCAAAAGAAAATAAATCATACTACCAAAAAGACACATGCACCTGTATGTTCACTGCAACACTATTCACAATAGCAAAGACATGGAATCAACCTAGGTACCCATCAATGTTGGACTGGATAAATGTGATACATATACATAATGAAATACTACACACCCCAAAAAAATGAAATAGTGTCCTTTGCAGCAACATGGGTGAAGCTGGAGGCCATTATCCTAAGGAAACTAACACAGGAACAGAAGATCAAATACCACATGTTCTCACATATAAGTGGGACCTAAACATTGAGTACGCATGGATACAAAACAGGGTACAATAGACACCAGGGTCTACTTGTGTGGGGAGGGTGAGAGCAGTATGAGATTCAAAAAACTACCTATTGGTAGTAAACTACTTTGTTTACTACCTGGGTGATGAAATCATTTATATACCAAATCCCAGTGACATGCAATTTACACATGTATAAACCTGAACATGTGCCCTTGAAGCTAAAATAAAAGTTGAAGAAAAATTTTAAAAATTAGGTATGTTGAGATGTATTAATTACTTTTTCTATATCTGTTAAAGAATGACAATTAGATTTTTTTATTTTTTCTGTAATTTGCTAATATGGATTTTTTTATGTTATGCCATCTCTGAAGTTTGAGGATAAATATTGTTCATAAGTTATATACACTTAATACACAAATTCATTTACTATCTTCGAATTGTAATTAGAATTGTGCAGTTTATGATATTGCAAAAATTTCTATTTTCCTGCCAAGAAATAACTTTTTTTTTCTGTAGATGGGACAAAACAAATTATCATAAAGAGAAGCCATATCTATAAGCAGCTGTTTTCTGTGACAGAGAAGGAAAAAGTTGTTGCCTTGCAATCCTAGAAGATACCATGCCATCCTCTGCATGCTAGAAATTAAAAAGGGACTTAACTAAATGAATGAGTGAGAAACAAAGTAAGAGAAAGTATCTGCTGATATAATTTGCTTGAAGATACAGACTGAAGGCTCCTTGGAGTGATAAAATTCATCATGCCAAGATTAAAGTGGATCTACAGAATTTCCAAGTACACCTGGGCTCTTCATTTTCTTAAGATCAGAAGCTTCCATAAAGGTTTGGTAAGATTTTCTCTCTCTAAGACTTGTATACAATAATTCAAGTGACGTTACCAATCTGTTCTTGTGCATATTTATTGATTAAATGACTCATGTTCTAAGATCAAACATTTTCCTTCTTTGCCAGGTATTCATTTTTTTCTGCACATCAGTTAAGCAAGTGGAGAGAACCAATCAAGATGGAGGGTAGAGCCTCAAGCTTGTGGGAAAGCTATCTAAGACTAAAGCCCTGATGTGTGAAATTATATACATATATATAATCAATTATATATAATTTGTATGCAGTATAAATTTATGTATATATAATCAACTACCCCATTACCAGTTTTAAAGGCTACTTCCTGTTTTCATGAAACGATAGCTGGATATTATAAATTGAATACAGAAACTATGAATTATCTTCATAAGATTTCCAGATGCATGTGCGCAAATGTGTGTGTCTGTGTGCATGTACTTGAAAATTCATAATTAATACATTTACAGAAAATAAGGATTTCATATTCATATGTACTTTGTTCTAAGGTTCTACTTAAATTTCTATATTTATAGACATAATATTCCTTTGTTAATTAGACATATTTATATTAACATCTTGATTAAACTTTCACAACTTAGATCAGAGACAGACAAATTTTTTTCTGTTTCAGATAAGTCATTTTTGGCCATAGGTTTCTGTTACAACTAATTAACTCTGCCATCGCAGACTGGAAGCAACAAGCAGTAAGCCAAATTTGGCTAGCAGGTTACAGTTTGTCAACTCATGGCCCAAATATTTGTTCAATATTTAACATAAAATATTAGACCAAAGATTCTACAAAAATATATACCCGTTTAGCAAAACAATACTGAAAATGTGCACCAGTTTAGTAAAACAATGCCAGTGCTATTTACTATTTCAAGACAATAAACTTCAATAAAGTGATCCCTGGCTAAGAATACATATACAGATGTTATTACTTTCAACAAAGATCAATAAGATAGCGAAAAGAAAAAAATGGGATTTTTGAAGGTACAATTTTTGACTGCATTAACTTATTTAGTTTAAGCTTTTTAAGAGATTGTGTTTGTGGTATGTAGTCAAAGTCTGGCAGGTAATAATACTAAATAATATTAAATAAAAATATTTAGTATTTCTTACTGATATGCTGCAGCTGTCCTTTTTGCTTAAATAATTGACTTCACAACAAAGTAGAGAGTGACAGAACAAACCGGAGTTCAAAAGGAAGGGGGCACTAATTTTTCATTGTTCTCCTGTCTATATTGATAAGTATCCAATATAAATACAAATATATATATATACATATATATATATATATATATATATATATATATATATATATATATACATAAAACAACCAATAACAACTCAATTTTGTTTCCTTGCAAATTACCTCAATTACTGATGTGGGAGTGTTGAAATCAACTGTGATTGTGGAGCTGCCCATTTCCCCCTTCACTTTGATCAGCTTTGTTTTGTGTATGTTAACATTCTGTTACTAGATACATGTACATTTAGGGTTTTTATGTCTCTTTGATGAATTAATTTTTTACTTCTTATAAAATGTCCATCTACATTCCTGGTAGTACTCCTTCTTCTGAAGTCTACTTTGTCTGATGTTAGTATGGTACTCTAGCTATCAGTGTTTGCATGATACATTTTTTTCTGTCCATTTACTTTTATTCTCTGCCATTATCTCTAAAATTTATTGTAGATATCATATAGGTAAGACTCAGGTTTTTTATCCAATTTATAAATCTATGTCTTTTAATTAGAAAGTTTAACCATTTATATTACAAAGGTGGCTGCGTTTATATTACAAATGTGGATACCCCTTATTTTATTACCTTCCTTTGTGTAACTAGAGATTTCAAAAATTGATTTTATTTTGTCTCCTCTATTTGCTTATTCACTATACCTCTTTATTAATGGTGGCTGTAGCACTTACAATATACATCTTTGTTTTATTTGAGTCTACTTTGAAATAATATGATTTTTCAATGTTTATTATATTTCAGTGCCTAGTAAGGTATTTGATACAGGGTAGGTGCTTAATAAATATTTATATTAATCCTCATTTTGTGTGAGGAATTCTAACTCCATTCTTTCTGTGCCTCTCTCCCCATCTCTTAAATACACTTTCTAAATAGCCTTCTCTTACTAAATCTACAACTTTCTAAATTGATAACCTTCACTAAGTTACGTGACTGAGTCTTAGTTTTCTCATTCTCAAGTGGAGACAATTCCTACCTTGCTGGCTTGACATGATAATTAAATGAAATAACTGATGTAAAAATGGCTGTGGCATAATAGGTGATCAATTAATATGTTTCATTTTTTCCAGGCCCAGTGGCTGAAAGCCAAGAATAATTTTTGTCTTTATCTTATATAGACTATTTTAATATTTTTGAATTTTATATTTGGGAGTTTTAAGTGAAAGGGTTTTAGAAGGCAAGCATATCTTTTGTGTTTGCCTTTCCATTTATCATTTTCCCTTTTCCTTGTGCCACCTAGAAACATCACTCATACTTCAATTATTAAGCACATACTATGTGCTATTCCCTTTGCATCAACTATCTAATGACAAAACAATTGCAAGTATTAACACCAAAACTTAATTTATGCAAAGCAACAAGAAGTGATTTTTATGAAACTAGGGTGTCTTAGTAGCAGTTGTACCAATCTTTGCTGAATTGGCTGGGTGGTCTACTGGCTTCAGCTAGATTTGTTCACATGGATGGGAGTTGACTGGTTCTTAGGTTATTTAGGGTGAGCTCATCTAGAAAAACTGAAATGACCTTGTGTCTCTCTATCTCCAGCAGATTAACATGGGCATGTTCTCATAGTAATGGAAGAATGCAAGAACAAGCTGGCCAATCACACAAGCACATTTCAAGCCCATATTTGCATCACATTTGCTAACATCTTATTGGCCATACCTAGTCATATGGCCAAGCTCAGAATTAGAGTTGAAGAATACTAGAGGTTGACAGGTAAAGGGTATGGATACTGAGAAGGATCAAAATTTATGACTGTTAATACAATCAAATTCTCATGCTCAGTGTTACATACTAGGGAGACAAAGGGGTGAGATACCATCATTCTCCTCAATGAGCAGAGCTCAAAGTCTAGGGTTAGGGAGATAGATATGTAACAAATAAGTGTAGTCACATTTTAAGGTGTTCAAATAGAAAGTCATACATGGGACAGTGGCTGATACAAATAAAGACAGGGTGATGGATTCTCTCTGGAAAGGGAGAGGGAAGAACAGATATGAGAAAAATCTTCATTGAAGCAATGTTTGACATGAACTTCCAAAGAAAGTAGATATTATGGAATAAGGACATCTTGTTCTGATATTTTGAATGAGCCTGAAAGATTACCTGGCATTCATTCATTAAACCAATTGCTATCCACAGACAACCTATTAGATTAAAAGTGAGAGAAAAGCCAAAACAGTATCTTAGTATTTTTGTAATGATCTCTGACAATATTTTGACATATATGGGCTGTTATTTTCAGTGGAAATGAATATGATTTTTGCATTTATTTTATAGAGATATGCTGAGTCATTCTAGAAGCAAATTTATGTTTCTTAGTTTATGAAATTTTTATTTTGTGCACTTATGGAGTTCTGAAATTTGGAAATAACTAAATATTATAATATGTGCTTCTGCTATTTGTATGCTGGTGTCAAATCCAAGAAGTAATAAAAATGTCAAATGGATTGGTGGGAAATAAAAATCAGAAACTATTTTTGGCTACATGATGAGGCCAGTTTTTTAAATGAAGATATTCAGATGACAGTCAATTTCTTGAAATATTAATATTATGGAGTTTTAGATAATACTCAAGCATGATAGTAAATGTAGTCAATTTAGAAGAGCATCACTGTTCATTGAAAACTCATTTGGCCTTAAATTTATGAATTCACATATCCCCAATTTTCTCAAGCCCTTCCTAGTCCCTTAACTAATCTTATAGCTCTCTCAACCACCATCAAATTGCTATTATTTTTATGTAAATAACAGATGTAAGAGACTACCTCCAAAAAACTGACAAGAAAAATTATTAGTCTCATCTTTGCAAATCAAAATGGAATTTAATTAGTCTGCTGCTATTTAATAGCCAAGTATGCACCTTCTAGCCATCATAAAATAAGAGGAGTTATTACTAGAGATACCAAATTAGAGGAATATGTTTTAAAAGAAAACACCATAAATTCTAGAATAAAATGGTAGAAGACAAAGAACTGGACCTAAAGCTTGAGATATGTACTGACTGCCCTCCAGAAGCCTCACGCTCATTTGTTTTCCAGAAAACACTTGATACTATACATATGTATATTATTTGTGTATACGTGTAAATGCATACTATACTATGTACATTAATGGAAACCTATTGAATGAATGACTATTGAATGTTTTGCTTTATCAAACCACCTTACGTAACTCTTTAATGTATGTGTCATGTGTGTAAATTCTCCACGGGTAGGGACCATAAGTACAATATATTTTCCGATTTTTTCTCTGTCTTAAATAGAAGACAAATCTTAGGGTGGTGGAGCAAGATGGTGAAATAGAAGCCTGCACTGTTCATGCCCACTGCTGGAACACTAAATTTAAAAAACTATCTGCACACAGAAAAGCATCGCCACAAGAACCAAAAGGCAGATGAGCAATCACAGTACCTGATTTTAACTTCATATCAGAGAAAGAGGTATTGAGGAAGGCAGGAGACACAGTCTTGTATTGCCATTCCCACGCTTCCCTCATCCCCCAGCAGCAGCTGTGTGGTGCGGAGAGAGAAACTGTGTACTTATGGGAGGGAGAGCACAGTGACTGGGGGACTTCACATTGAACTCAGTGTTGTCCTGTTACAGTGGAGAGCAAAGCCTCAATGGGCTCAGCTAGCACCTGTGCATGGAGGGAACATTTGAACCAGCCATAGTCAGAGAGGAATTGCCGATCCCAGCGTTTGGAACTTGAGTTTCTGTGCAAGCCTTGCCACTGTGGGCCGAAGTGCCCTGGGGTCCTAGGTAAACTTGATAGGCAATCTAAGACACAAATACAGCAACTCCGAGGCAAACCCTAGTGCTAGGTGGGTCTTAGAGCCAGTGGACTAGGGTGTCATGTGACCTAGGGAGACACACTCTGGGGTGGCTAAGGGAGTGCCTGTGGAGCCCTCCCCCACCTCAGGCAGTGCAGCTCACAAAAATGAAAGTGACTCCTTTCATTTGCTTAAAGAGAGGAGAGCAAAGAGTAAAGAGAAATTTGTCTTGCATCCTGGAGACCAGCTCAGCCATAGTAGAGCAGGACACTGAGCAGAGTCATAAAGGCCCCTGTGCCAGGACTCAGGTCCTGGATAACACTTATAGATGCACTATGGACTAAAAGGGAACTGGCTGCCTTGAAGAGAAGTACCCAGTCCTGGAAGGATTCATAATCAGCTTACTAAAGAGCCCTTGGGCCCTGAATAAACAGCAGCAACACCTAGGGAGGATGCTGTGGGCCTTGGGTGAGACTCTGAGACATGCTGACTTCATGTGTGATCCAGCACATTCCCAGTTATGCTGGATATGGTGACAGAATATTTCTATTTGAGAAAAGCAGAAGGAAAAGTAAAGGGGAGTTTGATTTGTACCTTAGGTACCAGCCCAGCCATAAGAGGGAAGAGCAACAAATAGGCCCTTAGGGTCTCTGAGTTAGGCCTAGGCACTTAAACAGCATTTATGGATCTGCCCTGGTCCAGAGAGGAGCCCACTGCCCTGAAGGATGAGTGCCAGACTTGACAGCATTTACCATAAGCTGACAGAGAAGACTTTGCTCCTTAATTGAACATTGGTGTGGGCTATCAGAATCCCTTTGGACTGGTGGTGGTGGTGGCCACAGGGAGAGGCTCCTCTGCCTGTGGAAAGGTGAAAGAAAAGCAGGAAGGACTTTGTATTGTGGTTTGAGCGCCAGCTTCGTTGTAGTACAATAGAACATCAGGTAAATTGCTGAGGTTTTGACTCCAATTCCTGGCTCCTAAACAGCATCTCTGGACATGCCCAGGGCCTGGAGGATCTTGCCACCATAAAGGGGAGGACCTCAGGAAAAACCCAGTGCTGGGTTAGGTTCAGATCTGACTCAGCACAGTCCTAGTGGTGATGGCCACAGAGGTGCTTGCATTACTACACCATCAGTTCCAGGTGGCTCAGCACAGGGACAGGGACAAAGTTTGGCACTGTGTCCCGACCCAAATCTCATCTTGAATTGTAATCTGCATAATCCCCACGTGTCAAGGGAGGGACCTTGTGGGAGGTGATCAGATCATGGCAATGGTTTTCCCCATGCTATTCTCATGATAGTGAGTGAGTTCTCATGAGATCTTAAGATTTTATAAGTGTTTGTTACTTCTTCACATGCTCTCTCTTTGCAGCTGCCATGTAAGACTTGCCTGCTTCCCCTTCCACCATATTGTAAGTTTCCTGGAGCCTCCCCAGCCATGTTGAACTGTGAGTCAATTAAACTTCTTTTCTTTATAAATTACCCAGTCTCAGATATCTCCTTATAGCAACGTGAAAACAGACTAATACAGGAAATTGGTACCAGGAGTTTGGGGCACTGCTATAAAGATCCCCAAAAATGTGGAAATGACTTTGGAATTGGGTAAAAGGCAGAGGTTGGAACAGTTGGGAGGGCTCAGAAGAAAACAGGAAGATGTGAGAAAGTTTGGAACTTCCTAGAGACTTGTTGAATGGTTTCGACCAAAATGCAAATAGCGATAAGAACAATAAAGTCCAGGCTGAGGTGGTCTCAGATGGAGATGAGGAACTTGTTGGGAGCTGGAGTAAAGGTCACTCTTGCTATGCAAAGAGACTGGAAGCATTTTGCCCCTGCCCTAGAGATCTGTGGAACTTTGAACTTGAGAGAGAAGATTTAGGGTATTTGGTGGAATAAATTTCTAAGCAGCAAAGCATTTAAGATGTGACCTGGCTGATTCTGAAAGCATTCGGTCATATGCTTTCCAAAAAGATTACCTGAAACTGGAATATTTATTCAAAAGGGAAGCAGAGCATAAAAGTTAGAAAAGTTTGCAGCCTGACAATGAGGTAGAAAAAACAAATTCATTTTCTGGGGAGAAATTCAAGTCAGCTGCAGAAATTTGCATAAGTAATGAGGAGTCAAATGTTAATTGCCAAGACAATATGAAAAATGTTTCCAGGGCATATTGGAAATCTTCATGGCCACTTCTCCCATTACAGGTCTGGAGGCCTAGGAGAAAAAAATGGTTTCGTGGACGGGGCCCAGAGCCCTGCTGCTTTGTGCAGCCTTGGTTCTTGGTGCCCTGTGTCCCAGCTGTGTCCCAGGCTAAAAAGGACTGAGGTACAACTTGGGCCATTGCTTCAGAGGGTCCAATCTCCAATCCTTGGCAGCTTCCACATGGTGTTGGGCCTCTGGGTGCACAGAATTCAAGAACTGAGGTTTATTAACCTCCACCTAGATTTCAGAGGATGTATGGAAATGCCTGGATGTCCAGGCAAAAGTTTGCTCCCAAGGTGGAATCCTCATGGAGAACTTCTGCTAGGGCAGTGTAGAAGGGAAATGTGAGTCTGGAGCCCCCACATGGAGTCCCCACTGGGGCACTGCCTAGTGGAGCTGTGAGAAGAGGGCCACCATCCTCCAGATTCCAGAATGGTAGATCCACCAACAACTTGTACCATGCACCTGGAAAAGTCACAGACAATCAATGCCAGCTGTGACAGAAACCAGGGTAGGGGGTGCTGTATCTTGCAAAGCCACAGGAGTGGAGCTGCCTAAGGTCATGGGAGCCCACCCTTTGCATCAGCATGCTCAGGATGTGAGACATGAAGTCCAAGGAGATTATTTTGGTGCTTTAAGATTTAATGACTGTGTCTCTGAATTTCAGATGTGCATGGGGTCTGTAGTTTCTTTGTTTTGGTAATTTTCTCCCATTTAGAATGCGAGCATTTATCCAATGCCTGTACTACCATTGTATCTTGGAAGTAACTTGTTTTTGATTTTACAGGCTCAAAGACAGAAGGGACTTGCCTTGTCTCAGATGAGACTTTAGACTTGGAGTTTTGGGTTAATGCTGGAATAAGGTAAGACACTGAGGGGTTGTTGAGAAGGCATGGCTGTGTTTTGAAATGTTAGGAGGATATGAGATTTAGGAGGGGCAGGGGTGAAATAATATGGTTTGGCTCTGTGTCCCCACACAAATCTCATCTCCAGTTGTAACCTTCATAATATTTACGTGTCAGGGGAAGGACCTGGTGGGAGATGATTGGATCATGGGGGTGGTTTTCCCCTTCCTGTTCTCATGATAGTGAGTGAGTTCTCATGATATCTGATGGTTTCATAAGTGTTTGACAGTTCCTTCTCCACATGCTCTCTCTCACTTGCTGCTGTGCAAGGCATGCCTGCTTCCCCTTCTACCATGATTGTAAGTTTCCTGAGGCCTCCTCAGCCATAAAGACTGTGGGTCAATTAAACCTCTTTTCTTTATACATTACCCAGTCTCCTGTAGCATCTTTATAGCAGCATGAAAATGGACTAACAGAGAGAGAGAGAGAGTCTGTTTGTTGCAGAAAAAGTAACAGAAGAGAATAAGAGTCTTTGTGGAGTAATCCAGAAAATTGATCCAAATATTATCCAAGACTACTAAGGTGGTACCTCTATGAGACTGCAAAAACCATAGTGCTATTGGGCTTGAAGCCCAAGTCTCTTTAAATGCCTAGAAAGCCTCCACAAGAGGGACAGGCACAAACAAGCCTAGATTGTGAAGACTTTAAGAAATGCCTAATTCTTCAATGCTCAGAAACTGACAGACATCTACAAGCATGAAAACCATCCAGGAAAATGTGAACTCACGAAATGAACTAAATAAGGAACCAGGGATTAATCCTGGAGAAACCGAGATATATTACTTTTCAGACAGAGAATTCAAAATAGCCATTTTGAGGAAACTCAAAGAAATTTGAGATAACACAGAGAAGGAATTCAGAATTCTATCAGATATATTTAACAAAGAGATTGAAATAATTAAAAAGAATATAGCAGAAATTATGGAGCTGAAAAATTAAATTGGCACATGAAAAAATGCTTCATAATCCTTTAATGGAAGAATTGATCAAGTTGAAGAATTGGTGAGCTTAGTGTATTTGAAAATACACAGTTAGAGGAGAAAAAAAGAGAGAAAAATAAAAACAATGAAACACATCTATAGGATCTAGAATATAGCATCCAAAGTGAAAATCTAAGAGCTATTGGCTTTAAAGAAAATGTGGCAAAAAATATATGAATAGAAAGTTTATTCAAAGGGATAATAACAGAGAACTACCCAAACCTAGAGAAGGATATCAATATCCAAGCACAGAAGATTATACAGCATTAAGCATATTTAACTCAATGATGACTACCTCAAGACATTTAATAATCAAACTCCCAAAGGTCAAGAATAAAGAAAGAATTATAAAAGCAACAAGAAAAAGAAACAACATACAACACAGCTCCAGTATGTCTGGCAACAGACTTCTCAGTGGGAACCTTACAGACTAGGGGAGAATGGCATAATACATTTAAAATGCTGAGTAATTAAACCTTTTACCTTAGAATAGTATATCTGATGAAAATATCCTTCAAACATGAAGGAGAAAAAAATACCTTCTAGGACAAGCAGAAGCTGAAGAATTGTATCACCAGACATGTCCCATAAGAAATACTCAAGGGAGTTCTTCATTCTGATAGATAAAGATATTAATAATCAAGAAGAAATTATTTGAAGGTATAAAATTCACCGATAATAGCACAAAGACAAACACGAAATAGTATAATACTGTAATTAGAGTTTATAATTTACTCTTATCTTAAATAGAAAGACTAAATGATGAACAAATCAAAAATAATAACCACAACACCTTTTCAAGACATAGACAATAAAATAAGACATAAAGAGTAACAAAAAAAAAGTTCAAAAGTAGGGGACAAACTTAAAGTGTAGAGGGTTTTTTTTGGTTTTCTTTTGGTGTGTTTGTGTGTTTATGAAATAAGTGTTAAGTTGTCATCAGTTTGAAATAATGAGTTATAAGATATTATTTACATGCCTCATGATAACCACAAATCAAAAAACGTTCAATAGATACACAAAAACTGAAAAGGAATAAATTAAATTATACCACCAGGGAAATTCATTTTCACTAAAAAAAGACAAGATGGAAGAAAAGAAGGAAGAGAAGACTGCAAAACAATCAGAAAACAAATAACAAAATGGCAGGAATAAGTCTCTACTTATCAATAATAACACTGAATGTAAATGGACTAACCTCTTTAACAAAGAGACATAGAGTGGCTGAAAAAACAAGACCCAATGATCTGTTGCCTACAGGAAACACCCCTCACCTACAAAGATAACATAGACTGGACTGGGCGTGGTGGCTCATGCCTGTAATCCCAGCACTTTGGGAGGCCAAGGCAGGCAGATCACCTGAGGTCAGAAGTTCAAGACCAACCTGGCCAACATGGTGAAACCCCATCTCTACTAAAAATACAAAAATTAGCCGGGCGTGGCAGTCACCTGTAATCCCAGCTACTTGGGAGGCTGAGGCAGGAGAATCACTTGAATCCTGGAGGTGGAGGTTACAGTGAGCCCAGATCGCGCCATTGCACTCCAGCCTGGGGGACAAGAGCGAGACTTCATCTCAAAAACAAACAAACAAAAAAGATAGACTGAAAATGAAGGGATGGTAAAAGATATTCCATGCCAACAGAAACCAAAAAAGGAGTTGCTATACTTATATCAGACTAAATAGATTTCAGCACAAAAACTGTAAGAAGGAACAAAAAGGTCGTTATATAATGATAAAGGGGTCAATATAGCAAGAGGACATAATGATTGCAAATATATATGCACTCAACACTGAAGTACCCAGATATATAAAGAAAATATTACTAGAGATAAAGAGAGAGATAGGACCAAATACAATCATTGTAGGAGATGTCAACACCCTACTTTTAGCATTTGATAGATCTCCCAGACAGAAAATCAACAAAGAAACATCAGAGTTAATTTGTACTATAGAACAAATAAAGCTAATAGATATTTACAGAATATTTCATCCAAGGATTGCACAATACACATTCTTTTTCTCAGAGCATGGATTATTCTTGAGGATAGATCACATGTTAGGTCACAAAGCAAGTCTTAAAACATGCAAAAAATTGAAATAATATCAAGCATCTTCTCCAACCACAATGGAATAAAACTAAAAATCAATGAATTGAGAAATTTTAGAAACTACACAAATACATAGAAATTAAACAATATGCTTCTGAATGACCAGTGAGTCAATGAAGAAATTTAAAAAGATATTAAAAAAGGTATTGAAACAAATCATAATAGAAACACAACATACCATAATCTATGGGATACAGCAAAAGTAGTACTAACAGAGAAAATTATACATATAAGTATAAAAAAATCAAATAAATTACCTAATGATGCAGCTAGAAAAACTAGAAAACAAGAGCAAACCAAAGCCAAAATTTGTAGATGAAAAGAAATAATAAAGATCAGAGCAGAAATACATAAATTTGAATGAAGGAAGTAATACAAAAGATCAACAAAGCAAAAAAGTTTTTTTGAAAAGATAAACCACATTGAGAATCCTTTAACCATACTGATGAAGAAATAAAAAGACCCAAATAAATAAAGCCAGAGATGAAAAATAAGACATTACAATCGATACTGCAGAAATTCAGAGGATCATTAGTGGCTACTGTGAGCTACTATACCAATAAATTGGAAAATCTGGAAGAAATTGACAAATTCCTAGACACATACAAGAAGCCAAGATAGATCCATGAAGAAATTAATAACCTGAACAAACAAAAAACTAATGAAATTGAAGCCATAATAAAAAGTCTCCCAGTAAAGAAAATCCAGGGACCCAATGGCTGCACTGCTGAATTCTACCAAACATTTAAAGAAAAACTAGTAACAATCCTACTCAAGCTGTTCTGAAAACTAGAGAAGTAGGGAGTACTTCCAAACTCATTATACAAAGCCAGTATTACCCTGCTAACAAAACCACACAAAGGCACATCAAAAAAGAAAACTACAGACCAATATCTCTGATGAGTATTGCCTCAAAACTCCTCCATAAAATACTAGCAAACTGAATTCAACAGTTCACTAAAAATATTGTTTATTGTGATTAGCTGAAATTTATCCTACAGATTCAAGGATGCTTTAACAGATGTAAATAAATCAATGTGATATATCATATCACAGAATGAAGAACAAATACTGTGTGATCATTTCAATTGATATCAAAAAAGCATTTGATAAAATTCAACATTCCTTCATGATATAAACTCTCAAAAAACAGTATAGAAGAAACATACATCAACATAATACAAGTCAAATATGACAGACCCAAAGCTACTATCATACTGAATACAGAAAAATTGAAAGACTTTTAAGATGTGAAACATGACAAGGATGCCCACTTTTGCCACTGTTATTCAGCATAGCCTACCTAGATAAATCAGGCAAGAGAAAGATATAAAGGACATCAAAATTGCAAAGAAGGAAGTCAAATTATCCTTGTTTGCAGATGATATAATCTTATATTTGGAAAATCCTACAGGCTCCACAAGAAAACTATTTGAACTGATAAACAAATTTAGTAAAGATGCAGGATACAACATCAGCATACAAAAATCAATAGCATTTCTATATGCCAATAGTGAGCAATCAGAAAAAAGAAAGAAAAAGTAATCTCATTTACAACAGTCACAAATTAAATTAAATACCTAAAAATTAACTTAACCAAAAAAGTGAAAGATCTCTATAATGAAAACCATAAATGACTGATGAAAGAAATCAAAGAGGATACAAAATAAATTGACAGATATTTCATGTTCATGAATTAAAAGAATCAATATTGTTTAACTGTCCCTACTCCCCAAAGTAATTTACAGATTCAATGCAATCTCTATCAAAATATCAATGACATTCTTCAGACATAGAAAAAACAACCTAAAATTTATATGGAAACACAAAAGACCCAGAATAGCCAAAGCTATACTAAGCAAAAAGAACAAAACTAGAGCAATCACATTACCTGATTTCAAATTATACTACAGAGCAATGGTAACTAAAACAGCATAGTACAGGCTCAAATAAAGGCACATAGACCAATGGAACAGAATAAAGAACTCACAAACAAATCCACACATTTACAGTGAATTAATTCTTCACAAATATGCCAAGAACATATGCTTGGGAAAAGACAATCTCTTCAGTAAATGGTGCTAGGAAAACTGGATATCCACAGGCAGAAGAATGAAACCAGATTCCTATCTCTTGTCATATACAAAAATAAAATCAAACTGGATTAGAAGCTTAAATCTAAGACCTCAGACTATGAAACTACTATAAGAAAATATTAGGTAAACTCTCCAGGACATTGGTCTGTGCAAAAATTTCTTGAGTAATACCCCACAAGCACATTCAACCAAAGCAAAAATAAATAAGATCACATCAAGTTAAAAATCTTCTGCACAGCAAAAGAAACTATCAACAAAGTGAAGAAACAATCTACAGAATGAAAGAAAATATCTGCATACTACTCATCTGACAAGAGATTAGTAACCAGAATATATATATAAGGAGCTGAAACAACTCTATAGGAAAAAAAATCTAGTAAGTCAATTTAAAAATAGGCCAAAGATTTGAACAGATATTTTTCAAAAGAAGACATGCAAATGGCAAACAGGAATATGAAAAGGTGCTTAACATCATTGATCATCAGAAAAATGCAAAGCAAAACTACAAGGAGATATAATCTCACCCCAGTAAAAATTGTTTTTATCCAAAAGTCAGGCAATATCAAATGATGGAGAGGATGTGGAGAAAATGGAACTCTTGTCCACTATTGGTCAAAATGTAAATTAGTACAACCACTATGGAGAGGAGTTTGGAGGTTTCTCAGAAAACCAAAAATAGAGCTACTATACGATCCAGCATTCCCATTGGTGGCATATACCTAGAAGAAAGAAAATCAGTGTACCAAAATGATATCTGCACTTCTATGTTTGTTCCAGCACTATTTAAAATAGCTAACATTTGGAAGCAACCTAAGTGTCTGTATTAGTCTGTTCTCACACTGCTATAAGGAAGTATCTGAGACTGGGTGATTTATAAAGAAAAGAGGTTTAATTGAGTCAGAGTTCTGTATGACTGGGAGGCCTCAGGAAACTTACAATCACGGTGGAAGGTGAAGGGGAGGCAGGCACCTTCTTCACAAGGCAGCAGGAGAGAGAATGACCAAAGGAAGAAATTGCCCAACACTTATAAAATCATCAGATCTCATGAGAACTTACTCACTATTCCAAGAACAGCATGGGGGAAACCACACCCATGATTCAAATATCTCCACCTGGTCTCTCCCTTGACATGTGGGGATTATGGTGATTACAATTGAAAATGAGATTTTGGGTGGGGACATAGCCAAATCATATCAGTGTGCATCAAAAGATAAATGGATGGAGTTAAATGTGGTACATATACACACTGGAGTATTGTTTGCCCAGAAAAAAAGAATGAGATCCTGTCATTTGCAACAGCATGTATGAAACTGGAGATCATTATGTTAAATGAAATAAACCAGGCATAGAAAGACATGCATCACATGTTCTCACTTATTTGTGGGATCTAAAAATCAAAACAATTGAACTGACGGAGATAGAGTGTAGAAGAATGGTTACCAGAGGCTTGGAGTGGTGGTGGGGTGGTGGGTGTGAGATGGAGATGGTTAATGGGTAGAAAAAAAAAAGGAAAGAATGAATGAAAACTGGTATTTAATAGTACAACAGGGTGACAGTAAATAACAATTTAATTGTACGTGAAAAATAACTAAAAGAGTGTAATTGGATTGTTTGCAGTACAAAGAATAAATACTTGAGAGGATGCTCAATTTTCCCTTATATGATTATTACATATTGCATGCCTGTAGCAAAATATCTCATGCATCCCATAAATATAACTACTATGTATGCACAAAAATTAAAAAATCAGAAATTAAAAATTTAAAAATAAAATCAATAGAAACACTGATATTATTGACAGTTCGAGAAAAGAAAACATTAATTCAAAATATCACATCTTATCGTAACTTCTTGTCAAATTATTATTTTCCAATTTTTGCCTGTATTAAAATATCTTCTACATGATTGAAATAATTTGGTATATCTAGTTGTATACTTTAGAAAACAATACCTTATAAATATTTCCATGTTTCTATATAATTTTCTTCAATATAAGTTTTAACAGTGGCAAAATATTTAATTCAGATAATATAGCATACTTTTATTCAGTATTAATTTATTAAATAATCAACATGTGCTTTTAACCTACTCTTTAACATGTAGAATATTTTCAGTTGTTTTCTCTCCTATATGATGCTACAAAGAATATGTTCAATTATATAGGATATATTTCTATAACAAGCCATACTTGGTCACAGACCGTGCATGTCTTTACTGGCCTTGGTATATACATCCATATTTCTTTCCAATTTTAAAATGCCACCAAAAAGGATATATGATTACCTTGCTAGCACTGGACAGTATGACTTTTTAAATGGTGATAACATGTATAATCAAAATCTCTATAGTGCCTAGCACAGTAAATTCTTCAGCAGTAGTGAACAGAAAATAAATAAACATTCAATAAATATGTGGTATATCACACTATGAGGTAGAAAAATGAGGTGATACTAAAGAAATTATATTGACATACTGGAGAAGAAAATCCTGCATGAGTCAAAGTACTTCAAAGAGGAATGTCCAACCATGACAAATACATAACAATAAAGAAGGACAAAGAAAGAGCATTAACAACCATAGATATATTATAAAGATGAAGTGAGAACAAGATGTATAATATATTCAAAGTGCTTAGAATACTATCTGGCATATGTCATATGCTATATGATTGTTTTGATGATGATGATCACAATGAATTTGATTGCATGTTTCAACTAAAGCCATTCAGTTCTCTAAATAATCCTATGAAATAGGTATTATTATTGCTGTCATCTTGTAGATGAGAAAACTGAGGCAAAGAGACATTAGGTAACTTGCTTTATGTATACACTAGAGCGAAAGAGATGACTCCAAGAACCACGCTTTTAGTGATCGCACTAATCTGCCTTTAATCAACAACAGTTGTTGATTATATAAGTAAAGAGATGCCTCTAAAATAACAGGCTATATTAAAAATTTAGTGTAGAAATCAGGAAAATTTTAGATGGAAGAGGAATAGTTTGAGAATTTTATACTTGATAGTCTTTAAGAACAGTGTGATGGCAATTTTTTTCTAAGTGAACTATGTAGAGGGGAAAGCAGAAGATTGGAGCTTGAGGAAGAGGAAAAATGCTAAATAGACATTGTGAAGAATGATTTATGGATTCAATTTATTCCTTTATTCAACAAATATTTATTCAGGTCCTACTATGTGCCAGACTCTGCATTAAGTGCTGGAGACACAGTAGTAAATGTGCACACATATACACACTCAAAGTTCCTGTCCTCATAAAACTTACACTCTAGGGGATAAGGACTTAAAAAAAGTAAATATGTAAGTAGATAAATACATAGACACACACACACACACACACACACACACACACACACACACACACAGATACATTATGCCCAGTGGTGAAAAATGCTTAAAAAGGAAAAATAAAGCAAAGTAAGGGGTTTAGAGAGCGCCAGTGCTAGTGGAGGGAGAGTTCTATTTTATTACAGATGGGGGCATTGATAGTCTTTCTGATAAGATGGGATTTGAGCCTAGATCTGACAGAAATGAAGGCCATAAATCATGCAGATATTGGGGGCACATCATATGACAGACAAAGAACAGCAACACAAAATTCCCAAGGTGGAAGGATGCTTGGTATTTACATAGATGAGAAATGAAACAAATGTGATGGAATGAGTAAAGGAGAAAGAACAGGATATGAACTAATGAAAGTGGTGATGAAGGTGCTGTGGTTATATAGCGTCCTGGAGGCTATTGTAAGGGCATTTTACACTGAATGAGATGGAAGGTCATTGCAGGGTTTTGAGTAGAGAAATAACACGATCTTACTTATGTTTTGAAATAATTCTGGTTGTTGTGTAGAGAAGGACATGGTGGAAGGAACAAGGGTGGAAGCAGCAGCTATTGCAATAATCCAGGCAAGAAAATATGAGAACTTGGGCCAAGACAATGGTGGTGGAAATGAAGATTAGTGGATGGACTCAGAATATATTTCAGAGGTAGAGCAGATTGGATATTCACAGACTGAATTGAGCAAGAGATAAAGAAATAAGAAAACTCAAGGGTAATGGTTAAATTTTTGGTTGAAGCAAATATGTAGATAGTGGTGCCATTTAAAGATAGAAAAGTGTGGAGGAGGAGCAGATAGGTGCAAAATTCAAGAGTTTAGCCTTTCACTTATTAGATTTAAGATATCTATTAGACATCCATATGGGGAAGCTGTAGACTATGCAGTTGGAAATACAAGTCTGTAGTTCAAGAATGAGGTCTAGATTGAAGATATTAAGTTAGGAGCCATCAGTGTAAAGGCAGTACTTAGAGTCAAGGTATGAGATCATTAGGGAAGTGGGTGCAGATATAAAAAAGAGGTTCAAAGGAGGTCCAAGAACTTGTGTACTGAGCCTGGAGAAATCTGACGATTAGAGGAGGTTTTGAATAAGAGTAAAGCAAGTGGGGCACCCACCTTGGGCCCAAAATTTAAAGGGGCACCAAAAAACTCAGTAACCAAGAAAAACTACTTTAATGCAATATTTTCTAAAAATAAAAATGAATGACCGGGTGCGGTGGCTCACTCCTGTAATCCCAGCACTTTGGGAGGCCAAGGTGGGCAGATCACGAGGTCAGGTGTTCGAGACCAGCCTGACCAACATGGTGAAACCCCGTCTCTAATAAAAATATAAAAATTAGCGGGCAACTGTAATCCCAGTTACTCGGGAGGCTGAGGCAGGAGAATCGTTTGAACCCGGGAGGCGGAGGTTGCAGTGAGCCGAGATTGCACCATTGCACTCAAGCCTGGGTGACAGGGCAAGACTCTGTCTCAAAAAAAAAAAAAAAATTAATGCAAAAATCCTTGATGAACAAAATACTAAAATTTTAAGTAAAGATAAAATCAGCATTGGTCATTTTTCCCTTTGCCTCAGGCTTCAATATGGCTCAACTGGGCATTGTTTCAGAGGCCCAGAAGATGAAGAGGAACAGGTGAAGCAGAAACTTTGATGCTGTCTTCAATTGACTGAATTAAACTGTAGAGGAAAGACTTCTACTTACAGTACATCAAATCTGCTGTTTTAGACCAAGTTTATTATTGACATAAGATGTCAATAATAAACTTTAACTTTATAATTTTGAGGCTTTAACAAGGGGAACTAAACATTGATAATAAATTTTATCTTATAACAATTTTAAAATAGTGCATAGAATAAGATAACTGAAATAGAATCAAAAGACAAATGAAAAACCAGCAAGAAAACGCAGCACTTGCAGGAAACAAATAGATAATTTCCCAATTTAAAAAGAACACCTACATCAGAAAAATAAAAAGGCAAACAACTTAATGTTTTTTAAATGGGCAAAGGGTGTGATCGGGTCACTTAATAACAAAAAAGAAATAGAAGGAACTTTGTGTTTAAAACTCCCTCTTAATTTAAAAAATCCATATCCACATGAGACATAATTTTGAATTATCTGAAAGGCTAAAACTAAAACAAATAAAAACCCAGTATTGTTGACAGTTGAAAAAGCAAAGCACTCTCAAACATAGCTGATGAAAATCTAAATTGGTTGAATTTTTTATAGGGTAGTTTAGTTATACCTATCAAAATAGTACATTCACATACTGTTTGATGCAAAAATTTCATTGCTATAGATTTACTTTCTGTATTTCTTAGCCAAAATATGTAAAGATCTATGAGCATTGATTTTCTTTGCAACATTGTTTTTAATAGTAGAAAACTGTGTATACACACAGATAACTATCTATATAGAGATAGATAGATATAAATCTTAAAACTGTTTATGATAAATAACATTATCATAATATTATAGTGTTTATAGATACTTTGGGAGTTTGTATATATTTTTTTTATAAAAATAATAGAGAACATGCAATAAAATGTAACCATTAAAATAATAAAGTAAATCTGTATGTGCAGATGAGTAAAGATACTAACAAAAAAAAACAAAGCTTATTATAATCTCTAAAGTACAGTAGCGTATCATACCATTCCCATAAATAAAAAGAAATTGCATTATGTGCATTTAAACAGGGATGTTTGTATGTCTGTATATGTGTGTGTATTTAATCTGGAAGAACGTGCAAGAAATTTTAAGAGCATTAACCTTTGGAGATTAGGACTAGGAAGAACTAGGGAGTCTTTTACTTTCCATTATATCTGTCTGCATTGTTTAAATTTTGGGCTAATGTGCATGTAGTATGTTTTGTAAATGTTACAGGTGAGGGAATTATGAGATTTTTTGTGTGTGTTTCCAAGATATAAAATGGAATCTAAATTAAATTTTTAAAAATTTATAGATGACAAATTACTTAGGATAAAAATTTATAACACAACTGTATTGGCAGATAAAAATTTATTTTATAATGAACTTACCAAAGATTTATTTAAGTAATCATGACAAATTACACTGAATGATTTTCTTAATAATTAAATGTATGTGCAGCATCAAATTGTACATGTATACAATTTTAGTCATCTTAGGGAGATGTTCATTGCCTAAAAACAAGGCAGCTAACAGGAAATTTCTTCTCTTAAAATTTGGTCTAAAAAGAAAACATTACAAGTAAATATCATAATTTTGTCATAGTATTTGCACTTTAAGACTTATTTGATATTTTCATCAGATTTCCTTTAAATATAATTTTTAAGTGTTTTCAACAGTTACATCTAATTTTCCTCATGTTTTGGGATACCAGATTATTTCTTGCCACTACATGTAGTCTGAAAATAAACTGTAGAATGATTTGATTAATAGAACTGTATTTGATATCTGCCTTTATTGAGTATGAACTCGGAAGTTACAATGTTTGAGTTAACATACCGGGATATCGTGTGGTTACTGTGTGATCTTCGGTAACCAGAGAGTTTTTGTGTCTCAATACTCTCAGTTGTAAAATGAGAATAATAGTAGTCCATGCCTCACAGACTTGTAAATTCTATGTAAAGTACTTGGGATAGTATGTAACATAAAATAAGCACTACATCTGTTATCTATTGCAGTTTTATCTGTAAGAGTATTATATGTCCATGGGAATTAGTGCAGAGTAACTTAATAAAGATGACACAAATAAAAATTCAGAGTCAAAAATGTATAAGAACATACATGTAAGACTTTTGTTCATAAACTACATTTAAGTTGTACATTGTTACCATATAAAGTAGCCACAGGACTAGGTTGCTTAATTATGGTTACAGTGGTGTGCATGTTAAATTAGGAGTCAAGAGAAAAAGGATTCTGTAATGCCAGCACTTTGGGAGGCCAAAGCCGGTGGATCACTTGAGGCCAGAAGTTCAAGACCAGCCTGGCCAACATGCCGAAACCCTGTCTCTACTAAAAATACAAAAAAATAGCCAGGTGTGGAGGCTGAGACATGAGAATTGCTTGAAGCTGGAAGGCGGAGGTTGCAGTGAGCCAAGTTTGCACCACTGCACTCCAACCTGGGCAACAGAGCAAGACTCTGTCTAAAAAAAGAGAGAAGGATTTAATCCACCTTGCCACTGTGCTCAAAGATGTGCAGCTTTGGACAAATTACTCATACTCACTGAGCATATTTCTTCACCTATAAAATGAAAGACATGTTAAACAGCCTATTCTGTCCCTTCAGGCTTTAAAATTATTCTAATCCTTAAGTAGTTGTTGACCAAATAATTGAGGCATGAAACTTGTTGATAAGAATGAGTCTGGTAAAATATCTAATTAGTGCTGAATGAAAGAGCGGTGTGTGTGTGTGTGTGTGTGTGTGCATATTTTGGGGAGGGGGATACAATGAATCAGTGCTAGGTACATTTTTCTTTTACATTAATGAAGTAATTTGGATGTTAAGTTTATCAAATGAAGAATTAAATAATCAAAAGCTATGAAACTTCAATTCAGATCTACATTCTCATTACTTTTAATAAAATCTTTCTTTCAATCGTTCCTCTACTATTTTGTACATTTGTAGATAAGCTTAGCACCTTCCTTACCAAAGACATTATGAAGTAAGCAAGCACAGCAAAAGGGCAGTTCATTCTTCTTACACTGTGTCCAATTTGTGTAAAAAGTTGTGTGAAAGCTATGTCTATCTCCCTCACATATGAAAAATATCAGTTTGGGGAACTAAAATAGTGGGAAAACAAAAGTCTGCATTTTTAGGCAAACTGATTTAACAAGCCTCCTGCAGATGCATTTTACTGGGGCAAACTATCCCTGTGTGGGCTTTCCAGGATCTTGGTAGCAAATTAAACCAGCAAAAGAGAGACGTTAATAATGCCTTTGAAAGAAGTGAAACATCAGCCGGGCCCAGTGGCTCGTGCCTGTGATCTCAGCACTTTGTGAGGCCAAAGTGGGCAGATCACTTGAGTCTAGGAAATACCAGCCTGGACAACATGGCGAAATCTTGTCTCTACTAAAAATTAAAAAAATTTAAAAAAAAATTAGCTAGGCGTGGTGACCCGTGGCTGTAATCCCAGCTACTTGGGAGACTGAGGCACAATAGTTGTTTGAATCCAGAAGTGGGAGGCTGCAGTGAGCCAAAGTTGCACTAGTGGACTCCAGCCTGCGAGACAGAGCAAGACTCTTTCTTAAATAAATAAATAAAACAAAGTGAAACATCAACATTAATAAAATCTCCATTGCTAGAAAAGCAGCGGCATTTTCCAAGCTTCCCATGACCTGAACCAGTGTTCCATTCTAGGACAGAGGAAGAGCAATAGCTGCAGTATCAATACACACTCATGCAATTGACAAAATTTACAAATTTAATGAGCTTGCTCTCATCTCCTGCCTTCAAATTATTGGGTATAGATGTGAAACGCTATCAAGCAACCACTCTAGGCCAACAAATGAGGCTGAAGTTGATTTTTATAATATGTCTTTAATTATGATCCCATGACGAGGGCTGCCAAATAGTACAACTTCAAAGGAAACAATTCATAAAGAGTTGTGATCTATGTGAACTGCAATCCCTCAAACAAATATAAAGGCTGAACATGGCCTTCTAGAGTTGTGCAACGTGACAGTCATGCCTATGAGTGTTTGAACATCTATTTAGCAGGTGTTGTATTTAGATCACATTTTTTGGTACTAGTGATAACAACATCAATAACCTTGCCAATTTTGTAGGTTTCTCTTACTATTTCTTCCAGATCAGTTATCTTGCCAGTCTCCGGAGAAGTCATTAGGAAGTAACACCAGGGACCTGATTCCGTCAGTGAGCAGTAATCATTTACAAAATGAATATTAAAAGTACCCTTAAAGATTTAGTGTATAATGTTTTTTTACTCCCTTTTCACTGTTAGAATCAGTTCTGCCATGCTGTATAGTGGAAGAAATCTTGACAGTTTACCTGTCATCAAAATTTTTCATAAATGGAGGTTTAGGGTGCTTAATGAGTAATCTGGACCCACAAACTGCATCCATGTATTACCACACCCCTGCACATTTCACTATATAATCAAACTGAGTCAAAATATGACAAATTGGTGAAGATGGACAAGGCCAGGTGAAAATGGACTTAGCATGTATGTAACTGAGAAGAAAATAAATTGGGTTTCTCACACCCACAATGCTATGAATCATGAAGGAAAATCCAAAACAATTCTGTGACTTAGTTTGTCCTTTATCTCTCTTAAATTTAAAATTCAAATATTTTCCAATTCATTTGGATTTTCTTATACTTTGAGAAAATATGCAAGTGTTTCAAGCAAAGACATAGAAGTACAACTCTATGCTCCTTTATCCATTGTGTAGGTTTCACATTGCCAATCTTCCACTAGGTATTAACAAAAGCAATCTAGGCCTAGTTATAATTGATAACAAGGCCATCACTGTCAACTGTTACAGCATTAGGCAGTCCCTGCAGCCTTTCCACAGATGGATAGAGGTGAAGTTGATCTCACTGATTTTCTAAATGTTCATTCTCTCTCTCTCCAATCCTGAGTTGGCTAGGTTTGCCTGTTTCCTTGACTTATCTCCTAGATACCCTATTAAATAAAAAATGTAAATGAGAATTTTTTCCCCTGAGGACTTATCCTAAACCAGAAAATGACATGGTTGGCACTAGTGCTACTGAGTTGCACCTGCAGGAATAC
The DNA here is from genome assembly GCF_000001405.40 of Homo sapiens. NCBI lineage: Eukaryota > Metazoa > Chordata > Mammalia > Primates > Hominidae > Homo > Homo sapiens. Next base: position 98,736,248 of record NC_000023.11, on the reverse strand, counting down.
GCAAGGTGCATGGACAGATTCTAAAGTGTACAACCAATGATCCCTATCTCAGGGTTCACATATTTTTGTAATCCGCTTTCCCTGTATCTGGATGAGATCTGTGACTTGCTTCTAAGAAACTGAATATGGCGAAGGTGATGAAATGTTGCTTCCATTAGCAAGTTACATTATAAGACTTCAACTCGCTAGCAGATTTGCACTCTCTCTCCCTTGCTAGCTTTGAAGGAGCAAAGTTCCATAAAGTAAGTGGTCATGTTGGAGAAGCTCATATGGAAAGAAACTGTAGGTGGTCTTTAGGAACTGAGGAAGGCCTCTAGCAAGAAACAAACCCTTGGTCCTGAAGCAGCAAGAATATGAATTCTGTAACAACCTGAGTGTGCTTGGAAGCAGATCTTTCCCTAATGAGACTATAGCCCCATTTGACACCTGCTTTGCCAACTGGTGAGACTGAAGCAGAAAACCCAGCTAAGCTGTGCTGAGGCCTCTAATCTACAGACACTGTGAAATAATAAATATGTGTTGTTTGTGAGATAATAAATACGTGTTGCTTTAAACGCCACTGCGTTTGTGATGATTTGGTTTGCAGCAACATAAAACTAGTACCAAAGGATTTCTGAAAGATATTAGAATGCACCAGTCACCTATGAATCAGTTATGTAATACTGTGGTCTCATCAGCAAGCCCTTCATACTGACTGACTTATTTGAACACCCTGAGATTGCATAGCACCAGGAATTAGCTAGTATCTGGGCTAGCATTTTGGCAAACCTTCCACTGAAAGATAAGAAGTTCATTAGTAAACTGATCAGTGCTTTATGGAGGATTGTGTGGAGGACTCTGAAGAATGAGGCAGCACTCTGTTCAGTGATGTTACTGTGCTTCTCCTCATTGATGCTCCTATTCCTTGCCTATACATGCTCTGGAAAAAAAAAAAAGTGAACCAACCACTCCATATCAGCCCTCTATTTTTGTCTCTGTCATCTTTCTTGTTTTCATTTCCACCCACTCCAACTCTTCCCTCTAATTTTGAATTTCCCTAAACTAGGTAAGTATTAAAATGGGTATAATCAGAGTTTCAAGTCACATAAAAAGGACAAAATAAATTACTTTTTTCTGCTTCTGGTCATTTAATTACCTCAGCCTCTGACATTTTGCTATTTTATAAGCAAGACATTGGATCTCTTTGAAGAGGTATACGGTTTCACAGATAGTACAGCATATTCCTAAAAAAAGGATGATGTGACTCTTATTCAGCGCAACTTAGTGGGAAAAACTGAATGTGTGCAAGTGTTTGAAGAATCTTAGGCTTATTGTTTCAACAATACCATGACCAAAGGCAGATATAAGAACACTGATCTTACAAGAGTCTCAGAATAAGTGAAAGCCAAATATTAAATTGAATTTCTTTATAGGAGAGTTAAACAGCTTTTTAAAACACAGAAAAAAGTAGTAAAATTCTTTTGGTCACATTATGTTACATATCATAAGATTTACATAAGTCTATTGTTTTGAGGCCTTATCAGTATTTTGTGGGATTAATTAACAAAGTTTTCCAGTACCTCTAAGAGAGTACCTCTAACAATTATAACATTCAAATGCAGAGAAGTAACTTAAAATATTAAATTAAATAAATTATTAAAGTCTAAATGGGACCTCAAAATCTCAATTCTGTCTTTATTTCCAGCCACAAAAAAAAAAAAAAATCAATCTCATTCCCTTACTAAACAAAAAAGATTAACAAACACTTTTATTTTGATATTTCATGAACATAAAATGTCCTCTACAAAGACAATTTCCATTTGAGAATAAACATATTTATTTCAAATAAATGAATAGGCACTATAGACATGACTATGTAATATAGACTATGACTATAAATTCCAATTCCTACCTTCATACCTTACAAAACACTGGACATACCCAGGGGATAATCAAATACACACTGAGTTGAAAACGAAATAGGGAGACTTAGCTAGATTTTCTGAACTATTATATATTACAAAAATACTAGTGTTCATGAGATATTAAGGATTATACATTGAATGTAATAATTCTGATAATTATATGACTTTTAAAATTTAATGTCTCAGTAAAATGATGCAGTCACTTTGGAAAATAGTTTGGCAGTCTCTCAAAAAGTTGCATGTAGAATAACCATATAACCCAGAAACTTCACTCCTAGATATATACCCAACATAATTACAAACATACGTTCACACAAAAACTTGGACATGAATGTCTACAGCAGTATTGCTCATAGTAGTCAAAATATGGAAACAACCCCTATGTTCATGCACTGATGAATGGATAGACAAATGGAACGTTATTTGACAATTAAAAAATGAGATACTGGGCCGGGCGCAGTGGCTTATGCCTGTAATCCCAGCACTTTGGGAGGCCGAGGCGGGTGGATCACGAAGTCAGGAGATCGAGACCATCCTGGCTAACAAGGCGAAAACCCATCTCTACTAAAAAATACAAAAAATTAGCTGGGCATGGTGGTAAGCGCCTGTAGTCCCAGCTACTCGGGAGGCTGAGCCAGGAGAATGGCGTGAACCCGGGAGGCAGAGCTAGCGGTGAGCTGAGATCACGCCACTGCACTCCAGCCTGGGCAACAGAGCAAGACTTCGTCTCAAAAAAAAAAAAAAAAAAAAAAAAAGAGATACTGATACCTTTTACAATATAAATATACCCTGAAAACATTATGCTAAGTGAAAGAAACCAGACGCACAAAAGGTCACATAGTATACAATTTCATTTAAACAAAATGTACAGAATGAAGAATGATAGATTAGTAGTTGCCTAAGATTGGGCTATGGAAGAAAGAGTAAGTAAGTGGTAATGAGTATGAGGTTTCCTTTTTGGGTGATGGAAATGTTCTGGAATTAGATAATAGTGATGGCTTCACAACTCGATGACTATACTAAAAAAAATCATTAGTTAATTTTATGGTATGTGAATAATACCTCAGTAAAATTGTTATTAAAAAATTAGATTGTAATGTATAAGGTAAAAATTCTTCAATATTTGTATAACTGTTAATTGTAGTAATAAGTATGTAATAACATACCCCTAAGAAACAATATGACAAATAACAATAGCAGGATGTCTTCTTATGAATATATATAAAGGAAGCTTGAAATGCATATTGTTATCTAGACTTGTCATATAATTTCACATATTATTTTTTATTAATATGATGCAATTATTTTTAAAAATATATAGTGCGTTATAAAGATTTAAAGAGCATCAAAGTCCAATTTTGGTCTTTTCTTTCAATGTATCTGAAAGAAGTATATTTACCATCTACCTTAAGCCAAGTGAGCTTTATATGCCATGAACTACTATTGGTGTTCTAGCATTTACAAAAAATAATCTGTGAACAAAAAAAGTTTTTTTAAAGAAAAGTCTTCTTCATTCAGGACTTGACAGGTGGGCAGGTATGATAAATGGTTGATTTAAACAGGTTGCCTGAAATATGATACATGATAAATCAAATAAAATGATTGGATAGTTTTGGAGCTAAAAAAATGGCAGTACTGTATTGTAGTATGCATTCAGGAAATGCTTGTTAAGAAATCAGAAAGAGGGCCAGGTGTGGTGGCTCACATCTGTAATCCCAGCACTTTGGGAGGCCAAGGCGGGCAGATCACCTGAGGCCAGGAGTTTGAGACCAGCCTGACCAACATGACCAAACCCCGTCTCTACCAAAAATACAGAAAATTAACCTGGTGTGGTGGCAGGCGCCTGTAATCCCAGCTACTCAGGAGGCTGAGGCAGGAGAATTGCTTGAATCCAGGAGGCAGAGGCTGCAGTGAGCCGAGATTGCGCCATTGAACTCCTCCTGGGCAACAAGAGCGAAACTCCGTCTCAAAAAAATAAAAAAAAAGAAATCAGAAGGAATAAGCCAAACAACCAATTCTAACCTATTCTGTTTGTTGCAATGAACCTTGCAGAATCCTAAGACACATTTAGGATATGGTTGAAAAAAAAACACATACAATATTAAAAATAATTAACTAATTAAAAAACACATACAGTGAATCAATCTTACTTTCTTTTTGGAAAATGGTTTTACCCAGAAGGGTGATTCAAGTTGGGAACAACTGACACTCAGTTGAAATTTATACTAAACTGTGATCTAACACAATTTGTTCCATCACTGTTTGTGCAAACAACTTGCGGAGTGGAGGGACATATTCACAACCCTTAGAGAGGCTGTTTTAGGCAACATGTTTAAGTATGTTAAACATTAACTTGCTCCATTTGTAAGAGCCTGTTTACTCTCTCATGATATTTGAGTTCCTTATAATGGCAACAGTATAGAAACTATGAGACCTTTCTTAAATTCTAAAATACCTTTATTAGTTGCTTTTTGATCAACAAAGATTGGGAGTACTCTTTCCTTAAACTGAGATTCCTCTTAACTCCTTTCTCCAAAAGACTCGTATCAATGGTTTCTCCCATTCTTGTCTCCTCAATTCAAGACGGCAGCTTTCCTTTAGCGTGCCCCAGAGAATTAGTTGATAACCTGGATATGGCATTACTTTGCTTTTAGCCTGGCAAATACTTCCTATGCAGATCTGCGGATTACTGTCCTGGCCCCTATTTTATCCAATTACCCACCAAGACAGGACTGTAATTGTGACCACAGAGATACTCACTACTCACTTCTTTACTTGAAAAGAGGCTTCATTGTTAATGTGTACTTCATAATCCTGGAATACAAATAAATACAAATAACTATGAAGTGGTTGCTGGGCACAGGATTGGGGGAAGGTAAGGAGCATTAACTGAGACATTCAAAATTGTAAATTAAAATTTGTTGATAATATTTATTGAAAAGGATATTTGAACAAGAAAGACAGAAAATGCAGTGTGTCTATTTCTTTAGTTTAATTTCTATTTCTAGTTTAATTTCACTCACAAAAGCTGTGGAAGCAAAGATATTATTAAACAATATTGTATAATGGGATATTTGGATCCCAACTATTTCTTTCTCTTTCTCTCTCTCTCTCTCCGTGTGTGTGTGTGTGTGTGTGTGTGTGTGTGTGTTTGAGTGTGTGTGTGTTTATACCTATTTTGCTTCTCACCACTGGCAATAATGCAGTATCCTTATGTCTTCTTTTCAATGGTAAGCTTACACTTTCAATTTGTTTCTGTTTAACAGTCACTGTGAATTCTGATTAGTTCTTACAGACAAGAGGATAGGGAATCTTGCCAAATGCAATTACAAAGTTTTAAACAAAATGTTTTCCTTTTATTGTAGCAATATATATTAGGTGGCAACAAAAAAGACCTCACCATATGACTATGCTTATTCTCTAAGTGTGCTCAACTTTGAATGATATATTCAGTCTTTTGGATCAGTGGGTAACTATTTAGTAGAGCTATACAGCATTTTGAGAGAGTTTCTGCCTAAAAGGTACTACCTAACTTAGTTTCTATGAGTGTCTTAGTGTTAGGGACTGAACGTTTGCATGTCCCCAAGATTCATATCTTCAAATTTTAACCCCCAATGTGATGGTATTAGAAAGTAGAGTCTTTGGAAGGTGGATCCCTCATGAGTGGGTTTACTGCTCTTATAATAGAGACCATAGAGTGCTCTCTAGCCTTCTTTCTGTCACATGAAGACACAAAGAAAATATGGACATCTATAAATGAAGAAGCAGGCCCTCACCAAACACTTTATCTGCTGGTGCTTTGACATTGGACTCCCAGCCTCCAGACCTGTAAGAAATAAATGTTTGTTCTTTAAGCCACCCAGCCTATGGCATTCTGTCATAGTAACCCAGACTGACTAAGATACTTATTTATCTAGAATGACCTTTGTTTGGAGAATAATCTTTTGTGTAAATTCTGGATGTCTACTGTACACAGAGAGTCAGGGTAACATGGTTGTATTTCTGCTGAGATTGTTCTTAACAATTCACTCTTACAATCTCATTAAACACTCAGGCTGATAAAAATCATACTGCATGCAAAAAGTTGTTTTGTCTTATTATTAGTACAGCTTTCATGATGCTTTTTAAATATAGTGTTGAATGGTCATCCAGCCTCTTTAATTGAAATATGTTAGTTGGAACTTTAAGAGCCATCAGGTTTTGGTGAAGTTAATTGATTGGCACCTTCTAGCCAAAATAGTATTTCATAAATAAACATTAAAACTTTTTTATACAGATCCATTGTATGCCCAATGAGTATTCTCATATGAATCATGCATACTTAATGAAAGTTTTCATGTATTTTAGCGAACAGGGTAAATAAATGAAAGACGATAAAGTGTGAGTTTGGATCATATTTTTATTTGCTGGACATTATAATATAAAAGGAACAGATAAGCTTATAGGATATTTAGAACCATTCTATCCTATTAAATAGAAAGATAACATTCTAGCTTATTAATATTTTAGAAATCTTTCTGATTCAGCTAAGAGCAAATAATTTGGGGTCAGATTTTTATTAAAGAATGTTCAAAATATTTGATCAGAGAATCTTGGATTTTTATCTTTTTAAAACATATTGTTAATATTTAAAGACAAATTTTATAAATCTTTAAAACATAGACTTTGAGAAAGTATCTGTTTGCTTTTTGCTACAAATAATTAAACTCAACATACAAAAAATCATAACATCAGATGCAATGAAACTGAAGAGAATGGCTTCTGACAAAATTAAATGATGAACACCAGAGATTTTCACTTGTATCAACTTAAGCAGGCAAAGAGGTAGAGCAATCAAAGTCCCTTTCTTCTTCTCGGCCTCAACTAATATTTACTGGGTCCATGAAACAAAATAAATGTGCTGTGTTCAAAGACCTTTCTCTCTTTTAGAAAATTTTTAATTTTTTTAACATTTATTGAGAAGTAGTTTATATATCATCAAATTTATAAGGCAAAAAATTAAAGCCTAATTTTAAAAAAAGCATATGTATACATCCTTGTATTAGTTCATTATCATGTTGCTAATAAAGACATACCCAAGACTGGGTAATATACAGAGAAAAGAGGTTTAATGAACTCAAAGTTCCACATGGTGGGGAGGCCTCACAATCATGGTGGAAGGCAAAGAAAGAGCAAAGAGATGTCTTGCATGCTGGCAGGCAAGAGGGTGTGTGCAGGGGAACTCCCATTTATAAAGCCATCAGATCTAATAAGATTTATTCACTATCAGGAGAACATTATGGGGGGAAAGCAACCCCATGATTTAATTATCTCCAACTGGCCCCACCCTTGACACATGGGAATTATTACAATTCAAGGTGAGATTTGGGTGCGGTCACAGCCAAACCATATCAACCCAATTCAGCTTAAGGAATAAGTAAAATGAACAAAGTGAAGACCTCTGTATACCCTCACAAATCAGATTCTCTTCCTTTTACTCTGGAAAAATAACTATGCTGATTTTTATTTATATTATTTCTATTCATGACTTCACACTATATACTACATACGCTGATACAGTTTGGCTGTGTCCCCACCCAAATCTTATCTTGAATTTTCACTTCATGTGGGAGGGACCTGGTGGGAGGTAATTAAATCATGGGGGAAGGTCTTTCCCATGCTGTTCTCATGATAGTGAATAAGTCTCATGAGATCTGATGTTTTTAAAAGGGGGAGTTTCCCTGTACATACTCTTTTTGCCTGCCGCTATCCACATAAGATGTCACTTGCTCCTCCTTGCCTTCCGCCATGATTATGAGGCCTCCCCAGCCATGTGTAACTGTAAGTCTATTAAACTTCTTTCTTTCATAAATTGCCCAGTCTCGAGTTTATCTTTATCAGCAGCAAGAAAATGAACTAACACAGCAAATTGGTACCGGGAGCGGGGCATTGCTGAAAAGATACTTGAAAATGTGGAAGCGACTTTGGAACTGGGAAACAGGAAGGAGTTCAAATAGTATGGAAGGCTCAGAAGAAGACAGGAAAATGTGGGAAAATTTGGAATTTCCTAAAGACTTGTTAAATGCTTTGACGAAAATGCTAATAATGATATGGACAATAAAGTCCGGGCTGAGGTAGTCTCAGATGGAAATAAGAAACTTGTTGCGAACTGGAGCAAAAGTGACTCTTGTTATGTTTTATCAAAGAGACTGGCAGAATTTTGCCCCTTCTCTAGAGATTTGTGGAACTTTGAACTTGAGAGAGATGATTTATAGTATCTGGCAGAAGAAATTTCTAAGCAGCAAAGCATTCAAGATATGACTTGAGTGCTGTTAAAGGCATTCAGTTTTATAAGGGAAACAGAGTATAAAAGTTCAGAAAACTTGCAGCCTAGCAATGCAATAGAATAGAAAAACCCACTGGGGGTTGGGGGAGGAGTGGTGTATGCAATTCAAGACTTCTTTTTCTATCTCTCCTATGCCTATTTCAGCAACATGAATTAAAAACAAGGAACTATGAGGCTCACCTGATTTTTGGTTCTGACAAAGGTGGTTTTTCTGTGTAGATAGTTGTTAATTTGGTGCCCTTGCTGGGGGGACGATTTATGAAGCCTTATATTTCACCATCTTGCTATACCTCCTCTTTGTGATAAATTTAAATAGTATACACTTCAATGAAATCTGTACACATGTATATAAGTAGATGTATAGAAGAATGTTCATAGAATATTGTGAAGAGCAAAACAGTGAAGACAGCACTCACGTATGCCAAAAAATGAAAAAAAAAGAAAGGATGATTGTGCTATATTAATTCAACAGAATGCTACCTTAAAGTGAAAATACATAATATAGATTCACATATGTCAGCATGAAAATATTCAAAATATAGTGTTGAGCAAGGCACAAAGTTGCAAATTGTACCATTTATATGCAGTTATAAATACTCAAAACAGAGGGAGATGGAGAAAGATGGCAGAATAGAAAGCTCCACTAATTGTACACCCTGCAAGGACACCAAGTTAACAAGTATCTATACAGAAAAAACATCTTCATAAAAACTGAAAACCAGGTGAGCAGTCGTAGTACATGGTTTTTAACTTCATATCATTAAAAGAGGCACTGAAGAGATAAAAAAATAAAATAAAATACAATAAAAAACAGTCCTGAATTGCCAATGTCACCTCTCTTCCCGGCCCCAAGAGCAGTGGCCTAGTGCAGAGCATCTCTGGGCACTGGGGGAGGGAGAACACAGCAATTACGAGGCATTGAATTCAGTGATGTCCTGTTAGAACAGAATGGAAAACCGGACCAAACTCAGCTGATGCCTGCCCATGGAAGGAGCATTTAAACAACTCTAGCCAGTGGGCAATTGCCAATCCCAGTGGTCCAAGCATGAATACCTACACACTTTGACATCCAGGGCCACAACGTCTGTGTCTCCAAGTATACTTGAAAGGCAGTCTAGGCCATAAAGACTGCAACTCATAGGCAAGTCCTAGTGCTGAACTAAGCCCATATATGGTGGACTGGTTGCAGAGGCTTGTGATATACTGAGATATCAGTTGGGGCAGCCAAAGAATTGTTGGCATTACCTTTCCCTTAACCTCAGTCTGCACAGCTTGTGGCTCCAAAAGAAACCCCTTCCTCCGTTCTTCCACTTAAAGAGAGGAGAGAGAATAGTAGGAGGACTTTCCCTTGCTGCTTGGTAACTACCAAAGCCACAGCAGGATGTGGCACTATCATGGGGCCCTGGGTCAGATTCATGAGGCCCCTGTTCCAGGCCCTTGCTCCCAGAGGACATTTCTAGACACAGCCTGGGCCAGAAAGGAACCTGCCCTGCTTTGAAGGAAATTACCCAGTCCTGCCAGCATTCATCACCTGCTAGCCGAAGAGCCCCTTGGCCCTGAATAAACAGGAATGATACCAAGGTACTACGATATTAATGGTTTTGGGTGAGCCTGGCTGCTTTCAGGTGAGACTCAACATGTTACCAGATGTGGTAGCTATAAGGCAGAACTTCTTTTGCTGGAGAAAAGCAAAGAAAAATGTAAAAAGGGCTCTGTTTTGCACCTTAGTTACCAGCATGGCAACAGGAGGGTAGAGCACCAAGCTGGTTCTTAGTGTCTTCAATTCTAAGACTTGACACTTGGATGGAATTTCTGGACCTGCCCTGGTCCAGAGAGGAGCCCACTGCCCTGAAGTGTTAGTCCCAGCCCTGGAAGCATTCACAGCACTCTTACTTAAGAGATTTTGGGTCAGGCATGGTGGCTCACGACTGTAATCCCAGCACTTTGGGAGGCCAAGGCTGGTGAGTCACCTGAGGTCAGGAGTTGGAGACCAGCCTAGCCAATGTGGTGAAACCCCATCTCTACTAAAAGTACAAAAATTAGCCAGGTGTGGTAGTGGGTGGCTGTAATCCCAGCTACTCAGGAGGCTGAGACAGGAGAATTGCTTGAACCCAGGAGGCAGAGGTTGCAGTGAGCTAAGATCGCACCACTGCGCTCCAGCCTGGGCGACACAGTGAGACTCCATCTCAAAAAAAAAAAAAAAAGAAAGAAAGAAAGAAAGAAAGAAAAAAAAGGAAAAGAAAAAGAAAACAAGAGAGAGAGAGAGATTTTGGGCTTTAAGGGAATATCAGTGATCAGTGGTAGTCTGGTAGTACTCATCATGGCCTGGAATGGTGGTGGCTATATGATGAGGCTCCTTTGCCATTGGAAATGGGAGAGAAGACTGGGAAAAACTGCATCTTGCAGTTTGAATACCAGCTCTGTCATAATAAAATTGAACACAAGATAGACTTCTGAGGCGTTTGACCCTAGTCTCTGACTCCTGGATGGTAGTTGTGGACCCACTCAGGGCCTCGGTGACCTCACCACCCAGAAGGGAATGACATGGGTCTGGCTGGGTTTGCCACCTGCTGACTGTAGAGCCCTAGGGCCTTGACCAACACAGGCATTCACCAGGGAGTGGTTACAGCAGGACTTGGGTGAGACCCAGTGCTCTGCTGGCTTCAGGTTTAACCTACAGCAATCATAGTGTTGGTATCCACAGGGTTGCTTGGGTCACTCCATCCCCAGCGTTATGTGGCTCAGAAGAGAGTGAGAGACTCTGTATGTTTGGGAGAAAGGAAAGAAAATGAAAGTCTCTCTCTGGTAATCCAGAGAATTGTCCCAGATCTTGCCCAAGACCATCAAGGTGGTACCTCTATGAGTCTGCAAGAACTACAGCATTACTGGGCTTGGGGAGACCCCCTAAAGCACATACAGCTTAGATTACAACACCAACTCCTTTCAAACATCTGGAAAGCCTTCCTAAGAATGATGGCTAAAAATAAGCCCAGATAGTGAAGACTACAATAAATAAATACCTAACTCTTCAATGCCCAGAAACCAAAGAACATCTACTAACATCAACCCCTCCAGGAAAACATGGCTTCACATAATGAACTAAATAAGGTACCAGGGACCAATCCTAGAGAAACAGAAAAATATGACCTTTCAGAAAGGGAATTCAAAATAGTGATGAGAAAACTCAAAGAAATTCAGGATAACACAAAGAAGAAATTGAGAATTCTATCACATAATTTTAACAAAGAGAATGAAATAATTTTTAAAAATCAAGCAGAAAGTCTGGAGGTGAAAAATACAATTGGCATACTGAGGAATGCATCAGAGTCCTTTAATAGCAGAACGGATCAAGCAGATTTTATCCTTCATTGTGTTGATATGATGTATCACATTGTTTGATTTGTATATCTTGAACCATCTTTGCATCCCAGTGATAATTCCCGCTTGGTCATGACAAATGATCTTTCTAATGTCTTGAGCATTCTGTTTGCTAGCATTTTGTTGATGATTTTTACTTCAATATTCATCAAGATATTGGCCTGTAGTTTTGTTTTTTTGATGTGTCTTTGTCTGGTTTTTGGTATTAAGGTAATACTGGCATTGTAGAATTAGTTTAAAATTATTCTCTCCCTCTTTATTTATTGAAACACTCTAAGTAGGATTTTTACTAGTTCCTTAAGTGTTTGGTAGAATTCAGAGGTCAAACCATCAGGTACTAAGGTTTCCTTTGCTGGGAGAAAATTAGGCTTCAATCTTGTTACTTGTTATTGGTCTGTTCAGATTTTGAATTTTCTCCTGGTTCAATCTTGGTAAGTTGTATGTGTCTAGGAGTTTGTTTATTTTTTATTTTTTTTTAGATTTTCGAATTTATTGGCATGTAGTTGCTGTTAGTAGCCCCTAATGATCCTTTGAACTTCTGTAGTATCTGTTATAATATCTTCTGTATCATTTTTGATTTTATTTATTTGGATCTACTCACTTTTATTCTTAGTCTGGCTAAATTTGTCAATTTTGTTTAACTTTTCAAAAACAATTTTATATTTCATTGATTTATTGTCTTATATTTATTTTAATTTTATTTTTTCTCTGATCTTAATTATTTCTTTTTATTTGTCTAATTTTTGGTTCGATTTGCTCTTGCTTTTCTAGTTCTTTAAGATATATTATTAGATTGTTCATTTGAAGTTATTTCTCTTTTTTAATGTAGGCACTTATAGCTATAAACTTCCCTCTTAGTACTGCTTTCACTGCATCCCACAGGTTTGGTATATTGTGTTTCCTTTATTATTTGTTTCAAAGAATTTTTCAATTTCCTTCTTAGTTTCTTCAAGAGCATATTGTTTAATTTCCATGTATTTGTATAGTTTCCAAAATTCCTCCTGTTATTAATTTGTAATTTATTCCATTGTGGTCAGAGAAGATGCTTGATATTATTTCAATTTTTTTGAATGTTTTAAGACTTCTTTTGTGACCTAAAATATGGTCTAAACTTGAGAATGATCCATGTGCTGAGGAAAAGGATGTGTATTCTGCAGCTGTTGGGTGAAATATTCTGTAAATATCTGCTAGATCCATTTTATCTATAGTGTAGATTAAATCTGATGTTTCTTTGCTAATTTTCTGTCTAGAAGTTCAGTCCAGTGCTCAAAGTGGGGTGTTGAAATCTCTAGCTATGATTGTATTTGTGCCTATCTGTCTCCTTAACTCTAATATTGGCTTTATAAATCTGGGTGCTCCAGTGTTGGGTGCATATATGTTTACGATTGTTATATCCTCCTGCTGAATTGACCCCTTTGTTACTATATAGTGCTTTTTTGTCTCTTCTTATACATTTTGTTTTGAAATTCATGTTATATGATAAAAGTATATCTACTCCTGCTCTTTCTTGGTATCCATTGGCATGGAATATCTTTTTCCATCTTTTTATGTTTTCAGTCTATGTGTGTCTTTATAGATGAAGTGTGTTTCTTGTAGGTAACAGATCATTGGGACTTATTTTTTCATCCATTCACCCAGACGATGTCTCTTGATTACAAAGTTTAGTCTATTAACATTTAATATTATTTTTTTATAAGAAAGGACTCACTCCTGCCATTATCATTTGTTTTCAAATTTTAAAATTGTCTCTCTTCTTTCTTTCCTTTCTGTCTTCTGCTAGCTGAGGTAATTTTCTCTGATGATCTGATTTAGTTACTTGCTTTTTTGTTTTTTATGTATCCATTGTATGATTTTTTGGTTTGAAGTTACCATGAGGCTTGCAAATGCTACCTTACAACCCATTATTTTAACCTGATAACAACTTAACACTGTGTGCATAAACAAACTAACATGCCAAAAGGAACCTAATGAAAACATTATGCCTTCACTTTGTTCTCTGCTTTTTAACTTTCTGTTTTTTCTATTTATACCTTATCGAACTCCCTATGTCTTGAAAAGTTGTTGTAGTTATTATTTTTAATTGGCTCACTGTTTAGTCTTTCTACATAGGATTAGAGTAGTTTGCACACCACAGTTACAGTGTTATACTTTTCTGCATTTTTTTTTTATTACTTACTATTGCCAGTGAGTTTTGTACCTTCAGGTGATTACTTACTGCTACTTAATGTACTTTCTTTCTGACTGTATTTCCTTGACCATTTCTTGTAGGACAGGTCTGGTATTGATGAAATCCCTCAGCTTTTGTTTGTCTAGGAAGGTCTTTATTTGTCCTTCATGTTTGAAGGATAGTTTTGCCAGATATACTATCCTAGGGTGAAAGTTTTTTTCTTCAGCACTTTAAATATGTCATACCACTCTTTCCTGGCCTGTAAAGTTTCTACTGGAAAGTCTGCTGCCAGACATATTCAAGCTCAATTGTATGTTCTTTCTTTCTTTTCTCTTGCTGCTTTTAGGATCCTTTATTTATACTTGAGCTTTGAAAGTTTGATTGTTGAATGCCTTGAGGCAGTCTTCTTTGGATTAAATCTGCTTGGTATTCTACAGCCTTCTTGCACTTGGATATTGATATCTTTCTCTAGGTTTTGAAATTTCTCTATTATAATCCCTTTGAATGATCATTCTACCCTATTGCTTTCTCTACCCTCTCTTTAAAGCAAATAACTCTTAGATTTGCCCTTTTTATTTTCTAGATCCTCTATGTATGTGTCATTTTTTTAGAATTCTTTTTTCTTTTTTCTCCACTGACTTTGTATTTTCAAATAGCCTGCCTTCAAGCTCACTAATTCTTTATTCTGTCTGTAATGAAAACACCTGTTTACCCCATAAATATATACACCTACTATATACCCAAAAAAATTAAAAATTAAAAACTAAAGCAAATAAAAAATATATAAATTTAAAAAATCACATTATGCCAAATTATTTTCCAGATGGACTGTATCTACATTCATGTTCTCAAAGTTCAATTTCTTGATGGTCAGACTTAAATTTTTCAATTTCAGTAAATGCAAAATGGTAAATTCCCAGAATTTAGTTTGCATTTCTCGAATACTAGTGAGGTTCAGTAGAGTTTCATATACTATGCACCATTTAGTTATTTTTTTGTGAATTATATATTCATCTATTTGTAATTATTTCTATATTTGGAATTTTAGATATTAGTTTGTTGTCAGGTAAATGGTTTGCAAATATTTTCTCTTAGTCTGCATTTTCCTTTGTTTATGATTTTAAAATTCTGCTCAGCGTTTTTTATTTGCCTGTTTAATTTTGTTCAAATAATCAATGTATTTTGTAAGGTTGTAAAGATGAGCTTCTTGTGTCTTTTTACAGAAATATTTCTCTATGCAAAGTAATATATATGTGTATATTTCTATATTTTAAAAGTTCTAAAGTTTTGTTTTTTATATTTATGTCTAAAATCAATTAAAATTATTTTTGTGTACAATTTGATGTAAGGACTTATTACATTTTTTATATAGCTATCCATATTCCAACCGCAACTTATTTAAAAGTTTTTATATAAAGTTTCTATTAATGCACATATATTTCTGGGCTTTCTCTTGTTCTAGTAGTTTATTTGCCCATCTCTGAAACAACATCATACTGGTGTAATGACCATAACTTGATGGTATTTTCATATCTATTAGGAAAATTCCTCCACTTTTTTCTTCTTTAAGTGTGTTGCACCTATTCTTAGCACTTTGTATTTCTATACTGTTGATTAATTTTAGGTGTCGACATGACTAGGCTAAGAGACACTCAGATAGCTTGTAGAATATTATTTCCGGATGTGTCTGTGAGAGTGTTTCTGGAAAATGTTAGTGGGTATCATCCAATTCGTTGAACACTGTACAAGAACAGAAAGGTGGAGGAATAGCCAATTTGCTTACGTTTGAGTTGAGGCATCCACCTTCTCCTTCCCTTACACATCAGTCCTCCATCTTCTCCTTCCCTTAGACATCAGTCCTCCTGGTTCCAGGCATTCAGACTCCAACTGAGACTTACACAATGAGCTCCCCTGGTTCTCAGGATTTTGGATTGAATTACATGACTGGTTTTTCTAGTTCTCCAGCTTGAAGATGACAGTTGTGGAACTTCTTGACCTTCATAATCATGTGAGTCAATTCTTATGATAAATCTGTGTGTGTGTGTAAGTGTGTATGTGGATGTGTATATATATTTACACACACATATTTACACACATGTGAGTGTATGTGTGTGTGTGTGTATTATTCTTTTCTGTTGGTTCTGCTTCTCTGGAGCATCTTGGCTAATACATTATATAAATTTTAGAATAAATTTGTTATTTCTGCAAAACAACATTGTTAAGATTTTTATTAGAATTTAATTGAATTAAATTTATAGAATAATGTAAGACAACTTGTCATCTTTATGACACTAATTCTTCCAAATCATGGACATGGAGTTTCTCTGCAACCATTTAGATTTTCTTTAATCTCTTTCAAATGAGTTTTCAAATTACCTTTTTTAAATGACTTGCATTATCTGTTGAATTTATTTCTAGGTACCTAATATTTAATATCATTTTAAGAGGCATCCTGCTTAAATATTTCACTTTATTTGTTCCTAGTAATTAGGATTGCAACGGGTTTCAGAATATTGATCTTATACTCACAGACCTTTCTATAAACTTTTATTAATTCTAATAATTTATTTATAAATTCTCTTGGATTTTGTATGTGTGCAATCTTCGTGACTGTGGAAATGAACACTTTGTTTCTTCCTTTCTTATACTTGATCATGTTACTGACTTAGCTGGAGATGTTAATTATAATGTTGATGGAAAGTGGTGATAGCAGGAATCCTTGTCTCACTTTTTTTATTATACATTGAAAGCTTTTAACATCATACTATTAAGCATATTTACTAGAGTTTTAGATCAATACTTTTTATGAGAATAAGGCAGTGTTTTCCTCTATTCAATTTACTAATTAAACATGGCAAATTTTGTCAAATGATTTTTCTCTGCATCTAATGAGGTAATCACAAGTTTTTCTCCATTAATCCATTAATATGGTTAATTATATAAGTGGATTTTGATATGTTAAATCAACCCTGCATTAATAAGATAGACAATTTGGTTGTGATTTTTTCTAATACATGCTCTGTATTTGACTGCTTATATTTGTTCAATTTTTACATCTATATTCAAAGTGAGATTAGCCAATAACTCCTGCCTCAAAATTTCTTTATCTGGTTTCAGTGTCAAGAACATACTAGCCTCAAAAAATGAGTTGGGAAGAATTCTCTGTTTTTGTAATATTCGGTAAGTTTTTCAACATTTGGATTTATGTATTATTCCAATATTTGCTAGAATTAATGTGTGAAAGTCTGGGCTATTTACTTGTGTGGCAGTGGGTTGATTAGGAAAGAATGTTAAATACTAATATGATTTCTTTAATGATTATAAATCTAGTCAGGATTTCTGTGTTTGTGTTGATCCTGTTTTGAAGTTATATTTTTATATAAAATAGTCAATTTTGTCTTATTCCTTTAGAATTTTTGACATAAAATTATTCATAGTTACAGTTATTGTGCTTTAACTTCTACTGACCATATAATTGAGATGAAGTGTCCAATTTTATTAAACATTTTTATTGTTTAAATGTTTTAAAATTGTTATTTTTAATTTTCCCTTTAGCTTTTTCACATCAGGCATCCTAATTATTTCATGATTATCCTTATAATGGTAATATATATCATTGATTTAATGAATTCTAATTTTAATTAATACCTCTTCCCTTCTCTCAATCAATAGAAGGGTCTTAAAATACATTGATAACTTCTTCCATTCTCAATATTATTGTTGACCAACAATTTAATTTAACCTTGTTTTCATATCCTTAATATTAGTTGTTGTTATTGTCACTGTCATTTTATCACCTTTATCATTACCATCTTTTGCAGTCCATATTAGTTTAAATTAGAGGTCACAAAACTTATTTTCAAAAGGGCCAAATAGTAAACATTTTCAGTTTTGTGAACCACGCAATCTCTGTTACAATTGCTCAGCTCTATTGTAGTACAAAATCAGCCATAAACAATACAAGAATGAATGAGTGCATTAGTTAGGTTTCTTCATAGAAACAGAACCAATAAAATGGGGTATGCGTATGTGTGTGTGTGCATGAGCGTGTGTGTATTTATATTAAAAATAGGCTAACACAATTATGGAAGCTGGCAAGTCTCAAGATCTGTAGTCAACAACTAAGGATTCAGAACAGCCAATGGTATAGTTCTAGTCTGAAAGCTGACAGTTTTGAGACCCAAACAAAGCCAGTGTTTGAGTAAGTTAGGAAGAAACCAATTTCCTGGTTCAAAGGCAGTGAAACAGGAGGAGTTTCCTTTTACTTGAAGAGGATCCCCCTCTTTGTTCTACTCAGGCTTTGAAATGATTAGATGAGGCCCACCCACATTAGGGAGAGCAATCTCCTCTACTCATTCTACCATTTGATTCAAATGTTAATTTCATCCAGAAACATCCTCACAGACACACCCATAATTATGTTTGACTAAATAACTAGACACACCGTGGCCTTGTCAAATTGACACATAATATTAACCATTGGAGTTCCAGTGGCACAACTGGTTAGCATGCCATGCTTATATAGTATTAACCATCACAATGACCATGGCTGTGACCCAATAGAACTTAATTTACAAAAACAAGTTGTGGGCTAGATTTGGTCTGTGGGACGTGGTTTACTTACCTCTGGTATAGAGAATCAACGTTTACTAATATTTTTTTCTTCCAGTCTTTCTGGTATCTTCTTCATTTGAATTTTATTTTTACTCTTCTTAAAGTTTGTAATTTAGAGTGGTGCTTTCAGCACCTTTTCTTATTTTACTGTATCCTGGCCTTGTGTCATATTTTGATGTCCACCTTTAGAACTCTCTAAGCATTTTAAACATATTTATATGTATCTGATCTTTCCAATAGCTGATTTTCTTCAGGTGTTAAATTTGAGGATTGGTATTTATGCTGACTCTTAATTATGGAGGCATCTTTCCTTGTATATTTTATAATTTTCAATTATTTGCTCATATTAAACTTAATTTCATCTGTGAGAATATTGCAAACCCTGGCTTGAAGATACTCCTTACCAGAGAGTATGTGCAACTGCTTCTCATAGGTGTCTTGGGGCATTATTATTTCAGACTACTTTACATTGAAGTCTCTCTTTAGGGATTCCCAGAACTTGGATGTAGTATAAATGTGAACCTGACACCTGATTATGAATTAACAGTATAAAACTATATTTTTTATCCCAGAGGAAGGCTGAGACTAATAGTGTTTCCTGTTATCTCTCTTTGCAGGCAAATAGAGTTCTTGTAGTGCAACTTTTCATTAAAGTTGAACATAGTAATTCATAGATCAGAC
This sequence comes from Homo sapiens, assembly GCF_000001405.40. NCBI lineage: Eukaryota > Metazoa > Chordata > Mammalia > Primates > Hominidae > Homo > Homo sapiens. The sequence continues at coordinate 98,717,179 of NC_000023.11, read as the reverse complement.
TTTATGTGGAGTTTTCAATTCTGACCCCCACACCCTACCTTACATAGGAAAAAAGTCTTGGCTGCTGTTCCTTCACAGCTTTTACATACCAAGCACCTATCTAATAGAGTTCTCATAGTGATAAAAAATTGAATAGGAGAAGCTCTTAGAAGAATAACTAACAACCAGTAAACCCTACATATGTTTTTATAATAACAACAATTATCATTATTGTTGTTATTATTTGCCTTTCCATCTGCTTATAATTATTATCACTCTTCCTTAGAAATCATCTATTTATTTTGACAACTCAGATATATTAGTGACAGAAACTCGATGAAATATGTAAGAAATATTTAATAAAGTAGGAAGTTAGTCATAGACTGTTGCTCTCATTTTTGTAATGAAATAGAGATAGATAGAGGTTAAATCTCAGAATAGCTGTAACTATTTTTTGTCAGTATTGCTGGAACAACACTGTCTGGAGGAAAATCTCAAAAATATTAGCAAAAGCCGTTGCTGGGCTTGATTATGTATACTTATGGATATTTGTGTTTTGTTTTTGTTACATCGTTAAGATACAAACTCACACACTGAAAGAACCAGGGACTACAAGTAGACAATGCATGTGAAAAAGCCAAAAAAAAAAAAAAACCCACACACACATTATGTATGATATGTATTAATGATAACTTATTACAGAAGAGATTCAGACTTTAAATGAAAAAATGCCTCAAAACATCAGACTATAAGAGAATGTCAAAAAAACTCTACCAATAGTGTTAAAAATGCTAACATTGAAAAATGGAAAACTTGGGGGGTGGCCAAGATGGCTGACTAGAAGCAGCTAGTGTCTGCCGCTGTCACAGAGAGTGTATTATTAAACTCTCGCACTGCTATAAAGAAATACCTGAGACTGGTTAATTCATAAAGAAAGAGGTTTAAGTGATTAATCATTCCACAGGTTGTACAAGAAGCATGGCAGCATCTACTTCTGGGGAGACCTCAGGGAGCTTTTACTCATGGCAGAAGGCAAAGGTGGAGCAAGGTGTCTTACATGGCAGGAGCAGAAGGCAGAATGGGGGAGGTGCCACACACTTTTAAACAACAAGATTTCATGAGAACTCACTATTTTGATGACAGCACCAAAGGGGGATGGTGTCAAACCATAAGAAACTGCTCTCATGATCCAGTCAGCCCCCACAAGGTCCCACCTCCAAAACTGGGGATTACAATTGAACATGAGATTTGTGTGAGGACAAAGATCCAAACTATATCAGAGAGGAACAGAAGGGGCAAGTAAATACATCACCTTCAACTAAAACATCCAGGTACATGCATTGGGACTAATCAAGGAAAAAAAATGATGAACGAAGAATGGAGAAAGCAAGGCAGAATGATGGTGCACCTAGGAGTAACACAGAGCCAGAGGAACCTCCCCACCTAGGGAAGTGGCTTGGCAGAGTCTGTGGGGACCAGAGACTGGTCCAGACCACCAGCACAGAGCAACCACCTAAAAGAAAGTGGCCAAACTGTTCTCTACACAGATGCTGGTCCTCACTTCTCACTGGGCAGAGCCACCTGAACTGTGACTCTACCACAACCACACTACCCTTGCCAGATCACCACAATCAGAAGCAGTGCAGCATTTCTCCAAGGAGGAAATCTCAGAGTCAACCCACAACCCCTCTACCTTCTGCCACTACAGTTACAGTGGTGCAGTCCTAAAAGTCATCAGGCTGGGGAAGGAGCAAAGGGCCTAGTCACTACGCCAGCACCTTCAGCGCACTGCATCCACCATACAGACAGAAGCCCAGGCCCTCTTCTCTGCAAACTCCCACCCCTCCCCTTCACCAGACAGGCCCCTGGCTCATGAATGTACAAAAGTCACCCCACCCACAGCTGAGCATACCCACTGTTAGTGACCCAGAGTTCCCTTAGGGAGAGGCTCAAAGAGGCACAGGACAGCCCCTCTGCCATTGCTACAGCAACAGTTCTATTCCTGTCATCTTTGGTCTGGGAAAGAAACAAAGGGCCTGAAGGGTACATCCAAGCTTACAGCATGCCACAGCCATCATACAGAGAGACGATCAATCTCTCCTTCCTGTGACACTTTGACCCCCTGCTCCCCAACAAGTGGAACCCCAAGCTCACGCCAGTAGTACAGCCACCCCACCCCACTAGCTTAACACTCCCAGTAGCAGCAGCTCCATGTTCCTCAGAGGTGGAGCTCCAGTGACAACTAAAAGCCTCTTTGCCACTGCCTCTGCAGTGAAGCTGCCCTTGCTACCCTCAGATTAACGAAAGAGCAAAGACTGTAAGTGCCTTATCCTCACCTCCAACAAGCTGCATTTTACACAAGGAGAGGAGACCAGTGCATCTCCCACTGGTCTGACCCATCCCCCAACCACCACAGCTAGTTACCAGGCAGAGAACCCCTGGCTTAGGCCCACAGCATAGATTCTCCATCCTGGTCTGACTGCACTGAGCAATTGCTCTCCTACACCTCTCTGGAGTGCAGTCCCCAGGAGAAAAGCAAAAGACCCTTGGCTGCAACCACTACTAAGGTCCCTTCCTTTTCTGCCTCCAAACTGGAGAGGAAACATAAACCCTGAGATTGCCCCAGAGTAGCCGTGGGCAGCCTGGGAATGCCACACCACAAACTACAGCCAGCACTTAAATAAGAGAGAAGTACACATTTTCAAAGCATTGAGAGGAGCACAGGTGCAACTGTGAGGAAATATAGGAAAGCCACATGACTGAGTGCATTAGTCTGTTCTTACACTGCTGATAAAGAAATACCCAAGACTGGGAAGAAAATTAGGCTTAATGGACCCACAGTTCCATGTGGCTGGGGAGGCCTCACAATCATGGCAGAAGGCAAGGAGGAGCAAGTCACATCTTACAGGGATGGCAGCAGGCAAAAAGAGAGCTTGTGCAGGGATGCTACCCCTTATAAAACCATAAGCTCTCATGAAACTTATTCATTATTGTGAAAACAGCATGGGAAAGACCTGCCCCCATGATTCAATTACCTCCCAGCAGATCCCTCCCACAACATGTGGGAACTCAACATGAGAGTTTGGTGGGGACACAGCCAAGCCATATCATTCCACCCCCGGCCTCTCCCAAATCTTATGTCCTCACATTTCAAAACAAATCATGCCTTCCCAACAGTCCCCCAAAGTCTTAGCTCATTTCTGCATTAACTCAAAAGTCCACAGTCCAACATCTCATTTGAGACAAGGCAAGTCCCTTTCACCTATGAGCTTGTAAAATCACAAGCAAGTTAGTTACTTCCTAGATACAATGAGGGTATGGGCATTGGGTAAATACAACCATTCCAAATGGGAAAAATTGGACAAAACAAAAGGGCTACAGGCCCCAAGCAAATCCAAAATCTAGTGGGGCAGTCAGATCTTAAAGCTCCAAAATGATCTCCCTTGACTCCATATCTCACATCCAGGTCATGCTGATGCAAGATGTGTGTTCCTATGGTCTTGGGCAGCTCTACCCCTGTGAGACTGCAGGGTACAGCCTCCCTCCCAGCTACTCTCACTTGCTGGCATTGAGTGTCTGCAGCTTTTCCAGGCACACGATACAAGCTGTCAGTGGATCTACCATTCTGGGATCTGGAGGATGGTGGCCCTCTTCTCACAGCTCCACTAGGCAGTGCCCCAGTAGGGACTCTGTGTGGGGGCTTCCAACCCACATTTTCCTCCTGGACTTCCCCAGCAGAAGGTTCTCCATCCCCTGAAGCAAACATTTTTCTGGACATCCAGGAATTTCCATACATCCTCTGAAATCCGGGTGGAGGTTCCCAAACCCCAATTCTTGACTTCTGTGCACTTGCAGGCTCAACACCACGTGGAAGCAGCCAAGGCTTAGGGCTTGCACCCTCTGAAACAACAGCCCTAGCTGTACCTTGGTCCATTTTAGCCATGGCTGGAGTCTCCAGGATTCTGAGCACCAAGTCCCTAGATTGCACAGAGCAGGGGGGCCCTGGGCCCAGTCCATGAAACCATTTTTTCCTCCTAGGCCTCCAGACTTGTGATGGGAAGGGCTGCTGCAAAGGTCTCTGACATGCCCTGAAAACATTTTCCCCATTGTCTTGGTGATTAACAGTTGGTTCCTCCTTACTTATGCAAATTTCTAAAGCCAGCTTGAATTTCTTTTCAGAAAATGGGAATTTTCTTTTCTATCACATTGTCAGGCTGTAAATTTTCTGAAATTTAATGCTGTGTTTCCCTTTTAAAATTGAATGCCATTTACAGCACCCAAGTTACCTCTTGAATGCTTTGCTGCCTAGAAATTTCTCCCACCAGATACCTTAAATCATCTCTCTCAAGTTAAAAGCTCCACAAATTTCTAGGGCAGGGACAAAATGCTGCCGATCTCTTTGCTAAAACATAACAAGAGTCACCTTTGCTCCTGTTCCCAACAGGTTCCTCATCGCCATCTGAAACCACCTCAGCCTGGCAGTTCTCACAACACATGGAAGTTCTTGAGTTCCCAGAACACATGGGAACTCAAGATGAGATTTGGGTGGGGGCACAGCCAAACCATATCACTGAGCAAGAGCCTACCAACTGAACACTAAGCCTAAGTGCCACCTAGTGGATCCCAAAGCTTCAACACAAAAAGAACCTCGCCAACAC